>NC_000023.11:6512488-7137488 GCF_000001405.40 Homo sapiens
CACTTTTATTCTCATCAGTATGATTGTATTCTGAGCCCCCCATAAGCATCTCTGGGAGGATGAGGTGGAGGGGAGTTTACAGTCAGCTTTCAACATTCAAAATAGGATTTTGGAGCAAGCAGTATCATCTTGATAGACAGGCTTTGTCAAGAGAAAGGATTTACACGCATCCATTTGTATTTCTGCCTAATTACTGGGTCTGCCTTTCAGACCTCTTACACTTTTTTCTAGAAACTATTTATTTTGATGGAAGACAGGCTGTCAATATCTCCCTCTTCTTGAGAAGACTTCAGAGTTAGCCAGAAAGTGGCTTGTTGAGTGGTCTGAACTTGTCGTCGTTTCTTGCTTTCATTAAAGATGAAGTTTTCTTCCACTTATTTTACTGAGAAAGAGATTGAAGTTTAAAATGCTTTACTACTTTAACAGAAATACTGGATAGTTTTGATTTAGGTTATTCATCTTAGAAGAAATTTCTGTAAAAGCTTGACTTTTTGCACCTAGGGATCATTTTAAAGTTTTTCAAACATTTATACAAGAAATATTCTCAAGCGTCAGCTACAAGACTGTGATTGAGCTAAGTCCTGAATATGTATCAATGAATAAATGAACATAGCTACCCATATGTTAGAAAGAGAATAGTCCCCAAGATAAACAAAAATAGAGCAAAGAATGTGGGTCTATGTGCTAAGTAGGAGAGGACGGTGTCTGGGGAGGGGTTGCCATGGAAGATTCATGAACAAAATGTCTTTTGAGTTAATTCATTCAATCTTAATTTGAATGGCATTTCCCCCTCAAATTCCAATATCCCTATTTCTAGCAGAATTAGATTTGTAAGCCAATTTGCCATTCTAGGCATAAAATATATTCCTTCATTTGAAACAGGATTAATTCCTCCTTGAAACTGAATAAGCCAATCTCCATTTGAAGAATGAACACCAACTTCATTCAATGCCCTTCTCTCTTCTTCTCTCCATTTCAGAGTAATTTTCAAGTTACTGTCCTCTCTCATTTTAGATCTGATATGCATCATCACTTTGAAATCATTTCTTTACAAAGTTGGTTCTATTGAATGGAGTTCTTCATTTATTATTTTCCCGAGTTTTTCATAAATATTTAGGATGTATGTTAGCATGCACATGCTTGACATTAGTACTAAGCTCAGTAAACGTTGGTGGGCATTATATCATTTTAGTGAAGTCTTGATGTTCAGTTTGGGAGAAGGAGTGACTCACCTTCCAGACATTTTTTCCCCATTTTAAAGTCTTAGCAACTGACATGATTACTCTAGAATAAGTAATTAAAATTAATTTGAGTTTCTTAATAGTCATGTAAGCACCAATGTTTTCTGTTAGAAAATTAAGTAATTAAGATAACTATTGATCATTACGGATGACAATATAAATGAATATTTCCAAAGGGAAGAGCTCTCAATTTTTCATCTATGTACTTAATCACTTAAACTGGAACCTTGTCTACTAAGAAATGATGCTTAAATAATACAGAAATAAACACATTGCATTGTTGGGCAAATTGAATAAATGTTGAGTTTGAATTATTAAACTGAAAGAAAACATTCTAACTAAAGACAATGACCACTCTCTCAATTCCTCAGGCATATCTAAAAATACAGAGAAAATAAAATAGCATGTGGTTATTAGGGCTGAGTTATTCTTGAACCTGGCATAGATTCAGGAAAAGAAAACAGTGCAATTTAAAAGCTATCGCAACTCCACAATGTGAAATTTACCCTAAAGAAATAATCAGATTTACAGAAAGATTTATGTCTGAAGATGTTTATTACAATTGTATTGATAATAGTGATCATCAGAAACAAGTCCCAATGCTCAACAATATAAAATTAGTTGAATAAATTTAGTGGTAATATTTAGCCATTAAAAAGCAGATTAAAATATGTATCACAATGGAATTTTTTGAAAGTATAGCATTATTTTATAAACTTGAATGCAGAATTATATATGCAGTATGAACCTACTTTTTAAAACATTTTCATCTAATGTATGTCATGCATAAAATGCACATCATATAAACAATTTAAACATATGACAAAGTGCTCATCTTTGACAAGCAAAAATATCAAAGAGTTTAAATTATTCCTTTTTGCTTGTCCACATTTTTCAAAATGTTTGCAATAAAACTGTATGACTTTTTATTAGGTTAGTGCAAAAGTAACTGCGGTTTTTGTCACTGCTCTTCATGGCAAAAACTGCAGTCACTCTTGCACCAACCTAATAAATGAAAAACAAAACCAATGCATTTTATAAAATAGATGCAATGCTATTTCCTCTTGTCTGAGAGAGCAGATTTTTTAAACACTGTTGACCAGAGATCCTCACTCATGCTAGCACTTCCACTTCTGCATAGATTGCATCTCCTCTCACCTACCTTATTAAGGGAGGCAGACCAAAAGAGAAAAAAGGTATGTATATATGTACAATGTAGAGGACTTAGAGTTTGTTAGAAAGAGAATAGTCCTAAAGGGAAATGAAACACATAACCAAGAATGTGAGTATGTGTATTGAATGGGAGAAGGGGTTATAGAAGGAGTCCACATGGAAGATTTGCCCAGAAAATGTCTTTTGAGTAAAATTCCAAAAGGTAATTGTGAAAAGCAGAAAACACAAGAAAGGTCCCAAGGAAGGAGTGCATCTACTGTCCAATAAAAGTATGGAGACTGTATCAGTCCATTCTTGCATTGCTATAAAGACATACCTGACACTGGGTAATTTATAAAGAAAAGAGTTTTAATTGGCTCAAAGTTCTGCAGACTGTACAGGAAACACGGTGCCGGCATCTGCTCCACTTTTGGGGAAGCCTCAGGAAACTTATAGTCAGAAGGGGAAGCATGCCCATATTACATGGCTAGAGCAGGAGAGAAGAGGCGGGGAGATGCCACACACTTTTGAACAACCAGATCTCACAATAGCTCACTCACTATCACAAAAACAGCACCAATGGGAAAATCTGCCCCTGTGATCAATCACCTCCCCCCAGGTCCCACTTCCAGCATTGGGGATTACAATTTGACATGAGATTTTGGTGGGGACAGAGATCCAAACTATAACAGAGACTGAGAAAGATGAAAAGCCTACTGTTATTTTGAGCAGATAAGTAAAATGATTTGCTATATATATTTCCCTAGGATCACAGCTAAAGTCCTCTGTTGTCTCTGTAGTGTCTTCAGGATAAAGTTCACACTTTTTATTTTTATTTTAGAGATAGGAGTTTGCTCTGTGGTCCAGGCTGGAGTGCAGTGGTGCGATCATGACTCACTGCAGCCTTGAACTCCTGGGCTCAAGGGATCCTCCTGCCTCAGCCTCCTGAGTAGCTGGATCTATAGGTGCAGGCCATCATGCCTGACTCCATACTTCCTAATGTGCCTCCCTCACCCACTCATGTCACAGCTCCCCAGTATATGTTCCAGTATTTTTCATGCTATTCCGAATTACCCCGAGTGCACCGTGCAGTTTACTTCACTGTGTTTCTGCACACCCTGTTCCGTCTGGCTGAAAAGTTCTTTCTTCCACTCTTTGACAAGTCAACTCTGACTTGTGGGTTGAAACCATCAGTTTAGGGCTGCATTCTCTATCCTGGCACTACTTGGATTTTATGTTACCATCTTTTAATTTGTCTGCCTCTCGCTCCAGATGGGGTGCACCCAGAGGACCAGAACTCTTCTCAGAGGAGCTTGTGATCATTGGTGTATTTAAAGGAAGAAGATACGGAGAAGAAAGTCCATACACATTAGAAAAAGTGGCAAACAGAGTACACAATGGATAAAGGGGAAATCATTACAAAATGACAAAAAGGCAGATTTTAGACTGAAGTCCCTTCTTAACATAGCAAGTAAGACAGACATTTCTATTTCTTTACATTATTCCACCCTCTTGCTATCCCACATCATCCCGGTCCAAGTTGTGGATATCACTAGGTGGGGCTAGGCCATTTAGTAGGAAACAAGACTGTGTAAAAGACATAGGATTACCAGGTTTTTCAGAGATGTTTTCACTGAACGATCTTTTTTTAGAATGTGGAGGGAGTTTTGAATATTTATATATATATATTTTCTCAACAGGAGAGAATTCTTGTTCTCAGTTTACTTGGGATGCACTGTGCCTTCTCTTTGGAAAACAGTCTTAGCTTATGATACTACAGAGTTCGGGACACAGTCAGAGGAGAAAGACTGGGTCCAATTTCTCTGTCTAAGGCTGTAGGCCTAAATGGGAAGCTGTGCTGCACAGTCCAGTTCAGCAGAAATGAAGACTATGATTAGGGCACATGGGAGGAATAAGAGAGTGTATCGGACAGGGCCTTACAACGGTGCACCGTTTTTCAGTGTGTTTCACAGGCAATTCCTGTACACAGACTCCCACTTATGGATTATGGGGATCAGTTAACCCATCTAACAAGGGATGATCCAACAAGATGATAGAGTATTCCAGAAGGATCTCAGTGTACACACTGATTTTCTTCTATTAAGAAAACACTACAAAATATGGCTGAATTAAAAGGAGCTACTTATGAATTATTAAGGCTTTTTATCATGAATACCAATTTTGTTGATTTTCAAGGCTTCAATTAATGGAGAGTCCGAGGGATTGCTTGGTTTGTTTACCTATCTCATTCTCATGAATTCAATTTGCTACAGATGCAATAGATATTTATGATTTCTGAGATGTATATAGGGGAAAAGGGGGAGGGGTATTCTAGTTACCATGGCTAATTAATTCTTTTTACTTAAAATGACCCATGATGTAATTCGTACTGCTTTCAGGTGTTTTACTGACAAGTAAGTTCAGATTTAAAAAAAATTAATTCTGAATTTACTTAAACTCACTCAATAAATTCCTACTCCACAGTACACATGAAGGTCTACCGACATTCATGAAAAATAAAAGTATTGAAGAAGGCATTCTAAAATACTGCTATTAGAAACAAAAAGAAAGTTCGCGTTTGCTCAGTGGTCTCAAAGTAGTTCCTTTAATCAAATGTTTAATACTGGTAAGCTGCCACATTCTCTCTTCCCACAGGACTGCCCATTTCCCTGGTTCTGGGCTCCATTTTTAATCAGTTCCGGCACTAAGTATGTGTCCTCAGGGAAATAATTTCCCTCATTCTATTTTCTCCTCTTGCAGTAAGAGAAGAAGTGTTTCAATTTCGAAATTATTTGGAATGATTTCTGGTGAAGTGGATTGTGTAGACGCACAGAGAGTACCATGAATGTATTTACTGGGGCAGGATCATTCTAAATAAACACTCTTAAATTTTTCCATTGTTTTCCAATTCTCAAAACCACTTCACAAACATCATCTCATTATGAGATTCAATTCACTGAGAAAATTAACTGAAAATACAGTTAATACTATGATTTGGTCAAATCTGTTATTTTTATTTATTCCTCCTTACCAGTGAACACAAAGGGTAGAAGTATAAACAATTTACATATATTTTAAATGACTACCTTTTACCCTCAGGAAAGAAAAAAGCATGCAAGATTAATTCCTCATAATCCTATATTTCAAAGCAGGATTTTCACATTGTATTTTATTTTTGGATTTCAAGATGCACACAGATAATCTCTGCATACAAAAGAAACTCAAATTTTTTTAAAGTGATTTTATTAACGTAGTAACAGCAAATGAAATCGCCTTGCAAGATTATCTAAAATGTTGCCTGATCTACATGAAGACTTTTTTTCAACTTTTATTTTAGATTCAGGGGGCACATATTCAGATTTAATGACTGGATATAAATCACGTGATGCTGAAGTTTGAGGTACGGTCGTCACCCAGGTACTGAACATAGTACCCGATAGTTAGTTTTTCTTTTTTTTTTTTTTTTTTTTTTTTTTTTGTTTGAGACGGAGTCTCGCTCTGTCGCCCAGGCCGGACTGCGGACTGCAGTGGCGCAATCTCGGCTCACCGCAAGCTCCGCCTCCCGGGTTCACGCCATTCTCCTGCCTCAGCCTCCCGAGTAGCTGGGACTACAGGCGCCCGCCACCGCGCCCGGCTAATTTTTTGTATTTTTAGTAGAGACGGGGTTTCACCGCGTTAGCCAGGATGGTCTCGATCTCCTGACCTCGTGATCCGCCCGCCTCGGCCTCCCAAAGTGCTGGGATGACAGGCGGGAGCCACCACACCCGGCCCAGAGTTTTTCAACCCTTGCCTCCCTTGTGTGTGTCTATTGTGCCCATCTGTAGGTACATCTACTCCCAGTGTTTAGCTCTCACTTAGAAGCGAGAACATGTGGTATTTGGGTTTTCACTTATCCTAAGTGAATTTACACAGGGACAACAACAACAACAACAAAACCCCAGGTATTTGGGGGTTTTGCTCCTGCGTTAATTCACTTGGGATAATAGTCTCCAGCTGCATCCATGTTGCTGCAAAGGACATGAATTTATTCTTCTTCACAGCTGTGTATTATTCCACAGTGTGTATGCACATTTTCTTATCCAATCCACTGTTGATGGGGACCTTGGTGAACTCCATGATTTTGCTATTGTAAATAGCGCTATGATAAATATACAAGTGTAGGTGTTTTTTGGTAGAACAATTTATTTTCCTATGTAAAAATTTTTTATTTGATGAACTTATTTTTTAAGGAAGTTTTGGTTTCACAGTAAAATTGAGGAGAAAATACAGACAATTCACATGTAGCCTCTGTCTCCACCAACAAACCACCTCTTTGAGAACATACAACCTCCACCACACCCTTCTAAGATGTAAGCAGTCATGATTTGCAGTTATTGTTTTGGATTAACTATGACACTGCCATTTCCTGGGAGCCTCCTTTCCTCGTTTGACTCGACAGTTTTAATATATTTTATTTTTTAAAGCGATTTTAGGGTCACAGCAAAATTGAGCAAAAGGTACAGAGTATCCATATGCCTCTGCCCCCACACACGCAAAGCCTCCCCCACTCTCAACATCCCCTTTTAGAGTGGTGCATTTGTGACAACTGATGAACCTACATCGACACATCATTGTCACCTGAAGTCTATAGTTCACATTAGGGTTCACTCCTGGTGTTATACATCCTAGAGGCTTGAACAAATGTATAATGACACGCATCCATCACTATATTAGGTTGGTGCAAAAGTAATTATGGGTTTCGCCAATACTTTGGTGCAATACTTTTGCACCAACCTAATAGTATCACACAGAATAGTTTCCTTTCCTTAAAAATCCTCTTTGCTCCACCTATTAAACCATCCCTCCTGCATACTCCTGTCAACCACTGACTATCTTTTTACTGTCTCCACAGTTTTGTCTTTTCCAGAATGTCATATAGTTAGAATTATACAGCACGTAGACTTTTTAGACTGGCTTCTTTCACTTGGTAATATGCATGTCTTTTTGAGCTTGATTCTCACTTATTTATAGTGCTGAGTAATATTCCATTGTCTGGATGCACAACAGTACATTTATCCATTCACCTGCTGAAGGACATCTTGGTGGCTTCCAAGTTTTGGCAATGATGAAGAAAGCTGCTCTAAACATCCTGCTGCACTCTATCTGAAATATCCCGAATAGACCAATCCATATGGCCTTTGCTCCTCACAGCAAAATTTTATATGTTACTACCATTTATTAAAAAAATTGTATGAAAACATATAATATTGATTTTTATTGGACCTTGACAACATATTTCTAATTTTATCAGAAAAGGGCAAATTTTTTAAACAAATTAAAGGAAGAAGAATGGAAGGAAGGAACTTATTTTGACAGGATGTGAGTATAGTTTATAAAAGTGTAACAATTAATAAAAATGATACTATGAAATAATATATATGCCCAATGTTTATATATTGGGCATAACCACATAATAAAATATTATAAAGCGATCAATACAAACGTGGAATATTTAGTAATCTACAGAAACTTTAGTTATATAATGTTGAGTATATAAGGCAGATATTTAAAAGTTTCAAAGATATAAACCTAAACAGTAAAGATGAATAAAATGTGGTATATCCGTGCAAATATTACTTGGAAATTAAAAAGAAACGAATATATTATGTTCATATTATGTAACACATATATAATATGAATACATATTATATATGTACATATGCAACATGGATGTATTGTACATACGTATTATATATGATACATATTACAACATGGATGAACCTGAAAATGTTATATTAAGTAGAAGAAGGCAGATGGAGAACATCACATATGATATCATTCCATTTTTCTGAAATATCCTTAATGGACCAATCCATAGTGACAGAAAGTAGACCATTGATTGTCCAGGCCTTGGAGAGATTGGAGGGGGAGGGGTTGAGGGGATGATGGCTAAGAGATGTTGGGTTCTCTCTGGGGCAGTAAAAAGTTGTAAAATGGATCATGGCGATGGATGCACAACCCTGTGAATAAAAGCTGTTGGACTGTACAATTTAAATGGGTGCATTGTACAAACTGTGAGTTATATCTCAACAAAGCTGTTTTTTATTTACTTATTTTTTATTATACTTTAAGTTCTGGGTTACATGTGCAGAATGTGTAGTTTTGTTACATAGGTTTACACGTGCCATGGTGGTTTGCTGCACCCATCAACCTGTCACCTACATTAGGTATTTCTCCTAATGTTATCCCTCCCCTAGCCCCCTACCCCCCAAAAGGCCCCAGTGTGTGATGTTCCCCTCTCTGTGTCAATGTGTTCTCATTGATCAACTCCCACTTATGAGTGAGAACATGCAGTGTTTGGTTTTCTGGTCTTGTGATAGTTTGCTGAGAATGATGGTTTCCAGCTTCATCCATGTGCCTGCAAAGGACATGAACTCATCCTTTTTATGGCTGCATAGTATTCCATGGTGTATATGTGCCACATTTTCTTAATCATATATACATATGTATATGTGTATATATGCATATATATAATTTCATTGTAGAAAAATGAGAATACCATTAACCAATTTTCAAAAAAAATCACCCACTATTGTACCACACTAGAGACAAAAACTGTCAACCTTATTTAGGGCTCTATTTTTATTCCAGCCACTAAACAACATGTAATGATTATATCTGTGTTCATTATCAGTGTTTTCTTACATAAATGTGTCATAACTAATTAATCAATAGCTATCATAGGAGAGTAAATTCATTCTGATATTTTGGTGTTGCAAAATTCCTTCGTATTATTGATTTTCCCACTTCTGCTATTTTTTTCTGGTTAAATTCCTAAAATTATGTTTACAGAAACCCATTTAAGACTTTTTAAGGTCTTTATTATATATTTCCTAATGGCTTACAATAAATACATGTTAAACACATTTATCAAAAGTGTCCAAGAGTATCTTTTTCCCTATATCTTGGCCCACCTTGTCTATGATTTACCATTATATTTCAGTTACATCATGGAAAACTTATGCAGTGTTTAAATGCTAGCAGTTTTTATTTACCAGTGACTTTCAACATTTTTATATGTTTATGGGTCTTATAAATGCATTTGCAAATAGTTTTTTATAGCCTTATCCAACATTTTATTTTATTAATATTTTTCTATTGATGTTAAGAACTCTTTATATAATAATTGTTCAATACATGTAAGCCACATGTTTAAAAAGCTAGTCTCTGCATATTTGTACATGTCCTTTATGTTATAGAGAAGCATTTATTTGTATAGTAAAACTTATAAGTATTTTCTCTTTCATTAAAAAAATATTGTTGAGCCCTGTCTATGGGCAAGAGACGCTATTACCAGAGTATTAATGGTATAAAAAATACACCTTGTCTTTCTCATGAGGGCCTTAAAGTGTTGGAGATAAGAAGGTAGATTTTTAAAATTACAGAAATAAATATGTAGCTAATAATTTTCATAAATGTTATAAAGGGATATCAAAATGTTCCCCGGGGAGATTCTATAATCTATAGAGTTGGTGTATATGGGCAAGAAATGATGTTGGAGCTACTGTCTCAAGGATGACTTGGTGTCCATTATGTGTGTGGGGGGAATTAGGGGTTTGGGGTGGGAGGAAGGTGAGGTGGATGGCAGAACTGGGTGTGTGCTGGTAGCCGAAGTAGGTGGTTTCCTTCTGATTTCCATATTTAGAGTCGAGCTTAGAAAATCTTTCTACATTCCCAAATTCTATCAATGTTTATCTATATTTTATAATGTATTTATTATTATTTTTTTACCTGCATTTCCATCTTGAAATGTATTTACTATAGGATGTGAGGCAAGGATCTAGTTATCTAATTGCTGTTTTGCTGATGTTGTTTTTTCCCATCAAATGGTTAGCTTGCCCTTTTATTATTAAAAGATAGCCTCATCATATATTAAATTCTGGTAAATATGCTGGTCTCACGTGCCTATAAAATAATGTCAATGAAATTAGAATTAACTTATACACAGAAATAATGCATGTAATTTTAGTCATAAAAATGCAAAAGTGTATCATAAAATCATATCACGTCTTTAATAGATGTCATGAGTACTCATATTAAAGATATGACTGAGATAAAAATAAGATATTTTTTAAAAGATCACTTGTACCATGGCACTCTTTCTAGAATCTTCATGGAAGGATTTTGCCTCCTTCACAGTGGTCTATTAGGCTGGTGCAAAAGTAACTGCGGTTTTGGCCATGGCACCATATTATGAAAGCTCCTTTTGGCAGAAATCCATTTGTTTCTACTTTTCTTATTTATCCTGAATATCTAACAGGTTTCTTTTTTACACAGCACTCATTAATGTGTCCATCTCAATAAACAAAGAGCTCATGTCCTTGGGGTAGACAAGCTTTTATAAACTGTGCACAAAAACACTAACCTTACAGTTAAAGATTGTAAATTGTTGCTGCCTGATAACAAACAACCTCTGTATAAAAGCAGTCACAGTTAAGTGAATGAAAAGGAAAGCTGTAAGTGAAAGGAGATATTTGCAACAATTATAGCCCCCAAAAGAGCTTGATATAGTAGAATATATAATGGGCGGCTTCAAATCCATCAGAGAGAAATAAAGACAACCAAATACAAATAAAAGAAAGAGACTTTCATGGCCGCTGTATGAAAGAGAATTCCTAAACAGGCAGGAAACATGAAAAGTTGTTCAAACTTATTAGCAGCCAGGTAAATGCAAATGAAGCCGTAAAGTGATACCATCACACACTCACCTGGATTTCCATATTTAAAGACATTCACAATACTGAGTGTGGCAAGGACTTAGAACAGTCCTGTCCCATAAAACTTTTTGTGATGACAAAAATGGTCATTCTGTGCCATTAAATATAGAAGCCACTAGCTGCATGAGGTCATGTAGACCTTGAAATTTGGCTACTTGGACTAAGGAGCTAAATATTTAATATTTAATTTTATTTTATTATAATTAAATCTAAACAAGTATATGTGACTGGTGGCTACCAGATGGGATAGAGCAGATACAGAACCTCCATGGGAATTCCACTGTTGGTGGAAGTGTAAATTAATACAAACTCTATGAAGAGTTTATGTCATTATTTACTAAAGTTGAATGTACACATACCCCAAGACACATCAAATTCACTTTTAGGTATATACCTAAAGACATTTTCAAAACTGTGCTCACCAGCATTATTTACAATAGCCCCAAGTGAGAAACATACCAAGGGTTCATCAGTAGTAATATCAATCAATAAATGAGTATTTTCATGCAATAGAATATCACATAGCAATGAAAATGAGCTAACCACCACTACACACAACATTGGCGAATCTCACAACCATAACACTAAGCAAAAGAAGCCAGATGCAAAAGAATAATTATTCTATGATTTAATTTACTGAGTATCAAAAAGATACTGAACTTGTCTGTGGTGCGGTCATAATTGGGAGGCTGGTAGAGAGGAAGCAGAGGAGTTAGTGGTGAGAGGATCTGCTTGCCAGATTCTTGACCATTTTTCAAAGATGGAGGTACATGCACAGGTGTGTTCTCTTGTGATAATTCATCAAGCTGCATATGAATTATTTGTGCACTTGTCTGTATGTATGCTATAGTTCCATATAAATGGTAAACACAGCAAAAAACGGCATGTTAGTAGTGCATTTAATGACATGGAAAATTATGCCATAGAGTCCAAGAATGTAAACTTCAGAGTAATCTCTGATTGCTTTGAGTTTTTAAAAAGTTTTAGGGATCCCTTACCTAATTTGTGTTTTAATCTCATTTCTCTTTTATATATACACAAAATTGGTGTAACTAAATAAACAAAAAAGTGCTGTTTGAATAAGTATAAAATACAAATTATAAACGATAAGAAAATATTGTATCATCTGTTTAAATGACGATGTTTACTTAGTCTCTTTCAGAGGCCAACAACAGGGGTGTGTCTTATCATTGAAGGTCTCTTAGATACAAGGAAATGCAGTGGCTATTTGATTATTGGGATTTCCCAAAGCAACACAAGACACTTTTTTTTTTTTTTTTTTCTGAGACAGAGTCACACTCTGTCACCCAGGCTGGAGAGCAGTGGTGTGATCTCGGCTCACTGCAACCTCCGCCTCCTGGGTTCAAGCAATTCTTGTGCCTCAACCTTCAGAGTAGCTGGAATTACAGGCAGGCACCACCACACCTGGCTAATTGTTGTATTTTTGGTAGAGACGGGGTTTCACCATGTTGGCCAGGCTGGTCTTGAACTCCTGACCTCAAGGGATCCGCCCACCTCAACCTCCCAAAGTGCTGGAATTACAGGCATGAGTCACTACAACCAGTCACAAGACACCTTCTTTATAGGACACAGAAATTACAGGACAGGCCATGAATCCAGAGTGAATTCAGATAGTGCTCCTATTGAGGCCAGATGAGAACTGAAGAAACAGAAGCAAAAGGATTGAGGAGGCATTGAGTAAACAGCAGTTCCTGATGGGAATTGGATAAACACATAAATAAAAATTTAAATAAATAGTAATAAAAATAGGAATTTACACATACAGGAATAAAAATGAAACTTTTCTTGGTCATTCTATCAAAATTGTGAGTGAAGCTTCCCTCCCAAGTATTGCCACTCCTGTTGAATCATGGAGGTCTAATAGCTATTTTGCAGGAAGGAACGTCTTTGTCTATGAGTAGGTAAAGTCAAAGAAAAGAATTTAGTGAAAATCTATGTTTATTGAAAACTAGAATTATAGGTACTTTGCTAATTAGTTCAGAATAACCCATTTAAGTTGCTGTATATCCAAAAATACTACTAGGGCTTATTGGCAACATTCATCACTGTGCTACAATCTGACACATTTCATTTGGTTGATTTGTGTATAGGAATGCTCAAATTTTCTTCTCAATCCTTCAGTGCAAATGGGTATAAAAACTCCCAGTTCAGGGACAGGCGAAGTGGCTCACACCTGTAATTCCAGCACTTTGGGAGGCCAAGTTGGGAGGATCTCTTGAGGCCCGGAGTTCAGTTTAAGATGAGCTTGGTAATACAGCAAGATCTTGTTCTCTGCAAAGATATACAAAAATTAGCCAGGCATGGTGGTGTGCACCCGAAGTCCCAGCTACTTGGGAGGCTGAGGTAGGAGGATCACTTGAGCCTAGGAGTTCTAGGCTGCAGTGAACTAGGATCACGCTACTGCCCTCCAGCCTGGGGGACAGAGCAAGATTCCATCTCAAAGAGGAAAGGAAGAAAAAAAGAAAAAAAGAAGGAAAGAAGAAGGAAGGAAGGAAGGAAGGAAGGAAGGAAGGAAGGAAGGAAGGAAGGAAAAGAAAAAATTGCAGTGAGCCAGGATTGTGCCACTGCACTCCAGCCTGGGTGACAGAGCAAGACTCTATCTCAAAAAACAAAGAAGAAGGAAGGAAGGAAGGAAGGAAGGAAGGAAGGAAGGAAGGAAGGAAGAAAGGAAGGAAGGGATAAGAAATAATTGCAGTGAGCCAGGATCGTGCCACTGCACTCCAGCCTGGGTGACAGACCAAGAATCTATCTTGAAAAACAAAGAAGAAGGAAGGAAGGAAGGAAAAAGAAAAGAAAAGAAAGGAAAGGAAAAGAAAAAAAAAGAAAAGAAAGGAAAAAATTGCAGTGAGCCTGGATCGTGCCACTGCACTCCAGCCTGGGTGACAGAGCAAGACTGTATCTCAAAAATGAAAGAAGAAAGAAAGAGGAAGGAAGGAAGGAAGGAAGGAAGGAAGGAAGGAAGGAAGGAAGGAAGGAAGGAAAAGAAAAGAAAAAAGAAAAGATCCTCCCAGTTCACATTCTGAGGTACTAGTAAGTTACATGGAGAAAACCAAGAAAATGCCCTGAGACTAATTAAGTTGAATTCATGATACTTTATTTGCTTTGTCTTTGTTCAAATGGACCATTGGTGACAACGGCTGCAACAGGGAGGATTTTGTGTAAAGACTTTTCAAATGGAGTCAGTTTCTTTTATGAGAAAATTACAAAGTCCAATGCATGTTAGGGATGGGAAGTCTTCAGCTATTATTTCAGCTTGGTTACTTTCATTCCTCCTCTTGCAAGAACTTTGCTATATGAAGAGGACCGTTGTTACTGAGTTCCGTCATGTTCAGCAGAGTGAAAATAAAATCCAAAGAATGCATAAACATTATCATGCTATTTTTTCCTAACCCTTTTAAACTTTTGCTCAATTTGATGTTAACAAAAGCAGGCATTCATAGTCTTATACCATTAGAAAATTTATTCTGTTGGCAACAAAAACAAAAACCAACAATCCCTTGTAGATATATGCGTTGGAACATCAGCAGTTGCCTTCCAGGATATATTTCCCCATTGATTCATCCACTTTGATGTGTGATTCTGTTCATGTTCTTATCCTCTAATTTTATCCCCATGTAGCCAGCGCAGCATCTATGAAATAGCTGATGCTATGTGCATCTCCATGGGATACCTGATGAAACCACAGGCAATCCCTGTACCCCTGCTGGTGACCAGCTCAGGAATTGGGCAAGTAAACTTATTGTTGCTAATAAGATGAGGAAGAATGTCTTCCGCAAGGCTCTTGTGAGATGCGTCTTCCTAACTAGTAGATATACACAAGAGGAGACGGTCTCTCTGCTTCCACATCACATATTTCCCCCCATGTCATGCCCAGAACTGCACAGCAACCTTGGTGTACCAAGCTGTATTAGGGTTCTCTGGAGGGATAGAACTAATAGGATAGATGCATATATGAAAGGAAGTTTATTAAGGAGAATTGACTCACATGATCACAAGGTAAAGTCCCACGAGAGGCCATCTGCAAGTTGAGGAGCAAGGAAGTCAGTGGTGGATCAGTCCGAGTCCCAAAATCTCAAAAGTAGGGAAGCCGACAGTGCACCCCTCAGTTTGTGGCCAAAGGCCCAAGAGCCCCTGGCAAACCACTGGTGTAAGTCCAAGAGTCCAAAAGCTGAAGAACTTGGAGTCTGACGTTCGAGGGCAGGAAGCATCTAGCACAGGAGAAAGATTAAGGCTGGAACACTCAGCCAGTCTGTTCCTTCCAGTTTCTTCTGTGTGCTTTATTCTAGCCGCAATGGCAGCTGATTTGATGTTACCCACCCAGAGTGAGGGTGGGTCTGCCTCTCCCAATGCACTGATTCAAATGTTAATCTCCTTTCGCAACACCCTCACAGACACACCCAGGAACAATACTTTACATCCTTCAACCCAACCAAGTTGACAATATTAACCATCCCAGAAAGTTGTAAGGATCCACTGTAGGACAATGGGCATATAGTTAACAATACCGTACCATGCACCTCAACATTTGTTAAGAGTGTATATGTCGTGTCGTGTGTGTTTTACCACAAGTTTAAAAATACTCCTGAGTATCTTATTCCATATACTCAACACCTTAGCAAACCTTAGTACTTCACTGCCCTTTTCTGGCTGCATGGCGTATCAGAGAACGTGTGGGCTTTGGAGTCAGACAAGCTTCGGTTCAAGTACTAGGTGATCTGGAAAAGGTTATTTAGCCTGGCTGGTCCTCAGGGTCATCTCTTGTAAACTCAGGATGGAATAAGACAGCCCCATCTATCTTCCAGCACCAGTCTAAGGATGACTCACAGGCATTGCTCAGTCCTGGCAGCGATTATTATTTTTTGATTAGCATGTAGCCCTCTACCTGGACCATGGTAGGTGCCCAATAAATGTTTGTTGAATGAATAATTTAATTCATTATTAATGAATTTTTATTTTAATTTACCCTGCTCTGGGCCATTTTTTTTTTAGTGCAATTACTCTTTTCTAGTTTTGAGTTGTATCCAAATTCTCAATCTAGTTAAGATTCAAAATTACATATCAGCTTGCTGGGCTAGCACTTTTCCTTACTTCTCTTCCTGAAGGGTCCCCAATTCTGTTTCTATTCTGTGTGTCTTTTTTCCCCACTTCCGTGGACATGTGTCCAGAGCCCCTTCCCCCAAAGCCCTTCAACTAGTTATTCTCTAGCAGAACATTTTTCTGCCAGTAAAAATATTTTCTTTCAGGAATTGGCTAAAAGCTGTTTTCATAAAAACTTCCCTATATGAATCGAGCCTATAATTATCTGGCTCTTTCTTAGGATTTCTGCAGAGCGTATGCACACCTAAAGCGTACCAATTCACACTTGGTTCCGGGGTCTATAGTAGAGTCACAGAAACATGACTCCTGTCATGAATGCAAGCTAGGATGTGGTCCCTAAAGCAGGGGATGTGTCTCGAATGCCTCTTCAATCCTTGTACAGTGTCTAATGCAGTACTACTTCCACAGTGTTGAGCAGCAGTCCTTAAGAGGGTGGAGTTTAGAATTTGGTCTTTGCAGACCTGAGTTTTAATCCTGGCTCTATAACCTATAAGCAGTATAAGAAAGGTACCCAAACTGTCTGTCTCATTTGTCCAGTGGGGACACTACCCATTTTACAGGGTGTGATGGTTAATTTCAGGTGTCAACGTGACTGCCTTAAGGAATACGTCAGGAATTAGTAAAGCATTGTTTCTAGGTGAGCCTGCACAGGTATTCTTGGGAAGATTGGCGTGAGCTGGTGGACAGAGTGGGGAAGATGTCTTCAATAGAGACAGGCCCCATCCAATTCTCTGAGGGCCCAGATAGAAGAAACAGGGCAAAGGAAAGGCACTTTCCTCCCTTTCTCTCTTGGAGCTGGGATTCTTCTTTTCCTGCCCTTGAACACCAGAACTTCAGGCTCCTTTTATACTGAGAATTACACCATCCACTTCCCTAGTTCTGAGGTTTTTGGTTGTGACCTGAGTCACGCTCCTGGCATCCCAGGGGCTCCAGCTTGCAGACAGCCTGTCCTGAGACTTTTCACCCTCTAATTCCCCTAATAAATCCCCTCTCATCTATCTTTGCTGATAACCTGTTGGTGGTGTCTCTCTAGAGCCCCGATTAATCCACAGGGGTAACGTGAGGGAGAAATGAGGTCGTGCTTGGGGAGCATTTCACACCCTGCCTGACACATGCCCAGGTCCGATAGGCTGCAGCTGCATTTATTCTAGAGCTTAGCATCAGTGTTCAAAACAGTGGAAGGCCTTCCCTCTGGCACCCAGCCATCGTGTTGAGCTTCTCCTGTCATTTTTCAATTCCAGAGTGTTTTTTGAGAGCAATTCTGTGTCCTGTGTATCACTGACGTGGGGCCAAAAACAATCCGTATGCGTGGGGATCTGAAGCTGGGAATGACCAATAGGTCAGAAAGTTCTTAGGAGTCAGGAGCAAAGGAAGCTGCATGGTCAAGGGGAATCAACATGAGCCTTCCTGCCATGTGCCGTATTTCCTGCGGTCTAATGAGACAGAGACATATGTATGTATACATCATCTCATGCTTAGCTCTTTAATATGTACAAGGTGTTTTCAAATTCTCCCACAAACTGTCTTTGACAGCTGAGAATCTCAAGATCACCTGTTGTTCATGACTGTTGTCAAGGGGATCCTCCCTTTAGGGACACAGGAAGATTTGCCTATAATGCTAGGAAGCTTTGATATCTATTATTTTATTATAAAAATCAACTACAGTTTTACTGCTATTACTTCAGGTCTTTACTCATTCCACTGTTTATTTTAACCCCGAGCTTGTGTGTAGTTGGAAAAGGAGGGAAAATATTTAAAACTCTTATTTATTAATTTAACTATGTATATAACATGTAGAATAAAGAAAGACTTAAAGGAAGATGTAGTATTTGTGAATGCTCCAACAAATTAAAAGATTATTTAAAATATTGATTTCTGATTAAACCACTTATTGTCTATAATGAATTAAAACAGTTTGTGAAAATAAATTCACTGATATTTTTGCATTTATAATTTCAAAATCATAGCAACTTTCTGAAGCTGAAAATGCCTGAAACACGAGTCTGCCAATCACCACAATAAAATATGAAGCCCCAGTGAAAGAGCTAGTCAGGATGGGTTCCCAACAAATAGCAGTTGAAGCTCCTACTGCCATGAAATGATGAAAGAAACACAGTTTAAGTGCCATGGATAATTTTTTCAATGCCAAAAGAATCATCACAGACTGTTGTGACATGCAGAGCTTGAATGGAAATATGGCATTAAAATAAGGTGCACAAAATTAGTTCTTGAATGTAATTTTGAAACACATTGCAAAATTGCTCCCTAATATACACCAAACCCAAAAGTGACCACTGACAAGATGAGTTTATTTCAGTTTTTATGCTGTCATTATGGAAAAAACTATAGCAGGAAGTTCACCAATTTCCCTTTGGAAAGATATATACAACCACAGCCAATAGGCTTTCCTAAAAGACAGCAGGAGCTTTTCATGCAGACT
The DNA here is from genome assembly GCF_000001405.40 of Homo sapiens. NCBI lineage: Eukaryota > Metazoa > Chordata > Mammalia > Primates > Hominidae > Homo > Homo sapiens. Next base: position 6,531,196 of record NC_000023.11, read on the forward strand.
TGTTTCCCATCCGTAACATACAAATATTTATCGTTCAGGGTCAATACAGCCTTGCAAATAAACAGGCTTTGAGTTATACCAAGCATGCTCATTCTTATATGGTATTTCCATATAAGAAATACAAAAGAAACATACCACAAAATGATGGTGCTCAGGACATGGGGCAAGGCCCTGTTTCTGTGGTATAGCGTCCTAGGTTTCGTAGGATTCCATAGGAGGCAGCTACAAGATCAACATGCAAAGCTCTGAAATCCCTTCCTAAGCTAATGAAGTGAAGCCATGACTGCACCAAGGAAAGGATGAAACAGAACTCATTTGTTGTTTCTCAAATGATGCTACCGTCTCTTCAAAGACACCATTAATTTAACATCTTTAAAGCTCTAAGAACAATCTATGTAACAAGTGAAAACTGCCTATAAAATTACTGCTTTCCTTATTATATGGAAATTCATGTTTTCATAATCACATAAAAGTTTAACGTGCTATTCATTATAAGATTAAAGGGCATGAGTTATTCTGTCCCTGTAATTAGTAACAACTGGAAATTAAATTGGGAGAATTTTGTACTCTTTTCTTCTTAAAATAATTTCCTTTCTCCTTTTGCCTGAGAACCATGCTTGAACAATACTAACGCCTTACCTTCTAAAATAAATGATTATATATAACATATAAATATAAATATGTTTTACATAAGTATTTATACATAAAATATATATTTACATATAAATGTTTTATGTGTATTTATACATATATATTTACATATAAATATGTTTTATATATGTATTTATACGTAAAATATATATTTATATATAAATATATATAATCTACACAAAAACATAAAAATACATATATTAATATATAAATATGTATACTAGGTTCTAGTATATATAGAAAAGACCTATGTATTTCTAACATGTGTATATATAATCTATATCTATATATTTATATTTGTATATTATATAAATATATAATCTATATTTCTATATTTGTATTTACATTTTTATATATAAATATATATAATCTATATAGGTTTGTATATAGTAAATATAGTTGCATATTATATTTTATTTACATATATTTGTATATACTAAATTCTACTATATATAGAAAAGACCTGTGTATTTCTAATGTATGGAAATATGAAATGTACTTTTTGTCTCTTCAGTTGCAAAAATAAAAAGGCTTTTATCAAGTAGATAGATTTTGCTCTATTTTGAATTTTTCTTCTTAATTATATTAGATTGTAGGGAGGGGACGCTGAAAGGAAAGAGATGGAAACGATTCTTCCATCAGTTTCTATAACCGGAAAGGTATTTTAACAATGAAACCTAAGTAGGTAGAATCCAGTTCTTGGTACTTGGTGTATGTGCTAGCAAGATTGCATGAAGAAACAAACCGTGTAAGAAGCGGAGTCATCCTGTGAAGGGGAAATTTGTCTCCAGTGTTCAGCCATGACGCAATCCTTATCCTCCTGTCTGGCTAACTGTGACCTGTCCCTGTGACCTCAACCCCACGGGACCCCACTTCCCTCCCTCCCCACACACCACCTATTCCTTCCTTCTTTCCTTTCTCCCTCCCCACACACCTCCTCTTCCTCCCTCCCTCCCTCCCCACACACCTCTTCCTCCCTCCCTCCCCACACACCACCTCTTCCTCCCTCCCTCCCTCCCCACACACCTCTTCCTCCCTCCCTCCCTCCCCACACACCACCTCTTCCTCCCTCCCTCCCTCCCCACACACCTCTTCCTCCCTCCCTCCTCACACACCACCTCTTCCTCCCTCCCTCCCTCCCCACACACCTCTTCCTCCCTCCCTCCTCACACACCACCTCTTCCTCCCTCCCTCCCTCCCCACACACCACCTCTTCCTCCCTCCCTCCCTCCCCACACACCTCTTCCTCCCTCCCTCCCTCCCCACACACCACCTCTTCCTCCCTCCCTCCCTCCCCACACACCTCTTCCTCCCTCCCTCCCTCCCCACACACCTCCTCTTCCTCCCTCCCTCCCTCCCCACACACCACCTCTTCCTCCCTCCCTCCCTCCCCACACACCTCTTCCTCCCTCCCTCCCTCCCCACACACCTCTTCCTCCCTCCCTCCCTCCCCACACACCACCTCTTCCTCCCTCCCTCCTCACACACCACCTCTTCCTCCCTCCCTCCCTCCCCACACACCACCTCTTCCTCCCTCCCTCCCCACACACCTCCTCTTCCTCCCTCCCTCCCTCCCCACACACCACCTCTTCCTCCCTCCCTCCCTCCCCACACACCTCTTCCTCCCTCCCTCCCTCCCCACACACCACCTCTTCCTCCCTCCCTCCCTCCCCACACACCACCTCTTCCTCCCTCCCTCCCTCCCCACACACCACCTCTTCCCCCCTCCCTCCCTCCCTCCCCACCATCAGAGAACACAGAGTCACTCAGATCAATTTGCAACACATTCATTTTATTATCTTCAGAATGGCAAGCACCCCGCTGGTGAGATCTCTGAGGTCTGGCGGCTGGGCCTGAACTTAGTCGCTGCTCTCGGAGATAGGGGAGTAGCTGGCCGTCTACACACTCGGTAGTTCTTCCATCTCGCTCTCCTGACTCAGTGGTTCCTCCACCTGGCTCTCCTGACTCAGTGGTTCCTCCACCTCGCTCTCCTGACTCAGTGGTTCCTCCACCTGGCTCTCCTGACTCAGTGGTTCTTCCACCTCGCTCTCCTGACTCAGTGGTTCCTCCACCTGGCTCTCCTGACTCAGTGGTTCTTCCACCTCGCTCTCCTGACTCAGTGGTTCCTCCAGCTCGCTCTCCTGACTCAGGGGGTCGTGCTGGGTCCCCTCGCTCACTGGCTCCTCCGGCGGCAGCTCGTGCTGAGGGAGCTCCTGGCTGGGCTGGTCGCTGGGGCCGGGTGCCGCTGGCCCGCTCTCCGCCTCAGGTGCCGTCACGGCCGCCATCTTTGTCGCAGCCCCTTTCTTCCCGCGTCTCCCTCTACGAACTGCTTTTCCCTTCTTGGCCACCTTGGTAGTCTGGAAGGACAACAGGGAGATCACAGAAGGGCTCTGGTTTAGGGACGAGGATGGAGGAGGCTGGGAACAGGGACGTGTCCTCAGAAGCGGTGGGGGCCGGGTTGGGGGGTTCTGCCAAGTGACGACAGGAGAGGCTTCTTGTGAGGAAGGAGGCGAGGGGAAGACGAGGAGGAGCTTGGGAGGGTCACTCACCTTCTTCTTCGGGTCACTGGGGCTCGGCTGAGAGGAGGACTTCCTCTTTCCTGCCTCCGTGGCCTTGGCCGGAGGTCCCGAGGCTCTCGGCTTTGGACTCATCTTCCGCAGCTCAACGTCTCGCAACGGTCGACTAACTCCAGGCTGCCTGGCCTCCCTGTATATACCCCTCTCGCGATCCCAGGACGAGACAATCACGCCCCTGAGCTGTGATTGGTCAACACTCCACTACCCAGCCAATGGTAGCCCTGGGTGGGAAGGAAGGCCTTATACGTCACAACGCACCATCAGGACATGGCGGATGAAGTCGGGGGCGGGGGGGGGTGACATCTAATGAGGAAGGCAGGGTGCTCTAATTGGAGAAAGGGAGATTTGGGTTAGCACCCCTAAAGATAGTTCCCAAACTGACATGTCACCCCTCCTAAACTCCCCGTGTTCAATTTTGGCAGATCACGTGGCACGGGAGGATATTTCCCCCACATGTTTCCCCCGGACCTCCCATTCAGTGGTACATTCTGTTCCTCCACACCTGCCATCATTACCCAGTTTCTGTATGACCTACCTAAAATCCCTCCATGCTAACTGGGATGGATGGAGGGCTATACGAAGACGTCAATCATCCCTCTCTCCTACAGATTCCTCTGCTACACCTTGAGGATCATTCACTTCTTGGATGCCATGAAACAACTTTTCCATCTCACATACTTCTCCCAGCATCCACATAGTGCCTCACAATTTTTCATTCTCATGGTTTAAAGCACTGGCTTCCAGAGGTCAAGATCAGCAAACACACTCGCTCAGCTGGGTATCTGTATCAGGCTGGGTTCCTCAGAGAAGGAGAAACTGAACCAACAGGATACTTTTTGTGTGTGTGTGTGTGAGTGTGTAATATATATGATAAATATGTATTTACTATCATGTAGTATTGATTTATGAATAATATTATATATATGATACAGTTTATTCTAAGCAATTGGCTCACACATTCACACAATGTGGGGGGGTCTAGGAAGCTGAAATATGTAGGGCAAGTGGGCAGCCTGGAAACTAAAAGCTTCTGCACAGTCAACAATCAACAAAATGAAAAGGCAGGCTATGGTTTGGGAGAAACTATTTGCGAACCATATATCTAATAATGAGTTAATATCCAAAATATATAAAGAACTCACACAACTCAATAGCAAATAAATAAATAGTCTGGTTAACAAATAGGCAAAGGACTTGAATAGGCATTTCTCGAAAGAAAACACACAACTGGCCAACAGGTATATGAAAATGTGCTCAACATCGTTAATAATCAGAGAATGCAAATGAAAACCACAATGAACTATCACCTCACACCTGTTAGGACGGCTATTATCAAAAAGTCGAGAGATAAAAGATAATGATGGCAAAGCTGTGGAGAGAGTGAAACCCTTTTAGGGTGTGCAGAAAACGGGACCTTTACACGCTGTTGACAGACGTGTAATTGGTACAGCCGTTAGGAAAAACAGTGTAATGGTTCCTTGGAAAATCAAAACAGATCTACCATGTGACCCAGCAGTTCATCTGTTGAGTAGGTACCCCACTCCCACAATGAAATCCACATCTTACACAGATATCTCCAGTACTAAGTGTAACTCATTAATCACACAGGAAATTAGAGTTTCTATTTGAAAAGAATGTTTTTTTTTTTTCACCATTCTGGTATCAAATATTTATTCTAGCCATCTCTTCTTATTTCTTACTTTGTAATAATCTAGGTACTACTACCCACTGACAGAACTGACTCATTATTCCAAAAAGAGATGAGAAATGTTGAGGAAAATGCAATGTTATGCTTCTTGTCTTCAACCAGTTATTCTGGTTTTATGGAGGATTCTGTATTTAACTCTTACTCAGATAACTCTAGTTACCATATCCATCGTACCTAGTCAACAATCCTAAAAAAATGAGAACACAGAGTTGACTAGAATCGTTACTAAACTTTCTATGTTAACCAGTTTTCCCAGTAATTGCTAGTTTTTTATTCAACTGTTTGCCTAGGTACCACTAAATGTCTAGTTTTATGTCACTAAGACATAAGAAGTAGTGTTGAAAAGAATTTGTTTATTTCAAGTACTGGCTTCATCTAGTTATCTCTAGTTAATTACTTACTTGGATAAAGTAGATATCTATTGTATGAGGTAATATTTCTAACATGAGGTTGGAATTTTGCGTTGAGGAAAATGGTTATTGAACTCCCTGGCATAGGCCAGTTATCTTCAGCTTCCTGGGATCAATTACTTGGTCTGGTTAATTCTAGCTATCTTTAGGTTGCTAATTAAATGTTTACCACCAGATGTCTGTGGTAATTTATTATCCCAACAAAACAGTAGAATGATAAGGAAGGATTTTGCTTTTTCCTGGCATCACATAGATATTCAAATTATCTCCTGTTATCCTTTGTACCTTTTTTCCTGGGTAACACTCAGCACCTATCCTTCTAAGTTCTTATCCCAACTAAAATCAATAATTGAGATTTGCAAAGAACATGAGTTTCAGGGTCAGGTTCACTTGGTATTGTAATGATTGTTAGCTGTTTCTATGTAACGTGTTTCATGGGAAAGCCCAGTTAAGTAGAATTTGTATATAACTCAACACCAATAAAATTATATTTGACGAGACTAGATTCCCTATGTTCTACATTCCACTGAACTATTCTTGTTGTCTCTATTTTACTATTTACGTAGGTACATGCCTTACGTGTAGTACTAATTCATTATTCCAACAATAACTCAGCAGTAAGTGGTGAGAAGAACGTGATTTTATTTTGAAATTTATTTTTATCGAGGTAAAATATACATATGTAACGTACCTTCCTTACCACCTGTAAGTGTGCAGTTCAGTGGTAATAAATACATTTATAGTCTTTTATTTACCCTTCATCCCCCCCTTCCCCTTCTGGCCTCTGGTAACCATCACTATAGTCACTATCTTCATGAGAACCACTTTTTTAGCTCCCATAAATGAGTGAAAATATGCAATATTTGTCTTTCTGTGCCTGGTTTATTTCATTTAACATAATGACATCCAGTTCCATCCATGTTGCTGCAAATGACAGGATGTCATTCTTCTTATGGCTGGATAATATTCCATTGTGTACATATACCATATTTTCTTTATCCATTTATCCATTGATGGGCACTTAGGCTAAATCCATATTTTGGCTATTGTGACTTATGCTGCAGTACACATGAGCATGCAGATATATCTCTTTGATGTACAGGTTTATTTATTTATTTATTTCTCTGTTTCTTTCCCTAGCAGTGGAATACTTGGATCATATAGTAGTTCTACTTTTAGGATTTTGAGGAACTCCATAATCTTCTCCATAGTGGCTGTAGTAATTTACATAATTTGAGGAACTGTGAGAATATTTTCCAAAGCCACCATACCATTTTGCATACCCACCAGCAGTGTATGAGCATTCTGATTTCTCCACATCCTCTCCATCTCTTGTTATTATCTGATTTTTTCCTCTAGCCATCTTTGTGGGTGTGAAGAGGTATCTCATTGTAGATGACAAATTATTCAGAGGTTAACACTCGTTTATGTGTTGAAGCATTTGGTCAAGGCTGAGTATTCATGAGGCCAGTGAAATAAATCCATCCAGTGAGAAAAGAGTGTTTGCAAACAGACAAGAAAACAAGATGTGTCCAGACATTCCCAACCACATTTCGAACTCTTCACCTTGGCCAAGTATCTCATAATGCATCGTTGTCTCACATAGCCTTATTGGAAGACAGCATGGATGATCCTTTGTAAACTTATTGACATTGTTATGATTCCAAGTTCATACGCCACCATGTTTGGTTAGCAGGAGCAATTCCATCCGGGAAAGAGAGAATATTTTGTTTGTTTTGCTTATGTTTTAACCATCTGTTGAGAGACAGAATTATCCTTCACCTCTTTGGCAGTGTCTAGTTGATGAAAAAATCCTCATAGTTCTGTTTTCTAAATTGAATTTGTGTTACAAAATGATTCAGACTGAGAATGAGAATTTTGGGAGTATCCAGGCAATTCAGCATTCCAATTAATTTGGGATATAGGTCATGGCCACCGCCATGAAATATGTGCGTTTGTCAAAGATGTTAAGACTCTACTACTCAAGGCTTTCACCTGACCAATATCTCACCTCCCCTAATACAGCTCCCATCAAGAGGCAAGCTTGAATTCCAGATATTAATTATTTTTCTCATCCTTTCCCTGTGATTTGGGCTGTTAATATAGAAAATGTTATTGATGATAGGATGATGATGATGATGATGATGATGACAGAGTTTGTCAGAGCATTGAGCACTTCTCAGCAGGCTTCAATACTTGAGCATCAGGGATTTTACTTCGGAGATAGCAGTGATGTTGAATAATTTCATTAGTGCCTGACTCACCAGGACAACCACTGTCTCTTGCCTACCCACTATCCATATCTCCTTCTTTTTTTCAATAAACAGACCTCAAGCTCGCTCAGAAAAGTAATAAGACTGATTAAACCCATCAATGCCCCTGGATTCCCTTGCTGCCTTGGGTGGCTGAGACTACAAACTCTTTGATATAAAAAGACAAAGATTTATTTGCAAAACCTTCACTCCTTTGCTCTTTCTCCTTTTTTCTGGACTAGGGATCTTGAAGCATGGAGTTGTTGCACTATCTTGTAACCATAAAGCCTGAGGACGAAAGCCTGGAGCCTAGGGATGTGGTTGCTTCATCCTTAGGAAAGGAGGGGATGAGCCTAGCTACCTAAGGTTATCACTGAGCCATCACACCAGCTCACGGCTCAGCACTGAAGCTGGAATAATGTTGCTTTTCTGTTATCTGAATCCGAGTGGAATTCTGTCTGATATGCTCTGTCAGCTGCAGGGATCTGAGGATTGTTTTACAACTCAGTACATTGAAATATCCCACATTTGTCTCTGTGATATTCGGAAATCAAGACCACTTTGAAGAGATGTGAAATGAAGATGGAATGGAAAATGGAATGGAATTCAACTATTGAAGTGGTCTTCATGATGACTCCAGACTTCTAACATAAGGTGCCAGGTAGGTAGTAGACTCCTTATCAAGCTAGAGAAACTGGGAATGGTGAAACATAATAATAAGATGAAATTAAAGGATTCACATTTGGACATAATGAGTTGTGAGACACATACTTGCAGAAATCAAGGAGGAAGTGGGAGCTCAGAAAATGGATCTGAGAAGGAGAAGTCAATGCATACCTCATCAGCAAGGTGATGAGGAACAGTTGAGATTATCCATGGAGACTCTGTGGAGGGAGCTGAGAGTACCCACCACACACCCTCAGCAAGTCCAGCACTTAGAAACTGATTAGAGCAGGACCCTGTAGAAAGGAGGATAAGGAGAACACTGAGAGGTAGAAGGAAAACCAGAAGAATGTGAAGTTACCAACTCCAAGAGAGAAGCATTCTAGGAAGGGATCCCATTTAGCTCCCATCAAATCATGCTTAAACGGACTTAAAAGAAGATGCAGCATAGTATCTATTGGATTTGCCAAGATGAAATTTATAACATTATACAAATAGCTCTGAGGATGATGCCAAGTAGAAAAGGCTGAATAGAAAATGGTTTCAAACATAGCATGATTATTTAAATAGAAATATATATGTATATTTGTGTTACTGGACTCTGAGACTAATATACACCTTCTCTTGGACATAATTGGCTTCCAAAGGCTGACAGAGTTACTGTTAGGTGGAGAGATCTGGAGTGATTCTTATCTTCTTTTTAATATATGCTATAATTTTTTGTTCATTTTATACATTTTCAATCATTTCTTGATTAATTATATGAAGTGACAAAAATAGCCAAATTATGTGGAGTCCATTCATGTCTTCATTTAAACTAATCCTGTTTTTATTGGCAGGCAATACACACAATTTGGGAAATGGTCAATTAACTAATGTGTTCATATCAGTCACAGTATTTCTTCTTCTTTTTTTTTATTATAGACAGGGTCTAACTATATTGCTGATATGGTTTGTCTGTGTCTCCAGCCAAATCTCATCTTGACTTATAGCTCCCATAATCCCCACAGGTCATGGGAGGGACCCAGTGGGAGGTAATTGAATCATGGGGGCAGGTTTTTCCCATGCCGTTCTTGTGGTAGTGAATAAGTCTCATGAGAGCTGATGGTTTTATAAACGGGAGTTCCCCTGCACATGCTCTCTTGCCTGCTGTCATATAAGATGTGCCTTTGCTCCTCCTTTGCCTTCCACCATGATTGTGAGGCCTCTCCAGCCATGTGAAACTGTGAGTCCATTAAACCTCTTTTTCTTGATAAATTACCCAGTCTCTGGTATTTCTTTATAGCAGTATGAAAACGGACTAATACAATTGCTCAGGCTGGTCTCTAACTCCTGGGCTCAAGTAATCCTCCCACCTCGTTCCCCCAAAGTGCTGGTATTGCAGCCATGAGCCACAATGCTCAGTCAGTCACAGAATTTCTGAAAGGATTGAGCTTCTCTTTTTGCCTTGTCCTGACATTCCTAGATTATTGTCTAGACAAAAATTATTTCCTTTTGAACCGAGTTTACTATAATAAATAATGCTATGTCAAAAAACCATGGGTAGCTTTAAACTCCTTTAGATTAATAGATTGTTATAATTCCTCTCTTTTCCATCTCAAAAACCTGCCTCATAACAAATGCTCCTTTTGCAGAAATATTAACAGAGCATTTATTTAATTTTTCATCAAAGAATAACAGCAAAACAAGAAGGACAAATATGCATGTATGCGTTGGTATCCCAGAAGACAATATACACATAATGTATAGGAAATAATCACAACATCAAATTGACAAAACTATGCATCTTTAGTGACTTCATTATTTTAAGTTCATGGAGACCCATCTGTGGTCGATGAGGCAAAACTGACAGCTGCCTGTTCTTGTAAATAAAGTTTTATTGAAACTCTGCCACATTTATTAATTTACATATTGTCTGTGGCTGTTTTTTTGCTACAAAGGCAGAGATGAGTAGTTGTAAAAGAGACCATATTGTCTTCAAAGCCTAAAATACTTCCTGTCTGGTCCTTTACAGGAAAAGGTTGCAGAACTCTGATTTAGAGCATCTACTATGTGCAACTAACAGAAAAAGAAACCTTTTCACGTGGTTAAAACTCAGAGCAATAACAAAATTATCAAAAATACTGGAAGAGGTTTCCAGAAGATAGAGAGATGATTTCCAGCTGGGTAACTGCAGAGGTTAACAGGAGAAGAAGGTAAATGAGGCTTCTTTCTCAAGGCAAGGATGTGAAGCAAACATAGCTGGAGAACTTGGTCCTTTTCCACTGGGCTGATGTTTCCTGAAGACTGTCCCACTTTCTTGATGAGAGCTCCTGAGGGTATGCTCATCTTTGACTAACCAAATGTATACCAGTCCACTCAAGGTTCTAAGAAGGTCTGCATAAATAAATGCAGAATTTCTCAAATGCGTAATAAGTCATGAAATACCTTCTCGGGAATGATTTTGTAACTATGCAGAATGAGGTAATGTTTTGGGAGCAGGAGTGCAATATTCTGGGAGAGCTAGACTTGGGAGAAATTCTGTATAGCCAGGAAATGAGGTACTAGATGGATGGTTGAATTTGGCCAAAAATAGTCAGAAAGCTTTGCTGCTCATTTGCTTGTTGTAGTTTGATAACTAACAACCCAGAAGTTTTGGGAGCCTTTGCACAAGTATGATATTGACCGAGGTAGCAATAACCTAAATACAAATTAAAATAATTCTTAGTCCACTTAGAACAGCTGGACTAATGATACTGGCTACATGACCCACTTAAAACTGATAATATTTACTTCTTAAAATGTGTCCAACAGTATTTGAATACATGCATTGAAGGAACATATAATAGCAGTTTCTATAGCTGGCAAGAAGCTGAATCAGAAAAACTTGACCATGCACTGCACAAATTTCCCTGCCTCTCTTCTCTCCAGTTGCTACCCTGCCTTAAATTCTACCGAAAGAAGTTAAAGCTCGCTTTGTTTTTGAATAGATCTTAAACATGATGATTATTGACCTCATACCCAAAGCCAATTATACTGAACAAAATCGAGATAGGCTCATTCAACCAAGAACAAAACAAAGATCCCCATATAGATATGATTATTGGAAATTCTGCACAATAAACTAAGATTTGGAGTAGAAATGAAAGGTCCAAATATTGGAAATGACAAGGAAAAATTAGATTTATTTGCAGATTCTCCGAATGTCTGCTGTAAAAGCATGATGATCTATTATTAGATGGTTGAGCAAATTGATTTGTTCTAAAGTATTTCAATATCTTTTGTATATGCCAGATATAAGTAATAAGAAAAAAATGTTTAAGCAGTCTTGAAATAATAAAATACAGAGTGTAAAATACATTGAGATATACTCTGTAGGGGACAAGTTTCCATCAGCCCATATATATGTGTGTGTGTACATGTGTGTATATATATGTGTGTATATTTATATGTGTGTGTGTATATATATACATATGGACATATGGGCTAAACTTCTGCCTTAAAACAAGCAATGTGCCTTTATTTTATTTTATTTTTAAATTAAATTAAATTTTAAGTTCTGGGATACATGTGCAGGATGTGCAGGTTTGTTTCATAGGTAAACGTGTGTCATGGTGGTTTGCTGCACCTGTCAACCCATCAACCAGGTATTAAGCCCCACATGCATTAGCTATTTATCCTGATTTTCTCCCTCCCCCCATTCCCCTGACAGGCCCCAGTGTGTGTTGTTCTCCTCCACATGTCCATGTGTTCTCATTGTTCAACTCCCGCTTCTAATTGAAAACATGCAGTGTTTGGTTTTCTGTTCCTGTCTTAGATGGCAGAGGATAATGGCTTCCAGCTCCATCCATGTCCCTGCAAAGGACATGATCTCATTTCTTTTTATGGCTGCATAGTATTCTATGGTGTATATGTACCACATTTTCTTTATCCAGTCTATCATTGATGAGCATTTGGGTTGAATCCGTGTCTTTGCTATTATGAATAGTGCTGCAATGAATATACACATGCATGCATCTTTGTAATAGAATGATTTATATTCCTTTGGTTACATACCCAGTAATGAGATTGCTGGGTCAAATGGTATTTCTGGTTGTAGGTCTTTGAGGAATCACCATGCTGTCTTCCAAAACGGTTGAACTAATTTACATTCCCACCAACAGTGTAAAAGGGTTCCTGTTTCTCCACAGCCTCACCAGCATCTGTCATTCCTTGACCTTTTAATAATTGCCATTCTGACTGGCATTAGATGGTATCTCATTGTAGTTTTGATTTGCATTTCTATAACAATCAGTGATGTTGAGCATTTTTTCATGTTTTTTGGCCGCATAAATGTCTTCTTTTGAGAAGTGTCTGTTCATGTCTTTTGCCCACATTTTAATGGGGTTGTTTGATTTTTTTCTGGTAAATTTGTTTAAGTTCCTTGTAGATTCTGGATATTAGACCTTTGTCAGATGAATAGATTGCAAAATTTTTCTCCCATTCTGTAGGTTACCTTGTTTACTCTGGTGATAATTTCCTTTGCTGTGCAGAAGCTTTTTAGTTTAATTACATCCAATTTATCCATTTTTGCTTTTGTTGCAATTGCTTTTGAGGTTTTCATCATAAAATCTTTGCCTGTGCCTACATCTTGAATGGTATTGCCTACATTTTCTTCTAAGGTTTTTATAGTTTTGGTTTTTATATTTAGGTCTTTAATCCATCATGAGTTAATTTTTCTATAAGGTGTAAGGAAGGGGTCCAGTTTCAATCTTCTGTATATGGCTGGCCAGTTTTCTCAGCACCATTTGTTTGTTTTTGTCAGGTGGTTGAAGATCACTTGGTTGTAGATGTGCAGTCTTATTTCTGAGATCTCTATTCTGTTCCATTGGTCTATGTGTCTGTTTTTGTACCAGTACCATGCTGTTTTGGTTACTGTAGCCTTGTAGTATAGTTTGAAGTTGGGTAGAGTGATGCCTCCAGCTTTGTTCTTTTTGCTTAGCATTGTCTTGTGTATATGGGCTCTTTTTTGGTTTCATATGAATTTTTAAGTAGTGTTTTCTAATTCTGTGAAGAATGTCAGTGGTAGTTTAATGGGAATAGTTTTGAATATATAAATTACTTTGGCCGTATGACCATTTACATGATATTGATTCTTTCTATCCACAAGCATGAAATGATTGTGTCCTCTCTGATTTCCTTGAGCAGTGGCTTGTAGTTCTCCTTGAAGAGGTCCTTCCCTTGTTAGCTGTATTTATAGGTATTTTATTCTCTTCATAGCATTGCAAATGGGAATTCATTCATGATTTGGCTCTCTGCCTGTCTATTGTTGGTGTATAGGAATGCTACTGATCTTTGCACATGGATTTTATATGCTGAGACTTTGCTGAAGTTGCTTATCAGCTTAAGAAGCTTTGGGGCTGAGACGACGGAGTTTTCTAGATATAGGATCATGTCATCTGCAAACAGAGGCAATTTGACTCCCTCTCTTCCTATTTGAATACCCTTTATTTCTTTTTCTTGCCTGATTGCCCCAGCCAGAACTTTCAATACTGTGTTGAATAAGAGTGATGAGAGAGGGCATCCTTGTGTATTACATTAATGGCCACCCTTCATGTCATCTGCTCCGCTGAGTCTACAGGCCAGGTAAAAAAATTTTTTTTTCAAATAGCCATGGGGAACCAATAAATGTTTTATGCAGGAAAATGACATGATCCAATTTTTGTTTTAGAAAATTCTATAAACTCTGACTACAGAGACTAGAACACATTGTAGGTGATACATCCTAGAGCCAGAGGGGCCAAAGAGAAGGAAGTGTTTGCTGTAAAGGAGAAAAAAAAGTTTTAAAACTGTATATCCTAACTCTGAAAAATGAGGACATAGGTTTTTACTTAAATCTCTCTGATGTCCTAGGAGCCTTAAAAAGTTTAAGAAGCATCTAGGATAGCTATGGACTCCTGAGAAAAGTTCTTTCTCTATGATCCTCATATATGGAAATATATGTTTCCTTCTGCAGGTTCCTGGCGGAGGTTCTGTGTCAGTCTAGGGCATGTCTGCATGACTCCCACTTGCTTCTGGCTTCTGGGAGTCATGCAGACATGCCCTAGACTGTCATAAAGCCTCCCTCATTTTGAGTTCTGCAATTCCTGCTCTTGCAATCTGTGCTCAGCTCAGAGGCCAGGGTATTTCTCTAAAAACATAAACCATAGCATGCTCTCTGCTGCTAAGCCTGTTGATGTCTGACCAGGTTGTTGCCCACTCACTGCCTGGATAAAGCTGAACACTGAGACAGAGATGTTGCCGTAAAGTAAGAGTTTAATTATTGCAAGGCAACCGAGCAAAGAGAACAGGAGATATTTCTCAAAGCCACCTCCTCAAAACTTCAGAGGCTAGGGCTTTTAAAGTTGATTTGGCAGGCAGGGGGACTAGTGGCAGGTGCTGCTGATTGATCTGGGATGAAATCATAGGCGTGTTGAAACTGTCTTCATGTACTGAATCAGTTCCTGGAAAGAGAGGGAGTCACAACACCAGACAAGTCAGTTCATTGGTTGGGGTGACAGGCCACTAGTCTGGTTGCTGTCAGTTGGCCCACTCGCGAGCCAGGTCTGAAAAATATCCCAAAGACCAGTTTTAGGTTTTACAATACCTTTTGTGACTGCCAGTTACTATGGAAAGCAAGCTGGGAAGCAGTGGTAGGTTATCGTTTACTATGCCTGGAGTATAGCAGAAAAGTTTTCAGGAGGTGATATTTCCAGTAATCAAAGCTGCCTGGCACCCCCCTTGGCAAGCTCAACTTCTGGAAGCCATTGAGGGGGTCTGCATGATCTAAGGATCCCTGTTTTTTAAAAGAAAAAACAAGTTCATTAATCTTGCGGGCAGCCTGCCTAGGGGCTAGGACAGGAAGATAATCAATTATTAGTGATTACCACTTACTGAAATGACTATAAACAAACAATCATGCATGGAGGAGGAAAACATCAGAGAGAAAGGAAAATATCTTACTGAAATTCAGGCCCCTACCATAATTTTAATTTTGTGGCCTTTTAAAATTCTATGAAGGCAGTTTCATACCTCTGCAACAATGTACAGCTGCATTTGAAATGCACTGGGAACACTTGGCCCTGGTTTATGCAACTCCATCTTATCCTCTGCACCATCATTGTCCACTCTAAAAGGAGACTTCAGAAAGTTCATGGAAATATTGTGTTATGAACAAACTATGCATGGATTTCAAATTTTTGTTCCACCAAGATAAACTCATACTAGCTTGTTATAACATGGGTCGAGTTTGAGGCACGAAGAAGGATTAGACATCAGTTTGAAAAGAGCCCCTATCAGAGCAATATGAATTTCACTACAATGGAAGCAAGAACAAACATCAAATTTATGATGAGCCTTGGGTGGAAGAAGGGTGAAATCATGGATGCTTTATGAAAGTTTTATCAGGAAAATGCTCCCAAAGAAATCAGCAATTTACAAATGGATAACTCATTTTAAGAAGGGATAAGATAATGTTGAAGATAAAGCTTGCATGGAAGACCATCCACGTCAATTTGAAAGGAAAAACTAATCTTGTTTGTGCCCTAATTGAAAAGGACTGATGATTAAAAGCAGAAACAATAGCCAACACCATAAACATCTCAACTGGCTCAGCTTACACAATTCTGACTGAAAAATTAAAGTTGAGCAAACTTTCCAGAAGATGGGTGCCAAAATTGTTGCACCTGGATCCACTGAAGACAAGAGCAAAGCTTTCTATGGAAATTTTAAACAAGTGACATTAAGATTTTGAAGCATTTCTCTGAAGAACCATTAAAGGAGAGAAAACATAGCTTTACCAGTACCATCCTCAAGGAAAAGCACAATCAGAGCAATGATTACCAAGAGGTGGAAGGGGTTCTGCCAAAGCAAAAGTGGATGGATCAAAAACAAAGATCATGGCAACAGTTTTTTGGAATGATCAAGGCGTTTTACTTGTTGACTTTTTGGATTGACAAAGAACAACAACATCTGCTTATTATGAGAGTGTTTTGAAAAAATTAGCTAAAGCTTTAGTGGAAAATTGTCCAAGAAAGCTTCACCAGAGAATCCTTCTCCACCACTACAATGCTTCTACTCATTCCTCTCATTAAACAAGGGCCATTCTGCAAGAATTTCAATAGGAAATCATTAGGCATCCATCTTAAAGTCCTGATTTGGCTCTTTTTGACTGCTTTTTGTTTCCTAATCTTAAAAAAAAATTAAAGGGCACTTTTATTTTTTTAACCCATTTAAAGGGCACCCATTTTTCTTTAGTTAATAATGTAGAAAAGATGGCATTGAGACGGTTAACTTCCCAGGAGTCTGAGTTCTTTAGGAATGGACTAAAATGGCTGGTATTATCACTTACAGAACTTGAACTTGATGGAGATTAAGTTGAGAAATATAGTTTATATTTTTTACATTTTTATCTTTTAATTCCATTTGTCCACGAACTTTTTGAAGTCCCCTCATGTCTAACGGCAGAGGAATTCTTTATATGCATTCAATAGAATAAGCCACTTCCCACTGCCAGGCCCTTTCCCTGGCTGTACCTTTCATCAGGAGAGAGAAATCTCTTGCCTAATTCCAGCCCTGATCTCGCATATGATCAGACTTGGACATGGAATATTTATCAGGTGCTGTCTCTTCTGGTTTTCCTCTAGCCAAGTCTCAAATCTCCCCACTACCAGGGTCCAGAACTATTTTTCTTTTCTATGTCTCATTCAAAAGAGTGTTCTTTGTTTATTTTTTCCATTGCTACCTTCAAAATGGATACACCTACTGTGTGAGTAACACCTACTGTGTGAGTAAACAGTAGCAAAGAAGAGATCCTCTTTCACACTGAAAGTGCAACTAAGAAAAGACATCCTCATAATTACAAAATAAGCGACTGAAGGATAAGCTAGACAATTTCTCACACAGCTTCTCCATGTGGGCTCCCAAAAAGAAATTGTTGATAAAATCCTGCTAACTTCCCACTTCTACTTTTTAACTCAATCTCCAAATGTAGTTCATGATATGATTCAGGAAAGGGGAGGGCTTATGTATGCAAGCATTGCTCACAATCTCTCATTTTTATATTCTCGGTGGCTGTTTTGTTTTGTTTTGAGACGGATTCTCACCCTGTCGCCCAGGCTGGAGTGCAGTGGCGTGATCTCAGCTCACTGCAACATCTGCCTCCCGGGTTCAAGCGATTCTCCTGCCTTAGCCTCCCAAGTAGCTGGGACTAAAGGCGTGCGCCACGCCAATTGTAGTGGTGGAGAAGGATTCTCTGGTGAAGCTTTCTTGGGCATTTTTCTGCTAAAGCTTTAGCTAATTTAGACTGGATAATTTTTGTATTTTTTGGTAGAGATGGGGTTTTACCATGTTGGCCAAGCTGGTCTCAAATTACTGGCCTCGGGTGATCCACCTGCCTCAGCCTTCCAAAGTGCTGGGATTACAGGTGTGAGCCACCGCACCCAGCCTCGGTGGCTGTTTTGAATACACAGATCCATATGAGTCTTTTAGCATGAACTATGCAAAAGCAATATGCCATCGTCTCTTCCATTTACCTATAAGTCAAAAGATAATACAGTTCTATGTTCTTAGTGTCACTCACAAATGACATCTCTGGCATCCTGTGTGTCTGTTGGGCTTCTATAGATCATGACAGACAGCAGAGATAGAAAATCAACATTCAAGTCCCACTTTCCCTTCCAATAGGAGCACCATTTCCTCTCTATGTAGCCTGTATTCACAGAATATCTGCTTGTAAAGCCTGCCTGTTCCATATCCCCCATGAGGCAGAGCATACAGTCTAGTCATTTCTGTCATTTGTCCTTGTAATGGGTTGAATAGTATCTCCATGCAGACATGTCCACCCAGAACCTGTGGATGGAACCTTGTTTGGAAAAGGGGTCTTTACAGATGTAATTGAGTTAAGGACTTTGAGATGAGGTCATTCTGGATTAGGGTAAGCCCTCAGTGTCATGAGTTTATAAGAGAAGAGAAGACACACAGAGGGGAAGCCACGTGGTGATGAAGGCAGAGACTGGAGTGATGAGGCCACAAGCCCAGGGACACCTGGAGTCACCAGGAGCTGGAATCGGCAGGAAAGATTCTTTCCCTAGAGCCTCCAGAGGAAGCATGGCCTTCTCCACACCTTGATCTCTGACTTTTTTTCTCCAGAAGCAGGAGAATAAATATCTGTTGTTTAAGCCACACAGCCTTTGGTAAATTGTTCTGGCATCCCTAGGAAATGAATACTGTCCTGTAGTATAATTATGAATTTTACTCAATAGCTCATCTCTTTAATGAACACTTACATTTTGACTTTGTGTTCCAATTATTGAATAAAAGACTTGGTAATCAAATAGAGGATGTAAATTCAGATACTGTCCTGCAGGTGAGGGAGATTCTGTTTAGAGGAGTGAGCCACTTGAAATTCCACTGCTTAGGTGAGGTAACGAGCCGCCCAGACAGCTCTCCCAGACCCCTGGGTTAATAAGCACACATTAAAGATGAACTATAGGCATGCCTCAGCTAACACAGGCCTTCCATGAATGAGTAGACTGTATAGGTGCCTCCGATATTGGTGGGTAGGTAGGTGTTCCTAGTGTATTTTCAAACAGATAAAGAAGAGTTTAAAAATTAATTTTAATAAAGGGAGAAATAACTTGTAATGGTAAATTCTAAGAAGACATTATGTCTGTGACGGGCACATCAGAAGATGCCTACATTGATTTTCTTAACTTGATTCTCTTACAAGCTAGAATTAAAGTATCCTAAAGTGCCAAGATGAGGATAGTTAAACTATGAAGTTTTGAGAAGGTGAGTATCTGTAATGGAGCTAATCATTAGGAATCAGACCAAAATAAAGAATCATTTGATTACACATTTTTTTTAGATAAATTATGAGAAACAAGTGTTAGAGAAGAGGTTCTCAAAGCAGTGTCCACATTAGCAGAAACAGGCTCATCTGGGACCTGCTTATAAATGCACATTCTCAGGTCCCACCCCAGTCAGACTTGCTAAATCAAACGCTCCAGAGTGAGGCCCAGAAATCTGCATTTCGACAAGTCCTCCCAGAGATGCAGATGCAAAACTTCTGCTAGAATATGGCTAACACGAAACCGTTTACTCTACTAGCTCTATGAGTAGTTTCATAGAGAATGTGACAATTGTATAGAAAGAATATAGTTTTTACTACTTTGGAGAACCGAACATGTAACCTTTTAATGGTTTCTTAACGAGACTGGCTATTGGGAAATCTGCATTTTATTATTAAACCTTAGTGATAACAGGTTTTCAGCTAATAAATTACATCTGGACAAAACCTGGCTGCGGAAAATGGCTGCAGGAGAGCCCATTTTTGATCACGCCCCTGGGGAAAACCTGGAATCAGTGCTGAGTTTTCCCTTCCTGAAGCAGTTGGTAACAGCCTCGTCCCTAAATTGGCTGCTCAAGCTGCTCTCCAGGAAAAGTTAATATGTTCCCAGAGGATGAAATCAACCTTCAGTTGGAGCCCCACCCTGGGAGATGCAAAGCCATGCGTCTCTGTGGGATACACAGGTGACCTGGAGAAGGGGTGCGGGTGAACTCCAGAGAAAAACTGAAAAGTTTACTCTCCCGTCTCTCTTGATTTCCAGAAAAGAGTGAGACCAGTAGGCTCCGTGTCCCCATTTTCCAAAGCTTATTTAGATTTCAAAACCGCTTTGCAGACCCAGCCGTATGTGTTGCATAAAGCCTGTTGAGTTTATTACTGATGACAGTCCTAGCTCTAGTAAAAAAGAATGCAACACGAAATTAAATCATCTCCTCGATAATGACAGGATTGCAATCAGAGAATAAAATTTGTTTTCTCATCTGGTTATACCCAAAAGGCTACATTCAGATGAGCCATCTTTCCATTTTGAAGAAGTGAAAATCGTATAGAATATTTGTGTGAGTGTGTTGAGGGAGTGCTTTGACACAGGAGAATCATAGAGCAGCAGGAAAGTGGATGTGAAAGTTAGTCTTCCCAGTAAAGTGAGAGTGAAGGGAAGATACACTAGAAACAGGATATTTCAAGGTAATTGAAACGCAAAAGTGAATCCTTTTTTTTTTACTTAATTATGATAGAAGACAAAATAAAGAGAATCTTAGAAATCTTGAATATTCACATCAGTTTAAGTAAGTAATAAAAACTGTATTTACTGTATTACAGAAAACTGTAAATAACATAGAAATAGCATTTGCTCTCTCTGTCTCTGTCTCTCTCTCTCTATGCCTGCCTCTCTGTTTCTTTCTGTGTCTCTGTCTCTCTCTCTTTCTTTCACACACACCTCTCCATTTAAGATAGATAGATAGACAGATATAGATATAGATAGATAGATAGATAGATAGATAGATAGATAGATATAGATATAGATAAGGTAACAGGTAGTATTGCTCTGAGTGGGATATTTACAATGTGGTACACGTGATTTTGACTGTGTTTGACATTCTTATTGTGAAAAAGGATATAACTTGGAAATAAATTACGTTTATGCATCCATACACACTCTTCAAACAGGCAATTGGATTGAAAGTATGCCAGTGAGACTAAAAATCATACAACTCCGTGTAATGTGGAAGGTGAAGGAGCATTTTAGAATGCATGTTAAAACACAATAAACATAAGGATAGATTCTGTGATAGAACAGAATGCCTGAATTCCTATCCCAGGATGTGATTTCAAGGCACAACGAGATAAAATGCCTGGAGAGAGAGAATAACGACGACTTTAGACACTGAGGCAATTCCCAGGGTAAGTTCACAGTGACACACTGCTCCTGGACCTTGAGCAAATGAGCAATGGTCGGTTGGGCTCAGGGGACTTCTGGGGTGGACTAGCCCTGGCTCGGGGTCAGAAGAAGCTTGACACAGCCTTTGTCCAAGCCGTACATCTATCGATCTAGGAACAGCAAAAGTGCACTCAGTGGGATTTAGGACTTTCCCCAAATCGTTAGAGACACAGAGCTCCATCGGTCATCTGTGGATTCTCTCAGTTCCCATGTCTTGTCTTGAGGTTTTTGTTGGTTTGGGATTTCATTCCTGCTTTGTCCAATAATTCCCCCAGATTCTGCTGGGATCACCCAGTACTCTCTCAGCATCCACCTTTGTCCCTATTGATTGATACCTGTAACCTCTTGCTGTCTGATTTTCCCACCAATCCCCCAGTGCACATCCACACCACCCCTTTGAATCTACTTTTTTTCTCCAAGGTTACCAGTGACCTCAGAAAAAGCAGTCAGATCCCGTTAACTCCTGTTAGTCCATTATTGACATTACAGTATTTGACTCTGTTCACGTGCATCTCAGTTTCAAGGCATGGCTCTGTGGCTTTGAGTCTGTTTGCCTTCTTCATTGACTTCTGTTTCAACAACACTTCTTATAAGTCAGAATTTCCCAAAGCTATGCCTGAGTTCAGCCTGTGCCTCCAAACTCTGCTTTCTATGGGCTCCTAACCATCCCTATAGCTTCCACCATGAGTTCTCTGCTGCTAAGTCCCTAATCTGTGATTCTCTGCTCTCATTTCTAAATGCCAAACACCTACACCCGGAACTCAGCACTTCTAAAATTAAATTCGTGATTGCCTACTCTCTTCTTGCAGTCTTGATTGTTTATTTGTGTTCTCTAATTTAATAATAAAACCATGGAATACTACGCAGCCATAAAAAATAATGAAATCATGTCCTTTGATGCAATATGGATGCAGCTGGAGGCCATTGTCCTAAGTGAACTAATGCAGAAACAGAAAACCAAATACAAGTTTTCACTTACAAACAAGAGCTAAACATGAGGTACTCATGGACATAAAGATGAGAACAATAGATACTGGGGACTCCTAGAACGGGGAGAGAGGGAGGTGCAAGGGTTGAAAAACTACCTACTGGGGACTCTACTTACTACCTGGCTGACGGGTTTAACCATACACAAAACCTCAGGATGATGCAATATACTCATGTAACAAACCTGGATTTAAAATAAAAGTTGAAAAATGTAAAAAAAAAAAAAAAAAAAAAAAAAAAAGGGCCGGGCATGATGGCTCACACCTGTAATCCCAGCACTTTGGGAGGCCAAGGTGGGCAGATCACCTGAGGTCAGGAGCTCAAGACCAGCCTGGCCAACATGGCAAAACCCCATCTCTACTAAAAATACAAAAAGTAGCCAGGCGTGGTGGCGCATGCCTGTAATCCCAGCTAATCAGGAGGTTGAGGCAGGAGAATCGCTTGAACCCGGAAGGCAGAGGTTGCAGTGAGCCAAGATCGTGCCATTGCACTCCAGCCTGGGCAACAAGAGTGAAACTCTGTCTCAAGAAAACAAACAGACAAACAAACAAAAACCACCTTCCTTGCCTGCAGACTCAACATTTCGCTTTGTTTTATCATGGTCTCCTTCCCATCCACCCACTCAGCAATACAATTGGTTGTCAAAATCTATTATTTACAGCTTTCAAACGTCTCTTCTGAATTCTTCTCTCGATTTTTCCTTGCATTCATCAAGCACTTGCCCACCCCGTTGTATTTGCACCTCCCTGATTTTTCTCTAGTTTCTCACTTCTTCCATCTCATTGTTTTCTTTAAACCACAATCAGCCCAGCCCTATTAAATATCTTTGAAAGAAACTACATTTTTCTTAGTATTAGTCGCATTTCTCAGTCAACATTTGAATTGTTATCTTTTTTGGGGACCAGGTTATACATCTGCCTCACTTACCTGACACCTATTTGAAGTCTAAGATGATTTCTTGTTCATCCAGAAGCTTCTGCACATTCAGCACCCTGTCACCTGCCAAGAGTTGCAATGCACCCAAAATCAGGTTGCCTCTCTGTTTGGTAAGGGGATTTTTCAATGTGCTTCAAGCTGAACATCATATATATTATCTCATTCAGCTCACAACAATTCTGTAAAGTATTGATTATGCCTCCAGTATATATGAGGAAAAGGAAGATCACAGTGATTAAGCAATTTTGCTTAACTGGTTAGTAAAAGAATTAAATATTTATTGTGTGGCTTGGAAACCATCATTTTTCTCCCAAGACACCACACTACCTCTCAGTAAGAATATGTCAATAATTAATGCTGGATAGATCTCTCCGGTTCTATCACAAATGGGACCAAAATATATGACCCCTATTCTTCACTTTTCTTCTTATGTGACCAAAGAAGTCTGTCCACACAATATCTAGGACACACCATGGAAAAAAAAAAGGATTAAATCAAAATTCTTTTTGTGTAATGGTGGGAGGTTGAATCCACAGTCCCCAAAGTTGTTCACATCCTAATCCCAGAAGCTATGAAAATGTCACTGTACCTGGAAAAAAGGAAATGAGTAAGGATCTTAAAATGGGGAGATCATCTTGGGCTAGCCAGGTAGGTCTTTATAAGAGAGAGGTAGGAGGGTCAGAGTTAGAGACAGAGACGTGAGGATAGAAAGAGATGTCAGAGTGATGCGGGGCCATGAGCCAAGGAATGCAGGCGGGCTGTGGGAGATGGGATAGGTAAGGCAGCAGACTTTCTTTCAGAGCCTTCAGAACAAATGCAGCCCTGGTGACCTATTTTGGACTTCTGACCTATAGAACTGTAAGACAACTGTGATGGTAAATATTGAGTGTTAATTTGATTGGATTGATTGAAGAATGCAAAGTATTCTTCCTGGTGTGTCTCTGAGGGTGTTGCCAAAGGCGAGTAACATTTGAGTCAGTGGACTGGAAAAGGCAGACTCACTCTCAACTGGTTGGGCACCATCTAATCAGCTATCAGCATGGCCAGAATAAATGCAGGCAGAAGAACATGGAAAGACAGACTAATTTAGTCTTCTGGCCTCCATCTTTCTCCCGTGCTGGATGCTCCCTGCCGGTGAACATCAGACTCCAAGTTCTTCAGCTTTGGGACTTGAACTGGTTTCCTTGCTCCTCAGCTTGCAGACGCCCCATTGTGGGACCTCACTATGTGATCATGTGAGTCAATACTCCTTAATAAACTTCCCTTTATATATACATCTATCCTATCAGTTCTGTCCCTCTAGAGAATCCTGACTAATACAACAACATACGTCTATATTGTTTTAAGCCACTGGATTTGTGGTAACTTGTTGTGACAACCATAGGACACTAAGACAGCCATTGAGATTAAATAAATTTATGAAGGATGAAAAATTAATGAGCACAGATAAAAGACTCTTCCATGCAGGAGCAGGGAACATGGAAAAATACTCCCCTTCGTATTTTTTCTCTTTATTTTTTAAACAAATTCTCTCCTTGCATGCAAGAAAGAATCATAGAGGCATGGTCTGAACAAAAGGGAATGGATGCATTGGCTTCCCCGACTTAATTGGGGTTGAGGGATAAATTTTAGGATTCCCAGTGAAGTTTGAATTTTTGTTGAACAACAAGTGATTTTTTAAAGTGTGTGTATTCTGCAGAGACTTACCTCATTGGTATATGTGACACAGGAGTTAAGAAGAAATCACTTAGGCAGATAGTAAGGGTATGGGAGTCCTCAGTAAGGCTTTCCTTTTTAATGAAAAGCAGCCCCAAATCGTTTTCTAGGAAAGAGCAGCCTGTAAAGTCGAGCTGCAGACATAGACAAGCAAGCTGGGAGCTTCCACGAGTGAATGCTGGCAGGAACTTAAGACTAGACATGTTCAAGATGGCAGCTCCATCTTCCCTTTTCTGTCAGCCACATGTACTATAAGGAGCAGACAAGATGGCACTGATCAACTGGAAAGCCCATTTGCATAATAAGATTAGGGTGGGGCAACCAGTCTCCCCCCGAACCCACACACTATGTAAATGTCATACCTGATCGAACCGATCTGTTAAGCCCTATGTAAATCAGACACTGCCTCCTCAAACCTGTCTATAAAATCTGGCGCATTCTCTGCCAGCCGGTCCTTTCTGCTTGGAGACCCCTTTCTCTACAGAGAGAGCTGTTTCTCTTTCTCTTCTCTTCTGTCTGTTAAACCTCCATCCTAAACTCCTCATGTGTGTCCGTGTTCTAAATTTTCCTGGCATGCGATGACGCATCTCAGGGTATATACCCCAGGAAACATAGCCACTTCATATGGACACCATTATTTTAAAAAATAGATTGCAGAGTCCCTAATGGAAATAGATGAAGACACAGCTGAAAAGAGTAGATGTTTAGTGCATGTATTCCTCACGGCAAGTGGTTTTGAAGCGCGGCTCAGAGAGCCATGGTTCTTGGGCTGAAATTGAACCCGACTATTGATTTATATATGAGAATTATTCCCAAAACAGAGTTAGATTGCATTTATACACTCATCCCCTCTTCCTTCAACCAAATTATTGATTTTCATAGATTAAGTGGGCTTCTTATTCTTGTGACTCTTCACCTCTTGAATTCTGTATGCATTTTTAAGCAAAATGCAGACATTTTATCTACTCTTCTATGCAAATATTTACTGGCTAAAATTTTTAAAAAGCAGCAGCCTCCAGAAGACAGCACAATGAGTTATCATCAGTCACAATTACCCACTCAAAAGTGGTGGGATATGGAAGTCAGGCTCCAGGACATGCCTTGATACCAAGAAGAGTGGTTCATTGTAGAAAAAAAAGTCTGTCAGTGAAACACCTTACATGTAATTCACAGATAAAGATCATAGGTTTTAAAATGGCAAGTCCAGAGAGTTGTGCCACCTATCTTTTTTGATAAGTGATTCTGATAAGGTTTCCCTAAGAAGTGAACACCTCTAGGTATTTAGAGCTCATTTTGGCAAATGATTTGTTTTTCTAAAAAATACAGAATAAGTGTAAGTTTAGCTAATGCAAGTTTAGCATTTATGCAAGTTTAGAATTTTTAATTGGGTTCAATATCTGCTTTTGCTGCCAAACTTCTGAACAGTAATAACAGGTAGTAACAAGATGTTCAAGATGTTATCCAAATAAATGAGAACTGGCAGTAGGGGAAAAAAGAAGAGTTTAGTGTACACACGCACATATATATACATATATGCACATATACATATATACACATGTACATACACACTATCATACAACATACTGTCAACCTAAAATCATCAAAAGGCTCAGAATCCAGTATAAAAGAGTTTATTCAGTTGCAAAGCTAAGAACAGCCATTCAGGTAACACAGATTCTGAAGAAATGGGATCATTGCTTCTAAACGGGAACGCTAAGGTCTTGCTTATATGGGGAGAAAACAAAAAAAAATTGAACAGGATTACAATAGTTTTTCTACAAGGCTAGTTTATGAGTTTCAGCAATTTGATTAATTACAGCTGTTTTATTTTCCTTTTCCAATTAAAAAATATATTTAATATTTCATCTTAGACAATGTGGTAATTGTGAGGTCTTTCTGTATGAGAAGTAAGAGAGAAGTTAATCCATAATGAAAATCAACAGTGCAGTGGGAAAGGGATCTTCCCTGGTGCCCTTTAGCCTTTCACAACATTTTACAAAACAATGTAGGTAAAGCAAAGGCTATTTCATAATCAGCGGAACAAATGTTGCAGCTGCGTAGGTTACAGCTGTCTGTCAGGTTACTCAGTTCTCATAATTACATTCCTTTACGTCTAAAACAAAATTAAAGTTCCAACAGCTTTAATTTTGAGTTCCTTATTTTTATAATACTTATACTAAAGAGTTTTTTGTTGTTTATCTAAAATTTGAATATAGCTGGTCGTCCTGTATCATTTACTAGTTCTGACAACTCTAAATGGAAAGTTCAGAGTTTGGGCATACTTTGGAGAAACTTCATCTAGCAACTCCTTTATGAACCAAGCACTTGTTTTTTCTCCTCACACTGGCCTGCCTGTTGTCTCATTCATCTTAAAGTTGACTCCATTGATGGCCTAAGGTCACTTCCAATTTCACTGCTTCTTGATTCACGTCCAGAAAAGAGGCATGAGTTCACTTACCCCAACATTCCCGGCCAATCAGAGAGCTCAGGGGGAGATAATGTTATGATACAATTTATCTACATTGCCTATACTCAACCTGGAAATCCAGGGCCATGGTGATCTTCTTCAGAACCATGTAGCAACCAAAATATTTAGGAAAGCAGGAGAAGCCATGAGCAGATGCCCCCTACACTATGCACAAAACCTTGAGAGTGAGAGGTAAGAAGACCTTGAGCATGGATGAAGTCTCACTATAGGGCTGTTTGCTAAGCTTGGAACCTTCAGCTTTGGGGAGTGTACTTTTGAGCGTGGATGCTATCTCCAGTTTCCTATATGCTTGGACTTCAATAATTCTTATGACTAGAACACATCTGTTTATTATTTTATCGTTTGATGCTGGGAATTTTGTGTTTATTCTGTGTATTAAGGAGAGAGTCAAAGGGTTAAGAGTCAAAGGGTTAAAAGTCAAAGGGTTAAGTTAAGGTTTCCTCTAGTGCAGGAGTTGGCAGATGTTTGGAGGAAAGAGCCAGATAATGTGTTCAGCTTTCTGGACCCCACAGTCTCTGCTGCAGCTACTCAACCTTGCTGTCATATGGAGAAGGCAGCTACAGGCAATATGAAAATGAATGAATATGGTAGTTTTCCCATTTATGCACACTGAAATTTGGATATCGTATAATTTTTATTGTCATGAAACATAAGCCTCCTTTTGATTCTTTTCCCAGTCATTTAAAAAACATGAAAATGTATTCTTAGCCAATGGGCCCTAAATGAACAGATGGCCAGACAGATTTGGCCCACTAGCCATTGTTTAATTGCTCTTCCTCCATGGTGGTAGATCCCTTATCTTGGCCGCACATCAGAATCACCATCCCAGGTAAATCTAATTATACTTCTTGTGATTGAGATCCCTGAATCACTAGTTCTAGAGGGACCATCGTTGTAGGCAACTTAATTCACTCAAGTGGTAACAGGGTAGAGTTCAGGGCAGAAGATCTACTCGAGCATCACTGACCTTCTGCTGCATCACTTACGCTGCAAATCTGGAGAAACAGCCCTGGGTTAAAAAAGGTGAAGAGCTTCAAGACTTATAAAAGGCTTTTTAGAATAAGGAGAGTGTGAAGGGCAAATGCACACAAATGAGGAGTCCAGTAATAGAAAGCACGTCACCATTCCTGATACACTCTGAACACCGGTGTGATTGATAGTCTCCCAACAAACATTTTCATAGAATCTGCATTGCTATCTGATGGCCTGAAATGATCTTTTAAAAGTCAGGGTTTCAAACTTGATAGTTCTAAGTTATTTAAGGTACCACATAACAGCAGAGTACTTATCACCAGTAGAAATGATTTCTCCAAAGGAAAAAAAAAATCACATATTGAAGACTCCGTTAAAATAGAATTGTTTCTAATCCAAGAATAAAAATGGTAGTTTATAGGAATATTGAGTTATAACAAATTTTGGCTTCTACATATACTGATGGCTCTCAAATAGGAATATTTCAAATACCTAGATGTGTGTATATGTGTGTATGTGTGCATGTGTTTTGTCTCACGATTTCAAGTGAATTGGTCTGAATGTTTTGTAAAATTACAATAAAATATCATGACAAGTCTATCGTTTCATCTGACAAATTTGCAATATTTAATGGAATTGGCATAAAATCCTCTGTCAATTGAAAATATGTTTGAAGAGTACAAGGAAAAGGAGAGTTACACTTTTGAGACCAACATTTCTCATCTCATAAATGGGAAATAATTAGGGTTTTTGAATTTTGTTAGGCAAATTTACATTAATCATATTTTTATTTTAAAAAATATGTTGAGTTAGCACATTGCATTTGTTTTCAAGGAACTTCTATAAAACTCTTTTAATTTTTTAATTTTTTTTTTTGAGATGGAGTTTCTCTCTGTCACCCAGGCTGGAGTGCAATGGCGGGATCTCAGCTCACTGCAACCTCCACCTCCTGGGTTCAAGGAATTCTCCTGCCTCCGCCTCCTAAGTAGCTGGGATTACAAGCACCTACCACCATGCCCAGCTAATTTTTCGTATGTTTAGTAGAGATGCAGTCTCACCATGTTGGCCAGGCTGGTCTGAAACTCCTGACTTCAAGTGATCTGCCCGCCTCGGCCTCCCAAAATGCTGGGATTACAGGCATGAGTCACCGCACCTGGTGAAAACCTTTTTAATTTCATTTATTCCATTTTTCAGATATATGTATGTGTGTGCCCGTGTGAAGTCTGTATGACAGTATATATGTCTGCATCTATGTACATATTATATAGATATTCATGGGTATAGGATGGGGGATGAGGGAAGAGATTTCTTTTTAAGTGGTTAGCCATATGGCTTGTACAGCCACACTATGATCTTTGCTTATCCTTCTAATTAATAATACCTTCAAATGTGCATGAGAACAACAGCAAGATCTCTGCAAATCATAGTCAGAATTTGTCATTTTGCAAATTTAGGGAACAAGTTTCAAATAGAATAATTTGAGGATTTTAAATGGTTTAAAGATTTCATACCCCAGTGATTTCTCTTTTATTGTCACAAATAATGTAAATTTTCTCCCTATAAAAATGTAAAAGTATTAAAAGGGTATATAAAGTCTACAACAGTTACTTGTGTGCAATAATTTGACAAGGACATAGAGTGCCCAGATATTTGATTAAACATTATTCTGGGTGTGTCTCCGAGGGTGTTTCTGGCTGAAATTAGCATTGAACTGGTACATTGGGTAAAGCATATTATCTTCCCTGCTGTGGGTACACATCATCTGACCCATGGAAGACCTGAATACAATAAAAGACTGAGTAAGATAGAATTATTTCTCTCTGCCTGACGGTCTTAGAGCTAAGGCACTGGTCCTCTCCTGTCTTCAGACTTGATCTTGGACTAAAAATAACATTGTTGACTCTACTGATCCTTAGACCTTTGGATTCACACTGGACCTTGCACCCTCAGCTCTCCAGGGTCTCTAGCCAAAAGACTGGGATTCACACCATTGGCTCTCTTGAGTCTCATGCCTTCAGGCTGGAACTCATACCATCGGTTTTCCTGAGCCTCAGGCCTTTAGACTTAGACTGAAACTCACACCCTCAGCTCTCCTGGGTCTCAGGCCTTCAGACTCAGCTGGAACTCACACCATTGGCTCTTTTGGGTATCAGGCCTTCAGATTGGCACTCACACCCTCAGCTTTTCTGGGTCTCAAGCCTTCAGACTCAAACTGGAACTCACATCCTCAGCTCTTCTGGGTCTCAGACCTTCAGACTTAGACTGGAACTCACACCCTTAGCTCTCCTG
Organism: Homo sapiens; assembly: GCF_000001405.40. Taxonomy (NCBI): domain Eukaryota; kingdom Metazoa; phylum Chordata; class Mammalia; order Primates; family Hominidae; genus Homo; species Homo sapiens. The sequence goes on from NC_000023.11 coordinate 6,561,626, forward strand.
GGTCTCGGGCCTTCAAACTCAGACTGAAACTCACATCCTTGGCTCTCCTGGGTCTTCGGCCTTTAGAATCAGACTGGAACTCACACTCTCAGCTCTTCTGGGTCTCAGGCCTGCAGACTCAGACCAGAACTCACACCCTTAGCTCTCCTGGGTCTCGGGCCTTCAAACTCAGACTGAAACTCACATCCTTGGCTCTCCTAGGTCTTCGGCCTTTAGAATCAGACTGGAACTCACACTCTCAGCTCTTCTGGGTCTCAGGCCTGCAGACTCAGACCAGAACTCACACCAACACCTCTCCTGGGTCTCAGGCCTTCAGACTTAGACTGGAACTCATACCCTTGGCTCTCCTGGGTTTCAGGCCTTCAGACCAGAACTCACATCATGGGCTCCCCTGGCTTTCCAGCTTTCCCACTGCAGATCTTGGGACTTCACGGCCTCCACAATCATATGAACCAATTCTTTACAGTAAATCTCTCTCATTGCCCATTAAAGCGAGAATGGTAAATATATGATGTACCATTTCTAAGAAATTATGTGATTTCTAAGAAAAATGTTTTGTTGTTGCTTGTCAGTAATACCTCTAATTCAAATGAAAGTAAATCTGACCTTTAAGACTGACAAGGCTGTTAATCCAATTCATGTTCAAAGCATTGTTGTATGACTTGTACAAAAATATAGATGTGAAGAAGACAGAATTCAGACCCTAGAACATTTAGGACCATTCAGGAGGGAGATGTGTGCACAATGGGCCATACAGTCAAGACTAAAGAGCACCTAAACCATTCCACTCCCCAGTTGCTGACTCCAAACCAAGCTTTTGTATGATATGTGCCCATGTTCTGAGCCTGAATCCCAAACAAGGCCCATTGGTTGGAAATGTCTTTATTATGTTTGTCTCTGTTTAATTCTATTCCTTTCTCATTCCTCTGGAAGAGAAGAAAGATAAGTGGTACAAGATACTTAGTGGTACTTAGTAGTTCTCAACTTGGGGGTGATCTTGTACCACTTCTCCAGGAGATGCTTAGCAATGTCTGGAGACAATATTTTTGATTGTCACAGTTGAGGAGAAAAGGAACTACTGGGTAAAAGCCAGGGATGGTGCTAAACATCCTACAATGCTCATAGCAGACCTCCAAAACCAAAAATTGTCTGGCCTCAAGTGTCAATAGTGTTGATCTCGAGAAACTCTGCTGCACTTCAGTTTTGATAATTCTGACACACAGTGGGGGAAACAGCACAACAAAATTAATGAAAACCTTAACTAATATAATGCTTGTAATAAATCTAATATGAATTGGAGGTTCATCACATCTTGCAAATATTAATTCAGTTTTTAAATTTTGGTTTTTTAAATTTGTTTTGTTTGAATAAACTTTTAAAGAGCTTCAATTCTATGATAGGGCCTGGGGATAAAAAGCAAAGTAAAATGCTCATGCAACACTTGAAGTTCAGCAGAGAAAGTAGATGTGCAACCACATGTATTAGTCAGGGTACTCCAGAGAAACAGAGCCAATAAAAAGATAGATAGATAGATAGATAGATGATAGGGAGATAATTAGACATTGAGATAGATAGATATAAACAGATGTAGAGATAGGTATAGATAGATAGTGTATTAGTCTGTTTTCACACGCTATAAAGATACTACCTGATACTGGGTAATTTATAGAGAAAAGAGGTATAATTGGCTCACAGTTCTGCATGGCTGGGGAGGCCTCAGGAAACTTACAACCGTGGCGGAAGGCAAAGGGGAAGCAAGGCATGTCTTACACGGTGACAGGACACAGAGAGCAAGCAAAGGGGAAGTGCTACACTTTAAAACCATCAGCTCTCATGAGAACTCACTCACAATCACAAGGACAGCATGGGAGAAACTGCCCTCATAATCTAATCACCTCCCACCAGGACCCTCCCTCAACACATGGGGATTACAATTCAAGATGGGATTTGGGTGGGGACACAGAGTCAAACCATATCAGATAGATATAAAGACATAGATATAGAGATAGATAAATTTAAATAGATATAGAGGCATAGATAGACATAGAGATATATAGAGATATAGATATAGATACAGATAGCTATAGATAGATAGATGGATAGACAGATATAGATATGTAGATGGATAAATGACAGATTTATGATAAATTGGCTCATGCAATTATGAAGGCTGAGAATTCCCATGACCTGCCATCTGCAAGCTGGAGACTCAGGAAACCTGGTCTTGTAATTCATTCTGAGTTTGAAGGTCTGGGAACCAGGACAGTCAAGAGCCAAGGAGTGTCAACCAGCCCAAGAGCAAGAGAAGGTGAGATGGGATGTCCTACCTCAAGCAGTAAGTCAGAAAAAAAGGGATGATTCCTAATTCCTCCTCCTTTTGTACTATTCAGGCTCTCGGTGAATTGGACTAATACACTGTCTATCTGTACCTATCTCTGTATCTATTTCTATATCTATTAATATGTATCTTTCTATCTATCACTACATCTACCTATCTCTACATCTATCTATCTATCTATCTATCTATCTATCTATCTATCTATCTATTTATCTATCTCTTATTGGCTCTGTTTCTCTGGAGTACCCTGACTAATACACCCTCACAGACACACACAGAAATAATGTTCAACCTGGGCAACCCATAGCCCAGTTAACTCAACACAAGTCAAAACAAACAATCCCATCATACACACTACAATACTGTACAATTTAATAATGGGGCAACCCTAGCCTCTAGGAGCCAGGACAAGGATTTACTTCTCCTAGGGGAGCCTGGGTACCTTCATAGAGGTGGTACATTGGGTGTGGGCCTTGAGGGATCAGAGAATATCAGACGGAAAAGGAAAAGAGAGGGATCCAGGATGGCAAACAAAAGCCCAGCACGTCAGAAAAGGTGAGTGTGTTCTGAGACATTAAAAAGCCAGTATGGCTAAAGCCAAGTTAGAAATCAATTTCAATAGGATGTTGAGCTAAAGACAGGGAACATGATCATGGTTGTGGATGTGATTGGCAATTTGAGAAATTCACACACTGACTAAAGACAACACTTTCAAGAAGTTTCTCTGTGACAATAAGACAAGCATCATCAAAACCACAGTGAGATATCACCTCACCCCAGTTAAAATGTCTATTATCAAAAAGACAAGAAATAACAGATCCTAGAAAGGATGTGGAAAAAGGGAGCTCTTATGTTCTGTTGGTGGGAATGTAAAATAGTACAGCTGCTATGGAGAACCATATGGAGGTTCCTCAAAAAGCTATAATTAGGACTACCATATGATCTAGCAATCCCAATGTTAGGTATTTACCCTAAGGAAAGGAGATCAGTATATTAGAGGAATATCTGTACTGTCATGTTTTTTGCAGCAGGGTTCACAATAGAAAATGTGTAAAATCAACCTAAATGTCCATCAATGAATGAATGGATAAAGAAAATGTGATATATATGTATATATACATAATGAAATATTATTTTACCATATAAAAATGAAATCCTGTCATTTGCAGCAACATGGATGGAACTGGAGGTCATTATGTTAAGGGAAATAAGCCAGGCACAGAAAGACAAATATCGCATGGTCACAATCACATGTGAGAGCCGAGGAAGTGGATCTCATGGAGGTAGAGAATAGAATGACAGATACCAGAGGCTGGGAAGGGTAGTGGGGAGGAGGGAATAAACAGAAGTTGGTTAATGGGTACAAAAATACAGTTAGATGGAAGGAATAAGTTCTAGTATTTGATACCAGATAAGGAAAGTATAATTGACACAAATTTATTGCATATTTTTAAATTGCTAGAAGAAAAGGATTGAAATGTTCCTGACACACAAAATAAGACAAGCATTTAAAGTGATAGAAACGCTAATCACCCTGATTTGATCATTACACATTGTATACAGGTATCAAAATCTCACATTTACCCCCAAAATACATACAACTACTGTATACCAACAAAAATATATTTTAAAAAACACGTGTCCACATAAATGTTTTTCCTCCATTTTGTAATAATAGAGGGAAAAATAGAGTTGGCTTTTTGAGCTGGCTTCTCTCAATTTTTGGATAGCTTGCAAATATTTTCATCAGCCTTTACAAGGAGTGAGACAGGCATGTTTATGCTTTTCTGAAGCTGCATGTCGAAATTTAGACACCTGCTGGTGTCTAACAGGTCGGAGGTGGCTTTATGTTGGGAAGGAGTTGAATCAATAAGCAGAGATTTCAGCAAAGGGGCAGCTGAGATAGTTGCTCTTGGCTCTACAATGTCTGTTCTTGTGTGCAGGATCAGGCTCTCCCATAAGACTTCAGTCTTGGTTTTGCATCTGAATGAAAGATATCTGGCATTCCTAGGAGATTGTTTTAGTTCCTTTCATGGGTTTCACAGATTGAGCCTCTTTTCTACATTCTTACTACTTCTGCCTTTGAACAGTTTTCCTTTGCCTCATTCAGAGACATTTGCAACAGAGATGTCCTTCCATCAGTCTCTTCCTCTCAAACATCTCTGTGTTACTTTTTAAAAGTTCCTGAATATGGTAACAAACAGGGGTCTAGTTTCATTCTTCTGTATATCACTAGCCAGTTTTCTCAGCACCAGTTATTGAATAAGGTGTCCTTTCCCCATTTACTTTTGTTGTCATTGCAAAAGATCAGATGATTGTAGGTGTGTGGTTTTATATCTTGGGTCTCTATTCCATTTATCTATATGTCTATTTTTCTACCAGTACCATTCTGCTTCGGTTACTATAGCCTTGCAGTATAATTTGAAGTTGGGTAATACGGTTCCTCCAGCTTTGTACTTTCTGCTTACAATTACTTTGGTTATTCAGCCTCTTTTTCGGTCCCATATGAATTTTAGAATTGTTTTTTCTAATTATGTGAAGAATGATGTTGGTAATTTGATAGGAATTGTGTTGAATATGTAGATTGCTTTGGGCAGTATGGTCATTTTGACAATATTGATTCTTCCTATCCATGAACATGGGATTTTTTTTTTTTACACCATGGAATACTACGCTGCCATTTAAAGAATGAAATCATGTGTTTCACAGCAACATAGATGGACTTAGCCATTATCTGAAGTAAAATAACTCAGAAAATCAAACATCACATGTTCTCTCATATAGGTGAGAGCTAAACAGTAGGTGCATATGGTCATAAAGATGGAAACGATAGGCACTGGGGACTCCAAACCAAGGGAGAGTGGGAGGGAGCGAGGATTTAAAAACTACTTATTGGGTACTATGTTTATTACTTTGTTGGGTGATGGGTTCACTAGAAGCCCATATCCCACCATTACACAATACCTCCATGCAACAAACCTTCACATGCACTTTCAAACCTAAAATTTAAAAAACAGTCCCTAAAAAAAAATAATAATGCGGAAAAAAAACACACAAAGAATGAAAAACAATTAAAACTTATTATCCCAGTACCCTCCTCCTCCACCTGGTGCCCCTAGCCTTCCCCTATTGCGGGATCTGGCCAGCAGCCCGCAATGCAACGGGGCTCTCCCTCTGCTCCTAGGTGGATCGGCAGGTTGAGAAATAATAGAGACACACAATATAGTGAAAGCTGGGTCCAGGGGGGTCACCGCCTTATGCTTCCACGGTGCCAACCATGCACTGGATATACCAGCATTTATTATTAAGTTTAGTGAGGGCGGGGGTAGGTTAGTGAGGGATTTAGGGTCATTTGATTATGAGGTGAGATGGTCACATGGGGATGAAGTAATTCTTCAACATAACATTTGTATGTAGAAGTACAGTACATTTGTATGTAGAAGTACAGCATACAGAGATAAGAATTTACAATATAGTGTGTGCGTCAGTAATTTCTAACAGAGCCTTAGAACAGAAACACAGTCCTTCCATAACCTATGATTAGCAAGATATTAATCAGCAGTAACAATTGCAACAAAAGCTGGTTACAAACAATCCATGGAAACAGGACGTGAAGCTAAACAACTGGTTAGACCAGAAATTCTCAGAAGGGAGTATGCTTTAACCCTAAAGGGGCCTAGAAGAGCTGTGGCAAGATGAGGGCGTTTATAGCCCTATCTTATCCATATGGACAGGCGCCCCCCATGCTTCCATTTATAGGCTCTCCACAAGGGTCGCATTCCATTCCCAGAGCTATGAACATCTGCTTTTCTGGGATAGGAATCTTGGTGATGTGAAACCTCCCTGACTGCACGTCCATTCATAGGCTCTCTGCAGGGGGAAGCACATCACGCACTGTTGGCTCGTTCTGGCAGTCCAACCTGGCATTGTCTTTACACAATCCTGCATGCAATTTTGTATTTACAATACTCAGGAGCATTTCATCTTTTATTCCATAGCAATAGTTTCAGGGGGTCTCCCTACATTCTCCCATGTGGTCCTGATGCCTCACCTGCTGGCATCTCCCCATCTCCAACAGCCAGGTGTGTTCTACTATGCTCCCTCATCAAAGATGTCTCAGGATCTGTTTGCACAGCCTCCAAGTGCAGCCAAACCTAGAAGAGCTGATGGTCCCTCATCTAAACATAGGGAAATGAGTGGTCTGATTTATGTTCCTGACAAGTGACCTAAATATAAAATGCATGCCACTGTCACAGAGTCTAATCCACCCCCACCACCTCCTCACTTGCATTCTCCGTCTTTCCATTTGTCATTTACTTAGCAGAGTCAGCAAGTGCTGCCAAGCTCTAAGAACCATTATCGCAGAAGCAACCATCGTCAAGAAGCCTGCACACATGTTTATTGCAGTTGATATAGATGCTAGTAAAATGCAGGACAGTTTTAATTCTTTAATTTCTCATCTGCCCATCTTGTGGTGGAGCTACACGGATATTTAATGTGATGTCGTAAAGCTCTGTGTTAGGAGGAGAAAGCAGGCAGGAAGCGGATGTTTGCAAACGATAGGCTTATAAAGGTGAGGGTAGTGAAGTTACCAGACTGACAACCTGGTGCTGTAGTACGATAGTAGTATTTTGTATTTCTATAGTACCATTCTTCACAGAACTCAAATGAGTCAGATGCGACTTTTTATGGCTTGAAAAATTCCTACCAGTGAGCATCAGATTTTATTTTTAGACTGAGGAAATCGTTGTTACCAAGAATGTTGTTTTAAAATTGTTAGGTATGTGTCTGTTATATATTTCATTCCCAAATATTGCGTCTTACAATGAATATAATTATATAGAGATTAGAGAAAGAGAAAGAGAGAGAGAGATACATAGATATACGGATATAACATATCCTCTGTGATGAGGGAGATAAAGTAAAAATATAATATCAATGAAAATATAAAAAGCTATAGATAACATCAAGAAGTGCTGCTTTCATTAGCATTCCTTCAAAAGGTACTCTTAACATTTTTAACATAGACTTCAGCGCATCTAATGCACAACAATAATTGACAGTCATAAGACCAAGTACAAGACACTGAAAGTTTCTAATCTATCTCCTGAGTTGTCAAAGAAATATTAAATTATGAATTCACTCAGGACAAAAGTGAGATTGATTTTAGTTTATACTTCAGTAACTATTCTGTGTTTATTTGGAAAAATATCCCAGAGGTTGTCAGCTTTTGTTTGCCTCTCAAAAGAGAATGATATTGGGTTTAAAAAATTTAAAAAGCTATTAAAAAAAACAATCAGAGCAGTAAGGTGACAAATACCTTTTATCTATTTTTTCTGCTTTCGTTGGGTTTTAATTTTAACTTGCTTTTAAATTTAAATTAAAAGTCAGGCACATACATGGGAGGAAAATCTCAAGGGAAAAAAGCAGTGTGCAATGGAGAATAATACTGTCAAAATCCAGATGAACAACTCTTTCTATACCCTTTGTGTATTGTTCTGGTGAACAGACATCTGTGTTTAGTTGTGTATATGAATGTGTATGTATATATGTATCTACGTGTCTGTGTGTATTTATATATATATTTATGCATGTTATCTTTTCACAATTGGAGACACATATACAATCTTCTGTACCGTATTTTTTATTTCAATAGCTTATCTTGAAAACCTTTTCATATCTTCACACATACATTATAGCATCAAAGTAATCCTTTGTACGAGAGTACTCTATTTTACTAGTCCCCGATTATGTCCACTTGGGTTGTTTCCAGCCTTTTATAAATAACGTCAAAATGAACCTTTGTGTCTGTAGGGCTTTGTGCATATTTGAATATATGGGTAGTTACATATTGAGATTTTCAATTGCCATATCAAATTTTTTCCAAAGAGGTTGAACCAGTTTACATCGTGACCAACAGCCATATGAGTGAGCCTGTTATCTTTGCCATTAATGTAAATATTTTCAAACTTTTGAAACAACAGGCTAAGAAGAATTTTTGCTGTTTTAATTTGCCAATTAATATTATGAATATTATTGAGCAACTTTTCGTATGTTTATAAGTAAACGGTTTATTTTTCTGTGAAATATCTGTTCCTATCTTTTGTCCATTCTTTCTGCCAGGATTTTGGTCTCTCAGTAAACTGTAAAAACTCTTTCACTGCTAAGCAAATTTAGGCATATATATATATATGGGACACACACGCACACATACACACATATATATATACACTATATATAATATCTTGCATTGATTTATTTTGACTTTTCCTGTTTTGGGCAGCAATTATTGTTTTTCAAATTTATATCATCAAATTTATCAATTTTTCTGCTAAAGCAGAAATTCAGATAACATAAAGAAAAATGGTATCTGAAATACCATTCTGAGTATCAGAAATGCCTGTGATACTCTTAAATTTCATCTTATCTCTTCTAGTCTGAATGGACTTTTTCCTTCTTTAACGCTTAAATCTTTGGACTATGTATAATTATCTTTACTGGAACAAGTGAACTTACCCTTTTTTTCTTTTTTCCCAAATTGTTACTTATTTGACTCAATACATAGATGGACAAATCCATGTTTTCCAAGTTGGTTTGAATTGCTATCTTTACTAAAAATAAAATTTTGAAGCATACTGAAGGCAGTTTCAGGATTCTCCATTCCTCTATAGATCTAATTACACATCTATATGAAATTTTTATTAATATTGCTTAATACCATGCTTCCATATTACATACACCAGTCCTATCTCAATGCTTTCAGAAATGTTTTGGTAATTCTTTTTTTTCATATGAACTTAATATGTATGAACTTCTATAAAGTTCATATACTTCTTTAAATTCATAAACATATATATTTGGGTGTATTATGTATTATATATAAATACATAATTTATATTATACATAATTTATGTTATATAATTATATATTATATTTATAATATAATACAAATTGTATATATGTATATATTTACTTGTTTCCAATGGTTTTGGAATAACAGTCTAGATATTTTTCAGTTATAGACTCATATCTACAAATTATTCCGTCTCTTCTCTCCTAATATTCCTTCCATATTTCTCTCTTTTCTCCCACTAAATTGACTAGTAATTTCAGAACAACATTAAATTATTACAAGGACAATGGGCATCCTTATCTTGCACTGACTTTAATAGGATTTTTTTCTAATGTTTTCATATGAATTAAGGTGCTGGTTCATGGCTTAAAATGTGTATTTTTATAACAAAATTATCAGTCCATTTTTATTACTCATTTTTATCAGAATACACATGGAGTTTTATCAGATTCCTTTTGGCACACAAAGATCACATGGTTTATATCTTCTCTGATTTATTATTGTGGAGAATGACATTAATAAATATTGATCCATTCTTATATTTTACAGAATGAAACAGTTTTAAGTCTCCTAATAATTTTTAAATTTGATAATATTAAAAAAGACATTTCTTCTTCAGCACTGGGCATCAACCTTTGGCAGAGAGGTTCTGATTTTAGGGTCAGCAGTTTCAGAACTGAAATTCCTCGAATGAGCCCCACAGTGTGGGGTACTTTATGTTTATTCATTTGTTCATCTAAGAGGCAGGCACCAGGCACCAGGAATAGAACAAGACAAACCCTGTTTCTGACCTCACAGAGCCTAGAGATTGGCTTTTGTTCTCACTTTGCTCATTAAGAAAGGCATTTGTACTTTTTCTTGTTCGGACTTCTCTTGGGTTCTTTTTATATTTTTCATGAAGGCTTTTGAACTAATGAAATTAATTACATTTAATCTGATAGAAAAAGGTGTGTAAACCTCAAAGACATTTTGAAGAAATGTATTTGAAGACACTGAAAATTTTACTTATGTTTATTTGGGCACAACAGCCTACTTTTTGATTATTCTAAACACAACATGATTGGATCATTGGAACCTTGAAATCAGGGATTTATTTGCACATTCCTGGGGTGCCCCAATGTTTCATCATGGGTCCCTTTAATGCTTCAGGTGGAGTAGACTCTTTAATACTGAATTTAAACTGCTGAACTCATTCTTCAGAACTCAAAAGAATACTAGTTAGTCCCAGTGATCACCCAGTCTGAATATAACACAGAAAAAAAAATTGTTCTAACTCCAAGGAATGAATAAAGTATAATTAGTTGGAGAATCATAACAGTTAGGATTGCTTTTAAGCCATCAATATTAGAATTACCATAATGGGATACTTTTTAGAAAAGAACATATTAAATTCAGAATTTTTGCTTTCAATTTTTTTAACTTGGAGGATGAAAGAAAACCTGTATGTCTCGGTGCAGTGGCTCTTGCCTCTAATTCCAGCACCTTGGGAAGCCAAAGTGGGAGGGCTGCTTGAGCCCTGGAGTTCAAGACCAGCCTGGGCAACATAGTGACATTCTATCTCTACCAAAAAAGAAAATTCTTTTAAAAAATTAGTCAGATGTGGTGGTGCTCACCTGTAGTCCCAGCTACTTGGGAGGCTGAGGTAGGAAGATAACTTAAGCCCAGGAGATTGAGTCTGTAGTGAGCTCAGGTGTGATTCTATGATCACACCATTGCACTCTAGCCTGGGTGACAGAGAAAGACCCCATCTCTAAAAGAAAGAAAGAAACAAACAAACAAAAAACCCTTCTAATATGAAACAAATGTAGGTGGCAATTTATCATGAATAAGTTTTTGTTGGTTTCATAAGGCAGTCAATATTCAGTGTTGGGCATTGTCGTGAAAGGTAGCAGATACAGTGTTCTGGAACACTTTATCTACTGTAGGGTTTTTTAAAGATAACTGAGTGGTCCTGGGGTGTACTAGTTTTCTTACCTTGCCTGGGTTTGCTGGGAAAAAAAAACCCTCCTGTGAAAAACATAATGTAAGGACTGACCTGGAAATGGACTGCTTAGATTTCACTAATCCATTTTAATGCCTGAAAAATAAAGAGTAAAAATGGCCTCACATCTATAAAAGTAGAAATGGCTTTTGGCTCACTAGACGGACATAGAGCATGCTGAATAATAAAGGATGCTGATTCCAAAATTTAAGAAAATTAGAGGGTGGGATATGATCGCTCATTCTTTACAATTTTGCATCTTTGATTGTTTTTCTATAAAACTTGTGTGTCATTTCTCGATCCAGTGTCTAAACTCAATGTGGATATTTAGGTCATTGTTGTAGCTACCTCTTCATCCCAAATACATCAGAAATTTGGGATTTATTTATCTATCATTTTATGCTTTATTTTCCACCAGTTGATGTTATCTAGGAAATTAGATAATAAGCTTTCAATGACTCCACTAGATAATTTTAATATGTCTTTTAAATCAATACCTAGTGATATCCATTAATAAAGCATGAATGGGTAAAAACGGGATGTGTCTATTTGATAAGTGTCGTTTTAAACTGCAGTGCCACCTGCCACCTCTGATCCCTTCTTTCTCACCTCTAAAATATTCTTCTGAATCACTGTTGCCCCTATTAAAATTGGTTATTGATTTGCATAGTTATCTGTGTCGTGGCTGATCTCCGCCACTCCAATGCGTTGTACGTTCTATGCAAGTTTAAGGCATGTTCCTGTTGTATCTGCAAGGCTTAATAGAGTATGAAGAAACATGGGAGAATTACAATTAATTTATTTTTATGTTTTTCACCAGAAGAATGGCACAGCAAAACCATTAACTTGCTAATTGGAGAAGAGATATATTTCCATTAAAAGCTCTGAGGATATCATAGTTGGTGTGACCCAATTTAAGTGGTGAAAATCACAGATCATGTTTATAGACCATTGCCGTATTTAATTTTACCACCTCCCTAAGGAGTCATCCCTGTTTTACAGTGTATTAGGCTGTTCTCATGCTGCTAATAAAGACATATCCAAGACTGGGTAATTCACAAAAGATAGAAGTTTAATGGACTTACAGTTCCACATGGAGGGGGAGGCCTCACATACATGGTGGAAGACGAAGGAAGAGCAAAGGGACGTCTTACATGGTGCAGGCAAGAAAACTTGCACATCGGGTTTTCTTTGGTCCAATATTTATGTGTGAGGTTAAAAATAATTTGACAACACATGCAACTACATGGAAAGTCCAACCCCAGTTGGCATATGGTATCCTTTCATGCAAAAAGTAAGCCTAGATGACTGCTCTCATCAACATCAAGGAATTCCTAAGTGACTTAAATGACCTCAGTCTGAAAGCAAAACAAAATAGAAGGGTGATATTCCTGAAGTGGCAGGTTAATCTTCCTTTTCTTTTCATTCCAAGTTCAGCAATAATAATTCAGTCCTAGACCATTATGGTGTTTATCAAGTTTAGTATGAATCATAGAGCTATTCATGTAAAGTATCCAGAGCACTTGTACTAGTAATGTTAACTCTGTTCTATATTGAATAGGTGTGATTGCAAAGTTCTACTTTAGCCCTTGAAATACTACAGAATTTCTTAAATTAAAAATTAAAGTGCTCTTTACATTCATGTGAAATGAATATTGGACTCAAAATTGGGATACATCTCTAAAGGATACTGTTTATGCATTACTAATGTTTTATCAGGCCATCCTTGCCTTTATACAACTTTGGCCTCAGCTTTTCAGGGTAAGTTTTAAAAGGAGTTATAGTATGTTTTTGCCTACAAAAAAGGTTACTTTTGTAAGAGTAAACTGGTTTCTGACATAAACGTTTCATTTGAAAGTGGCTGAAAGACGGTTGAGGGGAAAGTGGAAAAGAATGGCTTCATTCTTTGCAACACTTCTAGACAGGTTTTTACTCTTATTATTTGAAAGCTTTTTTTGAGACTAGTCATATTTTTGATTCATTCCTCCAACTTTATCTGTTTCCTTATAATTCTAACTTACCGTCAAATATAGAGAAAGAGCTTAAAGGAAACTAATATGCAGGGCACAGACACAAGAGGGGTGGGTTTGGGGATGGCTCTCTTCCAATCAAGCTTCTGAACTGTTCCTGCCATTTCTGGCTTTGACTCTGCACCGTGCCCCCTGCTGGTCCCTCCAGGGAGTAGACAAGAAATGCCAAATCGAAAAATCTAGAGCAACCTCTCAAATGCTGCTTAGGTTATTCAGGTTTTCCTAAAATAGGGAACTTTATTAAACCGGCTTGCCTTTAAAACTCAGGTGGGTAATACTAAAATCTTTCCTCCCGAAATGTATTCAACTTCATTTTAATCAGATGAAGAAACAAATCAAATGAAGAAAAATAACACTCTACTAATTAGCAATAGTATTGCTGGGATCAGCCTTAAGCTCCTAGGGGATCGGACCAACCAGATGCCTCTAATTATTGTTTTCCGCCCATACAGGAATATTTCAGTCTATTTCTGAGATGCTCTTTGCACAAAGCAAAGAAGAGATACAGCTTTCTAGGAGTTATTCATTCTTCCTGCAGTTTCTTCATGTCCAGCGAGGCAAGTCCCATCACAGTGTTTAAAGGCCTTGTGACTGGTAGTATTTATGTAATATATGGAATTTTTATCCTCAAAATTTGTGAAAGCTATGAAATAAAAGTAGATTCTTTAAAAATGCCTTGATGGTGATTTCAAGTTCATCCTTTACTCTCTTAACACACTATTTAAAGAAATCCCATACAAGTTCAGGATATAGTAACTGGCCGCAAGATGTGATAGAACACCAACTTTTGCAACACTGGCTTTTGTGAGATTCTATTCTAACATCGACTTTGGTGAGTTTCTATTCCAAATAAGTAACTATACACATTATAAGAAATTTTATAAATACTACTTCATTTAATCCTCCAGCAACGCTTTGCATCATTTTATTGATAAGGAAAATGAGGTGTGGAGAGTTTGAATAACTTGCCCAAGGTAACAGCTGATAATAAATGATGGAGCCAAGACAAGCCCTTCATTTCCAAACCTTTACTCTTTCCCCATGCCTTATTGCTTACCTAAGACTTTTTCCCAATTCAAAAGCCACTGGATTTACATAGATTTGTGTGATGTGTTGACAAGGAGAAAACTCCAAAAGGAAAAAGAGTTCTTTGCTAAACATTCAGTCCTACTTTTAAAACTGTTACATTTCCAAATACTTGGGGTAAAAAGGATGAATGGAGTAAGGCCAGGAGAAAAAACAAGCTTATATTTGATACCTCGAGATTTTTACACATGAAAAATCCAAAATAGACAGATCCTGCAAAAAAAGAATATTCAAATGGCTGATAAACATTTTTTAAGGGTGTTCAACTTGATTAGTTTCAGAGAGAAGAAATGAAAACTACAGTCTACCATAATGGCTAGAATTTGAAAATATGGCAATATCAAATGTTGGAGAAAATGTAGAGCAACTGGAAATCACACTCACGTATGCTGGAAATGAAAACTGGGCAGCTACTTTGGAAAAACTGGTAGCTTACACAAAAATTAAACATACAACCACTTGTGACACAGCAATTCCATACCCAGACAAATTAGCTTTATACATTCACCCAAACAGACATATTAACTCCCAAAAAACCCCAAAGCTAGTCAAATGTCCACCGATATCAATATGGACAAACAGTTTATGCTATATTCATACAAGGAAATACCCTGCAGTAATAGGAAAATATAAACTACAACTACACAAAAAATATGAATAAATCCCTAAACAATGTTACCTAAAAGCCACCAGAAACAAAAGGTTACATGCTGTCCCGTTTTCTTTAAATAAGTTCACAACATAGGCAAAACTAATCAAGGTTGCTAAAATCAGGTGTGGGCCTGTGCTCGGAATGGGTGGTAACTCTAAGAGGTTAAGGGCAAGTTACTGGGTGCTGGAAATGTCCAGTTTCTTGATCTGAATGTTGGTGACATGAATTTTCTCAGGCAAATTCGTCAAGCTGCACATGTTGGCCTTTGTATTTTTCTCAATGTACATGGTATACCAATCAAAAGTTTCAGAAGCCCAAAAGAGAGAGGATAAAAGTATTTTGGAGAGAGGAAGACAATTTATAAAGTGGATATACAGATGGAGATTGCCCTTGCTGAACATATTTTACATGGAAGAGTGAAGAGAAAAAAAGGAACAACACAGAGTTCATGTAGAACTTCTTTTTTTAAGGTAGTTTATTTATATTTCTATTTTATCTAGAATGCTTTTGTCATTGACAAATAAAAATTGTATGCGCTTACCATGTACTTCAAACTACATGAGAAAAAGGTAAATGTTGGAGTGTTTTATCTTCATGTGCAAAGGTGATATTTCAGATAAAATACAAACTTTATTAAGACTTTAATTTGAAGCTATCTAGAAAACAATTTGGGTCTGTCTCCACGATCTTTTCCCAGCACCTCACTGTATCCTTCTCATAGCATGTGATAATGCATTGAATATATGTGCCGGTTACTAGAAAAAAACATAACAACCTATCTGGTTTGGTTTTATGCTTATTTCTATCTCCATGGTTGCTTTGATCTCTCTTTCTCTTATCACACTTGCCTTCTGGATCTTTCTCTAATTTTCTTCTTGTCCTGAGAGCTTCCAAATCCTCCAGACAGGTGAAAGTGTTCCTCCAGTTTGCATCCACCACCACATGTTTTATGCCTCCTCTCCTTGTCTCCCTAGAGAAGCCACAAACTCTTGCAGGACATCCACACCAAAGGTATTACCCATTGCCTGGTACATAGACAATACCCAAAATTGTGCTGAGTTAATAGAAGATTTAAAATTCAAACAATAGGTTGGCAAATTGTACATAGTGAAGAAGCATGTCCCTTTTTAAATGGAGAGACTGCATACCAGCTTTGTGAACCAAATAGAATTTATTGCATCTATTTTAATCCTCATGCAGGGGACCGAGGTTAGCATATTCAGAAACTCACCAGGCTTGCACCTGCTCTTCATCAAGTGGGTCCTACTTCACGAGGGTGAGACCCATGTCCTATAGGGCCTCAGCTCAAAGGGCTCATGCTTGGTTTAATGCTCTGCTAATGTGGTCTTGAAGTCCTTAATTTATAAACACTGGGCCACTCGTTTTCACTTTTCCTGAACCCCACAAATTGTGTAGCTGGTCCTGTTCATCACAAATAGAAAAATATGTTGCCAAGCAACATGAGAAAATCTAGATGCCCATTCATCTTCCTAAAGACAAGATCTAAAGCAGAAGGACAGGTTCACTTTATTTACTTATGTAATTATTTATTTATTTTTTTATTTTTTATTTGAGATGGAGTCCCACTCTGTTGCCCAAGCTGGAGTGCAGTGGCAGGATCTCTGCTCACTGCAACCTCCACCTCCTGGGTTCAAGCAATTCTCCTGCCTCAGCCTCCCGAGTAGCTGGAATTTGTAATCCGACCACCATGTCCAGCTAATTTTTGTATTTTTTTAGTAGAGACAGGGTTTCACCATGTTGGCCAGGCTGGTCTCGAACTCCTGACCTCAGGTGATTCGCCCACCTCGGCCTCCCAAAGTGCTGGGATTACAGGTGTGAGCTACTGCACCCTGCCCTAATTCACTTTTGAATGGACTTTTTTTTCAACCTGCAGCATAGTAATGTAGAATTCAGGACTATTGTTATTTGACTATTTATTTATTTATTTATTTACTGAAAGAAGGTCTTGCTCTGTAACCCAGACTAGAGTGCAGTGCCACAATCATAGGTCACTGAACCCTCGACCTCCTGGGCTCAAGTGATCTTCCTGCCCCAGCCTGCCAAAGCACTGGGATTATAGGCATGCACAACCGCACCTAGTCTCTGACATTCCACAATTTAATATTTCACACTTGTCATACAAAGACCCTAAGCATATTTTGAAACAAAAAAAGTCTCAAAAATGTATTGTCTGCCACCAAGCACGAAAAAGGACATCATTCAGCCCACTGCCTCTTTAAAGGACCAACAAAGAGGGTATCTAGGCAAATATTACATTTGCTATCTCACAACAGGAAATACATAGCTCAGAGCCAGAACCTTGTCTAGACATAATCATCTAGTTCTAAACCCAGTCACTGCCTAAAATTTAAACTAATTTGCTCTGTCTTCAAACTTGATGGGTAAGACAATCCTACTCCAAATAATCTGAGTCACAAGATAGTAAGTCAAACTCATACAGAAAAAAAGAAATCATATGCATCTCATGTATATTTAGACTCTTTAAACAATAGTACATAGTATATTTTATATTACATATACACAGACTGTACTTTATTTATTTATTGGAGATGGAGTCTCGCTCTGCCACCCAGGCTGGAGTGTGGTGGCGCAATCTCGGCTCACTGCAACCTTTGCCTCCCGTTAGCTGGGATTACAGGGGCCCACCACCATGCCCAGATAATTTTCGTATTTTTAGTAGATACAGGGTTTCAACATGTTGGCCAGGCTGGTCTTCAACTCCTGACCTTAAGTGATCCACCTGCCTCGGCCTCCCAAAGTGCTGGAATTACAGGTATGAGCCACCATGCCCGGCCTGTACTTTATATTTTAGTTGAAGAGTAAATGTTTCCATTTATCTTGAAAATGGCAGTGTATGAATTTTAAATAAAATTTTTAAAACCTATAAGCACATTAAATCTAATTTTATTTGTGCCAACCCCTCAGGTTTTTGTAGCTTTCAGTGTCATTTTATAATGAGTTGCTCAGAAAACATTGTTACACTCTTCATCTTTCAAGGTTCTCCCATCACCTAAAGAGCCAGTATGAAGGTCTGAAAATTGCTTATGATTTAACCATCTTTATATCTTTCTTGTATGTTTCTTTTTCTTTCTATATTTCAGTGGATACCACTCACTCAGGGAAGACTTGCTCTAGTATAACCTTTAAGACCAATGGCAAACTTAAGAATTGGATACTGAAATATCCAATTTAAAAATAAATTTTAAAATTTAAAATTTATTGTGATTTTCTCACTTTCTTTACTTTTGGTTAGCTATAACAGAGACAGTTCGCTGGGTGTATTAGTCTGTTCTCACACTGCTATAAAGAATTGCCTGAGACTGGGTAATTTATAAAGAAAAGAGGTTTAATTGGCTCACAGTTCCACAGGCCTTACAAGAAGCATGGCTGGGGAGGCCTCAGGAAACTTATAATTGTGGCAGAAAGCGAAGGGGAAGCAAGCACATTTTACATGTCCAGAGCAGGAGGAAGAGAGAGTGATGGGGAAGGTGCCACACACTTATAAACCTCCCGATCTCGTGAGAAATCCATCATGAAACAGCACTAGGGGGATGGAGCTAAACCATTAGAAACCACCCCCATGATCCAATCACCTCCCACCAGGCCCCACCTCCAACACTGGGGATTACAATTCAACGTGAAATTTGGGTAGGGACATAGAGCCAAACAAAATCAGTTGGAGACAGATGCAACCTCTGTGTTTCTCAACAACAGTAGCACCTATGCTTTAAGTATTTGGCCGTTTCTAACTGTATAAACAGAAATCTGTATTCTTCCCATAAATTTAACACAAGGCAGTATCCATAATGCCCCTGAAGCTTTGGACATGGAGATATGGTCTCCTCTCTTTTTTCTTCCTCTTATTAAAAGAAAGCCTTTGCTTACTGGTTAAGTGGTTCAGATTTATTTAAAGCAATATGTTGGGTGTTTATTTCTCAGTGGCAGGAACCTTGGCCAGATGTCCATTTGAAGTGTATTTCAGTTCGGCAAGGTCCATAACTCACTCTTTCAGATTATTATGGTTTAGCTATATGGATGTCCAAGGCTGATAAATCCACTAATTGTAAGCGAGATTTCTATAAATTGATTTTTCACACTATACTTCATGTTCTATGGTATCAATGACAAATTGCAAAATCTCCTGTCTTTCTTCCCTGCGGGTCTATTTCAGAAATAGTGCAACAGACACTAGATGATGAGACATGAAACTTTTGCTGAAACCATACTGTGTGAAGTTTTCTGTTATTCAGGAAGAATACAAGTAAGCCCTGTCACATCAGTAAAACTTAGGAGTGTCATAGCACGCATTCAATTGAGTATCGTGTAGAAGCTAATGATTGTGCTTTTCATTTCTCTGAATAATATAAAGAAACTCCAGGAATTCTTGCATTCAGACTTTGTGTCTCAATTTAGAAGAGATTGAGCTATGCCCTGCATTGGGAAGGATTGAATTGCTCTCGTTCATTTGCTGTTAGTTTTTTTTTTCTTGAAATAATAGGATAAATGCACATGGCAGGAATAAGTGGAAAATTATTTCACAAGTGTGACATCTATGGCTTATTCACAATCCCTAGTTGCTTCTTAAAACATAGATTAATAGACCTTGTCCCTAAGGCTTCTGACTCAGTAGGTCCGACGCGGTGCCTGAGAAGTTGAATCTCTGAGAAGTATCAGGTAACGTGGCTGATGGCAGACGACTCTGACAGAACCACCTTTCTATCACGTTTCCTAGTGTAGCCAGACTTCCGCCTAGTACAGCGTGCCTCCTTGCTCATTGTGAATCTGTTTCATCTCATATGTTTCTTGAATACTTGATATTTCTCGGGAGCCAGATCATCTCAATAATTCAGAATCTTGATCAGGACCAGTGGCTGGAATATCTCAGTCTGGCCACACGAAACATCTTCGTGACCCAGGCAGAGAAGACAGAATCCCATTGCAAGATCTAGCAATTCCCAAAGGGGTGGGAGCAGGGCGCTAAGGGGATTGTTGCCATCTACTGGACCTGCCCTTTGCATTGTAATGCACAGAGGCAGTGGTTTCTTTCCATTGTGTGTGACCAGAGGATGCAGGAACTACCCACTTTCTGGCCCCAACACTAAAAGTCTCCTCCTGCCATTTTAGATGTTTCTCTTTCTCCTCATGAACTTTTCCCCTTAAATTTTTGAAATTGTTTCTCCTCTGCTCAGAGCTCTGTGGTGCGTGGGAGAAATTGCACACTCCTTATGCTAGTGCAAGTAATATTATTTGGCCCTGGGCAAAGTCCTCTTGCTCTGCAGTTTTCAGGTCTTTCATAAATTTTATGGAGCTTTCTTCTTCTTTGTTTGCTTCTGTGGCTCCTGGTCCAAAGTTTCTCCTTAGACCTACATTGAAATTAGGAGTCTATCTGTCTGTCTATCAATCTACCTACCTACCTACCTACCTACCTACCTCTCCACCCATCATATCTGCCTATCTATCTATCTATCTATCTATCTATCTATCTCTCTATCTCTCTATTTCTATCATCTATTCTGTCTACCTATAACTATAATCTATTCTATTTATCTAAGTATCATCTCTATCATCTCTATCTGTTATCTATTTATCCACCTATCTATCTACTATCCATTTATCCATTCTATCTATCATCTATCTATCTATCTATCTATCTATCTATCTATCATCTATCTATCTATCTATCTATCTATCTATCTATCTATCATCTATCTATCTATCTATCATTCATTCATCTTTTTTCCATTACTCTCATCCATTTTTCCACTGCCTTTGTCTTGGCATTCCTTCTCACATTTGTTTTTATTTCAATAATTCAGCTTTCTTTAGTATCCACTCTGCTGTTTATTGTCTCCTTGGCTGCTTTCACTGAGTTTCTCTGTTTTGTCTCCATCCATGAGTGTCTGACTTCAAATCACCTCTCTATGACTTCCTTTTCTTGTGTATAGATGTGCTTTCATCTTGAATTGTGCATGTGTATGTTCATGCATGTGTTAATGGACCAGAAATCTTCAAATAACTTCTCCTGATTCTTTCCATAAGTTCTAGTATATAGATACCATATTTGGTATGAGACAAGTTACTTGATTTCCATTTTTGTTTGGTTATGAAAGGAGAATTTGAGTGAGTCAATGGGGCTTAAATGTCCAAACTTACATTGATATGCCAACATAAAATACTATAATGAGGATTAGACCATGTATACTCTTTTATATCCTAGTTTTTTCATGTAATATATAGTATGTGTTTTCCTTCTGTGGCCCCACTACTTATCATCATATGAATACGCTGTTTAGTCAATTTACATATTATCACATATTTAGCCAATTTACATATTATCACATATGTTACTTAGTCAATTTACATATTATCACATATTTAGATTGCTTCTTATTATAGGTATTATAAAAATATGACTATGACTATCCAGGTAGTAAGATAAATCTCTTACTACATGTCTGACAGTTTCTGTATGAAATATTTCTAAAAATGGGGTTACTTGGTCAAAAGCAGAGACTCAATTTCAATACCCTAATTGCTTTAAAGGAACATTTCAGAATGTTCTCAGTCCCACCAGGAGTGTATGATATGCTAGTTTCTTAGATAAAAATCTGTTCATACTTTTCTTACTGTAATGCATGTGGTTGTTTCTCATGGTTAAGAGCCATCTACTTTTTTTTTCTAATCTGTATCCCTTGGGTATTATTTTGTTCTAGTGTTAGATATTTTTCACCTATTAGTTAATAAGTGCTCTTATAAGATGATAAACTCCATTACCATGTCTACTTTTATATCGACTACAACTTTTTTTATTTTGTGGAGTAGTATTTCTAATAAATTTGTTTAAAATATTCTATCATCTGAAACTGGTCAAATAAATTATAATTGAACTATCATGACCTGTGAGGACCTCATGTTGGTCTCTGACTTATAATTCTTGCTGTTCCTTTTATAAATAACTCTTTGTATAAAGATATGATTGTGTTTATGACCATCACAGCTATATTTTGGCAGTGAAAAACCTCCCATATTTCTATCTTGTATCTTTTATTTAACGTATTTTTAGAGTCAAAAGGGAAAAAAAAGTGTAAAGATTGACTTACTCAAGAAATGACTTCATTACATTTTACATGTATCTGTGTGACATACCTTGCAATGATGTGAGTTCTTGTAGATGGCTAACCATGGCTTTTTTTGCATGTATTAACTTATTTGTTTGTTTGTTTACTTAAGAAGGCCTGCCTGCTTTGGCATTATTTTCTCACAGCCTTCTACTTATTTGATTTGCACTAAGTGGTTTTTGATGTGCTATATATTTTCTGTTCTATTTAGGATTGATTAGAAGAGTTTAGGTAACACACAAAGTTCAAATCAGCTAGAGTATAAAAGAATACTTCCTAATGTAGGTTTCCAGGACTAAAATTCTTTTTTTTTTTTTTTTTTTATTATACTTTAAGTTTTAGGGTACATGTGCACATTGTGCAGGTTAGTTACATATGTATACATGTGCCATGCTGGTGCGCTGCACCCACTAACGTGTCATCTAGCATTAGGTATATCTCCCAATGCTATCCCTCCCCCATCCCCCGACCCCACCACAGTCCCCAGAGTGTGATATTCCCCTTCCTGTGTCCATGTGATCTCATTGTTCAATTCCCACCTATGAGTGAGAATATGCGGTGTTTGGTTTTTTGTTCTTGCGATAGTTTACTGAGAATGATAGTTTCCAATTTCATCCATGTCCCTACAAAGGACATGAACTCATCATTTTTTATGGCTGCATAGTATTCCATGGTGTATATGTGCCACATTTTCTTAATCCAGTCTATCATTGTTGGACATTTGGGTTGGTTCCAAGTCTTTGCTATTGTGAATAATGCCGCAATAAACATACGTGTGCATGTGTCTTTATAGCAGCATGATTTATAGTCATTTGGGTATATACCCAGTAATGGGATGGCTGGGTCAAATGGTATTTCTAGTTCTAGATCCCTGAGGAATCGCCACACTGACTTCCACAATGGTTGAACTAGTTTACAGTCCCACCAACAGTGTAAAAGTGTTCCTATTTCTCCACATCCTCTCCAGCACCTGTTGTTTCCTGACTTTTGAATGATCGCCATTCTAACTGGTGTGAGATGATATCTCATAGTGGTTTTGATTTGCATTTCTCTGATGGCCAGTGACGGTGAGCATTTTTTCATGTGTTTTTTGGCTGCATAAATGTCTTCTTTTGAGAAGTGTCTGTTCATGTCCTTCGCCCACTTTTTGATGGGGTTGTTTGTTTTTTTCTTGTAAATTTGTTTGAGTTCATTGTAGATTCTGGATATTAGCCCTTTGTCAGATGAGTAGGTTGCGAAAATTTTCTCCCATGTTGTAGGTTGCCTGTTCACTCTGATGGTAGTTTCTTTTGCTGTGCAGAAGCTCTTTAGTTTAATTAGATCCCATTTGTCAATTTTGGCTTTTGTTGCCATTGCTTTTGGTGTTTTGGACATGAAGTCCTTGCCCACGCCTATGTCCTGAATGGTAATGCCTAGGTTTTCTTCTAGGGTTTTTATGGTTTTAGGTCTAACGTTTAAATCTTTAATCCATCTTGAATTGATTTTTGTATAAGGTGTAAGGAAGGGATCCAGTTTCAGCTTTCTACATATGGCTAGCCAGTTTTCCCAGCACCATTTATTAAATAGGGAATCCTTTCCCCATTGCTTGTTTTTCTCAGGTTTGTCAAAGATCAGATAGTTGTAGATATGCGGCATTATTTCTGAGGGCTCTGTTCTGTTCCATTGATCTATATCTCTGTTTTGGTACCAGTACCATGCTGTTTTGGTTACTGTAGCCTTGTAGTATAGTTTGAAGTCAGGTAGTGTGATGCCTCCAGCTTTGTTCTTTTGGCTTAGGATTGACTTGGCAATGCGGGCTCTTTTTTGGTTCCATATGAACTTTAAAGTAGTTTTTTCCAATTCTGTGAAGAAAGTCATTGGTAGCTTGATGGGGATGGCATTGAATCTGTAAATTACCTTGGGCAGTATGGCCATTTTCACGATATTGATTCTTCCTACCCATGAGCATGGAATGTTCTTCCATTTGTTTGTGTCCTCTTTTATTTCCTTGAGCAGTGGTTTGTAGTTCTCCTTGAAGAGGTCCTTCACATCCCTTGTAAGTTGGATTCCTAGGTATTTTATTCTCTTTGAAGCAATTGTGAATGGGAATTCACTCATGATTTGGCTCTCTGTTTGTCTGTTGTTGGTGTATAAGAATGCTTGTGATTTTTGTACATTGATTTTGTTTCCTGAGACTTTGCTGAAGTTGCTTATCAGCTTAAGGAGATTTTGGGCTGAGACGATGGGGTTTTCTAGATAAACAATCATGTCATCTGCAAACAGGGACAATTTGACTTCCTCTTTTCCTAATTGAATACCCTTTATTTCCTTCTCCTGCCTGATTGCCCTGGCCAGAACTTCCAACACTATGTTGAATAGGAGTGGTGAGAGAGGGCATCCCTGTCTTGTGCCAGTTTTCAAAGGGAATGCTTCCAGTTTTTGCCCATTCAGTATGATATTGGCTGTGGGTTTGTCATAGATAGCTCTTATTATTTTGAAATACGTCCCATCAATACCTAATTTATTGAGAGTTTTTAGCATGAAGGGTTGTTGAATTTTGTCAAAGGCTTTTTCTGCATCTATTGAGATAATCATGTGGTTTTTGTCTTTGGCTCTGTTTATATGCTGGATTACATTTATTGATTTGCGTATATTGAACCAGCCTTGCATCCCAGGGATGAAGTCCACTTGATCATGGTGGATAAGCTTTTTGATGTGCTGCTGGATTCAGTTTGCCAGTATTTTATTGAGGATTTTTGCATCAATGTTCGTCAAGGATATTGGTCTAAAATTCTCTTTTTTGGTTGTGTCTCTGCCCGGCTTTGGTATCAGAATGATGCTGGCCTCATAAAATGAGTTAGGGAGGATTCCCTCTTTTTCTATTGATTGGAATAGTTTCAGAAGGAATGGTACCAGTTCCTCCTTGTACCTCTGGTAGAATTCGGCTGTGAATCCATCTGGTCCTGGACTCTTTTTGGTTGGTAAACTATTGATTATTGCCACAATTTCAGAGCCTGTTATTGGTCTATTCAGAGATTCAACTTCTTCCTGGTTTAGTCTTGGGAGAGTGTATGTGTCAAGGAATGTATCCATTTCTTCTAGATTTTCTAGTTTATTTGCGTAGAGGTGTTTGTAGTATTCTCTGATGGTAGTTTGTATTTCTGTGGGATGGGTGGTGATATCCCCTTTATCATTTTTTATTGTGTCTATTTGATTCTTCTCTCTTTTTTTCTTTATTAGTCTTGCTAGCGGTCTATCAATTTTGTTGATCCTTTCAAAAAACCAGCTCCTGGATTCATTGATTTTTTGAAGGGTTTTTTGTGTCTCTATTTCCTTCAGTTCTGCTCTGATTTTAGTTATTTCTTGCCTTCTGCTAGCTTTTGAATGTGTTTGCTCTTGCTTTTCTAGTTCTTTTAATTGTGATGTTAGGGTGTCAATTTTGGATCTTTCCTGCTTTCTCTTGTAGGCATTTAGTGCTATAAATTTCCCTCTACACACTGCTTTGAATGCGTCCCAGAGATTCTGGTATGTGGTGTCTTTGTTCTCGTTGGTTTCAAAGAACATCTTTATTTCTGCCTTCATTTCGTTATGTATCCAGTAGTCATTCAGGAGCAGGTTGTTCAGTTTCCATGTAGTTGAGCGGCTTTGAGTGAGATTCTTAATCCTGAGTTCTAGTTTGATTGCACTGTGGTCTGAGAGATAGTTTGTTATAATTTCTGTTCTCTTACATTTGCTGAGGAGAGCTTTACTTCCAACTATGTGGTCAATTTTGGAATAGGTGTGGTGTGGTGCTGAAAAAAATGTATATTCTGTTGATTTGGGGTGGAGAGTTCTGTAGATGTCTATTAGGTCCGCTTGGTGCAGAGCTGAGTTCAATTCCTGGGTATCCTTGTCGACTTTCTGTCTCGTTGATCTGTCTAATGTTGACAGTGGGGTGTTAAAGTCTCCCATTATTAATGTGTGGGAGTCTAAGTCTCTTTGTAGGTCACTCAGGACTTGCTTTATGAATCTGGGTGCTCCTGTATTGGGTGCATAAATATTTAGGATAGTTAGCTCCTCTTGTTGAATTGATCCCTTTACCATTATGTAATGGCCTTCTTTGTCTCTTTTGATCTTTGTTGGTTTAAAGTCTGTTTTATCAGAGACTAGGATTGCAACCCCTGCCTTTTTTTGTTTTCCATTGGCTTGGTAGATCTTCCTCCATCCTTTTATTTTGAGCCTATGTGTGTCTCTGCACGTGAGATGGGTTTCCTGAATACAGCACACTGATGGATCTTGACTTTTTATCCAACTTGCCAGTCTGTGTCTTTTAATTGCAGAATTTAGTCCATTTATATTTAAAGTTAATATTGTTATGTGTGAATTTGATCCTGTCATTATGATGTTAGCTGGTGATTTTGCTCGTTAGTTGATGCAGTTTCTTCCTAGTCTCAATGGTCTTTACATTTTGGCATGATTTTGCAGCGGCTGGTACCGGTTGTTCCTTTCCATGTTTAGCGCTTCCTTCAGGAGCTCTTTTAGGGCAGGCCTGGTGGTGACAAAATCTCTCAGCATTTGCTTGTCTATAAAGTATTTTATTTCTCCTTCACTTATGAAGCTTAGTTTGGCTGGATATGAGATTCTGGGTTGAAAATTCTTTTCTTTAAGAATGTTGAATATTGGCCCCCACTCTCTTCTGGCTTGTAGGGTTTCTGCCGAGAGATCCGCTGTTAGTCTGATGGGCTTTCCTTTGAGGGTAACCCGACCTTTCTCTCTGGCTGCCCTTAACATTTTTTCCTTCATTTCAACTTTGGTGAATCTGACAATTATGTGTCTTGGAGTTGCTCTTCTCGAGGAGTATCTTTGTGGCGTTCTCTGTATTTCCTGAATCTGAACGTTGGCCTGCCTTGCTAGATTGGGGAAGTTCTCCTGGATAATATCCTGCAGAGTGTTTTCCAACTTGGTTCCATTCTCCCCATCACTTTCAGGTACACCAATCAGACGTAGATTTGGTCTTTTCACATAGTCCCATATTTCTTGGAGGCTTTGCTCATTTGTTTTTATTCTTTTTTCTCTAAACTTCCCTTCTCGCTTCATTTCATTCATTTCATCTTCCATTGCTGATACCCTTTCTTCCAGTTGATTGCATCGGCTCCTGAGGCTTCTGCATTCTTCACGTAGTTCTCGAGCCTTGGTTTTCAGCTCCGTCAGCTCCTTTAAGCAAGAATAATTTAATCAATAATCTTACAAGTTCCTGATGAAAGACAATGAGTTTCATGAGAAGGGTATCTTTTTCCTTCTGCAAGAATGGCATTTCTTTGCACCTGAAAATCAACTTGTAATCGGACTCCACCCGTGATAGTTAATACTTTCATCTTTCAGAAGGAAAAGTTTAATGAGAAAAATAAGGCAGAAGTCTTTAACTCACCCAGGTGCTATTTATTACTTATCTTATGTTTTTTAACCTTGAGGCAATTTTCTTAGCAATTTCATTTCCAGCATGTCGTTAGAAAGATGATCTTATCACAGCTTCAATTCCATTATGCATAGGATTCTTGCAACAGGCACCAGCAGGTGTGCCTAGAGAGTGGTGCAGAGGAACCTAAACTATTCAGCAAAAACCTACAGGAAGAGCTGAGTGTTAACAGAAAACTCATTATGCCCTAATACTGAGAGCTTGCCATTTTAGAAATGCAACAAAGAAGCTCTTTTAAATAAGATTGTGCTTTGGAGGATGGTTGGATGCAAAGGTCAACTAGAGCAGGGTTCTCCAAATTTAGTAGGCATTTGCAATCACCTGAATGGCCCCACTTCCCAAGGTCCTGATTCCTTTAGGTCAAGGGCAGGACCCTAGAATCTGTATTTCTAACAAGTTTCCAGCTGAGCCTGATGCTGCTGACCACATTTTGAGAACCCCCAAAGCAGGCGAATTCTTACGGCTCCTCAAAGAGGTAGGATCTACTCCTGATGTGCTAAATTTCTTTCCTCTCTGAAGTTTTCAAGTCCTGATTACAGTGGGGCAGAAATCTCCCACAGACCTACAAAATTATGTATCTTAATGTGTCTGTAGTTCTTTTGCGCATGAATGTTTGGTTATTGCCCCCGTTTCGATAACCTAGTTGGCTTAATCGTTGCTTTCACAATGTTGACATTTTATCTTACAGGAAGAATATTCTATGGTGTTTTTATAGAGTCTCTGTGTTTGAGGAACCTCTTGGCATTCAGACTTACAAGGTTACTTTTGCTGTTGCACGACACAGAAAATTCACAAGAGTGGCTGGAACCCTCTTATCCATGGATACTTTCCTTCCTGGTGTCTTCTGCACACTTATAACAAACTGTCACGCTGTCTCCATCCCATTTAAAAACGTGATCCACAAACCATTTTCATTTTCAGCTTCATGAGTTCCATAATGATGGGCTCACCTTCCTGCCTATTAGCCATTCTCTCTTCTCAAAATAGTGATATTCTGTAGATTTTTTCCTACAAAAATTCTAATGGGAGGTTTACGTTTCTTCTTGGCTTTCTTTGTATTGCTTCTCTATAATGTATGTACAACTTTAAAGCCAGAAAATTGCATGAACAGCAATGAATCATTTTTCAAGACTTTACAAGAAATACATCAATCTTTTATTTTATGGATTGCTTTGCTGAGATTTTAAAACTACCCTTTAGAAACCACAAACAGAAGAGGACTTATCTTTCCAAGTCTTTTTTTATTTCTTCCCAGGTTCTTCAAATGGCTCCTTATTGACTGGTTTCTAGGAAAATTCCTTCTCGAAGCGTCTTCTTTTTTACATATTCACCATCCTTCTTAATTGGCTCTGTCTTCACGTTCTCCCTCTGAAACACTTAAGAGCCCGAATTACTCAGCTTATTCATTTTCCCTCCAAAAGGCCACTAAAACACAAGGTTTCCTACTGACAATTCTCTGCAAACGTTAATATAATACTATCAATGCTTTCATGAACACAGTTCTTCATATTTTTAAAGCACTATTAAATGTTTTTATCTTGGGACAATGCCAAGAAATCTAGACTTGATTCACAATCGACTTTTCTTTTAAACATGAAACTCTTTAAAGCTAATTCTTCTTATCTCCTTTATCACCACAATATTTTTATTTTTCCAAGTGGATTAGGTCCAATAATATAGAGTCAAAACTAATAGCTATTCCACCAGAAGATGCCTTTATAAAGAGGTACCTTTGGAAATCTTCATTCGTAACCCAACATAAAGCCCTATTTTATTTTCTTAACTTGGAATTGTTGATGCTTTTGCAGTATGTCCCAATTTTTAAATTTTTGCTATCAGCTTTTCTCATTTTTATTCAGACTTCAGGTGCAATAATGCCGTTTTATTTTTCATATTGGAAAGCCCTGCACATTTGATAATTGAGTACATGAATCTTTCCAATTAATTAGAATATGGATTCCAATAAAAATAAATTAGTTTTTATTTTATTTTAAATCAATTAACTTATTTTTGTTGACATATAATAGTTGTACATATTTGGGGGGTACATGTGATATTTTGGTACCTGTATACAATGCTTAATGATCAAGTTAGGGTGATTGGGGTATCCATCACCTCAAACATTTATCTTTTCTTTGTGCTGGGAACATTCTAATTCTAGTTATTTTGAAATATATAATAAATTATTATTAACTATAATCCTTCTACCATACTATCGAACAGTAGAACTTATTCTTTCTTTCTAACTAGTACAGTTTTTAGAAGTTTCCTTCTCTATATGATGGAGAGAAAACTAGGATGGAGAGGACTTCACTCCACAAAGATTCAGAAGTTCTGGGTTCTGATCATGGCCTTGGTACTGACCACCTATGGGGATTTGGAGCGAATCCTAAAAAGTTCGCCTGATGCTGGTTTTTTTCCACTACAAAATGGTGATAAGAAGTTTTTTCTTTAACTGTATAATAATTTCTTAGGAAATGAGACTATCACTGGATAAGACTGTAGATCCTAAGATGTCATATGATGACAAACTGGGTTTTGTAGTTTGCCTAGGGCACATTCTTACCTATCCCAGCAAAAGTCCTGATTCCGGCCATGTTTGAAGAATGATAGAACCATTAGAGTATCCATTCATATATCTCTTTGATGTATAAAATTTCCCACGCTCCCTGTTCAGTCTTGATAGTGTAGGAAAACGTGTCTGCTTTTTCTTCTGAATTCCACGCTTTTGAATCACTGTCTGGCTTTACATTCTCTTATGAACTCCAGTAAGTGGGTAAAACAAACATTCATGGGAATGTTCAAATGGATTTATTGATTTATCATCTCAGCGATGCTCAAGGCCAACGCTCTATCCTAAAGCAACAACTATTTGGGACAAGACAAGTCAACATTTTAGCACAATCCAAAAACAGCTTCATTATTTTTTTAGGTTCAATGCGCAGACATTGAATTCACAGCATAAGATGGGATTCAGTTGAGATCAAGGAAGTTTAGATGGCAGTGAATATCAGATGTGGTCCAGTGCTAAGGTTGTATTAGAAAGAGATAGTAGGATTGCAGAAGTCCAAATGTGCTTATGAATGATAGAGTTTCCATAGCACCCAGGTGTACAGAGTCATGTATTTTGAAACTCTAAAATTAATTAGAGATGTATAAGGAAAAAATGAGAAACCTTAAATCTATCCATGCCACTTACTTGACGTATGAATGTATTCATCTACTTGGTTCTATTAAGAGTTTTTGTCAAGGATCTTAAATTTTCCTCTTCCCAGAGAGCGGTTTCACAATCTTGTATTCTCAGAGAGTCAAACACCTCATTCTTCTTAACGGGCTCATTAAGCCCCTTTAGCATTCCTTGATAAAATATGTTACTGCCTTGCAGTTTCTATCATAATTAGCCATTAGGGATATCTTGGGTAGCTGTAAATATTCAAAGGCAACACTGCACCTATGAACTGTATTTTGAAGAATACCAGAAGGTATATGGGTAATAAAAAGAATATATAAAGCTCTCTAATGTAAATCACCCTCTTAGTGGCATACAAAAACCAATTTTTAATTAGATTAAAGTCTGAGATTCAAAGCCATGATTCCTTGAACAATGGACCTGCTTTTCTTTGCCTCAGCACATTCTAATGGGAAATCCCTATATTTCGATTTATTTTGTCAATTTGGTTGCACTGTTGATTATTATTATTTTTAAACTCAAGAGTAGAGTGGGTAATGATTAACTGAATGCAGGGAATAAAAGCATAATTGTGGATGGATATGAGTAGTGTAGGATGGACCTATTGTTGGGAATAATTTTTACTCTAATACTCTATTATTGGGGATAATTTTTACTCTAATACTGAAATCACTCAAAGAACTCATGGATTTCATTTAAATTCTGTAGAATAATAGAATGAGAAAAATTTGGCTGCTGACATGGCATTAATATTGTGAATATACCCTTAAAGGAAAATGGCTCATTTAAGCAAAAGTGGGTATATTTGGAAATCAGAATGTAGGAATGCAATTTTGAAAACCATCATGGACACTCCATTACTAACAGACAGCTTTCCATCCACTCATACCTCACATTAAAGAGAATTAAGTGTAGGAAAAGAAGTTCACAGTAAAACCCAACAATTCAAGTACATAATCTATGTATTATGGGAAGTTTAACCTGGCAAAAGTATCCTTTAATTGGGTGCACATCAAAATATTCAAGAGCAAATCAATAATGACCCACTTATGATTACATCACAAAGCTATCAGTTTTTCTTCAGATGGTCTATTGATAGAATAGATTTACACAATGGAGTAGTGATAAATAATAAATTACAGCGAAATATTCCAACCTAAAGCAATTTACAAGCATAACGTTAAATTTTTTTAAGAAAGTCAAAGAAAAATTGGTCCAGTCCGATCATATTTATCATAATATCAAAACATGAAAAGTAGAATGACATAAAATATTACTAATATATTCGATGTATCTATATGCAAATATGCAAATATATTTAAAACAATATGGAATATAGATAAATATGTATGTGACCAAAATATAAATAAACCTAAAAAAGGCCAGGGGTGGTGGCTCATGCCTATAATCCCAGTGCTTTTGGAGGCTGAAGAGGGAGGATACTTGAGGCCAGGAGATCGAGACCAAGCTAGGCAACGTAGTCAGACTCCACGTCTACAAAAATAAAAATAAAAACAATTATCTGGGTGCAGCGGTACACACCTGCAGTCTCAGCTACCTGGTGGCTCAGGTGGGAGGGTCGCTTGAGCTCAGAGGTTGGAGGCTGCAGTGGGCCGTGACTATACCACTGCCCTCTAGCCAGGGTGACTGAGAAAGACCCTGTCACCTCCTCCACCAAAACAAAAAAACATGAAAAGCAAATTACTTAATCAGAAGCAGTTCTCTGACCAGAACGTGCTACTTCCAGGGGACTTGAATAGAAGTGGTGGTATCTACCTAAATGAATTCAAGGCAGAAGAAGGGAAGGTAACAAAAACTGTCCCTAAGGCAAGAAATGGGAGAACATAAAAAGACAGATTTCTTGTAGAGCAAATTGAATGCAGTGAGATGAGTGGAAGTCATAGCAAACAAGTATCAAGAAGGAAGACAGAAAAAATGTTCTTCAGTGAGGATAACAACTTTGTAGGTTGCTATGGAGCTCATACTGACATAAGCAAAACATAGGCCTGGGTTATTTTGTTTAGAGTTTTTTTTTAAAAAAAAAGATTGTTGGTAGAAATGTGTGTGCTCATCAATATAAAAGGTGGATTAAAACACCTCGGATATGTGATCATGTTATAATTGTCAATAGTATGTAAGGATGATGTATTAGTCCATTTTCAGGCTGCTAATAAAGACATTCCCAAGACTGGATAATTTATAAAGGAAAGAGGTTTAATTGCCTCACAGTTCAGCATGTCTGGGGAGGCCTTGGGAAACTTACAATCATGATGGAAAGTGAAGGAGAAATGGTCATCTTCTTCTCAAAGTGGCAGGAAGGAGAATGAATGCAGGAAGAACTACAAAACAGTTATAAAACCATCAGATGTTGTGAGAACTCACTCAGTATCACGTGAACAGCATGGGGGAAACTGCCCTATGATCCAACCACTTCCACTTGGTCTCTCCCTTGACACATGGGAGTAATGGGGATTATGGAAATTATAATTCAAGATGAGATTCGAGTGGGGACACAAAGCCTAACCATATCAGATGGTAACTGTAAAAAAAAGAAAATCCAGCATGCTCTAAAAAAGCCATACCTGATAATTGTTCTAAGAGACTAACATTATAAAATATAATCCTGATGTGCATCCTTTACACCTCTGGAAGATTATATTTTATGATTTTAGATTTTTAGAACTAAATTATAACATTACAAAACAGTTGAGAAGTATAGTCACAGAAAAAGTCATTAATCCAGCAAAATTTCTGTCAAAAAAAATGGAATTGGGGCATGGAAACATTGAGGCCCAAAAAGTTAAACATAGAATTACCATATGTTACCCAGAAACTCCAGCCCTACGTGTATACCCAAGAGACATAAAAGCAGAAACTGAAACAGGGATTAGCAGCATTATTCACAATGATCAAAAAGTGAAAACAACCCAAATCTCTATCAACAGATGAATGGATAAACAAGTTGTGGTCTATTCATACAATAGAATATTATTCAGCCTTAAAAAGGAATGCAGTACTGATGCACGCAGCAACGTGAATGAGCCCTGAAAACACCAAGCTCAGTGAAAGAAGCCAGACACAAAAGGCCACATATTAGGTGATTCCACTTCTATTAATCACATGGAGAGACCCATAGAGACAGAAAGTAGATTAGTAGTTGTCAGGAGCTGGGTGTGAGGATGGGGTGGGAGGAGTGACTGCTGCATGGATACGGGGTTCCTTTTTCTTTTTGAGACAGAGTCTTGCTCTGTCACCCAGGCTGGAGTGCAGTGGCACACTCTTGCTCACTGCAACCTCCACCTCCCGGGTTCAAGTGATTCTCATGCCTCAGCCTCCTGAGTAGCTGGGATGACAGGTGTGTGCCACCATGCCTGGCTACTTTCTGTAATTTTAGTCGAGACGGGGTTTCACCATGTTGGCCAGGCTGATCTGGAATTCCTAGACTCAGGTGATCCACCTGCCTTGGCCTCCCAGAGTGCTGGGATTACAGATGTGAGCCACCAAACCTGTTCTGGGGTTTCTTTTTAAGGTGATGAAAATATTTAGGAACCAGATACAGGTGATGGTTGCCTGACATTGTGAACACATTAAAAGTCACAGAATTTTACACTATAAAATGGTTAATCTTATGTTATGTGAATTTTATCTCCATCAAAAAAAAAAAAAGAATGAAGCTCTTCTCTGCAATAAAAATAGTCTGAAACAGAACCCGGTAAACTGGGTAGCATATAAGGAATGTAGGTAAATGTCTGTAGAACTTTTTTAAAAAATCTCTAAGACAAACAAAGGAAAAAGAATGTATGCCCCACTTTTAAAATGCCAGAGAGTTGCAGGATGTTTTTTTCTTAATAATTTAAGCCTTATTTATTATTTAGCACTTTGTTTGAAGATAACTATAGACTTTCCAAAAAGTTTCCAAAATAGTACAGAGAGTTCTGCTCACCCTTCAGAATGTTTTTCTAATGTTAATGTTTTTTGTCATCATAGTACAATTATAAAACCAGGTACTTATCATTGATAGAATGCTGTTAACTGAACTACAGATCTAAGTAAAATTCTGACAGTTTTACCCCTAGTGTTCTGTATTAGTCCGTTTTCACACTGCTGTGAAGAGACTACCTGAGACTGGGTAATCTATAAAGAAAGGAGGTTTAATTGACTTATAATTCTGCATGGCTGGGAAGGCCTCAAGAAACTTACAATTATGGAAGAAGGGGAAGCAAGGCATGTCTTACATGGCAGCAGGAGACAGGGCAGAGAAAACTGCCATTTTTAAAGCCATCAGATTTTGTGAGAACTCCCCCACTATCATGAGAATAGCATAGTCCAATCACCCCCATGATCCAATCACCACCCGCCAAGTCCCTCCCTCAACACGTGGGGATTATAATTCGAGATGAGATTTGGATGGGGACACAGAGCCAAAATATATCATGTACTCTTTATGGACCAGGAGCCAATCCAGGATTGCACATTGTATTTAATTGTCATAGCTCCATATTCTCCTCCAATCAGTGACATTTTCTCACTTTTTTCCTTGCATTTTATGACCTTGATGCTTTTGAAGAGCCATCGTCAGTTATTTTGTATCTTGTCTGTGGGACAGTTTTAAAAGATCTAAAGATCTCAAAGGAAGAAATTAAGTATTTAGAGATAAACATACTCATCTGAGAAATGTTCGGCACGGGAATAAGCAGAAATAAATGGCAAAAAAAAATCGGATTCTCAAAAATTATGAACACCAATTCTTTAAATGATACGGAGTCAAGCTGCAGACATGAACAAGGTCTCTACAAAATGGCAGAAGTGCAAGAAGTTCATATAGTGAATGGAAATTAACAGGGAGGATGGGGAAAAGAAAGATTTGGCAAATGTGATGCTATGCTGACCATTTGCAGCGGGTGAGGGATGAGGCTGTCTAGAGTAGTTTAGATGTAGCTCTTAGCCTATCAGCATCTCACCATGGTGGCATGACAAGGCCACCCTTATCATGGCCCTGCTTTGCTTGTTACTATATCAAGTGTTACTTAAACTCAAGCTTCTCAAAGATTGGGAACACCCACTCCCCCTATGCCCTCGCTCCCTGTCCCCTAACTCTTGACTTTAATTTCTGTATTTGTATTATCTCCTTGAGGATCATCTCCCCTCAATAAATTGTTGGCCCTCAATTGTCTCTGAGCTCAATTCTCCCTCATGGTATACTCTTTACCGATGTTATTTTATCACTGAATATTTTCAGCTTCTTCTATGAATATCCTTTAAATCTGCCGTATCTGTCTAACACAAATCCAACTTATTTTGGAGTAGAAGACAATTGCTACAAATCATGAGACAATTTTCCCTTATTTCATTATACCAAGCTCCTTTATTGACATGTTCTTATAGTGCATTTATTTTAACTTGAATGTGCTCTGATTCACACCCCATTTCTATTACCTATAACTCTTGCTTGTATTACTGATGTGCTTAGGCATGACCAGTCATTTCTCAAAGAAGATATTTGCAGGTTGATTATTTTTGTCTCAATGTATACTTGCCAATAACATATGCTGTGCTTCTAGCTCCATCAGGGTACTTCTGTATTAGATGACATTCTTCAAGGGATTAATGGCCATTTTTCATTCTTTATCAGTTGTACCTTCAGAGTTCAAATTGATCACCTTAGGCTTTGACGTAAATCATTCAACATCCTATGAGAAAGCTTAGGAATCCTCAAGACAGTGGTAGTTTCAAAGACATCCCACATGTTACTTCTCCTTTCAAATCAATTATTTAAAATTTCCTGGTAAAATAAATGTACAGAGAAAGTAGAGCGAAATGTGAAAATCTCCCATAGTCTTCAATTGTATACAACGGATGTCCCATTGGTCAAGAACCCTGGCTCACACCAAAATTTGGTCTGGACAAATTTTACCAAGAGAAACTATTTCCAAACAGTTCCCAGGATGAGACTGTATGGTATAGTTCAGTTTTCTATTTCTTTACATGGTCTTCCCTTGTGCTAGGTTCTTGCAGGCAAGGATGGTTGCTAAAGATACTCGGAAGAGTCATTATCATCAAGGACAGTAGAAAGTGCTCTTGAAAAAGCACTTTTAGGTTGGGCATGGTGGCTAACATCTGTAATCCCAGCACTTTGGGAGGCTGAGGCAGGAAGATCCCTTGAGCCAAAAAGTTTAAGACCAGCCTAAACAACACAGCAAGACCCCATCTCTACCAAAAAAAGATGTACTTTTATAGTACATACTGCTCCAAAAATGTAGAGGAAAGCTCATTTTATGTTCATAACATTGTGTGGTATGAAGAAGCATTTACCTTCTAGCAGAGTTTTTGATTAGTGTTTTTACTTGATCCATAAAGAAATTACCGGGCAGAGGTGTAACCTTCTTCTTTTCTTTTCCCACTCACATCTGAGATGACATAGACAAGAAGAAAGAGAAATTTTAACATATAAAATAAAATCTCCTTCCCTCTCCCCCTACTCTGCAAAGAAATCCTTTGTATTTTCAGGAAAACCCTCATGTTTAAATGACTATAATGGTTTAGTTCCCCAATGCTGAGGGATTTTAAAATTTGAACTAAGATAGCCTTTTAGCATAGAAGGTTTGAAAATTCATACCTGACAATATCTCATCAATTTACAGAAAAGACTGCCTCTGGGAGAATATCATAATCTTCCAAGATTTATATGGAGCTGAAAGCACCTTGTCTATGAAATTTCCTATAATATACCGAAACATGATTAAAAATGTGGATCTAAAAATGGAATTGCAGAGCATGCAGCATTGGGGAAAGGGATGGTGATAAATATAAAAATATTGGGGTGGAAAATAGTTTTACCATGTCTACAATCAGCACCAAAATATCACTTGTACTAAAGTAATAGAATGAGATGGGTTACAAAAAGCATGTTTTTATTGCAATATAGGTGCAAAACATTTGAAAAGGAGAGGCTTTTTTAAAATCCAGCTTCATTTGGAGTATATCTTTGATACACAGCCATTGAGTCAATCTCTCTAGACCATTCAAAATGAGAATATCCAATGCACAAACGTAAATGTGCCCAATTTCCTAATCTCCTGTAAATACTATCACTTCCCTGAGAGCTACTGGACTTTGGAAGGGTGGATTGATTCCTCTGTCTCATCACAACGTTGGGGGAAAATGTTGTGACTCCAGTGTGGATATCCTATTTATCTCCCGTTGGGAAAGAAGTATTTACATGTATTATGATGCTTTGAAATGAGATTTAGAATGGTTAGAGGAAAATATAGTGCCTGGGTTCCAGCCACTGGGCAGACAGATTACCATAGTGCTGTGTGAGTAACACTTTA
The DNA here is from genome assembly GCF_000001405.40 of Homo sapiens. Lineage (NCBI taxonomy): Eukaryota > Metazoa > Chordata > Mammalia > Primates > Hominidae > Homo > Homo sapiens. Next base: position 6,599,660 of record NC_000023.11, read on the forward strand.
TAAATGCATTTGTCACACAGGAGCAGTGTCACATGAAATCTGATTCATTGCATGTAATGGATTAGGTGAAATTCACTTAGATTTTTAGCAATGTGTGTAAAATAACTAACTTAACCTATCTGCAAACCGTATTTTATCTTTCAAATCTTGTAAGTGCTCTCTGGGACTACACAATGAATAGGCAGTTATATTTCAACAGGTATCGTAAGGAACATCAGTCTCCTACCAGAAATCATCATGAAACCAGCCCATTCAGGCTGTTTGCTTTACATAGAAAAATGTGTATGACCATACATATTATAGAATTATTCACTCATATGCATGTGGTCTTGTGTCAAAAAAGTTGTCCCTTATTGAGGCAGATGTTCTGGCTAGGAAAATATCTAAACCAAAAGGTCTGAATATTTGATTAACTGATGGTCCTTAAGGCTTAATGCCATATTTTGCTTCTTAAGATTTACTGAGAATGTCATCATTGCATCTTTCTTCATCTGTCCGGGCTGCTGTTGTAGAATACCCTACCTAGCCTGGGTGAATTTTAAAAACCAATGTATTTCTTACAGTTCTGGAGGCTGAGACATCTGAGATCAGGGTGCTGCCATGCTCAGGTTCTGGCAAGGGGCTTCTGTCCAGTTTGTAGACAGCCACCTTCTTTCTCACTGTATCCTCACATGGCCAAGGGGGAGAGAGAAAGAGAAAGAGGGAAAGAGAAGGGGAAAGAGGGAAAGAGAAAGAGAAAGGGAAAAAGAGAAAGAGAGAAGGAGAAAGAGAAAGACAGAGAGAGAGAGAGAGACAGAGAAAGCTCCCGTTTCTCTTCTTAAAAGTACACTAATTCCGTCAAGGGCTACACCCTCATGATCTGATCACCTCCAAAGGTCCCCAATCTCCTAATCTCATCACACTGGGGATTGGGGTTTCGACATATGCATGCTAGAGGAACACAAACACTCAGTCTATAGGAGCATCTGCATTTCCTTTTGGGAGAATTGTCTCCTTTTCATTGTGTGAAATTGAGTGCTAAGGTAGACCAAGTCAACTGTCTCCATTTTAGAAAGCCCAATGGGACAAATGTGGTCTCTGTCCAAGAAGCAGGCATTTGACTTAAGTCTCCCTAGTCAGGGCATTGCCTCTTGTGCAAGGGACGAGCATGGGATGGATGGCCCTTGCCTAATTGCTGCAGACTGGTGTGATAACGAATGGCTTCCAGGAGCCTCTAGAATCAAGATCAGAGATCAAGTGCATATCTTTGTATGCACTTGATCCCAAGTGTTTATCTCCACACTCAAGTGGATTTTGTATCTCTTTCCAATGTATTTCTCCCAATTCCAAAATGAGCTTCGATTGCCTTGGACTAAAACCCACAGTGATATAGATGTTTCCCCAGTGGAAGGTGTGTGACAGGAGGTAGGAATAAACATTTGAAATTAAGTTTCATATTATTTATCTCATGAGTATCAATTTCATCCACAAAAAATGACTACAAAGGCAACCTTTATAAGGAATTAAGTAACTCATTCTCATTTTGTACTTTAAGACTGTGACTATATCCAGAAAAACCACTGGACTAAATGCTAAATTGTGTCAGTTTTTTTAAAAGTAAAGTTTAACCTTGATTTAACATAATTTTTTTCTGAATTTATCATTTTTTTAGAGACAGGGTCCCACCCTGCTTCCCAGGCTGGAGTGCAGTGGCACAATCAGAGTTCTCTGCAGCTTCAACCTCCCCAGCTCAAGGGATCCCCAGGCCTTAGCCTCCCAAGTAGTTGGGATTACAGGTGAACACCTCCATGGCCAGCTAATTTTTTTTTTCTTTTTTGATAGAGACAGAGTTGCACCAAAGTAAATTTTGACATGAAGACTGCTGTTTAGTTGTGTGATATTATTATATATATGCATTAGTCTTTTTTTCTCACTACTGATAAAGACATACCTGAGACTGGGAAGAAAAAGAGGTTTAATGGACTTACAGTTCCACATGGCTGGGGAGGCCTCACAATCATGGTGGAAGGCAAGGAGGAGCAAGTCACGTCTTACATGGATGGTGGCAGGCAAAGAGAGAGCTTGTGCGGGGAAACTCCCCTTTTTAAAACCATCAGATCTTGTGAGGCTTATTTGCTATCACGAGAACAGCACAGGAAAGACCTGCCCCCACGATTCAATTACCTCTTACCAGATTCCTCCCACAACATGTGGGAATTCAAGATGAGATTTGGGTGGGGACATAGCCAAAGCATATCTATCTGTATCTATATCTACATGTGTCGATCTAATCTGTCATCTATCTATCTATCTATCTATCTATCTATCTATCTATCTATCAATCAATTGGGGTGGTTCAGGAAATAGCAGATGTAAGACCCTGTAGAAACAACAGCTCTAGGTAAAGAGTCTTGGAGAACACTGGTGTTCTTTGACACATACCTATTCTCACCTGGGAAAGAGAAACATTCTACTCCTCATCTACCATTTTCTATCAAGTGTTTAGTCCTTTGTTCCCTTTAAAACAAAAAGCTGAAATTCATTGAATGATAAAAGCAGCACCCCTTTTTAAATCATATATATATATATAATAAATACGATATATTGTGTATAAGATATAGTTTTTTATCCACAGTTCCGGGGTCATAACTCCCATAACCCTTGCTATAATGTTGGGGTGCTTTTGGCCTCAGAAGCACACTTCAGAAAACAGAATCTCTTTCTCACTGACCTTCTCCTGCCTTCCTTCCACCTGCCGAAAGTAGGACTATAACCTTTCCCTGACTTTTTTTTTTTTTTTTTTGAGATGGAGTTTTGCTCTGTCACCCAGGATGAAGTGCAGTGGTGCGATCTTCGCTCACTGCAACCTCCACCTCCTGGGTTCAAGCAATTATCCTGCCTCAGCTAGTAGCTGGGATTACAGGCACCTGGAACCACACCCAGCTAATTTTTGTATTTTTAATAAAGACAGCATTTTACCAAGTTGGCCAGGCTGGTCTCAAACTCCTGACCTCAAGTGATCCTCCCACCTTGGCCTCCCAAATTGCTGGGGTTACAGACATAAGCCACTGCACCTGGACCTTTCCCTGACTTTACTATCCATAGTAAGATGTATTATCTTTTGCACCACTGACCCACTGATATGATTTGGCTGTGTCCCCACCCAAATCTCATCTTGAATTGTAGTTCCCATAATCCTCACATGTCATGGGAGGGACCCGGTGGGAGGTAATTGAATCATGGAGGCAGTTACCCTCATGCTGTTCTCATGATAGTGAGTGAGTTCTCACAAGATCTGATGGTTTCATAAGGGTCTTTTCCCTCTTTTGCTCAGCACTTCTCTCCTGCCACCCTGTGAAGAGGGATGTGTTTGCTTCCCCTTCTGTCATGATTGTAAGTTTCCTGAAGCCTCCCTAGCCATGTGGAACTACGAGTCAATTAAACCTCTTTCCTTTATAAATTACACAGTCTTGGATATTTATTCACAGAAGCATGAGAACAGTCTAAGACACCCTCCCTCCCCTAGTAGTCTGACTGTGGGACATAAGACCCTTATTTTAGAAGACAGCCTGCCCCATACCCTGGAAGAACGACTGCTGCACAGAGAGGCCAAGAAGGATTTGAACAGTTAGGCCTTGCTGTGTCCTCTTACTCACCCTTCTAGTGTCACATCATAGCCTTTTTGTCCAATCACATTTCTACATAGTTGTCAATCATGCCTATCCAATGAAATCTGGACAAAAAGGCCAAGAAGACTGTGTTTGGAGACCTTCTAGAGAGCTGAACACGTGGAGGCTGGCAGGCAGGTGGACAAGAACTCACCCATGTGCCTGGAGTGTGGTGCACTCCAACACTACGGGGAGACACTGTTGTGGTCTGGATCTGCCCAGACCTCACCCTATGTATCTCTTCATGTGACTGTTTTTGTCCTTTAAAATATCCTTTATAATAAACCAGGAAGTGTAAATAAGTGTTTTTCTGAGTTCTGTGAGCCACTTCAGCAAATTAATCCAACCCAAAGAGCAGGTCGTGGGAATTACCCCAAGTTGAAGCTGATTGGTCAGAATTTCCGGAGGCCCAGACTTGTGACTGGGGAGATGGAGTAGGCAGTCTTGTGTGAACTGAGGTGGTGTCCCCTGCAGAACTGCTTGCTTGCTTGGCGTGCGGGGAGAAGCCCCCACACATTTGGTTGTAGACAGCTTCTATGTGGATTGTCATTGCAGTGTGAGAGCAGAGGAAAAGCACTTTGAGTTTGTGTGTGAGTTTGTTTTATTCTCTTGAGACAATTTGTATTAAAATGTGAAACTGTGGAGTCGACTCTGGTTGGGTTGGTAAACAGGGGTGCTATTATTGTCATCCAGTGAATTTCAGCTTTGTGTTAAAACCATAATAGAAATTACAAGTAAGGAATGGAACTAGAGTCTCATGGTTCTCTTTCCAAGGTGAGAATAGGTATGTGGCAAAAAACACCAAGACTCTTTAGACTGTAGCTACCATTTCTATAATACTAGTGTCCTACACCTGCTGTTTCCAAGATCATCCCAATTCAGGTCATCGTTATCTCTTACTCTAATTATTGTGAGAGACTCCTAACTGATATCCGTGCTTCTAGTTTCTCCCTTATTCTGCTCCGTTTTTCAAACTATAGCTAAAGCTACCTTTAAAAATAGAAATCTGATCATGACACTCTTGGAAACCATGCACAACTTGGACGGCTTTCCATATCTCTTAGGGTAAGGTCTATTCCCTTACCTTGTCCTTTCCTATTGATGGCCCAGCCTCCACTCCCCTGGCCTCTTCACATTTCATCCCAGACACATTGCATTTATTTCTATTTCCTACATGAGGCTTAGCCTGTTAGATCTCTGGGCTTTCTCTCATGAAGTTCATGTTGCCCCAAAGACTCTCTACCTTCTCCTCCTGTTTTGAAACACCACATCTACCACCAACATGTATATTTTGCAAAATGTCTACTCACTCTTCCTGCAGTAAGCATTTCCTGTCTTCTCCCATGTTTCTTCCTCATCCTTTCCCTGTCAACAAACTTCCTATTGTTTTACTTTGCTGAGTTCCCTTCTGAATGGTATACCCCACTTGACTGCATTCTTATGGGGGGAAGTAAGGAGGGTCTGTCATTCACCTTTGTATTTCTAGGACCTAGTGTAATTCCTGGCTCCTAGCAGGTGTTAAAAAAGTCAGCATATATTTGACTGAATACCAAATTCAATCCACTGATGAGATACAATGGGACCACCAGTATCTATTTCTTCTGTGACCTTCATCCCTCAATGGTCCTTTGAAAATGCTAACCCAGACATTGAGAAAGAAGTCTATTTATGTATTGGGGGATAGTTACTCAGGCAACACAGCCTATCTGTAAAATATAAAATAAAATAAAATATAATAAGATATTAGAATTAGACTACACCAAAATGACATTGATTGGGTTCACATTCCCACTACACAATGCACAAATCCTGGCACAGATTTTTGAAAATGGTAAAATACTGCACAAATGTAAGACACTATCATATAGGATCATGAGAATGCACACACAAATAACTATAATATGACAGCATGACCAAGGCTGTGGGTACTCATTGTGAGCTTTTTCAATAACCAGGAGATGAACAAATATCCTAAAATAATGCTATTAACCGACGTGTTATGAAGTCATATTCTGTGAAGTACTATTCTATCTGCACAATTTTGCAACCAGAAAAAAACCCTATAACATTTAAAATGTCTGCTTAAAAATGGGACCAGACTGACATGTTTAACGTAAAATCATTAGGAGAATTTAAGAAGTAGCAATTCTGGTAATTACCAAATAGCATGATTCTCTCCCAGTAAAGCATATGTCAAATTACAGAAAAACATCACTATGTTGCTTTCCCTTTTAAAGATTTTACATATGAAGCATATGAGTTTAAATATTCCCCTGCTTTTTGCATATTTTATTTAAGCTTTTTTAATGGGATTTAACGCTCCTTTGTTTTCACTTTTTTTGTGTGAGATTCCAAGCACTGAAAGTTTCTTTTGATCTCTTCCCAGTAATTTTTCAGGTAAAAATGAAATATACATATATATATAGCTTTTTTGTTTGTTTTGCGAAGACATAGAGTGGGAGAAGAAATTGGGGGGTGGTGAGGCAGAGTTGTTTTACTCTCCTAAGAGAAGAAAGGAAACATTTCTGCATATCTCATTCTTATAGATAACACTTCCCATCACGTCTCGTGGAACTAAGGCTATTTGTTTCGTTAACTAATCGTCATTTATGCACTCCGTTATTCCCGGTGAAACTCTTCAGACAGCTTACAAGTATTGTCATGCTTATTATTATTATTACTATTATTATTATTATTATATTGCTGGCACTATGTTATATTCTTTCAGTATAAAAATACCAATACTGAGTTGATGTCACAAACCACGTGATTTCATTTTTGTTGTGTTCTATTCTTCCAAGTTATGGGGATGATTACTGGTTTGGGCCAATATGGAAGCTACTGATTGGAATTCAGCCTATAGCCACAGATTAAAGAAAAAGAAAAAAGGAACTCTCTCAGGCAATGGTAGTACTCAGGGTTTGGCTTTTCTCATAAACACTCCAAGTGTTTACTTTGTGAGCTAATTAGGAATGAGTTTCCCAAGATGATCCAACAATTGAGAAAAAGGAAAAGAAAAAAACAGTCTCCCACCAGAATACAAATATCCATGGGTTTCCAATTCACAGAAGCAAAATATGTGGACTGGTTTATGAAACACACACCATTATCTTCTTCCCTCGGGGAAAAGCAGCTTGCTGAACAAACACTTCATGTCAGAGACTGTTCCAGCCACGTGAAAAGCCCACTGCACACCAGTAAAAGTCATGGCTCAAAATTATGACACGAATGTTCAGATGAGGAAGGATTTATATTTACAAAAGCACTTGTTTCATAAAGCTACACTTTTCAGGAGCGGCAGCATCAGTATTGCCATGGACTGAATTATGCTTCCTCCAAAACTCATACGTTGGAGCCCTGACCCCCGCAATGCGATAGTAATAGGAGGTGAATCCTTGGGAAGACAGTTGAGTTTAGATGATGTCGAGCTGGTGGGGTCCTCATGATGGGATTAGTGTCCTTATAAGCAGAGGAAGAGTCACCAGAGCCCCCTCTCTCTCCCTCTGCTATATGAGGACTAAGAGACCAGGTGGCCGTCTACAAGACAGGAAGAGAGAGTTCTCACCAGGAACCAATCTTTTGGGACCTTGATAATGGACTTCCAGCCTCCAGAGCTGAGAACATACATTTCTGTTCTTAAATTACCCATCCTATGGTTTGCTGTTGTTATTGTTGTTACTGTAATTATGGCAGCCCAATGATGCAAATCTAAACACATGATGCAATATACGATGCAAATATAAACCCAGAATGAATTGAACACATCCACCCTTTAGTGCCCTCACCTTTATAGTAAAACTTCCACCCTGAAATCCATGCAAATCAGTGTCCCCCAGGAGAGAGTATGTACCTGAGTTCCTCAGTGCTCAGGTTAATTCCCTTAATCGATCTGCAAACATACAGATGGGAAGGGATGGGCACGATCAGTTTCCTAACTCCCTGATTATGCAGAAAAGGAAGCTGGAGCCCAGACTGTTTGGGTGACTTGTTTGATGTCTCACAACAAGTTTGTTGCAGAGATTCAAATACAGATTGAGCATCTCACATCCGAAATTCCAAAATCCAAAATACTCCCAAATCCAAAACTTGTTGAGCACCAATATCATGCCCAAAGGATATGTTAATTACAGCGTTTTAAATTTTGGGGTTTTTTGGATTTGGGGTGTCAAACCAGTAAGTATAATGCAATTATGCCAAAATCCAAAAAAAAAATCTGAAATCCAAAACACTTCTTGTCCCAAGTGTTTTAGATAAAAAGATATTCAACCTGTAGAACCCACACTTTTCACTTGCAACCAGTACAATTTCAACTATAACATGACAGATTAGTACTAGACTTTTAACCCAGATTTCCTTTTGTTGATGAAAATGCAGAAAAGGTTTTGATAATCCCATTCACCGTACAAATAATCACATGTATGTATGAATGTGTATGCATGCATGAATGTGTATGCATGTATGAATGTGTATGCACGCATAAGTGTATGTATGTAAACACATCCAGACATGTATGTAAGTAAATTTTAAATGCATTAATATGTCAGCTTGATAATAAATTGCTACATGGTAATATTAAAGCAATCAATAATAAAATAAGAGGAAGGTCATATCTTAAATCCTTCCTGCATTTGACTTTGTCTCTGGTCTAAATTGATAGTCAGAGACACCATCAATAACATCAACAGAAAGTATGACAGATTTAACTCCTGGCTTCATCAGGGTCCCTTTTGCAATGAGTTTTGGGAGCTCAGACTTAGCTGGGTAGAAAGGAAGGAAGGACCCGACATTACGAGGGGTACATATCATAACCTTTAAAACTATGATCCTATTTAATTCTCACCACAATTGTACAAAGTAAATGTCACTCACATTCCACAAAACACTTAGCAGATTCGTAGCTCTGCCATAGGAGGCACTGTGCAACCCGGTGGTTTGAACTCAGCTTCTTTCTATCTTCACAAGATGCAAGCTTTTAAAGCCAGGAGGGGTGAGTTATTTATCCTTGTGTCTCCCCCAGATAACTGATATGCTAAGTACTGTATGCATTGGGTTCATAAATTATGGGTCTCCTTTCCTGTCACATATTGTTTAAAAGAAAACTTTCCAAATCATTTTTCAATATATGAAGGGCACTATGGTGTGATGGTGAAGACTTTGAGCTGTGAAGTTGAGTTGAATCAATTTACATCAGTATCCATTGTTATTTCTCTCCCTGCCTGACTCCGCTTACACTGTTTCTTGTCTTTGCTTCCAGCTCCTGGGGAAAAACTGTCTAGGGATCCATTTCTCTGCCCCTGATTTTCTTTGTGGGGAAATACTTTCTCCCAACGTGCATAAATTTGTTGAGAAGTTAGCTCCATATGCCTCCTCCCTCTTGGTGAGTGCAAAGAGACAGATTTTCCCAAGAAAAGAGGCAGATGTTTGGCCTAAGCTATATCCATTCAGACACTCTCTCCAAGACCAATTTTTTTAACTTGGGCTCAAATTCCCCGTTCTTCCCTGAAACAATTATTCCTACCTATGTAACACTTATAAGCCACATACGGGGACATCTCCCTGGAGGTAACATCTTATGTGTGATCTCAGGATGGAAGGAAACCTTTTTTCTGCTGAATTTTCAAACGCATTGTCATTTCTTTTTGAAAGTATGAAGACATCAAAAGGTCGCGGAGCTCAGGTAATCCGCAGGCATTGCAACTCAACAGAGTGCTCTGATGAGCTGGTGATGTTAAGGGCACATGACAGCTGACTGCCAAAACAACCTCTGTATGGGGAACAGAAGAAAGAGACACTCATGTGGATTTGACTGAAGCCAACTTCAAGGCTTCCCAGTCTGAGGCATGCTGTGTATTGATAGCTGGGGAATAATCATGGTGAGCAGGACAGAAAGGTTGAGGAGGCTCCACGGAAACAAGAGTGTCAAATCCATTGAGCAAAAAGGCCAAGGGAAAAGGCTGATTTCTAGTGATAGCAACCAAAACGAATGGCCAAATGATACCCAGGAAAACATGGCAGGAGGGGAATCAATAATCACCCATTTTTGTTTCTAAAATCCAATAGATGAAGAAAGGCAGTGAATTCAATGAATATTCGAACACTTATTTAATATCAAGAAGGGTTCTAGAAGCCAATGCAGTCACTGAAAGCAGTCAGACTTTGAAGCAGATGCTGTTGGCATTTGGATCATAACCTTTCAGTTTGCTGGAGGAGTCAGCCACAGCTCCGGTGGGCAGACTGCAAAGAGTTTTCAATTGGGGGTATACGAGAGAACTCCCCAAGATGCCACAGAGCAAAATCAAGGGAGATTCCATTTAAAGGCAAAGGTATGGTGAATCAAGAAAGAGAGGGAGAGAGAGAGATAGGGACAGACAGATTGACAGAGAAGGCACACATAAGGAATCCAAAAGATATTCCAAGGACCAGACACAAAGTCCTTGGGCATTATTTGCACATAAACCCTGTTCTGCCTTAGAATTGAACCATCAAGGTATGCACAAAAAAGTCTGACTTCTTCAGGAAAATGCAAAGTACAAGTTTGTGGCCAGCGTTTAAAGCTCCTCTGGCTATGTCATCAAACCAGCTCTGTCTAACTGATTAGGCCAATTTTGCAAACCATCAGTGGAGAAATTAATCATGATGGTCTCCAGGGGGCACTTCAGACTTTAAGCAGCACATCCTAAATCCCACAGCCCTTAATTTGACAAAGAGTCAGAAATCACACTTGCAGGTAGCCTCAGGGATAATGATAAAGCTGCTGCAATTCAGTGGTAAATCGGCCCCATCTGTATAGTGAGTTCTTGACAAGGTCTGCCCTGTATGGCTCTGCTTGGGAACTTCTCAGGCAGTATAACATAGAGGGGCATGGTAGGCCCATGGGTCTAGAAACTTACGGGTGTAAGTGGACACCCCAGGAACTACCTTCACTCACTAAGGGATGGGATTTTCTAGATAAATGCTCCAGCTTCCTTTCCCCTGGGCTGGACAATTCTGAGATTGCTGCCACCATAGTCCCTCGCGGAATCTCCAGTGGGATGAAGATCTCATTGTCCACAGAAGTAGCCCTTTGTCAACACTTCTTGTATTGTTATAGATGGTAGAAATCTAAGATGCAACCCAAGATTCCAGCCTCCTGGGCTCCCAACATGTATAATCCCTTTCTTTTGAGAGTGGACAAGGACTTTGAATATGATGAATGTCACTCACTTGAACCGGTTACCAATTGGTTGACTTTGAGTCCATCAGTTATCCTGGGTGGGTCTGACCTAATCAGAGGAGACTTTAAGAGGGGGAAGAGTCGGCAAACAGCCATGATGATAACTGCTTATGGGACAACGTGGCAATGAAATGCAGGCAGAACTCGAGAAGTAGAGAGTGGTCCCTCTAACATAGCTCTTACAGAAAACTGGGAACTCTAGTTCTACAACTGAAAGGAACTGAATTTTGCCACAGCTACCTGAGCTTGAAGGAGAACCCTGATGTATGCCTGTAGTCCCAGCTACTCAGGAGGCTGAGGTGGGGGGATTGATTGAGCCTGGGAGTTAGAGGCTGCAGTAAGCCATGATCATGCCACTGTAGTCCAGCCTGGGTGACAGAGTGACACCCTGTCACAAAAAAAAAAAAAAAAAAAAAAAAAAAATCAATCAACAAAGAGAACACGGAGATTTAAATGAGTATACCTTCCCTGCAGTCTTGTGAGACCTGTGCAGAGGATGCTGCTAACCTTTACCTGGATACCTGATCCTTGTGAGAGAGGAGGCAGGACTCAACTCCAGAGGTGGGGCTGGGATGCAGGACCAAATTGAAGACTAGCTAAAACAGGTCCCGGACAGAAGAATCTTTTCATCGGACATGCCCACCAGTGTGCCAGGTCAGTTTGCCATTGCCATGGCAACCCCCGGGGGTTACCAACCATTTCCACAGCAATGACCCAATGATCCAAAAGTTGCTACCCTTTCTCTAGAAATTTCAGCAGAAACCGCCCCTCAATCTTTATGCAAATAAAAATGGGTATAAAAGTGACTGTGAAATCACCCTGAGCTGCCACTCTCTGCCCAGGGGGTAGCCCTGTTCTGCAGGAGCAGCCACGGAGCTGTAACACTGCTGCTTCTGTAAATTTTCTTCTACCTCCAGCTTGCCCTTGAATTCCTTCCTGGGCAAAGCCAAGAACCCTTGCAGGCTAAGCCCTGCTTTGAGGCTCACCTCTCTGGCATCATTTGGAAGCTCTGAGGTAATATTAATAAAAGTGTGTTGTTGTAAGTCACTTCATTTGTGCTAATTTGTTAGACAGCAATAGCACACTGATACAGTTGGCTTTCCTCACCTCCCAGTCTTTTTCTGGCCATACCTACAAGGATCACCTCTCAAATAAACTACTTTTACCAAAATTCTTCTCTCAGAATCTACATTTGGGGAACCCAAACTTAGGTATGGTTCTCAAAAAGTGTAAAATCTTGATGGGTGAATAGCAAGGAATTGAGGAAAAATATATGATAATATTCACCTTACCTTTCTTGAAGGGTAAATGAAATGAAACATGGTCTTCTTTTGAACTAAAATGTTCCCAACATTTAATTGTTCCCGGCATTTAATCCCAACATAATTGGGGCTTTCTTCTCATTCTAACTAGGAATTGTTTTTTCACAAAGGAAACAAAGAGAGTATAAATTTAAATTATCATATGAAAAAATTCAGGAAGATGTTAGAAATAATTTTTGGCCTGCAAATTGATTTGCAAGATGTTGATGGAAAATGTTTAAGGTTTATTTTATAGAGATGTTAAGGAAGATAGTAGGAATTATAATATTGAAGTGGTTGGAATAGCAATTCTATAATAAAGGGAACAGATCTTCTTGAGGGAAAATACTAGCTACAATTTTCCCATTTGGGGTAAATATCAGTATGTTTACATTACTGTTCTTCTCACATTTTATTCTAAGTTATTGACGATGAAGAAACACAATACAAGCTAAATTTATCCTCATGAATGATGTTATAGGAAGGTTTCTTTTCATGCAGTATATTAGTTTTCTAGGACTTCCATAAGAAAGTTCCACAGACCAGGTGACTTAAACAACAAAGATTTATTTTCTCACGGTTCTGGAGGCTGGAAATCTGAGATCAAGGGGTGAGCACGGCTGGTTCCTCCTGAAGCCTCTCTCGTAGCCTTGTAGATGCCATCTTCTCCCTGTGTCCTCATGTGGTCGTCCCTCTGTGTGTGTCTGTGTCCTCATCTCTTCTTCTTATGAGATGTCTTAGTCAATTTCAGGCTTCTGTAACATAATACCATAGACTTAATGGCTTACAAGCAACAGACACTTATTCTCCACAGTCCTGGAGGTTGGAATTCCAAGATCAAGGTGTGGGCAGGGCTGGTTCCTCTCGAGGCCTCTCTCCTGAGCTTGTAGACACTGTCTTCTCCCTGTGTCCTCAAATGGTTGTCCCTCTGTGTGTATCTGTCTCCTCTTCTTATGAGATGGCTTAGTCCATTTCAGGCTGCTATAACAGCACACCATAGACTGGGTGGTTTACAAACAGCAGACATTTATTCTCCCACAGTCCTGGAGGCTGGAAGTCTAAGCTCAAGGTATGGGAAGGGTTGGCTCCTCCTAAAGCTTCTCTCCTGAGCTTGTAGATGCTGTCTTCTCCCTTTGTCCTCACAGGGTCGTCCCTGTATTTATGTCTGTGTCCTAATATTCTCTTCTTATAAAGACCCCAGTCCTATTGGATTGGTGCCCATCTTAGTGACCTCATTTTACCTTAATCACCTCTTTAAAGACCTTATCTCCAAATACAGTGACATTCTGAGGTCCCAATGTTTAGGATTTAACATATAAATTTTGAGGAAACACAATTCAGCCTGTAACATGCAGTAAAGAATTTTATATGGAAAATCCTTTCAGTTCCTTCAGCCTCTGAGCTCCCGATTCCATATGCACTTAGATAATTTCCTAACATGCACATATGGTATTAGAGTTATTTTTTTTACCCTGATTGTACAATTAACATTTACACAGAGAGTTGCTGCTGTGAGTTGTAGATAAGTTCTCAGACTCATCTATATCACCACTTTATTTCGATCTTGCGACGGACAGATTGATTCTGAATGTCCCAGAGGAGAGACCATAATCAACACCCCCATATTCCCGCCAAGCTTGCTCACTCATCCTAGGGGAGGCTGACATTGCAAAGGGTTCCTGATTGAGAACCACAATGTCTTGACCAGCTGCACTTTGCACTGGGCTTCAGCTGACTTCCAGAGGGCAGACCTGTGGACCAACAGAAAGTAGATGAAAATAGAGAGGAACTAAGATGGATCTCTCTGCGTCCTCCAAAATTTCCCTTCTGCCCCATCTCACTTCCCCCTTGGCTCGGCCATGTTTATAAAAAGAGCTGTGATAACCTCAGGTCCTAACAACGCTGATGGCACTTTTGTAAAAAGGACACTGCATGGCAGAATCTAGATTTTGTAAAAGTATTTGGATACCTCGAGGTGCAAGTCATAAAGTCATTAAACTTGTTTTCGTTGCAGCATGGTTCGATGCATAAAAAGGTTGTGTGAAAGGCAAGCTTATTTTTGGGTTTGTGTTGTGAATCATCTGCTCTCACCCTGGGGTCCTGCACGATATCATCTTATTTCTTTTTCATGAAAAGGAAACAAATTAGACCCAGTTCAATCATCCTGATTCTCCTGTTCGAGCTTACCTTTCTGTCTCTCTGCTGATGGCAGCAGAATCCATGACATCTCAAAAGACCCTGTTTCCAGATAAGGTCATATTTTGAGGTTCTGGGTGATGTAAATGTCAGGGAGACCCCATTCAACCCATTGCAGAATGTCTCTTTCTTTTTCGTTGCCATCTTTCTATGGCTCTCACCTCGTACTGACCCCTCCAAGGAGCTGAGAAGTCGTCTTCTGCAGGAAAAAGGAGAAAGTCTGCTATTCTCGGCACAGCCTGTTATTTTTAGAGTGACACTGTTCACAGAGCCCAGGCCCAGACAGCCTTGGGATAAACAATCTGTAGGATCCCATGTCAGCCGCAGAAATGAGAACAAAAGTGAAAAACTCTAGCAACAGGATTAGGAACCTGAGCCACAGCCCCAAGGCTCATCCTTCTCTGATTAACGGGGCTAACTGCAAAATATCCAGGTGTTTTGTTGCTTTAATCAGGTATTGTTTTTCGTCTTAAACGTAATAAGCTCAGCAGCACTGTTGATCTGAGTTTTCTCTCATTTTTAGCTTGTGTCCCCAGGTTGGAAGACTACTTAGCAATGCCCCTTCCCTGCTGTGATTCTTTCTAGAAGCTGGGTCACCGGCATCCTCAGTGCCTGTCCATCAGAGGGATGCAGGCACAAAAGGTTTGTTCAAGGGCTGCCTGCCAAGTCCGGGGAGGCCGTCCCAGCATTGAGCTCACATTCAAGCAGATTATCAACGCTCTCAGGGACACTGATACATGCCAAAGAAATGTTTACAGAATGTCTTGAGATCTCATTGCTGGCGGTGATAAGATGGTGGTGGTGGTGGTGGTGGTGGTGGTGGCGGCGGCAGCTACACTCCAGTCACTGCAGAAAAGCAAAGAGAGATCCAATGAGTGTTTTGGCTGAGGAAGAGGGATTGAGCTTGACCTGTGTGCAAAGCAGAGGGGAGGTGACTTAATAGCTCCTTTCATCTCTAATGGGTATTCATTCAAGTCAACCAGGATAACACAAGTGTATGCACAAATGTATCACCGGGATGGATGAAGATGTGAAAAAAACCAGTGACATTTGCCTGCCTTTCTGGAAGTCGATACCAAAGAAAACGTAGTAATCATAGTGATTATGGTAAATCTGTGTGCATAGTTAGTGATTTTTCTTTCTAGGATTGAAAATGGAAACTCCGCCTTCTCTCCTCCCCTGGGGTTAGAAAGTATGCATACTTTGATTTCTCATCATCCTGGCTTCCTTCTTCAGAATGCTGTTGCTCAAAAGCTTTGTCTGTCATCAGGTTGAACATGTTTTGACCTTGAAGCATTACTTTGATCTTAAGGTTAAGTCTCTGATCTTCTTGTTTGAATCCAGGAACATAATGTGTTTAGATCCAGATGATTAGATCCCACAATCACCACCTTCAATTCACTCATTCTTTCCTGCATCCATTCATTCAATATTTGTCTAGCATGTGCTACTCATAAAGCAACCATGTGTATCAGGGGTTTACTAAGTGTAGGAGATGTTCTAGAGGCTAGAAAGGCATTGTTAAGCAAGGCAGATGGTTATGAGTGATGACTTCCTCTGAGGTAGAGAGCACAAGGCTATGGGGAAATAAAACAATGTGGCCTTGGTCTGTCTGGGAGGCAGAGAGCAGGACTAGAGAGTGTGACTTTTAGCATAAGCCTAAGCAATATCCAGGAGCAAGAGACAGGAGGAGAAGGCACTGGCATTGTTGGTGGAGTTGGCAGCAAATCCAAGACCATGAGTGAAATGGTTTGGATTTGCATCCCCATCTAAATCTCATGTTGAATTTTAATCCCCAGTGTAGGAGGTGGGGCCTGGTGGGAGGTGACTGAATCATGGGGGTGGTTTCTAATAGTTTAGCACCATCCTCCTAGTGCTGTCTCATCATAGAGTTTTCATGAGATCTGGTTATTTAAAAGTGTGCAGCACCTCCCCCTTCACACTCTCTTCCTCCTGCTTCCACCACGTAAGATGTGCTTGCTACCCCTTCACCTTCTGCCATCATAGAAAGTTTCCCGAAGCCTCCACAGCCATGCTTCCTGTACAGCCTGTGGAACTGTGAGTCAATTAAACCTCTTTTCTTCATAAATTACCTAGTCTCAGGTAGTTCTCTATAGCAATGCAAGAATAAACATATACAATGAGATATGTTAGGATAAGCTAGGTTTTGCTGCTGAAATAAAATCCATGAGACATAAATAGCCACAGCTTCAAATGTTATTAATTTCTCACATCACTGTCTGATGGGGGCTGGGCCATCTCCCTAGGCCTTATAGCTTTGCCGTCTGGAACTCATGACCTCACAGGGGACACCTCACAAGGAAAGAGACAGAAGAAAAAGGAGTATTGACTACTCACTGCCTGCATGTAGAAATGCCACATGTGCCTTCTGCTCACATCTCACCAGGCAGAACTAGTACTTGGTGCTATGTAATTGTGGGACAGTCTGAGAAATATAGGAAACCACATGATATCTGGTAATCTGTCAGAGCTACACTATTTCTAGCACAAACCAGGAAGAAGCTAGCTACATTGGAAGACTGAAAGCCAACCTGAATGACTAGGGCAACGAACAGAGGAGAGACAGCATCATAAAATGAGTTTGGAACCAGAATGGAAGACCACGCCACGCAGTGTCTTAAGGCCACATTGCTGAGTACTTTAAGGGTAATGGGAGGAGAGCAGAGATGGACAGGGATTGGTTTCTTAGGTCTGAAAATATCTTAAGTGTACAAGAGTAGATCTAGAGGTTACAATCATTGACTACTGATGACAATACATAGGCTAAAATGCTCTACAAACAAGACAATCAGTAAAACTTCATCATTCCGAAACACATCAACAAAACTTTGTAATTCAGAAGTAAATCAGCATCCTATTCAATGTCAGTAGGTTATGCATTAATCAGTATGTCAACAGTCTGAGAAACTTATGTTAAGATTCTTTGCTCAGAGATGGAGTCTCCGTGCATCACAAGACCTTCTTAAGGCAGGTTAGTTTGGAAGCCTGCTGATATAGTTTGGATGTGTTTTGCCACCCAAATTTTATATGGAAATGTAATCTCCAACATTGGAGGTGGGGCCTAGTGGGAGGTGACTTGATCATGGGGGTGGATTTCTTATAAATGGTTTAGCCCCATTCACCAAGTGTTGTCATTGTGATAGTGAGCGAGTTCTCATGATATCTGGGTGTTTGAAAGTGTGTCGCATCTCCCCCACTCTCTTTCTTCCTCCTGCTCCAGCCATGTAACATGCCTGCTCCCCCTTCACCTTCTGCCACGATTGAAAGTATCCTGAGGCCTCACCAGAAGCTGTCATGCTTCTTATACAACCTACAGAACCATAAGCCACTTAAACCTTTTTTAAAAAAATTACTCACTCTCAGGTATTTCTTTATAGAAATGCAAGAACAGACTCACACAGAAAATTGGTGTTGGAGGTGGGGCCTGGTGGGAGGTGATTGAATCATGGAGGTGGGTTTCTTATGAATGATTTAGCACCATCCACTTTGGTGCTGCCTTCATAATAGTGAGTTCACATCAGATCTGGTTGTTTAAAAGTGTGTAACACCTCCCCTCTGGCTCTCTTGCTGCTGTTCTGGCCATGTGATATGCCTGCTCCCCCTTCACATTCTGCCATGATTGTAAGTTTCCCAAGGCCTCCCCAGTGACTGAGCAGATTCCAGCGTTGTGCTTCCTGTACAACCTGTAGAACTATGAGCCAGTTAAACCTCTCTTCTTTATATATTACCCAGTCTCAGGTATGTCTTTATAGCAGTGTGAGAATGGGCTAATACCCCTGCCAAATGTGACCTGCAGTTTATCAAAGTCAACAAATTAAAAAGCTGCAGGGGTGATACAAGTGAGAGGAGGTAAGATTGTGGATGCAGTCCATGGCTGTGGGCATCAACATAGAGAGAAAAGAACTTGTTGGAGGGATATTAAAGATAAGCATGACCTGAGACTAATAACTGGGTTTGGGGCATGCGGCAGGCAGAATAAAAATGCACATGTCCTAATCCTTGGAGCTTGTGAATACGCAACCTTTCTTGTCAAAAGGGAGTTTGCAGATGTGATTAAGTTAAGGTTCCTGAGATGGGAAGTTGATCCTGGATTAGCCAGGTGGCCCTGTGTCATCACAAGGGTCCTTATAAGAAAGAGGCAAGAGGGTCAGAGTCAGAGAGAGATTTGAAGGTGCTATTGATATTGCAGAAGAATGATCAATAGCATCTTCAAATCTGATCTTGAAGAAGGAAAGCATGAGCCAGGGAATGCTGGCAGCCTATAGACATTGGAAGTGACAAGGAAACAGATTTTTCCCTACAGTTTGTAGAAAGAAACACTGCTATTTTAGTCTGTTTTCACACTGATGATAAAGACATATCCCAAACTGGGTAATTTATAAACAAAAAGACATTTAATGGACTCACAGTTCAACATGGCTGGGGAGGCCTCACAATCATGGCAGAAGGCAAAAGGAACATCTTACATGGTGGCAGGCAAGTGAGAGTTTGTGCAGGGAAACTCCCCTTTATAAAACCATCAGATCTCATGAGACTTATTCACTATCATGAGAACAGCATGGGAAAGACCTGCTTGCATGATTCAGTTACCTCCCACTGGGTCGTCCCACAACACATGAGAATTGTGGGAGCTACACTTCAAGATGAAATTTCGGTGGGGACACAGCCAAATCATATCGACTGCCCTGCCTACACCTTGATGTTAACCCAAGCAGGACTTTTCATCTCCAAAACAGTAAAATAGTACTTGGGTGTTTTTTAAAGCCCCTAAGTTTATGGTAGTTGGTTACCGCAGCCACAGGAAGAAAATACAGGACAGATGAGGAGAGAGACAGCAGGTTGATTCCCAGGTTGTGGAGGACAACTACATGGATGGTGGATCTCTCACCTGGTCCTTCCACAGAGGAGTAGTTCTGGGAATAAATACATATTTTCTTTTGCACACCTTGCATTTGTAACCATGACAGAGCAATCTGTTTCAACTTTTATGTAACAAAGTTATGAGTTGTTTTTCAGTTATCATGCATCCCCAGTTTAAGGTCACCTAACCTGGGCATTCCCAGATGAACCAAGGTGGAACCTAAGTCCTTGGAACAAGGAATGGGAACTGAATTAAGAAGCAGACACTGCATGGCAGGATCCACGATCCAATCAGATTGAGCCCTGGTGTCACCACATGGCGGAATCCAGTCAGATGACGCCTCCCACCCTCACCTCATTGCAAGATCCAATCACATCATGCCTCATTATTCCATGTTTATAAAACCCAACCTATCTCCCAATCAGGGAGACAGATTTGAGCATTTCCTCCTGTCTCCTTTCCTTGCCAGTTGAGTTGCAATAAAGCTTTTCTTTTCTCAAAAGCCAGTGTCATGGAATTGGCTTCTTTTTGCGTCAGACAAGAGCCCATTGATTGCTCAGTAACACATTTGAGATGGAAATGGATGGTAGACAATTGGCTAGAAATCCAGAGTTCTGAGGCCAAGTTCTCTGCGCTGAGGACAGAGAAGAGCTGGTGTTCAAGCTGTTTGACCATGGGTCTGAATGAATCTGTGACTGCCTTCCGGCCTTAGAAAAACAAAATAGCCATATCCGTGCAGGCTATTAATCAACTGGGTGTGCAAGTCCTTCACACAACAGCCAACACGCACACCATCCTTATAGATGGTGCAGATGAACACATAGCCATTGAGAACATCTTGCAGAACATCAATGTTTAGTGTACCAACTATGAACAACACACTATTTTTTTACTTCAGATCTCATAGCATTTTCCTCTGGTTCCTTCAAATATTTTAATCTATTGGTCTTTCTCCTTCTCAACATGTTTCCTAGTTTTCTATAACCATTGCCAAGTCCTCTGCATCTTAAAATAAACTCCCTCTCATTTTGATAGTATGGCTTCCATCAGTCACATTAGTGAGAGTCATTGCAGAGGTGACAGGGAAGGACAGAATTCAAACAGCATTTGGTGTAGGAGAAAATAAGCCAGAGCTATCATAAGGAGAGTGTAGAGGAGGAAAAATGAATTCCTGGGCACCAGTCTATGGAGATGCAGCAAAATCACCAAGGGGGGTGTTTTCTTTGATTTTATTTTCCTCTGAGTTGTGGATTTTAGGTTTGTTGAACAATGGCTGGGTGTGGTGGCTCACGCCTGTAATCCCAGCACTTTGGGAAGCTGAGGTGGGTGGATCACGAGGTCAGGAGATCAAGACCATCCTGGCTAACACGGTGAAACCCCATCTCTACTAAAAATACAAAAAATCAGCCAGGCGTGGTGGCAGGCGCCTGTAGTCCCAGCTACTCGGGAGGCTGAGGCAGGAGAATGGCGTGAACCTGGGAGGCAGAGCTTGCAGTGAGCCGAGATCGCACCACTGCACTCCAGCCTGGGCGACATAGTGAGACTCTGTCTCAAAAAAAAAGAAAAGGTTTGTTGAACAATGAAACCAAGTCTGGTGATGCATGTATTCATTTCCAAGCAAAATCTAGTGCAGGGATTTTGGGGGTGGGGGGGTGGGGCAGGTAGGGGAAAGTGGGCAGGTTTATTTATTCCTAACACCATTTATGCACATGACACTGCTTTGAATAGATTCAGCCTCCTTTATACCTGGGAAACCACTCCCTATCCAGTTAGCACCAGTTGCCAGAAAGCTCTATTGTATAATATCAAACTCAATCTGATCGTTAATGTTACTTACCTCAGCCTTGTGCCTCCAAGAGTTTATAGATCTTGAAATAAAAGACATCTTGTAGGTTGTAAGGTTGTCTACATTTCCTCATCCTAAGAAAAAGAGAAAAGTGGCAAAGAAGGAAGAGGAGGAGGAAGAAGAAAAGGAGGAGGAGGAGGTGGAGGCTTGGTCATAACACTTAGCCTCTGTGGCTAAGAAAGTTCAGTTCCAGCCTGAAACCTATTCGGCATGTTGAATAATGTTCTACTTCTTTGAGTTCATGTTATCACTGGACTATCTTATTGTTTTAGGATGCGTATGGCTGATACTAAATTCTTATTCCATTCCTTGAGTACTAAGGTTTCGTGAAGTAATTTGAACACAAAAGTCCACTAACAGATTGCTTCTATTATTGCTGTAACCTGAGCAGTATTGAGTTTTCCTTCTTTCTAAGGCAGACATTGGCAAATGATGGTACTGGTCCAACCCAGCCTGCTTCTGTTTTTGTAAATGAAATTTTATGGACATGAAGTCATGACCATTTGTTTACACATTGCCTGTTGCTGTTTTCATGCTGTAGAAGTAGATTTGAGAAATTGTGGAGACCCCATGGCCCCAAGAGCCTAAAATACACATCCTCTGGCCCTTCACCAAAAACATTTGTTAGTTCCTGCTGTAGAAGATCAATAGTCTTGTGGAGCAAAGTGTGTAGCAAAACAGATTCCTCGTCTGTGATATGCTTGCTGTTTAATATTTTTATGACTACCATGATATCGACTAAGTAAGGAAATAATTGAGAGAAAATCACAAGCCATTCATGAGTACTAAAGAAAAGATTTAAAAGAGAGAAAGGAAGGAAGGAAGGAGGAGAAAGAAAGGAAGAGGAAGGAAGAAAGGAAGGAGGGGAAGAGGAAGGGAGGGAGGGAAGGAAAAAAGGAGGAAGGGAAAGAAGGAGGAAGGGAGGATGGGAGGAAGTGAAGAAAAGAAGGAAGGAGGGAAGGAAGGAAAGAAGAAGGGAGGGAAGGAAGGAAGGAATGGAGGGAAGGAAGGAAGGAAAGAAGGGAGGGAAGGAAGAAAGGAAGGAAGAAGGAAGGAAGGATGGGAGGGAGGAAAGGTGGGAGGGAAGGAAGGAGGGAGGGAGGGAAGAAAGGAAGGAGGGAGGGAAGGAAGTAAGGAAGGAAGGGAGGGAGGGAAGGAAGGAAGGAGGGAAGGAAGGAGGGATGGAGGAAAGGAAGGAAGGAAGGAAGGAAGGGAGGGAGGGAAGGAAGGAAGGAGGGAAGGAAGGAGGGAGGGAGGGAAGGAAGGAAGGAGGGAGGGAAGGAAGGAAGGAGAAAGGGAAGGAGGAGGGAGAAAGGGAAGGAAGGAGGGAGGGAGGGAAGGATGGAAAGAGGGAAGGAAGGAAGAAGGAATGGAGGGACAGAAGGAAGGAGGGAGAAAAGGAAGAAAGGAAGGAAAGAAGGAAGGAAGGAAGCAAGGAAGGGAGAGAGAAAGGAAGATGCCATACCAAGAGCAGTGAGACCATGTAGAATTCTACCCTAAAGATGAACAATAAAATATGCAAGAAAAAGTGTTTACTTTCATAACATAATTCTCTTTCCTACATATAAAATGTCTGTCTGGACCACTAGATTTAAAAAAAAAAAAAAAAAAAAAACTTCTCCTACTTATGTTCACATACAGAGTTTCTTTCAGTATTCTGACTTCAATTTCATTCTCCAACATTTTTTCTCTGTGATATGGGACTATTTAAGTCTAACATCTGCAGTTCTTGGAAAAGGCGATTGTTTCAAACATATCTAATAACATCTTATGGGTCTTCACAATTGAAGAGGAACTATATTTTACTTTGAATATGCTGACATATATTAACATGGTTAGGATTTGTGTCCCCAACCAAATCTCATCTTGAATCGTAATCCCCATAATCCCCACGTGTCAAAGGAGAGACCAGGTGGAGGTAATTGTATCGTGGGGTCAGATTCCCCCATGCTGTTCTCATGAACATGCTGTTCTCAAGTGAGTTCTCATGAGATCTGATGGTTTTATAAGAGGCTCTTCCCCTTTGCTCAGAACTTCTCCTTCCTGTCACCTTGTAAAGAAGGTGCCTTGCTTCCCTTTTGCCTTCCGCCACGATTGTAAGTTTCTGGAAGCCTCCAGAAGCCTCATGTTAAACTGTGAGTCAATTAAACCTCTTCCCTTTAAATATTACCCAGGCTCAGGCAGTTCTTCATAGCTGTATGAAAATGGACTAATATATTCAGATAGAATTTGGATGTTAGTTATCTGTATTTACAGTGAAATAGTTTGGCTCTGTGTCCCCACCCAAATCTCATGTTGAGTTTTAATCCCCAGTGTTGGGGGAGAGGCCTGTTGGGAGGTGATTAAATCATGGGGGTGGATTTCTCCCTTGCTATTCTCATGATAGAGTTCTCACAAGATCTGGTTGTTTTAAAGTGTGTAGCACTTCCTCCTTCACCGTATCTCTTTCTTCCAGGCCATGTGAAGATGGACCTACCTCCCCTTTGCCTTCTCCAATAATTGTAAGTTTCCTGAAGCCTCCCCAGAAGCAGAAGTCTGTACAACCTGCAGAACCACGAACACAATTAAACCTCTTTTCCTTATAAATTACCCAGTCTCAGGTATTTTTTTCACAGCAGTGTGAAAACAGGCTAATACATACAGCATGAATTTTGACATGATTTGACTTCCTTTTGAAATTTGATAACATATGTTAACACAGCCCACTCCAGCCCTTCTCTGAGAATGACCTGCTGGCCTTCATACCTATATTTCTGGGACATACACAGCATGAAACCACTTGGGTATTTATGCTAGGTCTGACCTATAAATTTTAGTGATTTCATATTGCCTCTAATAAGTTAAGATGCAGTGACTACCTTTCCACAGTGGTTTCCAGTTGCTATCCAAGTTTCATTGTAGGCTATGTCAATGCTGAGAGGTGAATATCAGTTCAGAGGACTTTGCTAGATATCTTTCTTTTTTCTTTTTCATTCTTTCACCTTCTGCTCTGCGCATGATAATACCCTTCAATAATGCAAAATGGTGCAATAGTTGTTCTTCAGCAATGATTCTGCCAGACCTTAACAACCATAATCTTTAGCAACAAGTTCAGGAAGAATTACACTTTCAACATTTCACAAGGTCATGGAGTTAATACTTATATCCATTTTTCTTCATTTGTCATGAACATCCTAACTGTTGTATATTACCAGACCATCAAAATTTGTCCTATTAAAATGCATATTAGAAAATTTAATATTCAAAGGATAATGGAGTAATTTTTTTCCATTTCTGGAAAGTGTACAATAGGAATCAGTTATTCAATGCTGATATAAGAAAAAAAAACTCACTTACTCTATGAAAATAAGCAAGTGATCATAGACAAACATACATGGGGCCTGAGGCTGGAGTGTGGGTTGAAAAGAAGGTAACAATGTGCAGTGTAATACAAGGTTAGAGTGAGCAGACTATGGTTAACTTAGACCAGGGACTACATGTCCTTTTTCATCAAGGCTGCCTTAGGCACAGAGAACTGTCCACAAGGTCCCTGATGTCTACAAACTTCCCAGTTCTCCGTTGTTTTTGTTACAAAATTAATTTTTTTAATGAAGAAAAATACAAACATTACTGAAAGACGTAGAAGACACAAATATAAATGAAGTCATATGGCATGATTTTGGATGAGACTTTTCGATATTGTTAACATGTTAGATATTTCAGAGTTAGCATATCAGGTTTGACACAACACTAATGAAAACCACAATGGAATTTTGCTCTGTTCTTTAGATTAAGAAGTGATTTTTCTGATCATCTGAAAGAACAAACATACAAGCACAGTCATGGCAATTTGAGTAAAAAGATCAATACAGGAAGAGAGAGGAAGATTTGAATTATCTTGGTATAAATTTCAAATTATTAAAATCATGTTATAGTATAATAGCTGTGTGGTGACTGATTATGCAAAAAATGAAGTAGCCAAATAAAAAACAAATGAAAAAGCAAAAAAGCAAAAGCGTATTGGATTGCCTTGTAATGCAAGGCTATAAGCATTTGGATTAATTCTTTAGGAAAAAAAATTCATTTCTTACCTAATTGAACCCCAGGATTAAATATAGTTGTTAGGAGTCCCTCTTCCAGTTCAAGAAAGAATATCACTCTCATCTTAATAAACAAAACAATAGATATTTGTTAAAAAGATGTTTTAAGTTAAAAAAATCATAGTTTCTTAAACATTTGTGGTTTTTTAGGTTTGTTTTCGGTTTTGTTTCGTTTTGAGATGGTCTTGCTCTATTGTCCATGCTAGAGTGCAGTGGTACCATCGTAGCTCACTGCAGACTTAAACTCCCATGCTTATGGGATCCTCCCACCTCAACCTCCAGAGTAGTTGGGACTACAGGCACATGCCACCATGCCCAGCTAATTTTAAAAAATAATTTTATAGAGACAGGGTCTCGCTGTGTTGCCCAGGCTTGTCTTGAAGTACTGGCCTCAAGCAATCCTCCTGCCTTGGCCTCCCAAAGTGCTGGGATTATAGGCATGAACCATTGCACCTAGCTAAAAATTTTAATTAAACCTCAGGAAACAATGAAACACCTATAAACTCAATTCCAAAAAGTAACAGCTCTATATAAGAAAGAAAATACCCCTGACTACTTTCATCTTTGTTGGAGTTGGAGAGGCAGAGGAAGCTGCTAATGTGGGAAAGGAGACACTAGCTAAACTTTTTATAAAATGTAGTGACCACAGGCAGGTAGGCATATCAGGTTAGACAACTTAGGAGTCCTAGTCTCTGAACATATCTTCATCCACCTGCCACCTGCTTCCCAAACCTCTCTACAGAGGGTAGAGTGATAGTACATCAAATGTGGTGGAGACAGGAAGAAAGAGCTGGGAGACATAGCTCTGCAGACACAAGGAATCTACCCCAAGTTCAAGGCAGCCTCTCTCAGAAGGTAGGGATCAGGGAAGGAAGCCTGAATGAAACCCTGCATGGTCATCTCTGACCTTTACAGAGTATGGGACAATAGCCCTCCAAAGACTGAAGGCAGTGTCACAAGGTGGAGAAAGTTCTCTTGAGGTACAGAAAGCTGGGCATGAGAGACAGAGCAAATAGGCATGCCAGCAATACCTGAAAAATAGCATCGAAACATTCCATGAAAAATTCCAGACATAAACAATTCCCAAGTTTTAAATTGCATGTTGTTCTAAGTAGTATGTATTATTCTGTTCTCACAGTACTATTACTACCCAAGACTGGGTAATTTATAAAGAAAAGAAGTTTAATTGACTCACAGTTCCACATGGCTGGGGAGGCCCCAAGAAACTTACAATCATGGCAGAAAGCAAAGCAGGCACATCTTACATGGTGGCAGGAGAGAGAGCATGCAAGGAGGAGAAATGCCAGATGCTTATAAAACCATCATATCTCATGAGAACTCACTCACTATCACAAGAAGAGCATGGGGAAACCATCCCCATAATCCAATCACTTCCCATCAGGTCTCTCCCTAAATACTTGTGGATTGCAATTCAAGATGAGATTTGCATGGGGACACAAAGCCTAACCATATCATAGCATCATGAAATCTGCCAGCATCCCTCTCTGTCCTGCCTGGAACATGAATCAACTTTCTTTTCAGCATATCTATGCGGTAGACATTTAGGAGCCATCTCAGTTATCAGATCCACTGTCCTGGTATGGCAGTGCCTGTGGTCAAATAACCCTTATTTTCCTCAATAAGCACAAGAGTGGACATGCCAGCATGTTGTTATAATTGTTCTACTTTGTTATCAGTTCTGTTAATCTCTCATTGTGCCTAATTTATAAACTAAACTTTGTCATAGGTATGTAGATATAGGAAAAATATAGTATTAATATCTATAGGGTTAAGTATTCTCTGCAGTTTCAGGCATTCACTAGGGGTCTTGGAACATATCCCCTTTGGTAAAGGGGAAAAAATGGAGTATAATTTTTCTAAAGTTGACTGTGATATGTTAAAGATAAATATTGAATTATCTACAGTCATGCTTTTTAACAGAACTTTCTGAGATGATGAAAGTTGCATTAGCCTGTTGGAAATGATATAATAAAATACCAGAGACTGTGTAGCTTATAAACAACACTAACATATTTCTCATAGTCTGGGAGGCTGGAAGTCCAAAATTGAGACACCAGCAGATTCAGTGCCTGATGAGGACCTGCTTCCTGCTTCATAGATGACACCTTCTCACTGTGTTCTCACATAGTAGAAGGGGTAAGGGAACACGAATCCCATTCACAAGGCCCCACTCTCATGACCTTATCACCTCCCAAAGTACCCACTTTCTACTACCATCATTTTGGGGGTTAGGTTTCAATACAGGAATTTGGTGAGAGGACATAAATATTTAGTCTATAGCAGAAGTATTCTACATCATTCAATATGGTAACCATCAGCCACCTTGGCTAGTGAGCACTTGAAGTGTGGCTGGTGTGATTGAGGGGCAAATTTTTAAAATTGTATTTAATTCTACTTTCTTTCAATATCCATATATGACTAGCAAGTACCATATTGGAAAGTAAAGCTCCAGGGTAGAGGTGGGCAACCTTTTTCTATTAAACACCAGGCAGTATATAGTCATAGGAGGGGTCCCCAACCCCTGGGCCATGGACCAGTACTGTAGCCACACTGCAGGAGGTGAGCAGTGGGTGAGCGAGTGAAGCTTCATCTGTATTTACAGTCACTCCCCATTGCTCACATTACCACCTGAGCTCTGTCTCTTGTCAGATCAGCAGCAGCATTAGATTCTCACAGGAGCGCAAACCCTATTGTGGACTGCACTTGTAAGGGATCTAGATTGTGCACTCCTTATGAGAATCTAATGCCTGATGATCTGTCACTGTCTCCCATCAACCCCAGATGGGACTGTCTAGTTGCAGGAAAACAAGCTCAGGGCTCCCACTGATTCGACATTACAGTGAGTTGTATAATTATTTCATTATATATTACAATGGAATAATTATAGAAATAAACTGCACAATAAATGTCATGTACTTGAATCTTCCCTAAGTCAATCACCCCAGCTTGGTCCATCGAAAAATTGTCTTCCACAAAACTGGTCCCTGGTGCCAAAAAGGTTGGGGACTGCTGTTCTATAGTTTTGGATTTATAGACTGACAGGCAATGTCAAGGATATCATGTTGGTACATATATAACTATTTAAAATGTAACCTATTTAAAAATGTAGAAACCCTTCTTAGCTAGTAGACCATACAAAACCAGGTGGTGGGCTACAGCTTTGCTATAGAATAATCACTAATATGTGTATGTGTGTGTGTGCATGTATATGTGCATATACATGTATAGGTATATATGCATGTGTATGTATATATACATGCATGTACATACATATATATGTATATGTACATACATACATATATGTGTATTTTTTAGTAGAGTAGATAAAACCACATACTAAGTGTATTAGTCTGTTCTCATGCTGCTAATAAAGACATAACTGAAATGGGTAATTTATAAAGGAAACAGGTTTAATGGATTCACAGTTCCACATGGCTGGGGAGGCCTCACAATCATGGCAGAAGGCAAATGAGGAGCAAAGCTGCATCTTACCTGGCTGCAGACGAGAAAGTTTGTACAGAACTCCCATTTATAAAACCATCAGATCTCATGAGACTTATTCACCACCACAAGAAAAGTATGGGGGAAACTGCCCCCATGATTCAATTATCCCCACTGGCCCCGTCCTTGACACGTGGGGATTATTACAATTCAACGTGAGAGTTCGGTTGGGACACAGTCATATCACTAAGAAAGAGTCAATCCAAAGGAAGGTATGAAATGAGTAATGGAATTATAAGAAACAGGTAGAAAATAACTGTGGTAGAATTATACCTACCTGAAATTCACACATACATTTTGGTTGGATAGTAAATGGCAAGACTACTTTGTAAAATCATCTGAAGTATTTTTTATAAAGTCAGACATACGATGATGCCACAACCCAGCACTCCTTCTCCTAGATATTTATTCAAGAGGAACGAAAATACAAGTCCTCACAGAGACTCTTCAAGAATGTCTACAGCAAGATTATTTGTAATAAAGAAAAACAGGAAACAACCCACATGTCTATGAAGAGGGGAATGAATAAACAAATTGCAATAGAGTCACACAATGAATACTATAGTAGTCCGATTTCACGCTGCTGACAAAGACATACCCAAGACTGGGTAATTTATAAAGACAAAGAGGTTTAATGGACTCACAGCTCCACGTGGCTGGGGAGGCCTCACAATCATGGTGAAGGCGAATGGCATGTCTTACATGGTGGCAGACAAGAGAGAAAATGAGAGCCAAGTGAAAGGGGTTTCCCCTTATAAAACCATGAGATCTCGTGAGACTTATTCACTACCATGAGAACAGTATGAGGGAAACGGCCCCTATGATTCAATTATCTCCCATCAGGTCCCTCCCATAAGACATGGGAATTTGGGGAGCTACAATTCAAAATGAGATTTGGGTGGGGACATAGCCAAACCATGTCAAATACTATTCATCAACAAAAGCCAATGGAGGAATAGGTGCACATCTTGGTAAATGTTTAGAAATTGGACACACCTATATAATCACTATGCACATCAAGAGCTGGATCAAAATGAGCAACCTTGAAATCCCCCTTGTGTCCTTCCCAAGGAGGTCAATTTTGCTTCCTTTTAAAGATTTCTGTATTTTCCAAACTTTCTACAAAAAAGGTAAACATTTTTAAATAAATATTTTTCAGTAAGTTCCTTGTCTTTATGGAGTTTCTGTGCCGATTTTCCTAGAATTGAGATGCTCTGCTAGCTTGCATATAAAACATGACATATTTAAAATAAAATATTATCTTTTCAATGATTATCCTGGAACTGTCCTCTGAAGCAATTCAGAATACAATTAAAGATTTAATTTAATGTCCGTGAACCTTAATTTCTAATTTGGATATAGGCTGGAGCAAATAGATTGTAAAAAATTTTTAACAAAAATTGATATTGTTTCTCATATCATTTCCTAAGGATTTGATAATTTATGCTATCCTTAATGACTTTGTACCTCTTCAAAGCACATTGATGGAAATTGATTTTCCTGATTATTTCAGCAGTCTTTGGGAGGTAACATATTTTAGTGACACCCTGGAAAATCTCTCTAGTGTACTCTCTAAGTTACCCAGGACAACAGCTGCTACAGAAAGAAATCTCTTCATACCACCCACCTTTGTTCAGCCAGAAACAAAAATAGTGCTTTGATTGCTCTCTCTGACCTACTTTTGTGAAGGAGTACTAACGACCTAAATTCCCAAAGTCGTGGGCCTTGGAGAAACTGTACAGGATTTTCCAACCCGTCCTCATAACCTTAGGCCGAATTCCACTTCCACTGTGCTAGATTCACACAAGCCTGTACTTTTCCTAGAGATTTGCAAGGATTTTGCACCATTCGCTTTGGATTGTCTATCAGATCTTTATGGAAGTGTATGGCTTTCTATTTTGTATTCCAAAAAATAATATGTAACCGGTTCATTTAATGGCATTATGAAGTTTCAGAGTTAGGCAATGCAAAGGAGGACTGAGCACAGGACATTTGGACTTATAAATTTGTCTGTCACACACCCTAGCCCTATTAGTAGTTCACAGAACCCATTTTTAGGAATCATTATTACATCAGAATCTATCCAGAAAAATCAGCATCCTTACCTGGTCACTGGCCAATGCCAGCCTGAGGGATACCCAGCCTCCCAGGTCTTTCTTGAGTCTTTACCTCGGACATGATAGGTTCACATCATTGTTTCCAGTGCTTGGCTTTAAATAGTTGTGTCCTGTCTCCTGACCCTTTCATTCATTTCAGCCACCTTCTTTTCTCTAACTAACACACATAGTTATAATCTATAGACTGGCAGGTTTCAAACATTGGCCCTCAATT
This sequence comes from Homo sapiens, assembly GCF_000001405.40. NCBI lineage: Eukaryota > Metazoa > Chordata > Mammalia > Primates > Hominidae > Homo > Homo sapiens. The sequence goes on from NC_000023.11 coordinate 6,630,677, forward strand.
CTGACTCATTTCAGAGTCAAAAGAACCCTCATGAAAGACCACCTGGCATGCAGGTGCATCAAGTTCCAGAAGGGACCCTTGACTGACCTTGCCGACTTTCCTCTACCTTTTCATCCCTTATCATGCACCATCAGTAAGTTCTCTTCAATCTAATATCTACGTATGTGTACATGTGTGATTACGTTTGTGTACCTGTACTTTGTTTTGTTCTTTTTCCAAATTTGTGCATTTTCTTAATTTTTACTGCAACCACCCAACTTCACACCACTGTCTTCTTCTGCCTGGACTGTTATAGTAGACTCCCAGCAAGGTATCTCAGACTCCCTCATGTGCACCTCCAATCCATTCTCTTCAAGGCAGCCTGAGTGACCTTTCTAAAACAAAATTTAGATTGGGCAATTGGGCCACTTCTCTGCTTAAAATCTTGCAATTATTTTATTTGTTTTTTTGATTTAACATTTGGGTAGTCAAAATGTTTAAAATGGCCTACATAGGCTCTACTTCGTTAATCTTGCCCCTGCTTCTGTCCTCCAGAACATTACATTATAATGATAAAATGTTCCTGAAGAGACACCAAAGCTTATAAATGGAGTCACTTAAAATATTTTCGTAGGATTTAAAGCAATTTCTACTGTTTTTCTGATAGCTGAATTATTTTCTTGAGACAGAGTCTCACTGTGTTGCCCAGGCTGGAGTGCAGTAGTGCAATCATAGCTTACTGCAGCCTCCAACTTCTGGGCTCAAGTAATCCTCCCACCTCAGCGTTCTGGGTAGCTGGGATTACAGGCACAGGTCACCATGCACAGCCAATTTTTTTAAAAAAAATTTGCAGAGACAAGGTCTCAGTATGTTGCCCAGGGCTCAAGCAATTCTTTCACCTGGGTTGAGTTCCTGGGCTAAAGTGATCCTTCCACCTCAGCTTCCCAAAATGTTGGGATTACAGGTGTGAGTCATCGTACCTAGGCTGATAGCTGAAATTTTAACCTCATGGTACTGTTCGCTCAAAAAAAAAAGTGTGGGATAACCTGCTCCCAGTTTCCTGACCCAGGGCAATCACATTATGAGTTCACATTGTAAGACTTTTGCAGAAGACAATTTGAATGCCTTAGCATCAATTCTGTACAGACCCTGAAGGCTCATCATAGAATTAGGAAGACTTCCTCTCTCCTACCTTCTTGTCCATCTAATTGTTCTGTTTCATAAGCCCTATTCTCACAATCAAGGACATAATCACTTTTCAATCTTTATACTGTCCAAATAAGGAATGGAATCTCATTAAAATAAAATTTAAAAATTTATTGGCTGTTGTCTTTATTTGCTAGAGCTGTCATAACCAGATACCACCGACTGGGTGGCTTAACCCACAGAAATGTATTCTCTCACATTCTGGAGGCTGGAAGCCCAAGATCAAGGTGTCCCCAGGGTTCATTCCTCCTGAGGCTTCTCTTCTTGGCTTATAAATGCCACCTTCTCCCTGTGTCTTCACAGGGTCGTCCCTCTGTGTGTGTCTGTGTCCTCATCTCCTCTTCTTATGGGGTGTCTTAGTCCATTTCAGGCTTATAACAGAATACCATAGACTGGGGAGCTTATAAACAGCAGACATTGATTCTCCCACAGTCCTGGAGGCTGGAGGTCCGAGATCAAGGTGTGAGCATGGCTGGTTCCTTCTGAGGCCTCTCTCCTTGGCTTGTAGATGATGTCCTTTCCCTGTGTCCTCATGTGGTCATTCCTCTGTGTGGGTCTCTGTCCTCATCTTCTCTTCTTATAAGGACATCAGTCCTATTGGATCAGAGCCCTCCGTACTGACCTCATTGTATCTTAATCACATCTTTAAAGACTCCATTTGCAAATACAGTCACATCCTGAAATTCTGGGGGTTAGGTCTTCCACACATGAATTTTTGGGGATGAAATTCAGCCTGTCATAAGCACTTTAAATATGAGTGCAGTTCCCGATGCCCTCTTCCACAGCCTATCCCTCTGCATTATTACCTGCAGAAATAACTGATTGGCCTGAACTCCTATGAATATGCAGAAACAACCAATCTTCGCATCAGAGTATTCTAAAAGTATTAAGTGGGATTGGATGCACGTGTCTGTGAGTGTTGCCTAGAATGTCAACCAATGTCAGTGAGCCTTGATCAACATTTCCTCTCTAAGTTCACTTTTCTAAAGCACTGACTGAGGAAAGATCTTAAAACTTTAGACATGGAAAGATTCATTTTTCAAACCCCAGTCTCTAGAAAACACATTACATTAAAACTTGAAAAAAAAATTAGCCATGTTTCAGAAGCAAACTTCATTTTGAAGGAAGGTCAGGAAAAGATATATAATATATATATTCATCATTTGATAGTTGGACCCTTGCCACTGGTAGGTTACTTGAAAGACTATTAACAGAGTCACAAAATCAGAATTTAAATCGAGCCCAGTTTATTTCCTACCACGTGATTTTGGGGAAGGCTAATCACAGAGGTTAGAAAATTAATTAAACATAGAATGAACTCACCTCTATCCTTTGGAAAAGTCTAGAGGGGATACCTTTACAAATTTACAACAGCTTGACAGAGAAATGCCAGTTTCAGGAAAGAAAAAGGCTCGCTACCACAACCTGTAAATTGTTAGAAGCAACATCTTAACAAATCAAAATGGCAGTTCTGTTGCACATCCTGTAGGCTAGTGAGTATGATTCAGAAATAAGCATATAGTTGGTGAAAACCATGATTCACTGGACAATATTTCCAGCAAGACTTCTTTTACTTTAAAGTAAACACTGAGTTTTTTTAAAAAATCTTTTTTGGGGAAAGTTTACCCGCTCCCCTCCCCCCATCCTACCTTCTGTTCTCACTTGATTCCTGTCATAATCCTCAATTTGTTGAATCACAATTGGTTGCTGTGGTGATGATTGCGATATCACAAACAAGATTATGACTTCAAGTGGGGAATAAACAGCAGGCACTCGAACTCTTAACAAATGAAATTCTATCATTATGCAAATAGCCTTCAAATAATCAAGTGTGACCCAAAATGCATAATTTTCTTTTGTGGGATATTTTTCTTCCTTTGGCATAGAAAATGCATCATCATCCACTAGATTCATTTCTAACGAAAATGTCATGGAACTTCAAAGATATATTTTAGGTTGAAACACTCTCGTATATAACAATTAAACATCATCAACATGCTGCAAAGATCATTTTATAAAATGTAATGATTTGTCCAAATTTAACCAGGCAAACTTTCCCAAATCAGAAGAGTAACAGCAATCATACTGAATAATTGCCAAATTATGGGTTTAAAATTAAGGAACTTGTAATAGACATGGAATATGCTTAACTTGGCTTCTGAGATTACAGCAGTTGCTGATCACTCTCATGTAGTGCCTAAATCCTGACCAAAGATACACAGACGGACAGCTAGATAATAGATGAATTGATAGGCGATAGGTATACATATAGATAATACGGATAGGTTGATAGATTATAGATGATTGATAGGTGATAGGGAGATGGATGATAGATCGATAGATAGAAAAAATGATATCTAGTATTCCATGAAAGTCTCCTCTGACCAGAAATACATCTGAATAAATGTGGAGCGCACACACACACACACACACACACACCGTCTTGTTATTCTCATTTTTATGTGATTTGAAGGCTTAAAGAGAATAAGGATTGAGTTGTGTCTATGGCTAATAAGTTTCAGAGTCTGTATTTAAAGCTCAACACTCAGCACTACCCCTTAGGGCTCAAATCCCTTGAAAAAACACAATTATATATAGTCGTAATTACCAGTAATTATTATCTTGGCTCTATGTAGGTTTAACTGTCCAGCTGTCCGGTCATTGCCTGAGGAGAGACTCGAGCTCCTAAAATAAGAGAAGGTGGGAGCAATAAACGTTGGCCTCTGTCAGGGATGCACAACCAAATTGATCATGTGTCTGGTAAACAAAATATCTACAGGACATGTGGCTTAGGGAAAATTTTCTGTAAAGGTTCCCCAACTGTAATATTCTATCATGAGAAATGTTTTTACGCCTCTTTGAATCTTGGAGTTTAACTCAAAGGGACTGGGGTGGGTAGATTTTACACAGAGGATAGGTCTCTTAAAGATTTTCTGATAACGAACACCTTGATGAGGAGTTCTTGGGCCCTTCCTCTATTAGAGGGTAAACTCGTGAAAAATAAGCTATACGATAGGTATTATGTGTTCGTTCTTTTAAAACACAGAATGAAGTGACTTCTGTCATAAGCCCATGGTGATTTCCATTGTTGTTAATACTTCAAGATACAGGGACATGTGAGTTGAAATAAGTGGGGAAATCTATTAGAGAGAGAAGAGACAAGCATAAAAAGCTATTCATATTTCTTTGCAAGACCCATTCAGGAAAGTTGAGGGAGGTGGGGGAGTGTCTGAGGGTTCATATATCTACAAAAACAAAATTTACTTTTATTTATTTATTTAGAGACAGAGTGTTGCTCTGTTGCCCAGGCTGGAGTGCAGTGGTGCAGTCATAGCTCACTGCAGCCCTCACCTCCTGGGCTTAGGCTATCCTCCTGCCTCAGCCTCCTGAGTAACCACACCCTGATAACATTACCATTCTTAAGCTATTGATGACTGCTCCTGGAGGTCATGAAAATTACAGTGAAGGGTCACCCAAATCTACGATGATGGCATATCCCTCTCTATTAGTCCATTCTCACATGGCTATAAAGAAATACCTGAGACTGGTTATTCATAAAGAAAAGAGCCTTAGTTAGCTCACAGTTCTGCAGGCTGAACAGGAAACATAATGCTGGTGTCTGCTCGGCTTCTGGGGAGACCTCAGGAAACTTACAATCATGGTGGAAGGAGAAGAGGAAGCAGGGACATTACATGGCCAGAGCAGGAGTAAGAGAGAAGAGGAGGAGGTGCCACACAGTTTTTAAACCACCAGATCTCACTGGAAGCCACTCACTATCTTGAGGACAGCACCAAAGGAATGGTGCTAAACTATCAGGAGAAATCCACCCCCATGATCAAATCTCCCCCCACCAGGCCCCACCTCCAATACTGGGAATTACAGTTCCACATGAAATTTGGGCAGGGACACAGATCCAAGCTCTATCACCATCTTAGGAATTGTATCCTATGTGTCAGTACTGGATTAGCCCAGCCGCCAGCCAGTAATAAGGATACCATCCAAAGCAAGAATTAACAGGATGTGTCTGTACTGCCGGCTGGGGGCCCTCACTGTGTTCCCTCCCACATCTGTTCTGTTTAGGGAGCAGAAGCCTTGGCCCATATGGTCAGGATGGCAGGATGTCTACTCCACCAGCCTACGACATCTCTGGTCAACATTGGCCTCTCATGACTGATCGCCCGTGCCTGTGTGGAAAAGAGCCCTTCTAGGAAAGCCGTTACTTGGCATTCCAGAGATCTGTTCTTCCTGTGTTGCCATTAGAGTCACAAGCAGGAGCAAGTACCTCCACCCCATGGTTCCTGGAAACAAAGAAAATCAGTCAGCTGGTGGTGGGTTTCTTTGGCTTGTGGAAAGTTAGAGACGCACTTCGATTTCATGAGGAGGTTGTAATGAGCCTGGATCATAACACTGCACTTTAACCTGGGTGACAAAGTCAGACCCTGTCTCAAATAGTAGTAATAATAATGATGATGATGATGATGATGATATTGAGCATCCTTTCGGGTGCCTATTGGCTATTCATGTATATTTTTTGGATAAATGTCTGTTCAGTTTCTTTGCATTTTCAATTTGGTTATTTATTCTTTCATTATTGACTTATAAGAGTTCTTTATATATTCTGGATAATGTCCCTTATAGGATATGTGGCTTTACAATATTTCATCTTAGTCTGTGTGTTGTCTTTTCACTTTCTTGATTGTGTCTTTTCAGGGGAAAACACTTCTAATATTGATAAAGTCCAATTTTTCAATTTTTTTCTTTTGTCATTTGTGCCTCTAGTGTCAAATCTAAGAAATCATTGCCTAACCCAAGGTCAGGAAGAAATATTCATAGGTTTTCTTCTAAGAGTTGTATAATGTAGCTCTTACATTTAGGCCTATGATTCATTTTGTGGCAAGTTTGCGTATGGCATGAGGTGTTTTTTTTTTTAATACATGGACGTATAATTTGGAAATGAGCTTGTTTTGCCTCAGATAAATGAAACAGGCTCTTTGTCGTCTCTTCTCTTTTATCTCTTTTCTTGTTTTAGGTGTCTCCTCATTCCTGGTCCTACATAAACTCATTTTGACATTCGCCTTAGGCATTTCAGAATCTGGCCCTCACCCTTATGGTTTTCACATATCATGAACAATTTTCTTCTTTTACCCTCTTATTTGGGGTGCCTAAGCCTCTCCTCAATGAAATGGCAACCGGTTACAAACGACTAAGCCAAGGTGACAATTACCCATAATTATGGCTTAATAAATATAGATGCCATTGTGGTTTGGTTTTGTAACAACTTTATTGAGGCATAACCTCCATATCTTATTCACATGCATTAAATGTACATTTCAGTGACATTTAGGATATTCACAGAGCTGTGCACCCATCACCATATTGTAATTTACAACATTTCCAGCCAAGCACAGTGGCTCACCTACAATCCCAGCACTTTTAGTGGCCAATGCAGGAGGATGACTTGAGGCCAGGAGTTCAAGGCCAGCCTGGGGCAACACAGCAAGACCCCCCCCCGCATCTCTACAAATAATGAAAAAATTACCCAGATGTGTGCCATGGATCTTTAGTCCCAGCTACTCAGGAGGCTGAAGTGGGAGGATGGCTTGAGCTCAGGAGGTCAAGACTTTAGTGAGCTGTGATGGCACCACCGTACTTCAGCCTTGACAACAGAGTGAAATGCTATCTCTAAAAAATAGTATTAAATTTAAAAAAGAACATGTCCATCACTGTAAAAAGAAAACTCATGCTCATTGTCAGTCACTACCTGTTTCCTTCATCCCACCCTTCCCCTAGCTCTAACAAACTCTCAAACTACTTTGGGTCTTTATAGATTTGCCTTTCCTGGATAGTACATATAAATGAAATCATATTTTATACATTCTATCTATCTATCTTTATTTAAATATTAATTGTGATGAAATATACATGGCATAAAATTACCACCTTAGAGTGTACAATCCAGTGACATTAAGTACATTGTTGTGCAACCATCACAATCATCCATACACAGAACTGTTTTCATCTTGCAAAACTAAAGCTCTTCTTAAACAAGAACTCCGGGCCTGGCATGGTGGCTCACACCTGTAATCCCAGCACTTTGGGAGGCCAAAGGGGGTGGATCACTTGAGGTCAGGAGTTTGAGACCAGCCTGGACAACATAGTGAAACCTCATCTCTACTAAAAAAATAAAAACAAAAAAGAACTCCTATTGCCCCTACAGTATGTGATTTTTTTTTTTTTTTAGTGACTGGCTTTCTTCTCAAAATTTACCCATGTCCTAGCATGTATTAGTACTTCTTTCCTTCCTCCATTGTGTGTATATATTACATTCATCTATGCATTCATCAGGTGGTGGACATGTGGGTTGTTTTCACCTTTTGGCTATTGTCAATAATGACTGCTGTGAACATTCATGTGCAAGTTTTTGTATGGACAAGTGTTCTCACTTCTCTTGGGTAAATACCTAAGAGTAAAATTGCTGTGTCACATGCACACGTATGTTTACTGCGGCACTATACACAATAGCAAAGACTTGGAACCAACCCAAATGTCCAACGATGATAGACTGGGTTAAGAAAATGTGGCACATATACACCATGGAATACTATGCAGCCATAAAAAAGGATGAGTTCATGTCCTTTGTAGGGACATGGATGAAGCTGGAAACCATTATTCTGAGCAAACTATCACAAGGACAGAAAACCAAACACCGCATGTTCTCACTCATAGTTGGGAATTGAACAATGAGAACACATGGACACAGGGTGGGGAACATCACACGCCGGGGCCTGTCATGGGGTGGTGGGAGGGGGGAGGGATAGTATTAGGAGAAATACCTAATGTTAAATGACGAGTTAATGGGTGCAGCACACCAACATGGCACACGTATACATATGTAACAAATCTGCACGTTGTGCACATGTACCCTAGAATTTAAAGTATAATAAAAACAAGAAAAAAAAATTGCTGTGTCAAATTCTATGTTAATATTTTGAGAAACTGCCAGACTATTTTATCAAAGCGGCTGCACAACATTACACTCCCAAATAATATATGAGGGCTCCAGCTTCTCCACATCCTTATGATCATGTTATTGTCTGCTGTTTTTATTTTAACAATCCTAGTGATTGTGATGTGTGAATGTGGTTTTGATTTACATCCCCCTAATGGCTAATACTATTAAGCATTGTGGCTCATGACTATAACCCCAGCACTTTGGGAGGCCAAGGCAAGAGGACTGCTTGAGCGTAGGAGTTCGAGTCCAGTGAGGGCAATATAGTGAGATCTCATCCCTACAAAAATAATTGTTTTTAAATTAGCCAAGCATGGTGGTGTGTGCCTGTAGTCCCATCTACTCAGGAGGCTAAGGTGGGAGGACTGCTTGAGCCCAGAAGTCAGAGGTTGCAGTGAGCCAAGATTGTAACACTGCCCTTCAATCTGGGTAACAGAGACTCTCAAATAATAATAGTGATGATGATGATGATGATGATGATGATGATGATATTGAGCATCTTTTGTGTGTCTATTGGCTATTCATTTATCTTTCTTGGAGAAATGTCTTTTCAGTTCCTTTGCATTTTCAATTTGGTGATATATTATTTTATTATTGAGTTTTAAGGGTTTTTTATATATTCTGGATAACATCCCCCATAGGATATGTGGCTTTCCAATATTTTATCTTTGTATGTTGCCTTTTCACTTTCTTGGTTGTGTCTTTTGAAGAGCAAACACTTTTAATGTTGATAAAGTCTAATTTTTGAATTTTTTTCTTTTGTCATTTGTGCTTCTAGTGTTAAATCTAAGAAATAATTGCCTAACCCAAGGTCAGGAAGAAATATTCATAGATTTTCTTCTAGCAACTGTATAATGTAGCTCCTATATTTAGGCCTATGATTCATTTTGAGGTAAGTTTTTGTATGGTATGATGCAGGGGTCCAGCTTTATTTTGTTTATATATGGACACTCAAGGCAGGAACCACATATATCTTATATGTGATATTTACCCCCAGCACCTAGCCTGTTGCCATGAAAATAGTAAGCACAAAATTCAGATTTTCTAATAGATAGATGTTTAGCTTTTTTGTGTACTTTTAAGTTCAGGGTTACATGAGCAACTTTGTTACATAGGTGCATCATGGGGGTTTGTTGAACAGATTATTTCATCATCCAGGTATTAAGCCTAGTACCCATTAGTTATTTTCCTGATCCTCTCCCTCTTCCTACTCTCCAGCCCCAAGCACGCATTGCTATCTGTTGTTTTCTTCTTTGTGTCCATGTGTTCTCATCATTTAGCTCCCACTTATACCTGAGAGCATGCAATATTTTTTTTTCCGTTCCTGTGTTAGTTTGCTAAGGATAATGGTCTCCAGCTCCATCCATGTCCCTGTAAAGGACATGATCTCATTCTTTTATATGGCTGCATAGTATTTCATGATGTATATGAACCACACTTTCTTCATCCAGTCTATCATTGATGGGCATTTGGGTTGATTCCATGTATTTGCTATTGTGAATAGTGCTGCAGTGAACATATGAGTGCATGTATTTTTATAATAGAATTATTTCTATTCCCTTAGGTGTACACTCAGTAATGGATTGCTAGGTCAGACGGATGTTTTATAACTGTAGAGTCTATGGTTCCAATTCTCAAATCCAGATTTCATGCTTCAGTTGTTACAAAAAGTCAGAAGACAGCAGAATAAGACAGGAATAAGAAATAATATATTATATATATATATATATCTGTATATCTCTTCTACTAAGCATGATACATGAATGGCATTTCATTTTTCTCATTAAACCTTTTCCATCAACTGAGAAGGCACATATTAAAATAAACTATCAAGGATGCAAAAATACCTACTCATGCACTTTGAATGGAACAGTCTGAATAGAATCAAGACAAGAGGCGGACTCTTCAGACAATATTGAGCATCTGCTGGGTTAATAATAATGTTCAGTTACACCAGTCCTTCATTGAATTCTACTGTACCCAGGCATGAAAATCCAGCAGTTTAGATGGCACCAAGAAGGTGCCACAGTTAAGCTGCACAAGCCAGTTACAAAATCGCAAACTATGCAAAATTGATTTCTAGTTCAGAAAGGAAATTATTATAGAATTGGGTAGACATAAAAGGCTGGCATGTGAATCTCATGCAATGACACCCCACCTCTATGCCATGTGTCACTCTGCTATCCACATGCTTTCTGTGGTAACTCGCTAACACACGGTCTGACCTTGTATATCCAAGTGGAATTATCATTTAGTTACTTTACTGCAAACAGCCTATAAATAGTTTTGCAATTATAATCTTGATTTGAAAAATATGAATAGAAAAGGAATAACTTCCTTGGGGAAGCTGTTAAGTGCATTATTATTCCATCTTTCAAATGAGAATGCACTTTTAATCCCAGCCTTCCTCTCTGATCAGAATTTCTTTTATGCACTGGATTCAACAGCACTCTGGAAGTTCATTCTCCACTGCAAGCCCACAGATGCATAATCACACAAGGGAAGGTGCTTCACCCACCACATCTGAGTCTCAATTTTGCCCAATAAGAATCCACTTTTCTCAATGCCATGAATCCCACAAAATGTACATGTATTAGTCCATTTTCATACTGCTATGAAGAAATACCCAAGACTGGGTAATTTATAAGCAAAAAGAGGTTTAATGGACTCACAGTTCCACATGGCTGGGGAGGCCTCACAATCATGGTGGAAGGCAAAGGAGGAGTAAAGGCATGTCTTACATGGTGGCAGGCAAGAAGGCATGTGCAGGGGAACTGCCTTTTATAAAATCATCAGATCTCCTGAGACTTATTCACTATCATGAGAACAGCATGGGAAAATCTGCCCTCATGATTCATTTACCTCACACTATGTCCCTCCCATGAAACATGGGGATTATGGGAGCTACAACTAATGATAAGGTTTGGGTGGGGACAAAGCCAAATCATGTCATTACACAAAGCTAGTTGGGCTGCTTTTTTGAACCACTGAAATAACTCTTCTAAGAGATGTGAAAGGAAAATAAGTCTTGGGGACCCCAAAATCACTAAGCTAAAGGGAAAAGTCAAGCTGGGAACGGCTTAGGGCAAACCTGCCTCCCATTCTATTCAAAGTCACCCTTCTGCTCACTGAGATAAATGCATATCTGATTGTCTCCCTTGGAAAGGCTAATCAGAAACTTAAAACTTAAAAGAATGCAACCATTTGTCTCTCACATACCTGTCATCTGGAAGCCCCCTCCCTGCTTGAGTTGTCCTGCCTTTCCGGACGGAACCAATGTACATCTTACATATATTGAGTGATGTCTTATGTCTCCCTAAAATGTATAAAACCAAACTGTGCTCTCACCAACTTGGGCACATGTCACCAGGACCTCCTGAGGCTGTGTCATGGGTGCATGTCCTCAACCTTGACAAAATAAACCTTCTAAATGAACTAAGACCTGTCTCAGATATTTGGGGTTCACAGAGGTAACTAATTCATGGAAGAAGGTTCTAATGTTATTCAATGGCTTAAAAAAAGCTAATTAGCTGAGACTGAACTGGTTGACTTGACAGACAAGGATATAGTCTGAAAGTAACCACAATTGATATATTAGAATTAGCATTTTGAATGAACTCTGTTCTCCAGCTACTTTTCTCTCTCTTTACAAATTATTTTCTGAAGAAATCTGGTTTTGTAAGTTTTTCTATGTATCTTGATTCAAAAAACTTTGATTTCATACTTAGTTAGAATTGACAAGATTGCCCTCAACCACACTGCATCGTGGAGAGTAATGACCTCCTGGTGAAAATGAAGGATATTTATAAAATTCAGCTCTGCCTGCCTTCATAAATCCACATTTTCAAAGGAGAATGAAACCCACACCCATTGAACCACAAAGAATATTCCCCCCACTTGTCATTTTTCTGTGGACTTTTAAAGTAACATACCTTTCAGAGTCCAGAATGCTCATTTCAAAGAGATTTCTTTTGTTCTGTTATTATCAGTGATGGAAGGGCCTTTATTGGGAGTATTCTGTAACTCATTGTAACTTGCTTTAAAGTGAATATTTCAGCTTCATACCTGGTCATGTGGTTTCTCCTTTAGCTCTTCTTGTTTGCACAGTTAAGCAGGAAGGAAACCAACCATTTGTACAAATAAAAGTGGAGAATTAAGGTATGCTGTCATTTTTAAAATTTCTCCCCAAGGGGTTTTACTGACTGTCTAAACTGGGCTTGTGGGTTATCAGTTTTCTGAAATTCTATGGCCCAATTTGATAGGTACAATTCCAAATTGTAATTTCAAGCACAATCTAGTTGATTGCCCTCAAAATGCTGACCCTGACCCATAAAGACTAGTCAAGGACCACAGGATTTCAGCTTCCTTCTTGGACAGGCTGGGTGTTGGCCACACCGCAAAAGTAACAGGGACATAGCTGATGTATTGGCTTTTCTACACCTGCTGATTTCTATTTTTGTTTAAATATTTAGGGCAGACAGATAGTTAGGTCAGCGTCTTGCCTTCTCTTTGTAGGACTTAATTCCTAGATCAACCCAGGAGCCCTCTTTTGAGGGAGTATATCCATCAAAGCTCCCATGTAAAACCTTGTCTCTGATTTCCTTTAATTTTTTTAAATTTAAAAACAATAAAAATAATCTTTCTTTCTCTCTCTTTTCAGAGAAGCCTAGATCTCAGGGACTGATGTTTCAGACTGAAGAATTCACAACACTGCATTGAAAATATTCCTTCCTCCTTTAAAAACATCCTTTTCTCGTGACACCCACCTCCTCATTCAAATATAGTAAAATCGTGAGAAGAAGACGACAATGGAGAAGCTAGAATCTTGGGACTGGCAACTTTTCAGGAGTCTCTAACAGGATGGAATCCTCTACCTTGGCACTATTGATATTTGAGGCCTGATAATGAAACCGCCTTTGCAAAATTATGACAGTAAGAGAAATCTGATATCATTGACTCCATCTTACTTCTGACCTTTAAGCTGTCCTTGCTCATTCCTGGGCATAGGCCAAGCTAACTTTGGGAGGAATTTAGTTTATGGTTTAACTTTGAAATAAGAATGATTATAGTCCCTCCCTAAAAAATAATCCCCTCCCTTTTAGGGGCTGAAACCACCTTTGTAAGACTAATGAGGAGTCAGAAGATAGACATAGTTTCTCTCATCCCTTACTGCTCAGGAGTCATGTGGCCAACTCACAAGATTTGTGACCTACCCAATCGCTCCTATAGAAAACATCACTACTGTTGTTTTTTTCTGAGTTGTTTTTCAGGCTGACCCCACCCAGACCCAGGACTCATTACTGCACTGTTCCTGTGGTCCTACCCAGAGGTGGACTCAGTGCATGGAGACCGCTTTCTACACTTCTATTATTTCATCCCCAGCCAAGCAGCAGTACCCATTCCCTATGCCCCTGCCCACCAAATTGTCTATAAAACCCTCTAACCTCTAAGCCTTCAGGGAGACTGGTTTCAGTGATAACTCCAGTTCTGCTGCGTGGACCAGTCTCATGTCAATTAAACTCTTTCTCCATTACTGCAATGCTACGGTCTCAGTAGATTGATTTTGTCTGTGCAGTGGGCAAGAAGAACCCACAGGGCGATTACAATAATTCTCTGTGATGGGGCTGTCCTGTGCATTGCACGATGGTTAGCAGCATTTCTGGCGTCCACCCACTAGCCAGTAGTAGAGCACTCCCCTACCTCTAACTATTAAAATGTCTTTGGACATTGTCCCCTGGTGGACAAAATTGGCATTGCTTGAGAACCCTATGATGTTAAGAGGTACTTACCCAAAGAATATGCAACAATTATTATTATCTGCATAGCTATAACAAAATTCTCCTTACTAATGTAAAACCCTTTTTCTATTGTAATGCTTTAAAAAATATTCCACTTTGCATTCCCAAATCATTTTACTAAAAAAGATTTACTCTTCTCATTTCAAGGTTTTGAGAAATCCAGGTGGCCTTGAATGTTAGATTTATCTTTTTGGATAGAAAAATCCTAAGTGTTTTCTGTCTCGCAGATAACTGGCTGGCTCTGTTTCACAAAGTTCTGCAAAGAATGAACACATGTTCTATTCAGTATACAGCCATGTTAAAGATTCCAGAAGTTTTTCTGCTCCAATGTTACCATTGGACTGAATTTAATGAAATTGAAATTGATCAATGGAAAAAAAAACTCCATAAAATATTTTAAAGATGTTTATTCTGAGCCCATAATTGATCGCAGCCCAGGAAAAACACAAACCCAAGAAGCCTTGAGTAAGTGACCCCAAGGCGGTCAGATTACAGTTTAGTTTTAGGGAGACAGGAGTTACAGACAAAGACATAAATCAATATGTGGAAGGTAGATATTGGTTTGACCTGAAAGGTGGAATAACTTGAAGCAGGGGCTTCCAGGTTATAGGTGGATTCAGAGATTCTTTAATTTGCAGCAGGCTAACGAACTAAGACTCTTTCTGGAACTTGGAGTCAGCAGAAAAGAATGGTTAGATTAAGATAAGGAAACTGTATGGGAAGACTGATGGCCTGCAGGCATGACTTAACCTTTGCCTGGCATGGCCTGAGGTTCTATTTATAATTTGGTGTCTAATTGCCACAGGGTCTTGTCAGTCTTGCGGTGGAGAAGTTTTTAACATTAATGCTGGTCAGTTGTATCTAAATTCCAAAAGAGAAGAGGTATAAAGAAGAATGTTTCACTTCTGATATGGTTTGGCTGTGTCCCCACCCAAATCTCATCTTGAATTGTAGCTCCCATAATTCTCACTTGTTGGAGGAGGGACCCCATGGAAGACAATTGAATCATGGGGGGCAGTTTCCCCCATATTGTTCTCGTGGTAGTGAAAGAGTCTCATGAGATCTGATGGTTTTATAAGGGGAAACCATTTTGCTTGGCTCTCCTTCTCTCTTCTCTGCTGCCATGTAAGACGTGTCTTCCGCCTTCCACCATGATTGTGAGGCATCCTGAGCCGCCTGGAACTGTGACTCCATTAAATCTCTTTTCCTTTGTAAATTACTCTGTTTCGGGTATGTCTTTATCAGCAGCGTGAGAACGGACGAATACAACTTCCCTTCCTGTCATGGCCAGAACTCAGTTTTTCAGGATTCTCTGGGGTTCCCTCAGTCAAGACAGGATCTGATCAGTTGGTGGAGAGCTTAGGATTTTATTTTTAGTTTACAAATTTAACAAGATGTGTGATCATATAGTGTTTTCGAACAGTACTTCTGATACCATCTATGTGTCACTTTCTTATCCCAATTCTGCAATTCTCTGATATCAACTGGGTTTCCAACAGCTCCATTCGATTCTGACACTAACACCTCGAGTTAGCACAGACCACACAGGTTAAGGGTTCAGTCCCACAGGGCTGTCATACTTCAAGTCCCAGAGACCACCTATATTTCCGACCCACTGGCTAGAAGTTTGGGGGTTCCCATAATGCCTTCTTCAGGCTCAATAAAAATTCTCTAGAATGACTCACAGAACTTAGGAAAATATTTTACATCACTATTACTGGCTTATTTACAGGATACCAATCAAGAATAGCCAGATGGAAGAGACATATAGAGCAAGGCATGGGGGTGAGGAGGGGCACAGGGCCAAGAACTTCCATACCCTCTGCAGACACTCCACCCTCCCAGCACATCAGTGTGTGCACCCACCTGGAAGCTCCGCATATCATTGCTTAAGGGTTTTCATAGAATTCAGTGCCCAGCTTCACTTCCCTATGGTCAGGGGATGGAGCTGAAAGTTCCCATTCTCTAATCACAGGTTTGCCCTTGCTGGTGACCGGTCCTCACTCTGAGGCTATCTAGGGGTCCCCTCACCACTCATTGGCATAAACTCAGGTACGCTGGAAAGGGGGTCCTTATGAATAACAAAAGACACTCCTCTATCACTCAGGAAATGCCAAGGGTTTTAGAAGCTTTCTGCCAGGCCACAGAGATCAGATTTTTATAGCATAGTGACAGGCAGGAGCACTGGCCCAATCCAGCCACAATATCAGGGCCTGGCTAGGAGGAAACCACCAAAAGGGGAGAAGCTCTGCGTGTTTTGCTGAGCTAAAGGCAGCAAGATTCTGCACAACTAACATTCCTAACAGCTCCTAGAAATGGCCAACCCCTCCCATGGGCATTCAAGTTGTAGCATGTGATAGAATTTCTTTTCTCTTTAAGGCTGAATACTAGTCCATTGAATAGATAGGCTATGTTTTATTTATCCATTCATCTGTCATTGAACATTAGGGTTGCTTCTACTTCTTGGCTATTGTGAATAGTTCTGCAATGAACACGGGTGTGCAAATATCTCTTTGAGATCCTGATTTCAGTTCTTTTGGATATATATCCCCACACAAAGATTGCTGAATCCTTTTAATTTTTTTTTTCAAAGAAAATGGGCAACATAGTTGAAGTCAGCATCGGGGAATGAAATTGCTGACACTTAGATACATTTAGATAAAGATAAGATAACAATCCAGGGAAAGGAGTACTTTCTCCACATTTATTTCCCCAGAGCTCTGTAAACAGAAATCTGAGAGACAATTACAATTTGAGGAGCTGGAGTCCCTGGAAGTCATGCAAATTCTGTATTTACAGTAGCTTCCGTGTCTTCATTTCCAAATATTTTTCATCTCTACAATGTTTTCACCTAATCAGGTTTTTGGGGACTATTTGTGATTCTATTATTTTACTTGAAAAAATGGTATGTCGGGCCCTATGTGATGTTGTTTATCATAAAATACCTGAGGAGGAACTCTGGTCCTGTGATAGTCATTTAAAACCAGCCATTAGGCTGGGCGCCGTGGCTCACGCCTGTAATCCCAACTTTTTGGGAGGCCAAGGTGAGCGGATCACTTGAGGTCAGGAGTTCAAGATCAGCCTGGCCAACATGGTGAAACCCCATCTCTACTAAAAATACAAAAATTAGCCGGGCATGGTGGTGCCTGCCTGTAATCCCAGCTACTCAGGAGGCTGAGGTACAATAATTGCTTGAATCCAGGAGGCGGAGGTTGCAGTGAGCCAAGATTGTGCCACTGCACTCCAGCCTGGGTGACAGAGGAAGACTCCCCCTTGAAAGAAAGAAGAAAGAAAGAAAGAAAAGAAAGAAAGAAAGAGAGAGAGAGAAAGGAAGAAAGAAAGAAAGGAAGAAAGAAAGAAAGAAAGAAAGAAAAAGAAAGAAAGAAAGAAAGAAAGAAAGAAAGAAAGAAAGAAAGAAAGAAAGAAAGAAAGAAAGAAAGAAAAAGGAAGGAAGAGGGGAGGGGAGGGGAGGGGAGGAAGGAAGGAGAATGGTAGTTATCAGGCGCTGAGGGAGGGGTAAATGGGAAGATGTTCAATGAGGGTAGAGTTTTAGTTGTGCACAATGTGAAAAAGTTTCAGAGATCTGTTGTACAGCAATGTGAATATATTCAATATATTTAATGCCACTAAACTGTACATTTAAAAGTGGTTAAGATGGTAAATTTTATGTTATATGTTTTTTACTGTAATAAAAAATAAGTAGGAATATATTGAGTTGCACATTTTAAACGGGTGAGCATTATGGCATGTAAATTATATCTCAATAAAGATGCTAAAAATTAAAAGAAAAATAAATATTGTGAATTCCAGAAAGTGTTATGGTCTACTTAAGAGAATCTCATGTTTTGCCTTTACATGTATGTGTACAAATGTGTACGTATATATAGATTTTGGCAATTATCATTCTTTTCTTTTCTTTTCTTTTCTTTTCTTTTCTTTTGTGTGTGTGGCAGGGGGATGGTGTCTCTCTCTGTCAGTCAGGTTGGAATGCAGTGGTACAATCTCAGCTCATTACAGCCTTGGCCTCCAGGACTCAAACGACCCTCCCACCTCAGCGTCTCGAGTAGCTGCTACACCTGGCTGATTTCTTTAGTTTTTGTAGAGATAGGTTTTGCCCTGTTGCCCAGTCTGATCTCAAACTCCTGGGCCCAAGCCATCCTCCCACCTCAGCCTCCCAGACTGCTGGGATTACAGATGTGTGCCACTGCATCTAGCCTCATTATTTCTTTTAGAAGACATTTATCAATTGTTTTCAATACACATCAGCATTAAAACCTTCATTTTCATGTAGCCATGCAGAAATAAAACAAGTCATTGTCTTCTCTGTGGCTCATGTTGAGGAGGAAAAACTTTTCCTGTCCCCGCTTAAGTCCTAAAATTGAGAATATGTAAACTAAACTGACAAAATACAGATTTGCAAGAGAAAAAGCAGATCGTTATTTACTTGTATGTGGGAATTAACAGAAAAACATGACTCAAGGAAAGAGAATTTAGGGCCTATATACTATCTTAGCAATGGAAGGGGAAGGGGATAAGGTTTTGAGACAGGGTCTTGCTCTGTTGCCCAGGCTGGAGAGCAGTGGCACAATTATGGCTCACTGCAGCCTTGACCTCTTGGGCTCCAGCAACCTTCCTGCCTTAGCCTCCCGAGTAGCTGGGACCACAGGTGGGCACCACCATACAGAGCTGATTTTTAATTTTTTAAATTTTTTTGGTAGAGACGGGGTCACACTTTTTAAAAATAATGACTTTTAGGAAAGACAAGTGGGCCCTTATAGATACAACAGTTTTGTGACAATGTCTGGTGTTATGCCAACTTCTTGTCTCTAGTGATAAGAGTTCATCTTCCCTGGTTGCTCCAAGAAAGGAGATTTATGAGAATTGAGTCGCTCATCTGAAAATCATATTTATGCATATTCTGGACTCCTTCACTTATTCTGGCTCCCCACTTCTGCCTACTCCAAAACTTTTTAAATTTAGTGGGATTCGAATTGCCTTTACTTAGCAATCAAGACTTTGCATTTATTGGTGACCTCTGTCATAGTCTAACCTTATCATAGCGACTATGTGCAAATAGTGTCCTTTTATCCACATCCACCCAGTGGGGAAATGAACAAGGAAAGACAGATACAGTATTGGAGACAGAGTTAAAGGATCAGGCCCAGAGAAAGCAGCTTTGGACTAAGTCTTGAGGGGCTAGCAAACCACAGCCCAACAAAGGATTGGGAAAAGGGTTTTAAGCAGAGGGAAGCTTGCGTACAAGAGTAGAAAAGCCAAAACAGGCAGGAATCTCTTACCAACTGTCAGTATCTGACGGAGCCCTAGGATTTGTGTAGAAATTTCTCTGGATTGGTAGTAATTTATGGAATCTCAATTTCCTCCTCTGGGCAATAAAGAGCTCATAAGAAATATGAGCACAGCGGTGGTGATATGAATATACTTGAATATAAGAAATGGCATGCTAATGGCACTCTCCTATGCCTAATTTCTCTCCTAAGGTCCCCAAGTTTGTAAACTTATTTACTTCTCCTATGCTACCTCCAAGTTTTCCCACATACAGACTCTCTGTACCTTTTGTCAGTGTACAGCGAGCATTAGAATTTCTAATTGCCTTTGCAGAAGAAAAGAAATATGCAGTGTACAATTAAAGAGCTGATTTCATTCAGGTCATTGCAACAGGGAAAATGTTCATTAATGAGGAGCATCTCAAAGGACAGGATTGGAGCCTGGGGTTTTGTAGAGGGAAGTCGACAGATAATCATCCTTATCATCTGCTAATCTTAAGGATAGAAGGAGGTGGGCCTTATCTGGGGATACTCATTTAACCCTTTCCCGGAACTCAAAAGTGTGGGGGCAATCATCCTTGTCATCTGCTGGTCTCAAGGATGGAAGGAGGTGGGACTTATCTGGGGATACTCAGTTAACCCTTTACTGGAATTCAAAAATGTGGGGGCAATAGCAAAGTCATGGAATCAATCTAGGTGCCCATCAACAGTGAATTGGATACAGAAAATGTAGTACATATACACCGTGGAATACTATGCAGCCATAGAAATAGAATTAAATGCCTTTGCAGCAACATGGATGCAGCTGGAGGCCATTATCCTAATCAAATTAATACAGGAACAGAAAACTAAATACCGCATGTTCTCACTTACAAGTGGGAGCTAAACACTGGGTACTCATAGACATAAAGATGGCATCAGTGGACACTGGGGACTACTAAGAGAGGAAGACAGATGAGCAAGGGTTGAAAAATTAACTGTTGGGTACTATGCTCAGTACCTGGGTGATGGGATCATTTGTACTCCAAACCTCAGCATCATGCAGTATACCCAGATAACAAACCTGCACATGTACCCTCTGAATCTTAAATAAAAGTTGAAAAAGAAAAAAAGAAAAAAAAATTGTGAGGGGAAATTGTTAACTCTTGCTATGTTCTGGGAGCTTAGGGCTCAGGTAATGTTCAACATTGTCACCCTGCTACCCATGTGCCATGGTGATGGGCTTGACCTCTACTTCTAATAGAGAGAGAGAAACAGCACATGTACTAGGGAGATCTCTGGTGTTCACATAGCTATATGCACGTTTTATTTTAGGGTGAGAGGGTTTGATTGCATATTTTCATTAATTATAATTTGAAAAATGTCTTTCACTGTTGCAGCTCATTATAGATAACATCATGTAGATTTTCAAGATGGGACCAAACATGGAAACTGCGATCGAGTAGTTCTCATATGCATGAGCTGTTACAAATGCATTGGCCATTTGTAGTCCTACTCCAGCGGATTTTTGCCCAACAAACACAGTGATTCACCAAATTGAATTACGTATTTATCCTTTAATGTATTGTATGATGTAGTATATTTCTGACAGAATAAAACTTCTATTTTATCAGACATTGGTGAGAATTGAATATTCCCCTATAATATTATAAGTCTGAAACTGGAAGAGGGGAGACCTACTGAATAGCTCTGTCTTTACATATTTGAAAGGATATTCCTCCTCCTTTACCCACCTGCTTCCACTGCTGGGCACTGAGGATACATTCATATACTTGTCCCTTCTCACAACGTCAGGTGAATGAGGCAGCAGGTGTATTTCTGACCAAAGGCAATAGGTGTATTTCTGGAAGCCAACCATTATAGGCCAGGAAAGCTAGGAAAATTTAGCATTACAAAGAAGTGACTGTGGGCACTCACATCCAAACTAAATGTATTACCAACTCATCTTCTGTTTTTTGTGATCCACAGAATGCTCTGGTCACCCCAACATGGCCTGGTACATGGTCCAAAATGTCTTGTCAGTCACAAGCTTGGATAGAATCCATCCGTATCACCATCTGAGAAACTAAGAGAGGAGACGTGTATTTCTTCCAGAAGAAGACAGGAAGCTTATCTCAAAACATCAGCCATGGTGGAGTTAAGCTTGAAGGGGGAAAATTAATTCAAAGCAATCCCAGAGAAATGCAGTTCAAAGAAGAAAAGAAAGTTCAAAATAAAGAGAAAGGGGAGAAGAAAAATGTAACACTGTACTCCACCCTCTAGAGGATTCTTCCTTGACGTTGGGCAACTTTATGAAGACGTATGTGAGCACCAGAGGGACAGTGCCTAGAAAAAAGGAAAGTTCCCTCTAGATTATTATATGCAGCTCACAGCTCTGAGGCCATCTCTTGGAAAATACTAAATTTTTCTTTAATAAGTACTGATGCTATGTCTTTTTCCATGACTAATAATGCATTGTGCTTGAAATTGTTAAACTCACAGGAGAGTAAAGTCATCACAGCCATAATAAGATATCAAAATGGATATATTTTAATAACTTTATTTTTTAAAGCAACTTTACATAACTCGTTGATTGAGGGAACTAAGCAGATTGATTGGTTCCAAGGAAAAGCTTTTTGAAAAATCACAAATATATAGATCAGGAAGGCTGAAATGGATATACAAATGGAGTCTTAACTGGTTTCTCTATATGGAATGGGGAAAAAGTCAATCATACCACATAATTCAGCCAATGTGGGACAGAAAAGAATCTGCAAATCTCTAAGAATTATTTTGGCATACTATCTGTTAAATACAATCTACACAGTTATAAAATAATTCAGAAAAAAATCAAAGGCTAAAATCATGTAACTCAGGAGCGTGTGCTCTATGTTGAAAATGCATATTCTTAAGCATTTTTTTTGGCCACTGTATCCCCAGCTAATTGGACACCTCACTGTTTGTGGTTGACTTGTGATAAATCCAACACTATGCTATTTCCATTCTAAATACCGTGTGACTCTAAAGTTAAAGTAATTTATTTGTTGTCAATGACACAGAATGTAAACACACAGATGTGCATTATCTCCATCAAGAAGAAAATCATTGTTTGAAGCACTTAAACACACTGTAAATGGTCAAGCTAGGTTTTCAAGTCTATGCTTGGGATTATTTTTAAAGCCTGCCACAAAGTACAAATAACCTCATTGGTTGCAAATTTATTTTCTTCATCTCTTTTGAGAGAGAAGGACTCAAAATTCCATTGCTGAAGGGGGCTTCCCATGGAAACACTGAGTGGAAATGCAAGCAGCCTCTATGAGCAAAGACCAGCCTCCGGTTGACAGCCAGACAAGGAAATGGGCACTGCAGCCATACAACTGCAAGGGACTAAGTTTGACTAACAACCTGAATGAGCTTTGCTGTGGATCTATTAGGCCTTCCACAAATTAATATATGTTGAAGTCCTAATTCCCCAATGAGACTGTATTTGGAGATCGGGTCTTTGAAAAAGTCTTTTAATTACAGTTAAATTAGGTCATAAGGGTGGGACCCTGTTTCAATAAGGCAGGTGCCTTATAGGAGGAGGAAGAAACACTAGAGTACTCTCTCATGTGTTCCCTCTCTCTCTCTCTCTCTTTCTGCCATGTGAGAACACACCAAGAAGGCACTATTGGCCTGGCACAGTGGCTCACGCCTGTAATCCCAGCACTTTCGGAGGCTGAGGCGGATGGATCAGCTGAGGTCAGGAGTTCAAGACCAGCCTGGCCAACATGGTGAAACCCCATCTCTACTAAAATTACAGAAATTACCCAGGCATGATGGCGAGCACCTGTAATCCCAGCTACTCGGGAGGCTGAGGCAGAGATAATTGCTTAAAACCCAGGAGGTGGAGGTTGCAGTGAGCTGAGATCACAACACTGCACTCCAGCCTGGGCGGTAGAGTGAGATTCCATCTCAAAAAAAAAAAAAAAAAGGCACCATCCACAAACCAGGAAAAGAGTACTCACCAAGAACAGAATCTGCCACTGACTTGACCTTGGACTTCCCAGCCTCCAGAACTGTCAGAAATAAATGTCTATTGTGTAAGAAACTCAGTCTATGGTATTTTGTCACAGCAGCCCAAGCTAACAAGTACAAGCTTGGAAGGAGATTTATCCCCAGCATTTTCTGTAAGGCAGGCAGCCTGACAGACACCTTGATTTCAGCCTTGCAAGCTCTAGAAGAGAGCTCAGAGGACCCCACAAGATTTCTGACGTGTAGTAACTCTAAATAATCAATGTGTATTGTTTTAAGCCTCAATGTTTGTGGTCATATGTTCCAGTATCAAAAGGAAACTAATACGGTTGCCTCCTAAATGTTCTTTCCCACAGTTAAGAAAGCTGAAAACTCCCAAGTGAGTCTCAAATTTTTCTGCACTATGAGCAATGGCTCTCCTTGGAAGAGGTGAGGAAATAGCTCCAGCAGGAACCTGGGGTTGTTGCCCAGTTATAAAGATGTATTATCTTTTCATAAAATATGGTATGAGATGTCCTCCCAGAACTTCTCTCTTATGACAGCTTCCCACTCTATCCATAGCTTCAGCAACCAGTTCCTACTGATAAAAGAAAAACTTCAGCAGAATTAAATTTAAAGGAGTTTAATTGAGCAATGAACAATTTGTGAATAAGTTAGCCCTCACAATCACAGCAGATTCAGAAAGACTCCAGCGTAGCTACGTGGTGGAAGAAGATTTAGAAACAAACAAAAAAAGGAAATGACGTACAGAAATTAATTGGAAGTGAGGTACAGAACGGCTGGATCGGTTACAGCTCGGCATATGCCTTATTTGAACACAGTTTGAACACTCAGCGGTGTATGAATGGTTGAAGTATGGCCACTGGGATTGGTCAAGACTTAGCTATTGTTACGGGTGCATACTACTAAGTTAGATTTTCAATTTTATCTGCCTATTAAGCTAGGTTACAGTTGATCCACAAGGACTCAAATATAATCACGGAGTCCTTCTGAGGCCATATTTAGTTTGCCTTAACACTGTATAGCTCCACACAGGTGCACTTGGCCAGGTGTGTTTTGCCAAATCAATGATACATTCCTTTTGTCTCCCACACAGTGGCTTCTCCGTGAATACCTTAGGAAATGTCCCAGAGCTCCATCATGGGCAGGAAGTAATCATGGAGGGAACTTCTCACTCTTGGGAGAAAGAAATGGATTGATCTATGTGTCTCATTTTTTCCTCCTCCTCTTTCCTTGGATAGACTATCCTGAGATGGCTGTCACTTGACTTTTCAGGTGGCCACCAGCTGCTCTTGCAGGTGACCAATGTATTCTTGCCATGGCTAGGTCTTCTCTAATTCACTGCCCCAGCCCTCTTGCTGCCTGGGATGGCATGACCAAGGGAAGCACTGTCCTCTAAGCCACTGGCCCTGGCTCTGCTCTCAGGAGAAAGCAGGTGAAGATGGGCAGCCCTCAGCCTTTGCATTCTAGTCTACAATGTATTTGAGTTTGTGTTGATGATGTTGAACTGTACCCAAGCCCTGTGATCCTGGAAACAGCAACAGTTAAAGAATTTCTCCCACATTTTGAGTTCTGGAAAATGGATTACTGCAAAGAACTATCCTTACCCATATGACTTAGATAATACTCATGAATGTTCCCCCAGTTTACATAGGAAAAGACCAGACCCAGACCCTCCAAGTTTCCATTCTTTGCATCACAATTGATAACTGACGAGGTGAACCTCTTGTCCCCACTAATCAATGGGAACAAAATGCTTGTGAACCAAACATTGGGTCAGTTCTTCTTCTCCCCAGGACCTCGGACTTTAGCTCACCCTCAACATACGCCAACAGAACACCCCTCCTTTAGGGCCTCTTCTGAAAACAGCCTGCTCTTGGGGTAAACCATTCTCTGAACTACTGTCCTATAATATCACCCTTTATCCAACTTCCCCTCTCCTGTTTTTCTCTAGCCTCATTTCCTCTTGCCCATAAAAGAAAAACCCTCTCTGCCTAACTCTTCAGACACTTGCAGACCTATAGTCAGAGCATTCTTGCTATTGCAATAATTCATATTTCCCAATTAAAATAATAGGTGAACAGTCCTCCTCAACCCTTGCAATAATTATTTCAAAGAAGTCTTTTCTTACTTAGTCCAGATTTGTTTTTTCATTGACACTATTAATATAAAAGTAATTATTCTATCCCCTATTCCCTATGCCTCCAGAGACTTTTTTTTCCTTTTTCTTAAGATATGGAGTCTCACTCAGTCACCCACGCTGGAGTGCGGAGTGCAGTGGCACCATCATAGCTCACTGCAGCCTCAACCTCCTGGGCTCAAGTGACCCTCTCGCCTCAGACTCCAGGGTAGCTGGGACTATAGGCATGCACCACCACGTGCAACTAATTCTTTTTTATTATTTGTAGAGACAAGGTCCCACCATGTTGCTCAGGCTAGTCTCAAACTCTTGGGTTCAAGAGATCCTCCCACTTCAGCCTCCCAAAGTGCTGGGATTTCAGGTGTGAGACACCACACCTGGCCTGATTATATACTTTTGAACCATATTCATAAGTAATATTTCCCCCCAAAATTGGAGGCCTGCATAGGGTTACCAGTAAAACAAAAAATTAAAGGGTACCAAGTAATTACTGTAATTCATAGCATAAAGGATGTGGAGGGCAAAATTGTGTGCTTCTGCAGAAAACTGCTCGTTGTTTCTATCACACCCCTACTGGTATTGGATTCTGATTCTATAAAGCTCTGTGCCACCCATCGTCTTTGAGTTATTTTACAACTCTGTACGTTGCAAATAGCCAAGGGTAATGCAAAATAATTCTTGTCTCTAGACATGCAAATTTACTCCTGTGGAAGTGCAAATGACTCCCACCACCCACAAAAATAAAAGTCTGTTTTGCCTCTATTTGCACATACATATTGATATTTTTAAACCTATAAATATGATTGTTCCTTGGATTGTTTTTTAAATGTGTTATAAGACCTTCCTGGTGGTTCGCACACCAATAATGAGTTAAATAACATCTTTAACACTGGTTTATTTTTAGCTATCTGAGAGTCATAATTTTTCCTTCTTTGGAAATTATCCTTTAAAAGATATTTTTCATGGAGTGGACTTAGTTTTAGGAAAGGAAAAACTTCCCAGGGAAGAAATATTGACAAACTTACACCTATCTATTTTCCCCTAGATATGTATTTGAAATTTTCATGGAGAAAACAATTACAAGATAAAACTCTGTTCTATGATATTGCACTCTTCTATGAAGTTTGTCAGTTTCCTGACCTTCTTTGCTTTCTTCCAATGCAAACTGGAAATGGAGCTTGAATGTCAAGCTTGTTATAAATCTTTTAAAAAATTGATAATGCTTGTCATCCAAACAGTTTTTGTTTTTGTTCTTGACTCTCAGTCCTTCCTTGCTGTAATAAGAATATTCTGAGAAATGAGGCCTCTGGCTTTCTTCTCTCTTTCCTTTAAAGAATCTTGCTATAGTTTGGATGTTTGACCCCTCCAAATCTCATATTGAAATTTGATCCCGTAGTGGGAGGTGTTTGGGTCATGGGGGCAGATCCTTCATGAATGTCTGGGTGTCATCCTCACAATAATAAGTGAGTTCTCACTTTATTAGTTCCTCAGAGGTTGTTAAAAAGAGCCTGGCACCTCCTCCTCTCTCTCTTGCTTCCTCTCTCTCCATGTGGTCTCTGCACATGCCAGCTCCCTTCCCCTTCCATCCTGAGTGGAAGCAGCCTGAAGCCCTCACCAGATGCAGACGCTGGTGCCATGCTTCCTGTACAGCCTGCAAAACCATGAACAAATTAATTTCTTTTCTCTATAGATTGCCCAGCCTCAGCTATTCTTTTATAGCCACACTAAACAGACTAAGACTAACCCAGTAAGAAATTTGGCAATGGCTTGCTGGATGCAATAAGGAAAGGGGTTTGCAGATAGAGGAAAACCTTGCCTGTATAAAGGACACCAGTTAGGAACTGATCTGAAGGAAGTGTCAAAACATGAAGAGAACACCTCAACAGTGAGCACTAGCCTGTTTAATGACATTTGGGAGCCATAGCCTTATACTCCTAACTTTTACTGGAGGACAAGCTATAATTCAATGGAGGTCTTCATTTTCTTCTTTATTCCTTCCTACTCTGCAACAATTACTCAAGATGATTCTTGTATTGTTGGTGAAGCTGTCTTTTGTATGCAATCGTTTGCACATTTGTCCATTGTATTAATCAGCTCTCATGCTAATAATATAGACATACTCAAGACTGGGTAATTTATAAAGAAAATGAGGTTTAATGGACTCACAGTTCCACATGGCTGGGGAGGCCTCACAATCATGGCGAAAGGCAAAGGAAGGGAAAGGCACATTTTACATGGCGGCAGGCAAGAGAGCATGTGCAGGGGAACTCCCCCTTAGAAAACCATCAGATCTTGTGAGACTTATTCACTAGCATGAGAACAGCATGGGAAAGATCTGCCCCCATAATTCAAGTACTTCCCACCAGGTGCCTCCCAGGACATGTGGGTATTATGGGAGGCACAATTCAAGATGAGATTTGGATGGGGACACAGCCAAACCATATCATCCATTAATTGGATGGTTATTACCAGATTAACAACAGAATATGTAACACATTATTTTTCAATAATGACATTCAGTGAGATCATCTTTCCTTTCTTCAGACTGAATGAATGCTGTCTTCTGTGCACTTCTTCTAAATACTCTAAATGATCCATTTTCCCAGTAAGGAACTACAAGCTAACTGTATTCATTTTCTAATGCTTCGTAACAAATCGCTACAAACTTGGAGGCTTCAAATGATATATGTTTATTTCCTTGGAGTTCCCTTAAGCCAAGTGTCCATGCATGGCATAGGTGGGTCTTTGGCTGGCTTTTGAAGGCTGCAGTGATCATCTCATGTGGAGCCCAGGTCTTCTTTCCAACTCAGGGCTGTTGGTTGAATTTATTTTCTTATGTTGCAGAATGCATGATGACTAAAGGGATCTGCTGTTTCAGATCTCTTGCTCCTAGACTTTCTCTTAAAAGGCTCATCAAATTAGTGAGGTCTCCCAAATATAATCTCCTTAACTCAAATTCAACTGATTAGGAAACTTAATCACAGGTACAAAATGACATCTACAAAAATCCCCATAGTTATGCTAAATATTATAACCTAGTCTCTGTCTTGACATCAATCACAGTGAAAGGCCCTGACTATACTCAAAGGTTGGGATTATACAGGACATGTAGTCTAGTGGGTGGGAATCTTAGAGGCTGTGTGATAATTCTGCCCCTCACACTTAGCATAGAACCAGATATTCTCTTATAAATTCTGTGCCATGCTGTAAAATGACACAGCAAGTCAGTTTTGTCTATGACTTAAGCAATGTCAATTTTATTTCAAAGGTCATCTTTCTTTTCAAAAGACTTAATTAACCTGCATATACCTCTAATGAGAGATTTTGCTGGTGTTTGAGAAATGGGGTTTATGCAAGAACTGTGTTCCTCTATCCATTTTTTAAAAAACTTCTGCTAGTAGCTGATTTGATTTAGACTCTGAATTTCAGAGTCAGGTCAGTCATGCAGATTCAGGAGAGAGCTACCACATAATTCTCAGGGTTGGGAATTGTACTTGTTCAAAATGGCAAAATAAAAGAACATCATGCACAGTTCAGATTTATTGCTGACTCTTAACCATGCATACAGAATGTTGAGTGAAGTTCAGGCGCTAAGTAGGACTCACGACTTAGGATGGAAACCAATAGATTATAGATTGTGGAACTTGAGATCTAGAAAGGACCATAAACATTTTTTCTCAAATATCTTTATTCTAAGAGCTGAAAGCCCTGACACATTAGAGGCTTCCTACAGGTTGCAGAGGCAGTGGATTCACACAGAAGAATAACCTAGGTGTCAGAGTCCCAGCCCCCTACATACTCCAATTTGATTCTGTCTACTGTTGTTTGTGGGTGACAACCCCCTACACGCTGTTGACGTCTTGACAGCCAAGAAGTGCTAAGTCACAATGTTGGAAACCAAAGAGAAAACATAATCCTATCTGTCCGTACAACTATAATGTATCTTCACTTGTAATTCCCAGAGCACAATGCTGGCCTTCGAGCCTCAGGACAGACAGGAAATTAACTGAAAAACAACTCAAAGTGAAAATATCAACAGATGCACACAAACTTAAAAGAACATTCAGATAAACCAATTAACATCCAAAGGGTTGAGGTGGAAGGAAGGTGAGTGGGAGGTATGATGAGAATAAACTGAAAAAGGTCAGGGTCTCTCTGTTCTAGAAAAAAAACGGGAAAGAGAAGAATGTTGGAATGATGATTCTGTTCTATAAAGTCAGTCCAGGTTGAGCACGGTGGCTCACACCTGTAATCCCAAAACTTTGGGAGGCCAAGGTGGGAGGATAACTTGAACCCAGGAGTTCCAGACCAGCCTGGGCAACATAGGGATGTCCCATCTCTACAATAATAATAATAATACTAGCTGAGCATGGTGGAGCATGCTTGTGGTCCCAGCTACTCAGGAGGCTGAGGCAGGAGGATTGCTGGAGCTCCGGAGGTCGAGGCTGCAGTGCACCATGATCTCATGATTGCACTCCAGCCTGGGTGACAGAGTGAAATCCTTTGTCAAAAAAATACAAAATAAAAAACAAATTTTAAAATTAAAAAATATAAAGTCAGTCCTGCCCTAACATCAGCTCTAGGTACATCTGATTCTGCACCTGGGTTCAGCTTCAGGTGAACTTGCAACATGATCTCTTCATGGCTGTGTTTCAGCTTGTCATGGAAATTCTGAGTCACTAAGCCCAAATTCCTGCCCCACCTTCCACCATCTTATATCCCAGGTTAATAACAAAAGTCTTGCCTTGCTCTCCATGTCTAAAATCTTTTCTTGCCAACCTATCGAGTTCTCCTGTTTCTTCAAGATTTGGGCCTTACTTTCTTCTTGTTGATTTTTACCTTGACCAAAGTCTTTCTAAAGCAAACTGAAATGTACATCAGAAGCCTCTGGAGGACTTGTTATTAATAAAACACTGATTGCAGGGCCCCACCTCAGAGTTCCTGATTCAGGAGGTCTGGCATGCAGGGGTGGGGTTGAAGTGAGAATTTGCAATTCTATTTTTGTTAAGAGATAGGATCTTGCTCTGTCACCCAGGCTGGAGTGTAGTGGTGCAATCACAGCTCACTGCAGCCTTGAACTCCTGGGCTCGAAGGACCCTGCTACCTCAGCCCCCTGGGTAGCTGGGACTACTATGCCTGCCTGGAGAATTCACACTTCTAACAAGCTTCCTGTAGATACTGCTGCAGCTGGTCTGGGCACCACACTGAATCTGAAGACTAAAGTAGCAACATTATTTTTTTCCTATACTATCTGCTTCCAGCACCACCATTGCCAAACTCAACCTATGTGGCTAAACTTCTTCAAGTGATCTACAGCTGGTCACCACTATAGTCCTATTATATGCCTTCCCCAAGTGCTGTAAGGTAGGCATTACTATCCTTGTTCAACGTGGAAACTGAGCTTAGACTTGGAGAGTAACTTGCTCTTTGCACAGAGATTTTAAAAGGCCAAGTTAGGAAGCCAATCCAGTATCTCCTGGCTTCTGTGTCTTATTATTTCTCACCATATTGCTGCACCAAAGGTTAACCATCTTCTTTCTGAAATCTGGATTTTGACAAATGCTAGTTTCCTTTCCTTCTTCCATCTCTTTCTGATGCTTTTGAAAGGACCAGCTTATAAACAGTCCATGAGGAGGGAAGAACAACATGGACTGAAGGTCAACAATTTGGAAAGCAGAAAGTTCAGCTGTTCCTCACCTGGCCAAGACATGCTGCCTGTTTTTGGCCGGATTTTCTTCTCCCCACCTTGTCACGACTCTAATGCTTTGTTTTCTGATGTCAGTGAGCACCTGTCCTTGTGAGATGGAAAAGTGCAGTTGAGAGAATGATCCAATTTTGCAGCTTTCTCTGATTGGCAAATTGAGTTACACAGAGGTTAATTAGCTTTCCTAATATCTCAAGTTGGCCACGGTATTGAAATTAGCAAGGCGGAGTGAGTAATTGACAGCCCTGTGCTGTGATGGCTCACCAATTGTCCTCTATAGAAGAGATCATTGACATTTTCCAGGTTGCTCTTAAACTCATTATCTGCAAACATTAAAATGGACCCTGTAAACTTATTATAGATTTTGATAAATATATTCATTTACAGAAAATCAACAGGCAAACCATCTCAAGTTAATTAGGTCAATGACAGTTTAGAACCTTGAATTCATAGCAGCAGTGCTCTCTAAATATGTAAGTGCATAAACAAAGGCTGGCTTGAAATGAGGAAAAGAATAGAAAGGAACAATGTGTATCTCATTGGGAGGGTGTTCTGGAACTCTGTGAATGAGGTAATGCATAGGCCAATGTAGCAATCCTTACCCAAACTCCCGAACCATCCACTCAAAAATACAAAAAATGAAAAAAGAATTTCAAACTGGTTGATTCTCCTAAAATGAATAAGAGGGAAAAATGACCAGAGAGAGAAACTGAAAATGGTCTTTTTAAACTTAATTTTATCCTTCTGGAAACTGGACCTAGCTGGAAAAGGTCACACAAACCACATATCTCATTCAACAAAATGCGGCACTTTGCCATTTTCCAATGCCCTGCTGTGGGTATTTTTCCCCCTGAATGAACCCAATAAGTTGTTCGAGCAAAATGTCCTATCTAAGTAGGGTAGCACATCTGTTTCAATTTCCTACATTTGATCTATTTTAGCAGTATCCTCATTGTGTCATGAGAGCTAACTGAGCTATCGAAGCCTAATAAAAATGTTACCCAACTATCTTGCATTAAAAAACTAAAAACTTCAGAATCTATTTATCTTTTGGTTTAACGTTTATCATAGCTTCTCTCTCTCCATATACATATAGTAATATATACAGTAACATATGCTATATTACTATAAAATATAATTTGTATAAAATAGTATATTACTATATAACATATAGTAATATATTACTGTACTACTGGTAATATAATGTATATAATATTTATATTTATAAAGTAGAAATATTTATATATAATTCATATTTGTATAAAATATTTTTACATAGTGTGTGTATACACAGTATATTTAACACACACTATACATATTATATACATTATATACATATACACTATATATACACACATTTAAACATATACACTGTATTACATTACATATGTAATACTTACATTATATATAATACATATATAATGTAATATAATTGATCTTATTATATATATAATGTAGATAGAAAAGAGTAAGAAAAAAGAGTGAAGTTGTTTTTTAATGCAAGATATTTGGGTAATATTTTTATTAGACTTTGATAGCACAGTGGACTTCTCACATGTATGTGATATTTATATATATGTATATGCACACATACATATATATGCACACACACATATATATGTATCTTATGTCCAGTAAAGAACATGTTTCTTGAGATTAGTGTTTGTATCACACTTAAGTTTCGTATTCTATTTCTTCCTTTTCAGAAAGTAAGACTTGATCACAATTATTTTATCCTAAGCACCTTAATACATTATTTGAAAATCAGAGGTATTTAATAGAATTTGTTGAATGAATGAATGATTTAATAGCCCTATTGAGTTATTAATTGCGGTATTTTCCTCTGTCTCCATAAACAAAGTTATCTTTATATGGAAATTGGTAGTTTACTGAGGATTTTTCAGGTTTTGCAAGTACTGATTTTTGGGATTTGGGGGTACTGAAAGTCTGGCATCCTGGGAGAGACCCAGTTTTGGACAGACCAGGAATGGTTAGTCACCCTGTTTGGAGAGATTATACTTTCACTTCTTTTTGCATTCTTTATTGTCAATTCTTGCTAGTGTGTTGCTCCCTATGTAACTTAATCCTTCCATCTTTACATGTTTCCAATTTGTCCCACTTCAGAAATGAGCCATATGTTTCTCTAACTGAACAAAAGCCACCACTAATGGCCCAGTGTCTAAGCTATTTCTCCACAGCCTCCTTTAAAGAACTGTGTGTTAGTTAATTCAAGGAACAAGGGGAGGAGAAGATAGACTACCCCAGTCCTCACTGACAGATAAAAGTTTACATTAAAGCATTAAACAGACCGATAGTTATTGGGTACCTATGGGGGGAAACTGCCCCCGATAGTCACATAAGTTCTTTTCTATTTTCCCTAAGAGTCAGCCAGTCTGAGAAATAAAGGGACAGAGTACTAAAGAGAGAAATTTTAAAGCTGGGTGTCCAGGGGAGATACCACATGTCAGCAGGTTCCGTGATGCCCCCTGAGCCGTAAAACCAGCAAGTTTTTATTAGTGATTTTCAAAAGGGGAGGGAGTGTACGAATAGGGTGTGGGTCACAGAGATCACGTGCTTCACAAGGTAATAGAATATCACAAGGCAAATGGAGGCAGGGCGAGATAACAGGACCACAGGACGGGGCGAAATTAAAATTGCTAATGAAGTTTCGGGCATGCATTGTCATTGATAACATCTTATCAGCAGACAGGGTTTGAGAGCAGACAACCGGTCTGACCAAAATTTATTAGGCGGGAATTTCCTCGTCCTAATAAGCCTGGGAGCGCTATGGGAGACTGGGGCTTATTTCATCCCTACAGCTTCGACCATAAAAGACGGCCGCCCCCGAAGTGGCCATTTCAGAGGCCTACCCTCAGGGATGCATTCTCTTTTTCAGGGATGTTCCTTGCTGAGAAAAAGAATTCAGTGATATTTCTCCCATTTGCTTTTGAAAGAAGAGAAATGTGGCTCTGTTCCACCTGGCTCACCAGCGGTCAGAATTTAAGGTTATCTCTCTTGTTCCCTGAACATTGCTGCTATCCTGTTCTTTTTTCAAGGTGCCCAGATTTCATATTGTTCAAACACACATGCTCTACAATTTGTGCAGTTAACGCAATCATCACAGGGTCCTGAGGCAGCAGATATCCTCCTCAGCTTACAAAGGTGATGGAATTAAGAGATTAAAGTAAAGACAGGCATAGGAAATCACAAGGGTATTGATTGGGGAAGTGATAAGTGTCCATGAAATCTTCACAATTTATGTTCAGAGATTGCAGTAAAGACAGGCGTAAAAAAATATAAAAGTATTAATTTGGGGAACTAATAAATGTCCATGAAATCTTCACAATTTATGTTCTTCTGCGTGGCTTCAGCCGGCCCCTCCATTCGGGGTTCCTGACTTCCCACCACAGGTACCCTAAGGTATTTCATCTTCCTAAGTTTTTTTTTAATTTAATTTAAAAAAAATTTTTTTAAATAGAGACAGGATCTCACTATATTGCACAGGCTGGTCTCGAACTCCTGGACTCAATTGATCCTACTGCCTCAGCCTCCCAAAGTGTTGGGATTACAGGTGGGAGCCACCATGCCGCCCAGCCACTTTTCATTTTAAACTTGTCATGTAACATCCTCTCTGAAGATGTACATGCCTAGTGATAGATCCTAAGAAAGATTCCGTATAGGTCTCCTGATGCTGTTACAAATTCCCACAAATTCAATGGCTTAGAACAACACTAACTTATTATTTTACAGTTTTGGAGGTCAGAAGTCAGGAGTGGGTCTCAATGGGTTAGAATTGAGGTCTCAGCAGGGCTGTGCTCCTGCTGAAGGCTCTAGGGGAGATTTTGTCTCCATGTCTTTTCCAGCTTCTAGAGGCCACTTGTGTTTCTTGGTTTGTGGTCCTTTCTTCAATTGTTTAAAGGCAGCAGTGTAGTGTTTCAAATTACTCTTTGCTTCCATCATCACACCTTTTTCTCAGACCCCCTTACCTTCTTATAGGGACTCTGAGGCTGAATGCAGTGGCTCATGCCTGTAATCCCAGTGCTTTGGGAGGCTGACTTGGAGAATTCCTTGAGTCCAGGAGTTCGAGACCAGCCTGGATAACACAGTAAGACCCAGTCTCTACAATTTTTTTTAATTAGTTGGGCATGATGGCACTCACCTGTAGTCCTAGCTACTTGGGAGGCTGACACAGGAGGATCACTTGATTCCAAGAGTTTAAGGCTGAAGTGAGCTGTGATCTCACCACTGCACTTCAGCCTGGGTGACAGAGCAAGACTCTATTTAAACAATTTTTTAAAAAGTGTAGAGGCAAATCCTGACCAAGGTCTAACTCTGCTGTGCATACTTTACTTGATCAGATGATGCTTTGCCACCCAACAAGAGTGTTGGATTCTGCAATGAGCAAAACACTGAACCATTTGGACTCAGTCTTGGTTAAATGAAGGGCCAGGGGAATCTATGGTCAGTCAAATAGTGCCCCCCCAAAATGTCTACATCCCAATCCTAGATGGTGTGAACATGTGACATAACCTGGCAAAAAGGACTATGCAGATGTGATTAAGAATCTTGGGATATGGAGATAATCCTGGATTATCTGGTGCTGATGTACTCACAAGAGTTCTTTTGTTGTTGTTTTGTTTTGTTTTGTTTTTTGAGACAGGGTCTCACTCTGTCACCCAGGCTGGAGTACAGTTGCACAACCACGGCTCATTGCATCTTCAAACTCCCATGCTCAAGCCATCCTCCCCCCTCAGCATCCCAAGTACCTGGGACTACAGGCATCTGTCACCATACTCAGCTAATTTTTTATTTTTTGCAGAGATGGGGTCTTGCTATGTTGCGCAGGCTTGCTTCTACTCTTAAAACAGACCCATCTCCTTCAAGGCTCCTCTATCAAAGACAACACTCATTCTTAACTGACTCTTTAGCTCCTCAGGCTAAGTCATCAGAAGAAGGAACCCACTGCTTTGTTGTCCCAAATGCCTCATCTTGCTGGGTGAACATTAAAAGAAACATTTACCAATGACCAAAACGTGTTGTGTAATCAAAAGAGTGCACACCCAAACTGAGCATTTTGGCATCCTTTCTGATTTTTGCTTAGCTATTTTCCCAGAATGAGATGCTATTTACATATCTCTAACTCATCTTAAGGCACTTTTTTCTGATGTTGCTAAAGAAAAGAAGAAATTCCCAAATATCAGCCAAAGACTGCAAATATTAGCATACAGCTGATATTCAACTGTTTTTGACCTATAAACCAAAGTGGCAATTTCTTGTAGTTCAATCTAGAAATAATTCATTAACTGAGAACTCACTGCATGTTTATGTTTTCTTTCCTTATTAGAATGGGAATTGAAAGAGATGAGAGATGGAGATTTTGGTTTCATTGTCTGAAGTGCTTTGTATTGAATTCAGGAAGTAATGGTTCATTGATTCGCTGACTCACTCATTCTGTGAGGATTTATGGATATTCATTGTGGGTCCACAAATGTACTGTATTGTTTGGCTACAAAACAGAAGGAAGCAGTTTGTGCCTTAAGGGAAAATTTGATGTGGACTGGTTCTAGCATGTTCTAGAAGAGGTGGTAAAATCAGAAAACTTAGCACAGCATCTGTATTGGTCTGTTCTCACACTGCTAATAAAGACGTTATCTGAGACTGGGTAACTTATAAAGGAAAGAGGTTTAATTAACTCACGGTTCAGATGGCTGAGGAGGCCTCAGGAAACTTGCATTCATGGCGGAAGGGGAAGCAAGCATATCCTTTTTCACATGGCAGCAGAAAGGAGAAGTGCTGAACAACAGGGTGAAAAACCCCTTATAAAACCATGAGAGCTCATGAGAACTCACTCACTATCATGAGAACAGCAGCATGAGGGTAACCGTCCCCATGATTCAATTATCTCCCATTGGGTTCCTCCCAGGATACATGGGGATTATGGGAATTCAAGATGAGATTTGGGTGGAGACACAGCCAAACCATATCAGCACCATTCTTCACTACTTTGCCATTTGTGTTGTGATGTTTTTACTACAGTCTCATAGTATTTTAAAGAGCCCATAGAACACATTGCCCAGTGTTTATTCATTTTTAAAAAATTTTTAGTTAAGGATTGGAAGGCTAGTACAGCATGAAGAAGTCAGGCTGGATATAAAGAAGAATGTCCTAACTATAAAGCATGCTGTCCCCAAAAGAAGCAATAGACGTTCATTTTCCAGGAAAGGGTTAATCTCTACGTGTATTCTCATAAAGTACACACAGGTGACAATGACATCTCAAGGTTTATTTGTTGAGTCCTGTGATTCTCCTCCAATGCATCACATTTTTATTCCCCTGTCCCTGTGGGGAAAAATAAAGATACGGAATAAAGCACTTTTACAACTTTCATTAACTTTACACAGAAGGACGAGATCATGTATTTGGAAGGTGAACTTGGGATTTGTAAGATGATGAGTATATTTAGTAGCATCATAAAGAATAATGACCTGCTATGGAAAATGGTTAAGCAACGGCATAATGTCTCCAACTCTTTATTTTCTGGGAGAAAAAAAAAAAGCTCTAATAATGATTATTATATTTTATAATGGGATTTAGTGGTTGTCTGTGTTTAGATTTTCTGGGATTAGTGCTCGGTGCCATAATTGTAATTTCTTCTGATTGCAGACTGCTTTGCAGTCTCCAACCACTCAGTTTCTTCTGAGCACCAGCCTCTGTGTTCTTTCCAGTCTGATTTGAAGGCAATGAAGCAATCTATATTTAGGCATTTTGCAGAGGTTTTTATTTTTGGCTAAATGTTAAGTATACATTTTCCTGTAGTAAATGCTGCTAACAGCAAAGGAGTAAAATGGATTTTCAGGAGAAAGTATTTGAAATCTGACTTGCCTTTAATCAGTATCATCTCATCTCTGTAGCGCAAAGCCCTTTAAATGCAGATAAAGAAGAAATTAGAAGATGGACTACATTTGCTAAAGTCTATCCAAATGCCAGCAAACATTTGATGTGGAGTACAGTAAATAACTTAAAAGATTCCTCCATTTAGACTCTAAGCAGTAGAAAGTTTGGTACAGATACGGGCTACCTTGGGAGCACAAACAACTCAACATCCTAACATACTGAATGTCTGGCCCTCATAGGTCAGGCATATGGAATGCATACTTGCCTAAATCAAACCCCTGGTCCTACTTTATGTCCTTATTCTAGTTCTCTCCTTTCCATTCTTACCTGAGTTTAGTGTTTGGTTTGTTCATATTTTACTCATTTATTATTCATTTTCTATATTTATTTTATATGTCTTTCTACACCACTTTTTCCTTTGTGGAAAAAGATAGAGGACAGATGGATGGATGAGAGGATGGGTGGATAGATGGATGAATTAGTGGATGAGTGGTGAATGGGTAGATGAATGGATAGATTGATGATGGATGGATGTATGAATGGAAAGATGGATGTATAGAAGGGTGGGATAGATGAATTGATGAAGCCAAGGATGAAGTGATGAGTGTATAGATGGACAGATGGAAGTAAACAGGTAGACACATGTGTGGATCGATGGATGAACGTATGTAAGGTTGGGATGGATGGGAGAATTGATGAAGAGATGGACAAATAAATAGGTAGATGGATCTATAGAGGGAAGCAGGTAGATGGATGTGAGAATAAATGGATGGAAGGAAGGATAGATGGATGAATGAATGGATGGAGAGTGGGTGGATGAATCTAGGAACAGACTAGTGGACGAATGGATTAATGGATGGATGGATGGAAGAGTGGGATGGATTAATTGATGAAGAGATGACAAATAAATAGGTAGATGGATTGACAGAAGGAAACAGGTAGATTAATGTGTGGATGGATGGATGCGTGGATGGATGGATGCATGGATGGATGTATAGAAGGGTGAGATGGATTAACTGATGAGGAGATGGTCAAATAAATAGACAGATTAATGGAAGGAAGCAGGTAGATGAATGTGTGAATAAATGGATGGAAGGATAGAAGGATGGATGGATGGATGGATGGATGGATGGATGGATGGAGAGTGAGTGGATGAATGCAGGAATTGATGAATGAATGCATGGACAGATGTATAGAAGAGTGGAATGTAAGAATCAATGAAGACATGGGTGAATAAATAGGTAGATGGATTGACAGAGGAAACAGGTGTGGATAGATGATGGATGGATGGAAAGTGGGTGGATGAATGTGGAGATGGACGAATGAATGGGTGAATAAACAAGCAAGTGGAGAAATGCCTACTTACATAAGTGAATCTTTTGAATAACCATAGCATTCTACCACATGATCATTTATTTCCAGGCCTTCTCCTCCTCTCTGTCATCATCAACATTGCCATTGCTTTAGTTTGGTTCTTCATTCCTCAGCTCAAATTATTTCTCTTCCTTCAAGTGTCTTTCCTCTGAGAAACCCTTCTTTCTTTTGCCCTCCTCTCTCTTTTTCAGACTTTAGAGACTCCTTTTTTTCTACAGCCAAATCGTCTTGAATATAACTGTATGATAGCACATCTCACACCTTTTGTAATCTTTCAATCTCCTTTAACAAACAGTGAGCCTCTTTGAGACTCTTGTTTTGGTATTATCTTAAAATTCCTGATGCTAGACATAGTGTTCTGCGCACTGCAGTAATAGAAGCTTGCATTTATGGTGTTCCTACAATCCACTGTGTCTGTTATATATACTTCTGGTATCTTGTGTCCTTTAATCCTCCTAACAGTAGTAAGAGGTAGGTTCTATTGTGATTCTCATTTTGCAGTTAAGAAAGCTGAGGTTCAGAGGTGTTCAGCGACTTGCCTATCACAAAGCTGATAAGTGGTGGGACAGAAAGAAACAAAGGAGTCTGAGTCTATAGCATGCTCCTTCGGCATTTTTAATGGGGATAATATCTTCCCAAAGGGAATGAAAATTGGTTCTTGGAAGGTGAAAAAGCCATTCATGTACGAAGCTCAGAGATACAGACATACACAGATAAGGAGTATATCTGTTAAATTTGCATGGGGGGTGGGTTAAAAAATGTGTAAAATATTTCTTAGTGGGCAATGATGAAGAAAGGTTGAAGAACATTGAGTAACACCATTTACTCTCAAGCGCTATAGCGTACAGTCTGTCATTAGAAGATGAAAAGATGGATAAATGGATGTGCAGAAGAATACAACTTCTGGTATTTGTTCTGGTGCTTAAGAAATATGGTGAACAGACACTAAGATGGCACTCAAATAACCTCAATCTGGTGTGTGAACTGCCATAGTGACTTGATTCAAACATATAGAATATATCAAAGATGGCAGGATGTCACTTCCACAATGAGTTACATAAGACAATGGCTTCTGTCTTTCTAGTAGAGTTTCTTTTGCTGGCTTTGGCTAAAATAAGCTGTCCTATAGAGAGGTCTACAAGACAAGAAAATGAGGCTGACCTCTTGCCAATAGCCAGCAAGGAAATGAGCCATTCTCTCCAACAATCTGCAGGGAACTGAATCCTGCCAACATTCACGTGACCTTGGAAGAAGATCCCGCCCCACGCAAGACTTCAGGGAAACCCACTTGTGGTCAACACTTTGACTACAGCCTTGGGAGACCCTGAAGCACAAGACCCATCTAAGCTGCCCCTGGAGTCCTGACCCACAGAAACTGTCAAATAACAAATATGTGTTGTTCAAGCTGAGAATGTCGCAGTTATGTGTTACACAGCAATAGGTCATGAATTCAAGGAGTTTAAAATCCTTGATTTAGACCCATGAGAAAAACCCAAGGCAGCTACATAAAGTGTGGATTCTGTGTGTTGGTTTGCTTTCACATCACATGAGATCAACTAAATAAAGTTTAGCCAGACTTAAAATTTATGTTTGCAGTTGTCTTGACTTCAAAGTGTAGGGAGGTCACCAACTTTTTTACTGGTTGAGGGGCTAGAACTGTGCACCTTAAAATCATTGCCCAGAACAGCTACAGGTAATGGTTGAGCTGATTTGTTTATGCACGGATGTGTGGCAAACTCCATAATAAATGTATTTAATGATGGTTAGCTAGTTGCCTGGCAAGGTTGATGTTTTATGTGGGTGGCCAGCATCCCCTGCTGGACTCTGGTCAGCCCCCGACC
This sequence comes from Homo sapiens, assembly GCF_000001405.40. Lineage (NCBI taxonomy): Eukaryota > Metazoa > Chordata > Mammalia > Primates > Hominidae > Homo > Homo sapiens. The sequence goes on from NC_000023.11 coordinate 6,671,900, forward strand.
AGAGATTTATGGATGTACAGACAGATGACTAGCAGTTACCAATGGATAGGAAATAGTTGATTACACACTCAGTAAATGGCAAGAGGATTTCCCAAAGAGAAGGGCTCAGTTTCACTCTAGAGTGGAACCAGAGCAAGGGGTTTGGGGGCAGTGGCTCTGAGTTTTCTTGTGGTTGGGAGATAGGGCCAGGGTGAAGCATCCTGCCTGAACATGCATTAGGATGTGCATGGCTTAAACTTCTCCCACTGCTTTCCAAGCGGGTAGCTCCCAGGCTTTCTCATTGGCTTGTCCAGCTGTGGGACAAAAACAAAAGGATAAGGCATAGAATTTGAAAACTATCAGTGGTCAGCCATTAAAAATTGATTCAGGCTGGGCACTATGGCTCATGCCTGTAATCCCAGCACTTTGGAAGTCTGAGGCAAAAGGATCGCTTGAGGCCAGGAGATCAAGACCAGCCTGGGCAACACAGTGAGACCATATCTCTAAAAAAATTTTTTTAATTAGCCAACCATGGTGGTGCGCGCCTGTAGTCCCAGCTACTTGGGGGGTTGAGGCAAGAGGACTGCTCAAGCCCAGAAGGTCAGGACTGCAGGGAGCTATGATCACACTACTACTGCACTCCAGCCTGGGTGACAGAGTGAGACCCAGTCTCTAAATAAGAAAATAATAGATTCAGATCCTTTATTACAGTTGTTACTTAGAGATAGAGTATATTACAATGATCATTAAGACAGAGTACATATGATATGACCAATCAGGAAAAGACTAAAATGATCAAGTATTGGTCTAGCTTGACTGAGGCAGGAGGGTTTCACCCATTCTGAAGGATTCATAGCATCACCTGATATGGTTTGGCTGTATCCCCACCCAAATCTCTTCTTGAATTGTAGCTCCCATAATTCTCACATGTCATGGGAGGGACCTGGTGGGAGGTAATTGAGTCATGGGGGCGGGCCTTGGCCATGCTGTTCTCATGATAGTGAAGTCTCATGAGATCTGATGGTTTTATAAAGGGGAGATCCCCTGCACAAGTTCTCTCTTGTCTGCTGCCATGGAATATGTGCCTTTTACTCACCTTCCACCATGATTATGAGGCTTCCCCAGCCATGTGGAACTGTGAGTCCATTAAACCTCTTTTTTTTTTTTGTTACAAATTACCCACTCTCGGGTATGTCTTTATCAGCAACATGAAAATGGACTAATATATCACCTTTGAGATACGAAGATAAACACAAGACTAGAATGGAGAGAGGAGTTAGGACTTAGAGTCCCCCAACCTGGATGCAGTCATCATCATACTATCGGTTTCCAAGTTCTATCCTTATAGATAAGGTGAACGCATGTCCTGGTTTGCCTAGGAAAGTCTTGATGTATACGTTGCCCTCCCAATGGAATTATCAAGAGTGTTTCCTTTTGCTCCCCAGAATGTCTCAGTTTGGTGGATAGAGTACATGCTTTTCCTTCTCCCCTACACATGCATAGGAACTACCATAATACACACCAGAATCTGTGGGCTTTTTTCCACCATTGTGGAACTTAATATTTAAGACAAAGCAATTCAATGTTAATCATAACTAATATCAAAGGATGGTTTAAATGCCCACTACGAAGAACTGTTTTATTCATGAAGACCTGGGCACAAAGTCTCAGGTGTTCAATCTCTGAACCGATGCTAGCTTACTGTCATACAGGGCTCTGTGGTCTCATGAGGCTCTTTCATCTTTTTGTCTTCCTAAATCCAGAAAAAGAGTCTGTGAGGTAGAGCAGGTATTAATATACTCAATATTGAGATAAGGAAATTGAGGTTTGGAAGCATAGATTAATGAGTTTACGCACATTTGTACAAAAGAGAGTTTATTCTAGGTTGCTGGAATCTATAATAGTCTAGTGGGCTTTCCATTCCCACAGTTAGTCTGAGCTGCCCTGCTAACCTGTGTATCCAATCTGGGTGTATGGAAGAAAGATAGATTCTACACACTAGAGACTGGAAACTTGTGGCACACTTTGAGAAATCTTATTAATCATTTAGAGAATTCATAGGAGAATTAACTGTTAGAAGATCTAATAAAAGGACAGAAAATTTGCAATGTGACTGCCCTCCTCCATTACCCACCAAAGATACTCAACGCAGAGAAAGAAATAGCCTTACCTTAGTTTGACTGTCTCCATTCTGTAGCCCTACATAATTGCTTTAGAATAACATTATTCCCTATATCCCTATGGCAACAACAAGTTCTGATGATAAAAGTCACTTGTTTTGAATTTGCTTTTCAAGTCTCAATGCTAAACTTTTCAGAAATGCTACAACCATTGAATTATCAAAGTAGAAGACAGTTCTCAGCCAGGATAAGACAGAAATTTCTCTTGCACCAGTTATGTGCTTTGCCGAGGAAAAAGATGAGTCAAAGGGAAATAGAGACAGTGGAAACTGGAGGTGTTATCTCTAATATGTTTGCTAACCTTGTTTTATATAAGATTTCTGAAAATGTTCTATCTCTTGGTGGTGTTTCAAAAAGGACATTGCCTGTTTCGCATTGCATATTGGATATTGGACCTACTGTGTTAAACAAAAGTCACCTACAATTTTGCCAGCCAAATATTCTTTCTATATATTTTATCTCATTGTTATTATAATTCTGAGGATCCTGGAAAGTTTTATGACCACAAAAATAGAAGAGGAGTGCTTCTTCTTTCTTTTTCTTTTTCTTTTTTTGAAACAGTGTCTCGCTGTTTCCCAGGATGATGGGTGGTGGCACCATCAGCTCACTGCAGCCTCAACCTCTTGGCTCCCACCTCAGCCTCCCAAGTAGCTAGGAACACAGGCACACGCCACCTTGCCCAGCTAATTTTTTTTTTCATAGAGATGAAGTCTCAGTATCTTTCCCCGGCTGATCTCAAACTCCTGGGCTCAAGCAATCCTCCCACTTCAGCTTCCCAAAATGCTGGGATTACAGGCCACCGAACCTGGCTGAGGCATGCTTATTAGTAGCTATAAATGACACAGAGCCACTGTGTGGTTGAATCAGATAGCCACACCTTTTATTCTAATCTCTTCTGACATGGGATGTACGTAATAAATTGCATGTGTCAAACAGACTAACAGTTCTCCCATGAATGTAAACTCCAAGGGAAACTCAGTAGGCAACAGAAAGGAGAAGTGGAGCTCAATAAGTTTATCTGAAGCTAATTGCATGATATACTCAAGGGCTGGCCAGCTGCAAACGCCTGTGGAGCAGCTTTGAGAGCATGTGCTGAACTTTAATCTTTACTTACGGAAACTCCCATGATTCCACAGGAATTTTGCCTCTGTAAAGACCATAACATATGGTCCATTTGCAGAGACATATGTTTGAGTAATGGGCCCTGGAGCAAAACATTCACAAATTCTTCTCTTGCTCATTTTGAAATTTCTAGCATGCTGATAGTCGGTGGATAGTTACTCTCTATCTCCTTGGCCTCTAAAGGTAGGGCATGAGTGGGTACCTTTCAGATCATTGTCTCTGATGATCTGTCTCCATAGGAAAGAGGAAGGAAAGACAGGTCATCAGGAACTTTACTCACACTGAGAATACTGTTTTGCTGTTAATCTGTAAAGAGCATGAACAACTTTCTCATTGCCTTCGGCCCTAGAAGATCAACCATCTGTCGTATGAGAACACATGGCTACTCGGTGTAAAGTAGAGTCAAGGAGATTCAGGCAAAACTATTGAGTATGGAGGGGCTCTGGCAAAGAAAGAACTCACCCTCACCAGCAACGTCAACATCTGGCCCCAAGGGGGTACCTTCCCTCTGCTCCCCAAGTAGAGAGTGTTGAATGAACATGCCATTTTCTACTGGGGATAGAAGAGCCCCTCTGTCTCTCTATTAGTGATCTCTGAAGATATGTTTAATTATCTCTCTTTGCTCCAACTTCACCAATGCTGACGCTTCTTCAGCAACACCAAGACAGAATACAGCCAGGTACAGTGGCTCAGGCCTGTAATCCCAGCACTTTGGGAGGCCGAGGCCAGAGGATTGCTTGAGAGCAGGAGTTTGAGGCCAGCCTGGGCAATATAGTAAAGACCCCCTGCCCCCATCTCTACAAAACAATTTATAAAATCAGCCAGGTGTGGTAGCAAGTGGCTGTAGTCCCAGCTACTCTGGAGCCTTAGCAGGTGGAATTGCTTGAGCCCAGGAAATCAAGCAGTGAGACGTGATTGCACCACTGCACTCCAGCATGGGCAATAGAGTGAGACCCTGTCTCAAAAAGAAACAACAAAAAATTAAAATTGAAAAGACAGAATAGATAAGACAGATGTCTCTTAAGCTTGTCAATTCCCCGTAGGGGTTATGAACCAAAGGAGGTGAAATGGCATTGAGAGAGTCAGCAACAGTACATAGGGAAGCCAGTGTGCACACCCTACCTAACACAAGAGGCTTCCATACTGAGGGTGACTGAATTGCAGCTTTTTCACAGCAGGGAGTCTTTTTTTTTCTCCTCTGAAACCAAAAGTATCTATGTAGTATCCACCACTTGGATCAGTCATTGGAGAGACTGCACCCAACAGGATAGATGTGGCTCCTGCCTTCAGGGAACTAGAAATGAAAAGCATGGGTTATCTACACAATTGAGCCTAGTCAAAGGAAAACTATGGGATCTTAGGAGAACACATAGAAAGAAAATTTTACCACAGTGACAGAAATTATAATGTTTTTCATGAGAAATGGGCATTCTGTAGCTCTTGAACCACCCTGCACAACATGATTTCTGCTATGATCAGAATGTCTGCTTTCCCCCAAAATTCTTATGTTGAACTCTAACCCACAGGGTGATGGTGTTAGGAGGTGGGGCCTTTTGGAGGTGATGAGGTCATGTGATGGTTAATATTGAGTGTCAACTTGATTGGATTGAAGGACGCAAAGTATTGTTCCTGGGTGTGTCTGTGAGGGTGTTGTCAAAGGAGATTAACATTTGAGCCAGTGGACTGGGAGAGGCAGACCCACCCTCAATCTGGGTGGGCACCGTCTCATCAGCTGCCAGCATGGCCAGAATAAAAGCAGGCGGAAGAACGTGGAAAGACTAGACTGGTTTAGTCTTCTGGCCTACATCTTTCTCCCATGCTGGGTGCTTCCTGCCCTCGAACATCAGACTCCAAGTTCTTCAGCTTTGGGACTCAGACTGGCTTCTTCACTCCTCAACTTGCAGACGGTCTATTGTGGGACCTCACCTTGTGATCATGTAGGTCCATATTCCTTAGTAAACTCCCCTTTATGTATACATCTATCCTATTCGTTCTGTTCCCCTACAGAACCCTGACTAATACAGGTTATAAGGGTGGAGCCTCATGAATGGGATTAGTGCTCTTATAAAAGGGACCCCAGAGAGCTCCCTTGCCCCTTTCACCGTGTGAGGACACAGCAAGAAGAAGCTTGTCTATAAACTGGGAATGGGTCCTCACCAGACGCTGAATCTGCCACACCTAGATCTTGAACTTCCAGCAACTAAAACTTTAAAAAAAAATAAGTGTCTTGTTTATAAGCCACTTGATCTAGGGTCGTTTCTAATAGGAGCTCGAATGAACTGAGATCGTCTCTTTTTCACATGCTATCTTGCAAGATTAATCCATTAAATCTACCCTCACACTTACACGACTCTCTGCACTTAAGGACAAATTTGTCCACTAGCCATAGCTACTAGGAAGAGAATTGTAAAGTGTTGCTCTGTTTTGTGTTGTTTTTAATTGGGGTGGGATGAGAAGAAATTATGAGAGCAACAGGCAATTTTAAAGCTGTGGGGTGGGCAAGCAAAGAACGTTACAACAGAGGACTGGTGAGAATTAAGGAAGCAGAGCCGGTACTGACAACGAATTTTCTGTCTTCCTAGTCTGCCTAGGATGAGGACTTGGCTGCCACATTTTAGCTAACCTGCCTTCTGGACAAATCCCCAGCTGGGACCTCGCACAATCCATCCCACTCTCTTTATTCTCTCCCTTGAATCAGAGCTTCTCCTTACTAGCAGGGTAAACAGAATCTTATTAAAACATCTGGCTAACGTCAACAGCTTATCTGCATGGAAATGCGACTGTAAATCCATCCACCAACAAAATGAATGTGTACAAAGTGCAAGCAGCTCTCCACGCCAAAAAAAAAAAAAAGAAACAAATTTAAAAAATAGTTCATGGGAAACAACTGCAAGGGATTGAAAATAATTTTCAAGCTCTACTTACAGATATTTACATCAGGGCGTGAGTGTGGTAGACAGGCCATATTCTATCAACTCACCTATGCATTTATGCAAAGAAAGTAAACAGAACTGATATTGGGAGAGGTGCCTAAACTGTGGCACCATGTGCGTTTTCCACCTTGCATTTGTCATTTTCATGAATCGAGGAGCCCTAGTTTTAAGACTGAAGCTCTTTTCCTTTTATTGCAGCTCCTTGAACTCCACATTTTATTATTATTATTATTATTATTATTACTATGACTTCCTAAATACTGTGCTTTGGCACTCTTCACTTACTTCCTTTATCCCTGTGATAGCAATGCCAGCAACGGCTGCCTACTCCTCTTACAAATCCCTTGATAAAACTCACATATTACACTGAGCCTCGAAACACTGTTTGCATTGCGGCTCCTATCTGCTCACTTGAGTGTTTTGCCAAAGTGGCGTGCTGTCGAGAAGAGTATTTACTGCTGGCGGTGAGGATGTCGTCTGCTTAAGTTGGGTAAACTACTCACAGAGCTACACTGGGAGACACACAGGGATCTTCCTTGCACACTACCTGTTCAGAGTGAAAGGGTACAGTGTGTGGCAGATGACAAAGACCCATCACCTCCAAGTTATCAGCTGCAAGGAGGGTGCTTAGAAAATTGTTCCCTTTCTCTCTCTCTCTTTCTCTCTCTCTCTCTCTCTCTCTCTTTCAGTATGAATTGAGAATGAATTGTCTCTGGGTTTCCTTGGTCACCCATTGGCTGGTCCAGTTGGAAGGGGAAGCAAAGCTGAACCTCAAAATGATGCACAGAGAGGGAGATTTGCCAGGTACAGTAACTGAGAAGAAGAAAACCCAGCCTGGACTCCCCTATCCAAACTCTCTTTTCTCCCATGCTCCCTGAAGGAGGATAGAGGGGATGAGGGAAGAATGATCCTAGAGCCAGATCCATAGCTCTGAGGTTTTTTCCTAAAAGGAGGTTGGGATTTTTGTGGGAACAAATAAAAGAGGAAATGCTCTCCTGAGAGATCTGAATCTAAAGATAGAAGAAGCACTAAGGGTTTGTTTCGGTTTGATTTGGGTTTGTTTGCTTGCTTTTTGAATTTAAGAAAACAACATAGGAAGCTTGAAGTTTGAAAACATTCTCCTATTTTTATAGTTCCCTGTATTTAACTCTAACATAAGCAACAACCTCAAATTATTAGTAAGAACAAATTTAATCACACATATAGCAACAATTCAACAAATACTGTTAATGATTACTGACTGGCAGGTAAGTAAACTGCTTACAAAGATAGCCTTGCTATGCACGATCATAATTATTTGCAAACACCAGTTTGACCTTGACAGTGAGGAGTACAAATTATAGGGTTGGCACTGACCTCTCATAGTCACCTGTTTCTGTTGCTTATGTGGAAGGAGAATATCTTCTCCAGGGGTACTAGGAACCAGGCAGTTTAGGTAATGATTAGCAACAAGACAAGCTATGAATGATCCAAGTCAGAGCTAGAAGAAACAACATAAACATTATATTTACATCCTGGGCAATATAGTGAGACTCTGTCTCTACAAAAACAAAAAAAAAAAAAAAAAAAAAGGAGACGTTAGCCAGAAGTAGTGGTGCGTACCTGCTGTTCCAGCTACTTCTGAAGCTGAGGCGGAAGGATTGCTTGAGCCCAGGAGGTTAAAGGTGCAATGAGCTGTCATTACACCACTGCACTCTAGTCTGGGTGACATAGCAAGACCCTGTCTCGAAAAAAAATTAAAAATAAAAATAGACACTACATATAGGAAGCAATGGTAGAGTGGACAGGATGGTGATGGGCGTAAGAGAAACCTCCATCTCCCCCTAACAGCTAGACAGAAGTAATCTATGGGGGTGCTGAGGATGGTATTTTGGCTAATGTATAGCAATTACTTTCCATGCCTGTAATGGTTATAACTTCTACTTTCCAGATAAAGAAATGAAGCCTCAAAGGACATGTAACTTTTTCAAAAGATACACAGTAGCCTTGCTCCTAGTGTAAGTTCCATGCCTTCATTCCTAGCCTAAGTCAGAAGAGAGCTGGCATTTCCTACAGATGACTGACTTCTGCTGGTTTAAGGTGTTGACCAATTTTTTTTTCCTTATCAAGTGATTCTTGGCACTTTGATTTAACAATACCTTAACCGGTAAAACATTATCCAAAGCTGTTTGAAAATCTCGTCATAAAGCATCCAGTGAACTGCCATTGTCTCCAGTGGCAACAATATCTTTGAACATCCCTTGTAATGGTGCTTTAACAAAAACCTCTGCCTCCTAAATCCTTGCTGGCTATTTCTAACAAAATAGCCCTTTCTGAGGTGGTCTCTCAATATGTTTTACAAAATTGACTACAATATTTCCCCCACAATGGTGGAAGTTATAAAGCTAACCATTGACCTTCTTATTGAAAAATGGCATTATACATGTCACTTTGGAGGTTTGAATAAATCAACAGAAATGCAGGGATAGAACTCAGGTTATAGAAAGGTGAAGGTAGTAGATTTCCTGTTTTTTTTTTTAAAAAAAACTAATTCATCTTTTAAGACCATTTTTCAGTCTTTTCTCCTACATGGTTTCTAATCCATTGTGAAAATTAAGGTTAATTCTAAGCTCTATCTGGTGAGATAAAGAGAATGGGGGACATGGGTTTTTTTTGTGTGTGTGAACAACCATTTCAGTAAGAACTAGTCTGATGAACTAAAAGAGAGAGATCAGAATGTGGCCATAGAGAGAACTGGCTCAGTCCATTTAGTGATGTTCACTTTAGCTATGTGCATCAGAAAAGCGAATACCGCATACCTGTCCAGATAAGTGAGTGATCACAGGCAAACACACCCAAAGAACAACCACCAAAGTCCAAAAATTAAGCACTGCATGCATCTCCAAGCACTCATGTATTTGTTCATTCTCACAATGCTATAAGTACTTATCCGACACCAGGTAATCTATAAAGCAAAGAGGCTTAATGGACTCAGAGTTCTACAGGGCTTAGGAGGCCTCAGGAAACTTACAATCATGGCAGAAAGGGAAGCAAGCACATCCTTCTTCACATGGCGGCAGCAACGAGAAGTGCAGTTTGAAGGGGGGTTAATCCCCTTATAAAACCATAAGATTTTGTGAAAACTCATTCACTATCATGAGGAAAGTGTGGCGATAACCGCCCCCATGATTAAATTACCTCCCACTGGGTCCCTCCCACGACATATGGGGATTATGGGAACTACAATTCAAGATGAGATTTGGGTGGGGACACAGCCAAACCAGGTCAACCCACCTCCATATTCCCTTCCAATAATTACCACTACCCAGAGCCAAAATAATTACATTTTAATACCATAGATTGGGTTTCTCTGTTTCAAACTCTATATAAATGAAATAATACAATATTTATTATTCTAAATGTCTTCTTTTACTTAACCTTATGTTTCTGAGACGTAGCCACATTGTTGTATAAACTGGGTAGTTTATTCATTTTTTACCTCTATATACTATTCTGCTGTATGAAGAACACGGCCTTACAGAGAACTGACTCAGTCGATTTACTGATAAATGTCAACGTCAGCATTATATTGGCTCTTCAGAGGGAAATAATCGCATTAGTCACTGTGAATAGACACAAATACTAGCCTTTCTTATTTGCTTTTTCCCTTTAGTGGTCAGACTAAGAAAAGAGTTAGTGAGTGTCAATGATTCTATTCAACTAACCATCCAAAAAAATGTACCACATTATAAACAAACAAGCATCTCCATTATGGAAATCTGATGAGAGAAAACAGATAGCATTTATATCCTCCTTAGCCTCTTGCCCCACCTAGTTTCAAATCACTGGGCACATCAAGTTTCAGAACTCTCCATATGAATAGGAATGGGTTGAAAATCAGGCCACGTGTAAAGCTGCAGTTTCTGGGGAAAAAAAAAGTGCATTGTTGTACCTTTGTAGTGCTGCCTAAAGCTAAAAGGGAAAAGAATATTCCATTCAGGCCAGAAAGGGGAAGAGAGGGAGAAAATAAATTTCCTAGAAAACTCGTAAAACTTCTGGTTTACCTTAGGTTTGAAATGCAAGTGAGATTTTATTTCCTGCAAAAATCAGCCCTTAGGTCCATAAAGTATATGGGGACAGGTGATTGGTTTAATCAAGTGGCATTAAAAAGTTATGTTTCTGTTGATGTGTGACATTGAAGAAAAGTGCACACAGCATACCTACACAGGTAAGTGAGTGATCACAAGGTAAACACACCCACAGAACCACCACCAAAGTCAAAAAATGAAGCACTGCATGCATCTCAAAGCACACCCCCATAGTCCCTTCCAATAATTACCACTCCCCATGCCAAAATACTTACATCCTGGGTTTGTTTGTTTTCAAACTCTATATAATGGAATAACACAGTATTTATTATTCTGTCTAGCATCTTTCACTTAACATTATGTGAATGAGACCTAGTCACATTGTTGTATAGACTGGGTAGTTCATTCATTTTTATCTCTATATACTATTCTGTTGTATGACGACACCTCAATTTATTTATTCATTCTACTGTTGACAAATCTTTAGGTTTTTTTCCTGTTCTTGGCTTTTATGTATAGTGATTATATTAGGCCATTCTTGCATTGCTATGAGGAAATATTAAAAAGTAATTTATAAAGACTGGATAATTTGTAAAGAAAAATGAAATATTAAAAATAATTTATAAACACTGGTAATTTATAAAGAAAAGAGGTTTAATTGGCTCACAGTTCTTCAGGTTGTACAGGACGCATGGTGCCGGCATCTGCTCGGCTGCTGGGGAGGCCTCAGGAAACTTACAATCATGGCAGAAGGTGAAGGGGAAGCTGGCAGAAGATGAAGGGGAAGCTGGCATGTCACATGGCTGGAGTAACAATAAAGAGAGAGAGAGGAGGTGCTACACACTTTTAAACAGTCAAATCTCCTAAGAACTCACTCACTATCATGAGAACAACACCAAGAGGATGGTGCTAAACCGTTTATGAGAAGTCTGCCCCCGTAATCCAGTCACTTCCCACCTGGCCCCTTCTCCAATATTAGGATTACAATTTGACATGGGATTTGAGCAGGGACACAGATCCAAACCATAGCACTGATGCTATGAACATTTTGAACCAATCTTTTGGCACACATAAACACACATTTCTATCTGGTATATACTGAGGAGTGGAATCTTTGAAAAATGGTCAGCTTCTTCAAGCTTCTTCTATGGCCAGCTTTTAAAGACACAGCCAACCAATTTTCCAAAGCATATGCTCCCTTTCTGGTAACTCCCACCCCCCAGCAATGTACGTGAAGTCCGATTTTTCTGTTTCTTTGCTAACACTTGATGATGTCAGTCTTTCTCATTTTAGCCATTTCGGTGGTGGTGTAGATGTCTCCCCCCTTGTGGTTTTAATGCAAATTTCTCCAACGCTTGATGAGTTTCAGTACCATTTTCATGTGTTGTATTAGACCATTCTTGCGTTGCTATAAAGAAATATCTGAGACTGGGTAAAGTCACTGCATCCTTGATGTCCTGGGCTTAAGCAATCCTCCCACCTCTAGAGTAAGTAACTAGGACTACAGGCGTGTGCCACCACATCTAGCTAATTTTTGTATTCTTTTTGTGGAGGCAAGTTCTCGCTATTTTGTCCAGGCTGGTCTTGAAATCTGGACTCAAGTGATCCTCCCACTTCAGCCTCCCAAAATGCTGGGATTACAGGTGTGAGCCACCACACCTGGCTTAATTAATTCCTTTCTCTGAAGACTTTTCCCTCTAATAAAATACACTAATACTTTTCAAACAGAACCAGTATCAGTCACTTATAACTTAGTACAATTAAGCTATAAAATTCATCTTATTTATATGATGTTAGGAATATAAACACTATGAAACAAAAATTTACTGTGTACCTATTAAGGGAAGAAAAGCGGACCAAAAGTCAAGTTGGAGAAAATAAAAGATAATTTCAGCCTACTTCAATAATGGGCAAATTGCTAAATCTTGCAATATATTACTGGGTAAAAGACATTAAATCATTCATTCTATAGCAGTTGAAATAATACGAGTAAGAACTATTAGAATAATGAAGACAGCAACAATTCAATAAGCACTGTTCACTGTTAAATACTGACAGGTGAGAATTCATCGCCTTCAGAACTCATCTGACTATAGCTCATAACTTTGCTTCCACAGAGGAACAAAAATCTCACACAACTTTTCACACTAGCATAGATTGTCATATATAAAATAAGAATGGCATTATAAAGTGGGGTATAGAGGTAATATAGGAGTAATTAGTTGGATTTATTTTAAACTGTATGTCTTCACCAATTTATATGATTCTTATGAAAAATAAATCATGATTCTATGTAAACTTCCTGATAATTTTCAGTTTGGACCCCTATTACACTACATTTTCTTAGCCCAATTATTTTCATAAATGCTTCATTTAAATAAAATATGATTCTTTAATGAAGAAAATCTGAGTAAACTATTATATTTTTATATGAACAAAATGAATAAGCATCGGCAAAGAAAGCATAAATTATTAATTCAAGGTTACACATACTTTTCAGGGCTACATTCACTAATACATAAAGTCTTTCAAAAAATATTTTTATTGTTCTGTTAAAAAATAAACCCTTTGGTTTTTTGAATAATTTTTTGACCAGATTAAAAATTGATCAACTTTTGCTCTGGAAAATAATAAAATCTGTAGCAAGGCTAAAAGATTGATTTGTGGAGACTGTTACAATGAATGTAGAGATGAAATGAGATGTTTTTTCTTTCTTCATCTATATTCAAATCTACCCTTTATGTGAAAGTTGAGTGAGGTCCATTAGTGTTATATTTACAGGTGCTGGACTTTATGAATTATATACGCCTGCCAAGAATTTCCCATTTAGGGCTTGCATTTGCACCTGGAGACTTTTATCTAATTTTTAAATTAAGCCAAAAATGCATTTCACTCTCAACCTCACCAGTGAATTTTTTAAAAGGGATATTGGCAGAGGAGGAATAGCAGGGGTGATAGAGATTAATTCAAATGACAGAATAGGCTTTAAATAAACAGAAAATAGTAATGTGAGGAAATATACAAACACCATCTTATTTGCTGTATCCCACTCTGGAGAAATTCCTTTTTTATCAATACATGTTGCTGTAAAATAATCTTGCAGACTTAAATTTCACAAGACAGGGAGTTTTTGTGCATCCACCCAATTCAAAATTGCTTTCAAGGGAGCTGGCATACTGAGACAATTTTCCAGGCAATAAGTTGGAATTTCCCAATTTCACCTAAAGGAGAAAATAGAAATACTTGAAATCTATTATGTCTTGCTCAAGTTGGTGATGGAGTGATCTCTCTGATTTACAAAGTCCCCTCTCTGGAAACTCTAGTCGTGCCGTTCTATTTTTTACTTCAGGAATTTTTAACCCAATGACTATTTTTAAGAACTATCATTGGAAATAGAGAAAGACGGAAATACATTTGGGAAAAGAACAAGGAAGGGAGGCATTGGCAGACATGAAGAAAAGTGTTCACAGTTTAGAAAAGATTAACAGGAATGAGGCAAAGTCCATTTCTAAGGAGTTAACTTCCAGCTGTGGCCAGGAAGATCGCTGGGTGCCTGCAGAATGCCCTGCAGTGTTCTGATGAAAAACTGTATAAGGCTATCTTGTGGGAGCCACATAACCATGGCCATCAGGGAGGAGTGGTGAATAACACGTTTTTTAATGAGTTTTGCGGATTAAATAAATGAAAGATGTCAGACATTTTCGTCTTCAATCAATCAAGTAGTCTCTTTCAGGGACCATGTTTAGTCCTGAGAGATGGAAAAGATAATAATTCCTAGTGGTAAAATGAGAAGGATGTGGAATATGACAAAGTAAGAGTAGCCTAATAAAACAATGCATCATACAACACAAAAATAATTAAAAATAGACATGTTGTTCATTCAGTAAAGAGTAATTAAATGCTTACTTGAAACAGGTGCCTTGTATGATAGGAGACACCTGGAAAACGATCAGTTAAGACCTGTATCGCTACAAGCTCATTTTCCTTGAGTCCTGTTAAAAGAGTTTTCTGTAATGTTAGAAGTTGAAAAGGAAATACAGCATTTCCCTCCATGTCTGAGTGCTTTTCTACATATATAATGTTGCCATGAATATTTTTTTCAAGTCTAGACTCAGTTCCAGTAGGTCAGTTCCTGGTATGTCACACTCTCCTAGAGTCTCCAGATAATGAAAATAATCTTTTAAAACTGAAATGATGACCTTGTTTCTAAAACACCTACTATATGCCAGGAAATGTGTTACGGACTTTAGGTATAATCTGTTTTATTCATTTAACCTTCAAAATAATCCTGCATGGTGTGGATCATTTATTGTGTCTTTACAGAAGGGGAATCTGAATGGAAAATAATTTGATATATCTAAACTTCCAAGAAAGGGCTGAAGAATCTGAACTCAGTCCATCTTAGGCAAAAACTGAAGCTCTTTTAACTTGTCTGCCTCTAATGGATTCACAATCAGGTACCCAGTGATATGACCTGGCTCTGTGTTCCCACCCAAATTTCATCTTGAATTGCATTCTGAATTTTAATCCCCACGTGTTGAGGGAGGGACCTTGTGAGAGGTGATTAGATCATGGGGGCAGTTTCCCCATGCTCTTCTTGTGATAGTGAATGAGTTCTCATGAGATCTGATGGTTTTACAAGGGACTTTTCCCCACTTCGCTCTGCACTTCTCCTTCCTGCCACCAAGTGAAAAGGACATGTTTTCTTCCCTTTCCGCCATGATTATAAGTTTCCTGAGGCCTCCCAGCTCAGGGGAACTGTGAGTCGATGAAACCTCTTTCCTTTATAAATTACCCAGCCTCGGAAGTTCTTCACAGCAGTGTGAGAACAGACAAATACACCAAGGAAGACTGAAAACAATTTTTCTTCTTCCCTTTTCCATTTCAACACAGCCATGACATTATATTGCAATGATGGGAGAGAAGGCATGATTTAAAACAATGGTTCTCAAGCTTAAACATGCATCAGAATCAGTGAGAATGGGAGTCCACAAGCTTTTTCTGTAAAAACCCAGATAATAAATATTTCTCATTTTGCAGTTCATATAGTCTCTATCACAGTTATTCAACCGTGCTCTTGTAGCACGAGAGCAGTCACAGATAATACAAAGTGAATGAGTGATTGCATTCCAATAAACCTTTATTCACGGGCATGAAATCTGAATTTCATATAATTTCCATGTGTTGTGAATTATTCTTCTTCTTTGTAATTTTCCCTAATCATTTAAAACTGTGAAAGTTATTCTTAGTTCAGAGGCATGAAAAAGCAAGTGGTTGTTCTGCTACTGGAAAGGGGTCCGGATCCAGACCCCAAGAGAGGGTTCTTGGACCTCATGTAAGAAAGAATTTGGGGTGAGTCCATAAAGTGAAAACAAGTTTTTAAGAAAGTAAAGGAATAAAGAATGGATACTCCATAGGCAGAGCAGTGGCTTGAGCTGCTGGACTGAGTATACTTATAGTTATTTCTTGATTATATGCTGAACAAGGTTTGGATTATTCATGAGTTTTCCAGGAAAGGTGTGGGCAATTCCTGGAATTGGAGGTTCCTCCCCTATTTAAACCATATAGGGTAACTTCCTGCTGTTGCCGTGGCATCCGCAAACTGTCGTGGCGCTGGTGGGGGTGTCATTTAACATGCTAATCCATTATAATTAGCATATAATGAGCAGTGGGGATGATCAGAGGTCACTTTTGTCACCATCTTGGTTTTGGTGGGTTTTGGCAGCCTTCTTTACTACAACAGTTCAGGTTTGGCCCCCAGGTGAGAACCATTCATCTACATGGTGGATGAAGAAAACAGTTCAAAAATGAGCTTATGGGCCGGTTCTTCTTCAATAAAGTGCTGATGTTTCTATTATTTTCATATTATTTTCAAATGTGCTTGTGCTACACGTACTTTCTTCTTTAATCAAATCAGTTGCCAACATTTGAAAATTTGGATATTTACATAAAATCTGAAGTTTTGGGACTGTTCTTGAAAAATGCAGAGAACAAGCAATATAAAAGCTGCATTCCTGCCTGGTAATCCTTGCTCCACTCAGGAAGAGCTGATGCCCCATATGAAGAGCCATGGTCTTTTCCTAGTTGGTCATTGTATTACTTCATTCTTATACTGATAAAAAGAACTTACCTGAGACAGGGTAATTTTGAACAAAAGAGTTTAATTGACTCACAGTTCTGCAGGCTGAGCAGGAAGCATAACTGGTAGGCCTCAGGAAACTTACAATAATGGCAGAGGCAAAGGAAAAGCAAGCACGTCTCACCATGGCACAGGAGGGGAGAGAGCGAAGGGAGTCAGTGTGACACAATTTTAAACAACCAGACCTCCTGAGAACTCACTCACTATTATGAGAACAGCAAGGCAGAAATCCACACCCATGATCCAATCACCTCCCAGCAGGTCCCTCCCCCAACACTGGGGATTACAATTCAACATGAGATTTGGGTGGGGACACAGAGCCAAACCGTATGTCATTTTCGTCCTTTATTTATCTGGCCTCTGTGGTTTGCCTTCACCATTCCTAAAGTACACTAATAGAAAAGGAACACTCTACCTTACATCAGAGAACTTATTAAATAACACATCATTTGTGCCAGGCATGGAGCCATATATCATATAGATGTACACAGATGACCCTAGAACAATCTAGGTTTGAGCTACATGGGTCTGCTTATACAAAATTTTTTTTTTAATAAATATGTTGGAATTTTTTTTTATTGAGATTGTGACAATTTTTAAAAACTCACAGATAAACTGCATGGCCTAGAAATATTGAAAAAAATAGGAAAAAGGCATGTCATTAATTCACAAAATATATTCATGTCACGAATGCATAAATCACACACATTTGTTAACACATATGTATAACATGTACATATGATAAACAGTTGGCTAACACATACGTGTGTGTATAACATAAACAGTTGGTTAATACATACATATGTGTTAACTTATGTATGTGTTAACCAACAGTTTAGTTATAAACATACATGATAAACAGTCAGTTAACACATATGTATGTGTTATACATAAACACATAAGTATGTGTTCATGTTATCAGGAAGGCTGGCCAACAGGAGGCTGTAAGTAGTTAAGTTTTTGGGGGAAGTCAGAAGTTATATGCAGATTTTGAACTGTGCAGAAGGTCAGCACCCCTAACAATTGCATTGTTCATGGGTCAATTGTATATAAATGTATTCATTTATCCATTGGCCAGCTATGTAGGCATAGTGTCTTAGTCTGTTGTTGCTGCTATAACAAAATATCTTAGGCTGGGTAATGTATAAAAACAGAAACTTATTTCTTACAGTTCTGGAAGCTGCGCAGTCCAAGGTCAAGGCACCTGCATGTGGTGTCTACTGAGAGCCTTCTTGCTGCACCCTCTTGTGTCCGGAATTGGTGGGTTCTTGGTCTCACTGACTTCAAGAATGAAGCCGGGACCCTCGCGGTGAGTGTTACAGCTCTTAAGGTGGCGCGTCTGGAATCTGTTCCTTCTGATGTTCGGATGTGTTAGGAGTTTCTTCCTTCTGGTGGGTTCGTGGTCTCGCTGGCTCAGGAGTGAAGCTGCAGACCTTTGCGGTGAGTGTTACAGCTCTTAAGGCGGCACGGCTGGAGTTGTTCGTTCTTCCCTGTGGGCTCATGGTCTCGCTGGCTTCAGGAGTGAAGCTGCAGACTTTCACGGTGAGTGTTACAGCTCATAAAAGCAGTGTGGACCCAAAGAGTGAGCAGCAGCAAGATTTATTGCAAAGAGCGAAAGAACAACGCTTCCATGGTGTGGAAGGGGACCCAAGCCGGTTGCCACTGCTGGCTCCAGCAGCCTGCTTTTATTCTCTTATCTGGCCCCACCCACATCCTGCTGATTGGTAGAGCCCAGTGGCCTGTTTTGACAGGGCGCTGATTGGTGCGTTTACAATCCATGAGCTAGATACAAAGGTTCTCCGCGTCCCCATCAGATTAGTTAGATACAGAGTTTCGACACACAGGTTCTCCAAGGCCCCACCAGAGCAGCTAGATACAGAGTGTCGATTGGTGCACTCACAAACCTTGAGCTAAACACAGGGTGCTGACTGGTGTGTTTACAATCCCTGAGCTAGACATAAAGGTTCTCCAAGGCCCCACCAGAGCAGCTAGATACAGAGTGTCGATTGGTGCACTCACAAACCCTGAGCTAGATACAGGGTGCTGATTGGTGTATTTACAATCCCTGAGCTACATATAAAGACTCTCCATGTCCCCACCAGACTCAGGAGCCCAGCTGGCTTCACCCAGTGGATCCCGCACCGGGGCTGCAGGTGGAGCTGCCTGCCAGTCCCGCGCCATGCGCTGGCACTCCTCAGCCCTTGGGCAGTCGATGGGACTGGGCGCCGTGGAGCAGGGCGTGGCGCTCATCGGGAAGGCTCGGGCTGCACAGGAACCCACGGAGGCGGGGGAAGGCTCAGGCATGGCGGGCTGCAGTCCCGAGCCCTGCCCCGTGGGAAGGCAGCTAAGGCCCGGTGAGAAATCGAGTGCAGCACCAGTGGGCTGGCACTGCTGGGGGACCCAGTACACCCTCCACAGCCGCTGGCCCGGGCGCTAAGCCCCTCACTGCCCGGGGCCGGCAGGGCCGGCCGGCCGCTCCAAGTGCGGGGCCAGCCAAGCCCACGCCCACCCGGAACTCCAGCTGACCCGCAAGCGCTGCGCGCAGCCCTGGTTCCCGCTCGCGCCTCTCCCTCCACACCTCCCTGCAAGCTGAGGGAGTGGGCTCCAGC
This sequence comes from Homo sapiens, assembly GCF_000001405.40. Lineage (NCBI taxonomy): Eukaryota > Metazoa > Chordata > Mammalia > Primates > Hominidae > Homo > Homo sapiens. The sequence continues at coordinate 6,690,929 of NC_000023.11, forward strand.
CTTGGCCAGCCCAGAAAAGGGCTCCCACAGTGCAGCGGCGGGCCGAAGGGCTCCTCAAGTGCTGCCAAAGTGGGAACCCAGGCAGAGGAGGCGCCGAGAGCAAGTGAGGGCTCTGAGGACTACCAGCACGCTGTCACCTCTCACTCTCATAGCAAGACAGAATACACTCACTCCCTCAAGCCATTTTATAAGGGTCATGGTCCCATCCGTGACACTCCACCCTCATCACCTAAGGCTCCACCCCTTAATACTATCACATGACCAATTAAATTTCAACATGTGAATTTGGAGGGACACATGAAGACCCTCGTACATTTGCTACCTCCATTTACTAGGTACAAAAAGAGAATTACAAGGTTAAATAAATTGCCTAAGATTACACAGCTGACATGTAGGAAAGACAATTGAATGCCAGATCTGTCTTACTCTACATTGCATGGCCTCTTCTCTACATATTAAGCCTCTAACCTCTCAAGCACAGAGCAAAGGAAATATCTCCCACAGCAACTGCTAAATCAAAACATGAAAAGTTCGCTTTGTAGATGTGCAATAAAATATACGGCAGCAGGTTGTTTACCAGAAATGAATATCGAATTTTATACATTTTGTATCACTTATAGTTTCATGGCTTTTTAAAAATGCAGCAGTAGCGTTTCTTAAAAAATGCGTTCCTTTGCAAACCTTGCATAATATTTTATTCCCCAACACATAATTGCATACCAATCAGTTTTATTTTTTATTCTTCAACAGGCAATATTTCTTTAAAATATCTCTGATTTGGGTCTTCAAAAAACAAGCTACGTCTTGAATAGGAGAATCAGAATTGATGTTGTTAAAGACTGGCTATGCTATTTGGAATTGCCATGGGAGACTGGTACTGCTTCAAAGGTTATATGTCAAAACCACTTCAGAAATTTATAAACTTCAGGAATACTATATATTTATGGAAAAATCAGCATGATTAATAGTTGTTTTAATCTATGTGATGTTATAAAAGTACACGTAACATACCCTACATTGCAATATATATAGATGACAAAGCAATATATGCTAGGGGAAGTTTTTGTAAGTATATAAGCTAATATATTTTATGAAATATAAAATAATACTGCTATAATTTTTATATTAAATATTGTATTTATATATTTTTATATTATAATTTTATATATTAATATATAAAATATATTATATATTAAAACTTGTGATATATATTACAACTTGTGATATAAATTAAAACTTATTTTTTAATCCATACAGTGTCATAAAAGTGTATCTAAAGCATGCTCTTTGTAGTACATATAAATATATATAAATATAAGTATATATAAAAATGAGTACATATATACATATATACAGTTACTATATATGGTATAAATATATACTGTGTAAGTAAATATATATGCATACAGTAACTATATATGTATATATAGCAATGCATTGCTTAACAATGGGACTACATTCTGAGAAATGGGTCATTAGATTTCATCATTGTGCACATCACAATGTCCTTACATAAACCCAGAAGGTGTAGTTACTACACACCTAGACTGTATGGTACAGCCTACTGCTCCTAGACTGCAAACCTTCACAGCATATTACTGTACTGAATATTGTAGGCAATTGTAACACAATGGTATTTATGTATCTAAACATATCTAAACCCAGAAAAAGTATAGTGAAAACATGATATTATAACCTTATGGGGCCACGATCATCTATACAGTCTATTGTTGACTGAAATATTATATGTTGCATGACTGTATATTTATATTTACATGTATATAGACATAAAACAAAGAGTACATTTTAGATTTATTTTTATGACATAGGAATTTAAACTGTTTATGAAGAGAGTCAAACTCTGTAAAATATTTGAAGAGATTTACTCTGAGCCAAATACGAGTGACATGGCCTGTGACACAGCCTTCAGGAGGACCTGAGAACATGTGACCAAGACTGTCGGGGCACATCTTCGTTTTACGTTTCAGGGAGACATGAGATATCAATCAAGTACATTTAAGATATACATTCCTTTGGTCCAGAAAGGTGAGACAACTCAAAGTTGTAGGGGTGGGGGATGGGAGGGGTGGAGGCCTTCCAGGTTATAGGTAGATTTAAAAGTTTTATTATGAATAGAAAGGAAGGAATGTCTGGGTTAGGATAACAGATTGTGGAGAACAAAGTTTCATTATGCAGATGAAGCCTCCAGGTAGCAGGCTTCAGAGAGAATAGACGGTAAATGTTTCTTGTCGGACTTAAGGTCTCTTGATGTTAAATGCTGGTCGGCTGTTCCTGAATTCCACAAGGGAGGAAGGCATAATGAGGTATGTCCGACCCCCCACTTCCGGTCATTTAACTGGAACCAGTCTTTCAGGTTAAATTTTGGAGTGCTCTGGCCCAGAGGAGGAAGTTCATGCCATGGTTGGGGAGAGGGGGCTTAATTTTGATGTAAACCACAATTGTTCACAATTGTTTTTAACAAGTGAATTTCGGGTAACACATGAAGACCCTAGTACATTTGCTATCTCCATTTTCTAGGCACAAAAGGAGAATTACAAAGGTTAAACAAATTGCCTAAAATTACACAGCTCATATGTAGGAAAGACAATTGAATACCAGATCACACATATCAGGTATTCAATTTTAATCTACAATATGCATACAATATATAAATATATATAATATAAATATGTATTTGTATCTAAATAGATATTTTATATTATATATATACGTATATGTGTGTGTATAGACATGTATGTATATATATATATTTCACACACGTAAGACATTCTTATCAGAACTCGTATTGATTATGAGAACCATGATCCCTGGATGTTACTCTATGTCCAGTTATTTAATTAATTTTCAAGAGCTATATTTTTCCGTTCTGTGATCGCACAGTGTGTGTGTGTGTGTGTTTGTGGGCGCACGTGCACTATTTCTCTGGAACCCTTTCAGCGGTTTTCCCACAAGATTCAGAGTTACACAGAGTTGGGGCCGTGGGATGTTCATTGTTGCCCCTCCAGTATTGATCCCAGCCCCTAAAATATATTCTGTACTCCTTGCATGCTCAGTAAATGCACAATAATGTCACCCCTCTAAGGCACAGCCAGCAGTTTTGCAGCTATTGTGTGCAATGAACACACCAAAACCTGCAGAAAAGCCTTTTAACCCGAAACAACTGTTATTTGGATTAGAAACAAAAAGAGAAAATCCTGTCTATGAACACTAACACTAAGATTATCATCTGGAAGAAACTGAAGAGCTGAATTCACATTTAATGTATTTTCCAGTATAATTTATATATAATAAGAACATTTTAATGTGTATGAAACTTTTCTTTTTATTCTTTTCTTTCTTCTTTTTTTTTTTTTTTCAGTAGCTTTTGCCCCTTTCAAGTGGAGTCCTGCCTTTGACCACATTGCGGGAGCTCAATCTCTTCACTGAATTGACAGATCAAAAGACCTAGGAATTTTTTCCAGAAATCCTGGCATTGTTAACTACACTCCGGCCTGCCATGTTTGTCTGTGAAAGTACAGGAAACTGCTTTGAGGAGATGCAAAAGGAGATAAATGTGAGTGACACCGTTAACATTTAAAATAAAGGGAAATGCCAGTAGAGACCAGGAATGGAAATGATTGTCTTTTTCTCTGCTGGTTAAATGAAGAACCCTGTCCACGCTCCTTCTGTGATTTAAATGTAATTTCTCTTTTATTTAATCTTTGGAGGGATTTTCGTTTGTCTACATGGAAAGCATAAGTTCTCTCTTCAGTTTTCAGGGCTGTAGATGGACTTAGGAGTGGCAATAAATGATTGCAAATAGATGCTTAGTGGGTAAAGTCTTATTAGCGCAATGGCTCAGAAGTGCTGAAAACAAAGATTTTTAAAATTCAAACAGGCCGAAGTGGAGAAAAATATACTTAATCAAATTCACAATGTCTAAGTAGTACATAATAATGCTATATTTTTAGAGAACAAAAGCACTATCTTTTTAAAAGGAAAGTTAAAACTTTTGCTCTGAACACATATATAAATACTGAAAATAACTGTCATTTAATCCAAACCTTGGTTAACATAGGCCCGACATTTTCCTGCATCACGAACCCAAAGCCCTTCAGTGAAAACGCTACATTGTTTTGTTTTGTTTCTCTTGGTGCATTGAAACATGCTTTGCAGTTTTCCCTGAACATGTTCTTCTGTCAGATTTGCCCTGAAGTGTTCAACCAACTCATTTCATGCTTACCCAGCGTTTCCTGTTTGGATAAGTATTAGAAGAAACTAACACAAGTGCTCAATTTAGCATGCAAAAAATCACCTTGGTAATTTGAGCCTGAGATGGCAAGAACAAAGCAGTTGCCTGGCTGAATTTATTACATTTAAACTCATTTTTTATATTACTTTACATTTTTCTTTAAGACTAGAGAACATAGGTTGTACAATTCTGATTCTTTAGAAAATGTTGACACTTCTTGCATGCCTAGGACATCGTTAATTTTTCTAAAATGTAATATCTTAAAAAGATTGTGGATGGAAAATTCAGTGTATATCTCATGACGCATCCTTATTAATCGCATTGTTCAAAATGTAACATCTCTACTTCTGAAACCACCTTTGCAAAATTATAACTGAGGAAATTTTGACACTAAAAGAAATCACACCTAACCGACTCCATCTTGCTTCTAACCTGTAAGCTGCCCTTGTTTATTCCTGGGCATACGCCAAACTAACTTTGGGAAGGAATTCAGTTCATGGTTTGATTCTGAAACAAAATTGACAATAGCCCTTTCCCAAAAAGACCCCCTTCTTGTCTGGGGACCAGTCTACCTTTGTAGAACTAACAAATTAGCTGTGAGATTAGAAATTACAGTTTAGGGATCATGCAGCCTCTGGCTCTAAGAGTCTGAACCTCCCCAAATTGCTCCTGGGAATAACATCACTGTTGTAAAACCTAAGATCAGTGCTCTGCTCCCCGAATGCTCAGGGAGACTGATTTGAGTAATAATAGAACTCCGGTCTCCCACATAGCCAGCTCTGCGTGAATTACTCTTTCTCCATTGCATTTCCACTGTCTTGATAGATCGGCTCTGTCTAGGCAGTGGGCAAGGCGAACCCATTGCATAGTTGAACTTCTTTATTTATTATTATTTGACAGTTTGATCTCTTCAATTTCCAAACTTAAATTACTTATAGACAAAATTTTTCCTGAAGCTTTGTCAGTCATACTTGACAGGGTTTGATGCTATATTGTTTGATTCCACATGTTTTCAAATGGGCAAACTTTCTTATTCTATAATTTTCTTATCTAGAATATAGCATCTTCCTTGAACCTTTAATTATAAATTGTTCATCTAAATTCTATATAGTCAGACAATAAAATTGCTACCCCAAAGCAGACATTTCTTAGAAATACAGAAAGAATTAAACATAAAAGAAAAAAAGACATATTAGACTTTGTCAAAGGTAAATTGTTTACTTATCAAAGCTTACTGTTAGTAAACAGTTATAAACAGTTTATTATAAAAAGTTATAAAAATAAGCCAAAGACTGAGAGGAAAATAGCTGCAATACATATCTATGATAAAAGATTTCAATGTAGAAGATTTAAGAAACTAAAATATCAATAATAAAAAGAAAAGCAATCCACTGAAAAATGAGAAAATTTTAGTAAAGAAAATAGAGAAATGGCCAATAAATACAAAAAAAGATGCTCAACATGATTAGTCATCAGAGTATACAAATTAAAACCATGAAAACATCACTTCCCACCAACTGCAAGAATTGAAATTTTAAAAAATGGTAGTTGCATAAATTGGTACTTTCCCATATTGCTGATGGAAACCAGCATTTTCTTATAAAACCACACATACTGACCCTATAGTCTATACTTCCATGCTTAGTATTGACCCAAGATAAATAATATTTTTATGTCCACAAAAATACTTCAGCAAGAATATTCATAAAAACTTTATTTCTAATAACCAAAGACTGTAAATAATGCAGAGGCCATCAACAGAAGAATGGTGGTATACTCATACAATGGAATATTACTCAGCACTGAAAATGAGCAAACCACTGATGTATGGAACAATATAGAAGGTGAAATATGGTCCTACTGGGTGCATATGAACTTCAAGGAAAAGAGTCTAATCTATGGTGATGAAAATGAGAAAACTTGATGCCTATATTGGGTGGTGGAGATACACTGGAAGTATCCATAAGGGAACTTTCTTATGGTCATGGAAATGTTCTACATTTTATTTAAAATGCTGGTTACATGAGAGTAAGCATTTATCAAAATGCATCAAATTGTACACTTAAGATTTGTGCATTTCATAGCATGTAAATTTTAATATATTTAGACACAAAAAATGTGAAATGTGAGGAAAACATATAAAATAAACTTCTTATATAAAATAAAAACGTTTCTCAAATGCATGAAAGCTAATTATCTCATTGAAGTTATTAACTATCTATTTTAAGAATAAAGGACAAAAATCTACTTATGTTTTGTTTCAAAATCTCTTAGGTAATTAAAGGGCTAAAAAATCAAGAACAAAACAAGATAATCATTATCATCATTATTATTTGACATCATTTTGCCATTTTATCCCAAAACAAAATTTTTCTCCAACCAGGCCAGGCCTAGTGGCTCAAACCTGTAATCCCAGCACTTTGAGAAGCTGAGGCAGGAGGATCGCCTGAGCCCAGGAGTTTAAGACCAGCCTGAGACCCCATCTCTACAAAAAAAAAAAAAAAAAAAAAAAAAAAAAAAAAATCCCCCATCTATAAATCTATTATGATTAAAAAAACATGATTGACAGTGATGAAGCTGACTAACTTGTTTATTCAAAACCAGGAATACAAATTTATCTAGAAATTTCCCTCCAGACCAAAAAAACAAATGCAGTTTTCCCATTGAAGAGTGATGATTATTTTTGTTTCAGGATATCAGTGAGTCATGCACACTATAAAAGAAGTATTATCAGAGTAGTTTTAGGTTGTAGATGTAAAATATGGAGTTATCATTTAACCTGTGTTCCCTTGGACTGAATCGTGGGACTGATGGAGAAAGACTGCAAAGATTCCCTTTATGGAATCAGCATAAGCATGTTCCCCTGTTCAGGATTATCTACAACTTATTTCTTCTGCACCAAAAAGGATAGCTTCAGTTGGGAGAAATAACAATGAGCCCCTGCACCCTCTTGACTTACATAATCCACCAAAAACAAACTCAGCCGAAGGTACAGAGAGCAAGTGGAGGCAACCTTGAATAAGGAGGCTTCCAGGATTCAGGAGGATTAACATACCAGCACTCAGATCTTCTTTGAGTTCTATGCTACTTCTAAGCTGGTTAGAAATGGTTTGCAAATTCTGTCATTTCCTTGGTCTACACAGTTACAGAACAAATTATGTTTTATATATGTAAAAAGTGTGCACCTCTTTCTTTTTCTCTGTATCTCTGTTCTTTTCCCCTTTGGAGAGGGGAGATTTTGGCCTGGAAACAAATTAAAGATACAAAGTCTAAATGGATTATTTCTTTGAAGTTCAGTTAAGCCTGAGAAAGCACTTTTTTCCACTCTAAAAATTCAAGATACAGGTATAATACAAACACATTGCACTGGAAGTTAGAGAATAAAAATTGGGGGTTTTGTTTGCTTTTATGTTTTTTAACTCTATTTGCTATTGGGTAAGTTCTTGACTCTGCAGACACTCATGATAATAAGCCTCACTGTATTTATTGAGAATCATGTTGCAAACATTCTGAAAATTTTTTTCTTTTTTTCTTTTCTTTTTTTTTTCGAGACGGAGTCTCGCTCTGTCGCCCAGGCTGGAGTGCAGTGGCGCGATCTCGGCTCACTGCAAGTTCCGCCTCCTGTGTTTACGCCATTCTCCTGCCTCAGCCTCCCGAGTAGCTGGGACTACAGGCGCCCGCCACCGTACAGTTTTTTGTATTTTTAGTGAGACGGAGTTTCACCGTGTTAGCCAGGATGGTCTCCATCTCCTGACCTCGTGATCCGCCCGCCTCGGCCTCCCAAAGTGCTGGGATTACAGGCGTGAGCCACCGCGCCCGGCCTGAAAATATTTTTACATATATGGATGTGAAAGTATATTGTGGAGAGCTGAAGTTTTGGTATTAGATAGATAGATAGATAGATAGATAGATAGATAGATAGATGATAGGATGGAGAGATAGATACATGATTGATAGATAGAGATGTTAGATGATAGATGAATGATAGAGATAGGTGATAGAGAGATAGAGATACATGATTGATAGATGATAGAGATAAATGATTGATAGAAACAGATGATAAGTAGATAGAGATAGATATTGATAGAGAGATATAGGTGATAGATAGCTAATAGATGATACATAGATAATAGATGATAGATATAGATGACTGATATAAATGATAAGTAATAGATTATACAGATAGATAGATGATAGATAGATAGATAGATAGATAGATAGATAGATAGTGAAGGGGATTAGAATATGCTACCCCAAATGTGCCATTTTGGCATAAGGATTATTTTTTAGCTGAATGTACCTGACAAGCAACAGATAGGGAAAGAAATCTCTGCTCTCCCTCTTAAAATCATGACATAAATTTCACTTTTTAAAGTTGATGTAAATTTCTATTTGTAAAGGGTTCCCCTTTCCCATAAGTGGTTTAGTAAGGTGTAATAAACCTTACTAAACGATTCTTAACTACCATATATTTCCTAATCACCTTCCCACAATTTATTGTCCCAAGAAGCCCAAATCCCCTCCCCACCTCTTTTTTTTTTTTTTTTTTGTCTTGTCATTTCTTCACAATTCATCACCTCTTGTGAAAGTGGTAGATAAGCCCTGGGGTCTAACTGCCTCTTTCAGTTTTTGACCTCTTTTCTGTGGGGGTCTCATGCACATAGAAAAATTAACATTAATAAAGAAACATATGCCTTTTTAAATCTATATTTTGTCTATTTAGATCACAGGCCCCAGTCACAGAACCAACGAGATACAAGAAAAGTTTTTTGCCTTCCTTAACATTAGTATGTAGATAGATAGATAGATAGATAGATAGATAAATGGATAGATAAATGGATAGGCAGAAAAGGTAGAAACAAAAAAGGATGGATAGATATAAGGATGGATAGATGGATGGATGGATGGATGGATGGATGAATGGATGGATGGATGGATGGTTAGGCAGATAGATATGTAGAGAAAGGTGATATGTAAAAAGATTCCAAGTTCTGTCTTCACCAGAGTGTTATTTAGAGGACTAAATAAGATAATCTATATCAATATCTATTATTGTCTGCTGTATAAATTTTATTACTATTTTTCATATTCTCCTACATTATTATTTCTGAATGAACATTTCCACTTATTGAAGCACTTCCTTTTTTAAGCAATAAATTGTGTGTAGTGAATGCAGTAAAAAAGCACTGGGAAGAGAACACATTTTTAAAACTTTGAATTCCCCATAACTCTTATCAATAAAGTTGCCTTCTTTGGGGTCTTCAGTCCACTCTGCTTCCTACAGAGTTTAGATTCCAATGGCTATTGTCTTTAAGAATACTCTCAGTTCAACTAATCAGCCATCTCCAAGAACCCTCATTGCAAGCACTGCTGGGGTAAAAACAGGCACTAAACTTATCTGTCATTACTGCCATCAATATAAAATCCAACAGGAATGAGTCCTTGGAGCTGGCGATGATGGCTCACGCCTGTAATCCCAACACTTTGGGAGGCTAAGGCAGGCAGATCTCTTGAGCTTAGGAGTTCAAGACCAGTCTTGGCAAGACCCTGTCTCTACAAAAAATACAAAAATTAGCCAGGCATGGTGGTGCATACCTGTAGTCCCAGCTACTAGGGAGGCTGAGGTGGGAGGATCACATGAGCCCAGGAGATCAAAGTTGCAGCAAGTTATGATCACACCACTGCACTCCAGCCTGGGTGACAGAGTGAGACCCTGTCAAAAAAAAAAAAAAAAAAAAAAAATGGGGGTGGGGTGGGGAGGGAAATGAGTCCTTGGACCAGATGTTAAGATATCTGGGCTATAGCCTGTAGTTCTCTTTTGGGCCCACCATTGACTAGCAATTACTTTGGGAAAATCTCTTTACATTGTTTGTATCTCAGTCTTCTCTATACCAAATCTTGTTACCTTGCCCCCACTGCTAATGGAGACAGAATAAACCTCGTGAGATTAAATTACAGCATGTTATGTTTTCTAAAAGCAAGAGAGATAAACATCGGCCTGGAGATATGTAGTGGCTCCCTATTCTTGGCTGCCTGACTATGTTCTATCCCAGGATACCATTATGCACCAACTCTGGTAATCCCATCTCTTCTGCCATGCATGGCAGAAAGACATTTACGGGATGGGGCTCCTGGGAAACAGGCCAGTCAACTCTCCTATCAAGATGCAGATGAGGAAGGCCTGGTTGCTGTCAGCAACTGCCTGTGGCTATGATGACGCTGATGCTATAAAAGGCAATGTGAGGGGACAGCTGAGTTATTGAAGCAAGCTTTTCTGAGTTCTGCCCTACACCTGAATTTAGTGGTTTAAGTAGCGCTGTCTGTGCTTTACAGCCTATCACCTCTCCACTCATGTTTATTATTAAAGTATCTTCACTTATTGGCCAGGCATGGTGGCTCACACCTGTAATTCCAGCACTTTGAGAGGCCCAGGCAGGCAGATCACTTAAGGTCAGGAGTTTGAGACTAACCTGGCCAACATGGTGAAACCCGTCTCTACTAAAAATACAAAAATTAGGCAGGCGTGGTGGTGCATGCCTGTAGTCCCAGCTACTCAGGAGGCTGAAGCAGGAGAATTGCTTGAACCCAGGAGGCAGATGTTGCAGTGAGCCAAGATCGTGCCACTGCACTCCAGCCTGGGTGACAGAGAGAGACTCTAACTCAAAAAAATAAAAATAAAGTATCTTCACTTATTAATCATCTGCTGCAGGACTGGAACTGAAGAGTAAAAGCTATGCACAAAGCACAGCCTCTCCTCTGTGAGATCTTACAATATTTTCTTTCTAAGTTTGTTTGTTGAAACTGCGAACTGATCGTCAAAAAAGTCACTCCTTTGTAATTCAAATATCTCTCCAAAGAGGTGAATTATTTTTCTTCTTTATTCAACTGAAAATGTACATGTTATTTTGTGTCCAATATAGTTAACTGTCAAAAACCTAAGGTGATTTTCCAAGTATCTTTTCTGAAAATGTTTTGATTCGTGTGCTTACTTTTTCTTTCATCTCAAGATGGACCCACAAAGAATAAGATTTCAAAGTGTTAATCTGTATAAATATCTGTGGTATATTCTTAATGAAATAAACAAATTCCAAGTATAGGATAATCCCATCCTTTAAACATATGTATCAAGTATAGAGGTATAAACTTGTTATGTGCAAGTATCTAAGTATCCAGTTATATAACTTTGTTCTTAATTGCATAGAAACCACTGTGCTGCAAGATTATCTGGCAATGAAATTGGGGACTTTAAACAAATCACTTGATTCTTTTTTTCCATAGAAGTGAATCTAACATTTGGAATAGCTTCCACCAAATTCTTATGCTGTATCCAAAAACACATTTAAAAAGTACTCAGAGAATGCAATTACTTTTTGTCTCTACAAACAGAATATAATTAACGAGATAAATGTAATGCCAGATTAATGAATCCCAACAATTTTTTATTCACCTGCGTCTTTAGAGAACCATTGCTTCTGTGCCTCTACGTTATAACTAGAAATGAACAACAGTTACATAATTGTCTCTTGTTCTGTTTATCTGTTTTTTACATTGCCAGTCTCTGAGATCTTCTCTAAAATCACCCACCAAAAACCTTCAACAGAGAAATGAGTGCTCATTAGAAATATATTGACTGCTTAGCTCTGATCATGATGCATTCAACTCTACAGATGTTCCAAATTCCATAGAGTAGATATTATGGATTAGTCAGAAGGGGCCTGCCATTTTTGTAAATAAATATAATTTTTGTGAGTAATCTAATTTGAGAACATTTGTGCAGCAAGCTTACTAAAATAAAGCATGTTCCATAATTAATTGACTTAGATGAAGAAGTAGAAACTGTCATGCCCATCATTCCCCCTCCCTTAACAAATGCTTTATAAAGTCAATCCTCTAAAAATCACTGCAAAAAAAGTTTCTATTAATATTTACAATTGGTCACATTTGCAAATATATTCTCTCTTTCATTTGGATTTACAGATTTATATTTTATTTATTTATTTTGGCCTGTCACCCAGGCCATCATGAGTTACCACACTCTCAGTCTTTGGGGCTCAAGTGATCCTCCTGCCTCAGCTCCCTGAGTAGCTGGGACCACAGATGCATGACACCATGTCTGGCCAACTTTTGAATTTTTTTGTAGAGGTGGGGTCCCACCATGTTGCCCAGGCTGGTCTCGTACTCCTGGGCTCAAGCAATCCTCCTACCTCCGCCTCCCAGAGAGCTGGGATTAGACATGAGCCACTGTGCCTGGCCCCCTTTGTTTTAAATAGCATTAGTTTATTTCTTGGTGGATATGAAGACTAACCAAATGGTTTTCATTTATTCTGCAATTAGAATTCAAAACACATTGCTTGTCTAACCAGTGGTTCTCAACCTAGAGCACATCAGAATTACCTGAGGAGCTTTTAAAAATATGGCTGGGGTCATTCCCACATTTTGGAATGCTATCACTGATGTTTCAGTTTGACTTGTTTGTTGACAAGGTTGTTTTCCTCTCTCAATAATATGGACATTCACCCTGAAAAGATCACTACATAGCTTGCATCTGCTTGCTTTCTTACTTAACTAGCCATTCAGTAATTTAGTTTTCTGCTTCATTTTTCTGACGGTTACTTCATTAAGCAATGTATGCTCAGCTATTGGAAAATTATTGACAAATACAAGATAGGGAGCCCCAGAGGGTCTCACTGAACCTTTCATGTGGGAGGCAGTTTGAACCTGCAGAGAGAGGTTTAATCTAAACCATGCTCTGCCTATATTAGCACGTGTGCCCTTGACTATTTCCAAATTAGAAGCATGTGTGACAACTGGGTTATAGGATGATGAAGGTATAAAGGGAAGGGTGGATTAGTCAGGGGTTTCCAGAGAGGTAGAACCAATAGGATGGATGGATGGAGATGGAGAGAGAGAGACAGAGAGAGAGAGAATGATAGATGATTGATAGATAGATAGATAGATACATACATACATACATACATACATACATACATACGACAGGTGCAGTGGCTCATGCCTGTAATCCCAGCACTTTGGGAGGCCAAGGCGGGTGGATCACAAGGTCAGGAGATTGAGATCATCCTGGCTAACACGGTGAAACCCCGTCTCTACTAAAAATACAAAAAATTAGTCGGGCGTGGTGGCGGGTGCCTGTAGTCCCAGCTACTCGGGAGGCTGAGGTAGGAGAATGGAGTGAACCCGGGAGGCAGAGCTTACAGTGAGCCAAGATCGCACCACAGCACTCCAGACTGGGCGACAAAGCGAGACTCCGTCTAAAACAAACAAACAAAAAAACAAAGATAGATAAGATACATTAAATAGATAGATGAGATGGCTAGAGATAAACAGATGTGATAGATAGATGAAGTAGATGAGAGAAAGATAGATATATGAGAGATGAGGTACATAGATGAAATAGATTAGATAGATTAGAGAGATAGATAAATGAGATAGATAAGTAGACAGATTAGATCAGTACATAAATAGATTAGACACATTAAATAGAGAGATGAGATAGATAGGGATAGAGAGATGAGATAGCTGAAATAGATGAGATCGAGACAGAGATATGAGAGATGAGGTACATAGATGAAATAGACTAGATAGGATAGATAGATGAGATAGGTAGATTGATAAAATGGATTAGATAAATTAGATAGATGATAGATGAAATAGAGATAGATGAGATAGATAAGACAGATGAGATAGACAGATAGATAGATAAGATAGGTAGGTACGTATGTAGTTAGATAGATGATAGATAGGATAGATAGAGGAGATAGAGAGATATATATAGAGAGATGAGATAGGTAGATTGACAAGGTAGATGAGACAGATAAATGATAGATGAAATAGATAAGATAGATTAGATACATGAGAGAGATGAGATACATAGATGAAATAGACAAGATAGCTACATAGATACATGAGATAGATAGATAGATAGATAGATAGATAGATAGATAGACAGATAAATAGATAGGCAGAGGTAGAGATGTAGAAGGGGATTTATTATGGGAATGGGTTCACATGATGAAGGAGGCTGACAAGTCTCATGAGAGGCCTTTTCCAACCTGTAGACCCACAGGAACCTACAGTGTGGCTCAGTTCAAGTCTGAAAGCCTCAGAGCAAAGCAAGCTAATGGTGTAATTCTCAGTCCCAGACTGAAGGCCTGAGAGACCGGTGGGGCATTAATGCAAGTCCTGGGGTTAAAAAGCTGGAGAACCTGGAGTTCTGAGGTCCAAAGGCAGAATCACAAGGGTGTGCCAGCTCTGGAAGTGAGAAGAATTCACCTGTCTTCTCACTGTTTTCCATTCAGGGCCGCAGCCAACTGGACAGTGGCCACCCACACTGAGGGAGAATTTCCACCACTCAGTCCACCAACTCCTATGCCAATCTCCTCTGGAAACACCCTCACAGACACACCCGAAAACAATGCTTAACCAGCCATGTAGGTGTCTCTTAATTCAGTCGACACCTAAAATTAACCATCACAAAGGACTTTGGCTTGTTCTGTTATTTCCTTAAATTCACTTAAATAGAATTGTGCCTCTGCAAAAGAAATTAATAAACATTCAGTTAGAAAGCACCAATTACTATTTCAAGGTTAACCGTATATTCACACATGAAATATTGGCAAAACAGGATGAGTGTCTTCTGCAATTCCATTATTTTAATTGTCAGAGGAATACAATATCAGCATAGAAAGTTTAAAACAAAACAAACAAACAAATTCAGATTACTTAAATAATAAACAAAATGTGGTGTATGTACACAATGGAATATAATACAGCCTTAAAAGGGGAATGAAATTCTGATACATACTACAACATGGATGAACCTAGAGGACATCACACCATGTGAACTAAGCATCATGCCAAGTTAAACAAGCCAGACACAAAAGGACAAATATTGTATGATTCCACTTCCATGTGGTACCCAGGATAGTCAAGTTCATAGAAACAAAAAGTAGATTCGTGGTTACCAAGGGCTGGGGAAGTGGGAAAGGAGTGATGAGGAGTTATTGCTGAATAGTTATGGAGTTTCACTTTGGGGAAAAGAAAAAAGCTCTGGAAGTGAATGGGAGTACCAATTGCACAAGGGGAATGTACTTAATGCCACTGAACCATGCACTTTTAAAAGGTTAAATGAGCCAGGCTCTCACCTGTAGTCGCAACCATTCAGGAGGCTGAGGCAGGAAGATCTCTTGAGGCCAGGAGTTCAAGACTGCAGTGAGCCACGATTGTGCCACTGCACTCCAGTCTGGGTGATAGAGAGAGATCCAGTCCCTAAAATAAGTAAATAAATAGGTTAAAATGATAAATTTTATGTTATGTATATTTTACCACAACTTCTAAAAGATTACCAGAGTAGACATCAGTCATCATATATGATAATTTCTTAAAGGATGGGTGGAATTCAATACACAAAAGAAAAGTGAGGTGCCGTGAAGGTGGAGAAGATCAGAATACGACACCCAAAATATGCCACTGTGATGTAAGGATTATTTTGAGAAAAGGCAGACACACAATGAGGCTCTCTGCCCTTTGCCAGCTGCCTAAAAGCAAAACAAATTTTGCCTTGCTTCCCTTCTTCCCGACCAGGGGCAAGATGGCACCAAAAAGAATCTAATAAACACACCTTACCAAATGACCCTCATCAACCATCAGCATCCCCTTTATATTCACCTTCCCACCATTTACAGCCCCTAAAAAGTCCAAAAACCCTTGTCCTTTGTTGTGTCACTTGTCTACAAGTGTATCATTCTTTGAATGGTATAAAAGCGTTCAAGTCTAGGTGCTTCTTGGGGGATGAGGAGGGATCTTTTCTTTGTGAAGCACCCCCCAACACCACCAACCAACAATGTAACATAAAGCTTAGCATCAAGTAAAATATCTATGATTTTCTCCTGTTAATTTGTCTTTTGCCAGTTTGTGTTGCAAGCTCATCCACACAACCCAAGAAAGTAGAGGAAATTTTTTCTCCCATGCAAAGAGGAAGAAATCCTACTAGAGGGTCCTTCACTAGTAAAAAATTCTACTAGAGGATTCCAAGCAGTGCACCACACTCAGACCTGTGGCTGGGTGCATCCTTCTACAGCAGTAGTTCCCAACCTTTATGCCACCAGAGACTGGTTTTGTGGAAGACAATTTTTCCATGGACTGCAGTGGGGATACAGGGGCATGATTTCAGGATGATTCAAGTGCATTATATTTATTGTACACTTTATTTATATTATTATTACATTGTAATATATAATGAAATACAACTTATCATCATGTATAACCAGTGGGAGCCCTAAGCTTGCTTTCCTGCAAATAGACGGTCCCATCTGGGGGTGATGGGAGAAAGTGACAGATCATCAGGCATTAGATTCTCATAAGGAGCACACAACCTAGATCCCTTGGATGTGCAGTTCACAACAGGGTTCGCACTCCTATGAGACTCTAATGGCATCACTGATCTGACAGGAGACAGAGGTCAGGTGGTAATGTGAGTGATGGGGAGCGGCTGTAAATGCACAGGAAACTTCCCTCACTAGCCCGCCACTCATCTCCTGCTGTGCAGCCCGGTTCCTAACAGGCCACAGACCCGTCAGTGGCTGGGGCTTGGGCATCCCTGCTTTAGAGCACAGGATGGATTGCAACAGAGTAACAAGAAACATGGTTGGAAACACAATTTAATGGCAGCCTATGAAGTTGGCACTTTCTTTTATAACCTTGTAGCAACTGTGGAGAAGCACCTATCATCATAATCCATATTATTTTCCACGGTTGAGCCCTGTTTCACAATGTCACTGTTAATTTTCGACGAAGCTCCTTTAAAGCAAGAAACTTGGGTGGGATTTCCTGCAATCCTGGCTGGATTACCCAGAAAATGCACTTCCCACCCTAACCCCCTCAAAAAACAAGTTGAATTCTTAAAATACTTTTAGTAACTCAAAACAAGGACCAACCAAGGAGAGATGCCCTAAAGAAAGAATAGCCTGTCTGTTTCCACATTCCTGAATGGGGGAGTCATCTTTTTGTCACCCTCATAGAAAGAATTCTTCTGAAATGCCAACAGCCTCTGGTAGCATTTGGGAAGCAAGGATGCCCCAAGCAGTGTGAGAAGGGCTGTGTTGAGAGAATTTTCCAAAATAAGACTTGTCTCTCTGCCAGGGTAGAAAAAGCCTCTGCAGCCCGAGGTAGGACACTTGGTGTCTCCCTTTTGCTTCCTTAATCTATAAACCATGGCCCATGGCTGTCAGGTAGCTCCAAAGAAATGCTGAGGAGATTAATGAGATTGTATCTGTGGAATCCTTGGGGCCTCTGGGAAAATGTACTGCATACAAAATTAGCTGCATTTTGACATTAGCCTGTATGCTAATACCGCTCACATCAACTAGATTATTTAGCAATGACAGAAAATGTAACTCCTTCTCCTGGTTCTTTATCATTTCATCAAATGAAAATGACCTTTGCAAATAAATAATGTATCGGTTTCTTTGGCTGCCGTTGTTTTCATCATGGTCCATTTATTGCCAGGATCTCCATGACCAAGGTCCCAAGACAACCCTCTGAGGATGAATAGCATCAAGGAACAAGCTCTGGCTGAGGTCCCAGAAATCCTCGTTTCTCCGAGAAGAACTGTCCCTTAAACGTCTAAAGGTATGACCAGCCTAATGCTGTCTTCCTGCCACACCCTCTAAACTGTGCTGCAATTAGTGGTAGTGACTAATCTACTCAGTTTTAAACACAGCAGAGACCTCAAGGCAAGAGCTACCCTAGATGAAGCCACCTGTGCTCACAGGTATATATATTGAACACACTTCTAAGCAAGACAGTGCATGTAGAGTTTGTTCTCTGAAAACACTGAACAGATGAGCATGGCTCAGGGAATTGGAAGATCTGAAAAAGAGCACATCACTCCAAGGCTTTACGGTAAAGCTGCTAGAATCATCCTCTTAGAAGATTTAGATTAGGAAATGTCACTCCCCCCACTTCAAATCCCCATTGAGATTGCATTGCCTGTGAAATAAAACCCAAGGTATTTAGCATAGCACACAGGATCTTCCAGGGTCTGGTCTCTCACTTGCTGTTTAATCTTACCTCCCAACACGTGGTGTTATTGTGCCCTGTGCTCTGATCACACTTCTGTTTAATTCATGATTCTCTTGATAAATCACACACTCTCAGGCCCTTATACCCATCCTCCAGTCCCAAATGTCCTTCCACTCCACTCCCCTTCTATCTTCAAGTCCACTTATCCGTTAAAGTCCAGCTTTTAGTCCATCTGCTTTGGAAAATCTTTCTTGATCTCCCAGACAAAAGGAATCCCTCACTCAACAATGGTGCCTCCATCACCCGAAGCGTTTATCACTGGGTTTAGTACGAGAGTCATTGACAGTCTCTGAATTCAAAGTGACATTGGTGAGAAGTCTCAGCCCCCTCCTTCCTTGGACATTCGACAAAAGTTGCTTGAGTGGAATTGAGTATTTCTGACTGATGTTCTTAAAATGATGTAATTTTATGCTCAGACTATAGGGTGATGTATTTCCATCATCTGTTGGACAATTCGCTTTTAAGTCAGGGACTTAGATACATTTTATTTGTAAAGTTTCCTTATTTTCTCAAACCTAAGGCACAACCAGAGAAACTGGACGTTTTAAAAACTAAATTTGGGCCAGGTGTGGTGGCTCACACCTGTGATCCCAGCACTTTGGGAGGCCAAGGCAAGTGGATCACTTGAAGTCAGGAGTTCGAGACCAGCCTGGCCAACATAGTGAAACCCTATCTCTACTAAAAATGCAAAAATTAGCCGGGCGTGGTGGTGGGCACCTGTAATCTCAGCTACTCACAAGGTTGAAGCAGGACAATCACTTGAACCCGGGAGGTGGAGGCTGCAGTGAGCCGAGATAGTGCCACTGCACTCCAGCCTGGGCGATAGAGCAAGAACCTGTCCAAAAACAACAACAACAAAACAAACAAACAAAAACAAACAAATGAAAGCTGAATTTGGGAGCCTAGCACACTCTAAGCACAAAATGTTCTAATCACTCCCAATCTTCAGTCCACACTAATGATATAATCGTCCATATCATCTGACCAATTCAAGACAGACTCAGCTGCAGCTGGAAGCAGGTAACACCTCGAAACAGGGCAGTTGACTTTGACCCATGCATTAAACCACTGCTTGGCAATGCAGTGTAAACTATAAAACTGTAGCTAAGTTGAAGACCTCGCCACCCTTCCACTCCATTCCCAGAGTTAAATAGAGGTGAGTCTTGAAAGCAAGCCTCACTCACTCTTCATGGACTGCATTGCTGTGACCTCTCAGGACTCACATCCCCTAAGTCAGCCGCCTGTTCCCATCAGTCTAGACCCAGCAGAAATGGTTGGCGTCAAATGTTCAAGGAGCAACACTTTGGCAGTGTCATTATTATTAAATGCAACTAAATGAACTATTAACACCATCTGTTCATTGTGGTGGATGTCAGACGTGCCATTCCAAATAGTGCAGGAGCTGCTGACGCTGGATTTCGCAGAATAAAATCACCTTCTGCTCACTCGACCAAACAGTAGGAGCACATAACTGTGTGCCAAAGGTCTGGGGTTTTTCTGTGTGTTTGTTTCATTTATAATTATTTTTGATTATCCAATTTCCTCCGAAGCCAATAAGAAACACTGTGTACGTCCCAGTTTTCCTCCATAGCTGGAGGTTGTGACACACCCAAAGCCTCATTGTTGTAAATCTCTTCAAAGTACACAGCTCATCAATTGAAGACTGGGTTCCATGGAGAAAGGGGGGAAAAGTGTGGAGCTGCACTGATCACGTATGTAAATTCCGTTTTGTGGAAATGTCCCAACTGGAAGGAAATATCACTGAGAATGTCAGGGACAAGAGAAAACATCCCCTTCCCCCTCTGAAGTTTCACTGAAAATCACTGACAAGAGGCAGATTAATAGGAGAAATGGCGCAAACATTTATTTTATAACATTTTTATGTGACATGGGAGCCTTCAGACTGAAGACCCAAAGATACGAGGGAAACTGTGCATTGTTATGCTTAGGTTCAAGCAGGTATGAACAAAATCCATGTAGAAATAGCATCGGAGGAAAAGGGCCTGATCTAAAGCAAATGGACTGAGGGTGGAAACCCCGCCAGGCCTGTCTGTGTAGATTCTTCTTGCTTCTCTCTCTGAGCAGCGCTCCTTCCTTCCGGGTGTGCTGCGAGACCCTCTCTGGAATGCGGGTCTTAGGATCTACAGTCAAACCAGGTAGATCAGAGGATTTCTTTACGGCCAGTTTTGACACTGAGAGGTGATGGAGGGTAAGTTAGAGTCCTATTTTAGGTTTTATGTCTGGCTTTGGGGCAAAAGGGGCTCTGGTTTCTATGAACCACCTTGGGGAGGAGAAATTCTAGTTTTTATGAGGCCTGGAGGGAGAATGGGACTGACAGACAGGAGGGCAGGAGAAGGTGAGGAAGAAACTTTTCCTTCCGAGGCTTCTTCTGAGGCCTTCGTTTTGGGGTAGTGTTCTCTGAGCACAACATTAGCTAAGGAAGAGATTTAGGCTTTGTCTCCTTAGTAAATTCTGGTCCACGTGGGGCTGCACAAAGCCTTCATTGTGTCCAATTCACCGCAGCTTATGGGACCTTCCCTGCTGTGCTCTCAAAGCCAGGAAGCACTGCTTCTCCACTGTGTCCAGCTCACAGGGCCTGGGTGCCTCAGGCACAGCCAATATTCTGCTTTTACATTTGATCACCTATAGTCGCATCCTCAGACTGTCAATCTACAGCATGTGCAGCATTCAATGTTTCTTTCCTGGAGTCAGCATACTCGGGCTCTCTGGCTGGAGTTGACTCATCTCTAAACTGCTCTCCACATCCACAAAATAACTGCATGCCACCTATTGGTGCAGGGCTAGGGAACCAAAGGATGCAATGCCCTCAAGGAGCCACATTTTATTTTATTTTAATATTTATCTATTTATTTATTTTGTGTGTGTGTGTGACAGAATCTCACTCTGTCGCCCAGGCTGTAGTGCAGTGGCGTAATGTCAGCTCACTGCAACCTCTGCCTGCGAGGTTCAAGCAATTCTCTAGCCTCAGCCTCTGGAGCAGCTGGAATTACAGGCATGTGCCACCATGCCTGGCTAATTTTTGTATTTGTAGTAGAGACGGGTTTTTGCCATGTTGGCCAGAATGTCTCCAACTCCGGACCTCAAGTGATCTGCCCGCCTCAGTCTCCCAAAATGCTGGGATTGCAGGCATGAGCCACCACGCCCAGCCTATGAGCCAAATTCTAGTGGGAATTTTGGAAACAGTGCTTTGGAATATACAAATCATGAGAGCTTAAAGTCGGGCAATGATAAGGAGCTCCTCATCTCTCTAGGCAACAGGCAGTAAGATGAAGCGGTTCAATGATTTTGGCTAGAAGAACAAGGGTCCTGCACCTTCACCATGTTCATCTTGGGGATTCTGGGGAGCCATATACTGTGGAAGCAGCCCTCACAGGATCAGGACTCCAAAACTCAAGAAAGTCAAAAGCCCCATGCTACTAAGTCTTCCCTGGGTCCTTGCAATTCTGCATAAGAAACACCAAAAGGGGCGGGCACAGTGGCTCATGCCTGTAATCCCAGCACTTTAGGAGGCTGAGGCGGGTGGATCACTTGAGGCCAGGAGTTCCAGACCAGCCTGGCCAACATGGTGTGACCCTGTCTCTACTAAATACACAAAAATTACCTGGGCATGATGGCGTGCCCTGTGGCCCCAGCCACTCGGGAGGCTGAGGCAGGAGAATTGCTTGAACCCAGGAAGTGGAAGTTTCGGTGAGCCAAGATCGTGCCACTGCACTCCAGCTTGGGTGACAAAGCCAGACTGTCTCAAAAAAACAAACAAAAAGAAACACCAAAAGGCTTAATGTTGGGGCTCAGAAAACAATTCCTGGCTCCTCCTCCTCTGAGCCTGGAATCCTGTCTTTTCATCTTCACATCCCCCACAATTTGCACAATGGCAAGTCCATGGAGATTCACAACTTAATGGAAAGGATCACTAATTATTTAACTTTGTTTTTTTCCATTTGAAGCACAGTGTCTAGAAACAAGATGCCATTTCCAAAACTTTACATTTATTTACAGATAGTCCTTGTCTTATGAGGGTTTGAGTTACAATTTTTGGACATTATGACGGTGCAACAGTGATATGCATTGAGTAGAACTCATACTTTGAGTACTCATACAATTTTTTTTTCACTTTCAGTATAATACTGAAATAAATTTCATGAGATATTCAACACTGTATTATAAAATAGGCTTTGTGTTAGATGATTTAGCCCAAGCATAGGCTAATGTATGTGTTCTGAACATGTTTAAGGCAGGCTGGGCAAAGATATGATATTTGATAGGTGACGTGTATTAAATACATTTTCAACTTACTATATTTATTATGGGCTTATCGGGATGTAACCCCATCGTAAGTGGAGGAACATCTATGTATCTCCCAGGAGAGGCCACAGTGAGCATTTTTCTGTTGGGATATACCTTTCTTTCTTGGCTGACACAACCAGGCCAGGGCATAGGGTGTGGTCTGGGAGCCCGGGAAGGGACTGTCGGGCACTGTGGATCCATAGATTGAAGCCGTCTCCAGATGGAAAAGTGAAGAGCACAGCTTAAGAGGGAACAGGTCCCATTTTAAACTAATAATGTTAACAACAGAGTCTCCAATGGTTTAGAATTATTATTATTATTATTACTACGAAGAAAGGGTCTTGCTCTGTCACCCAGGATCGAGTGCAATGATTTTACCTTACTGCAGTCTCAACCTCCTGTGCTCAAGCGATCCTCTCACCTAGCTTCTCGAGTAACTGGGACTCCAGGCGCACACCACCATACCCGGCTAATTTTTGTATTTTTTGAAGAAACAGGGTTTTACTATGTTGCCCAGGCTAGTCTCCAACTCCTTGATTCAAGTGATCATCTCATCTCAGCCTCCCAAAGTGCTGGGATTACAGGTGTGAGCCATCATACCCAGCCTCAACTGATTTATTCATTTTACATGAACCATAGTATGTATTTATTACAGAAAATGCAAAAGTTTAGGTCATTCATCTAGATTCAACCATCAAGAAATAATCATTGGAAAATTGAGGTAGGGAGATAAATCAATAGCTAGATGATAGATAGCTACATGGATAAATAGGTGATGAGTGGATAGATAGACAGCTAGAAAGGTAGATAACAAGGTATGACAGATACACACAAACGACGGAGGATACACATGTGTGTAAATGAAAGGATAGATGCATAGATAGATCAGTCTATATGTCTTTTGATGTATAGATAGATATGATAGATGATGATAGATAAATGGAGATGATAGATGATATATAGATATGATAGATAGATACAATAGCTAGATGGAGATGATAGATAGATATGATAGATAGATACATAGATACGTAGATAAATGGAGATGATAGAATGATAGATAAATGGAGATGATTGATAGATGTGATAAATAGAGATGACAGATAAATGGAGATGATAGATGATTGATGATAGATAGATAGATATAGGTAGAGATATAGATGTATATATATAGATAAAGATGTGTCTTGTCTATTGGATATATTTTGTTGACTCATGTATTGCAAGTGATTCTTCAAACCAACCTTCATTTATTCCTCCTTTAACACATCATTGTCACCACTCAGAACTTATGTGTCCTAAATTGACTGCCTGTTCCAGTTAATCTAGACCCAATAGGATATGTATATATATTCTGCAGGAGATAGATATAGATATGTGTGTGTATGTGTGTGTGTATATATATATATGTGTGTGTGTGTGTGTGTGTGTACATATTTTATAAGGACATACATCCTTATAAATCAAAATGTATATATACACATAAAATGTAAAGGAACATAAATATGTATACACACATATTTTTATAAAAATATTTTTTACCAAAAGGTAGTTCATATTGATCATGTTTTATTTTAATTTTATAAACTGACATCCTTGACCCATATTATTTTTTCATTTAATGATAGATCATGATCATTTTTCCATCCCAATAAATATTTGTACATCATTTTGTGGCCCCCGCAGCATTCCATTGTGTGGCTATGCTTTTATTATTTAATCATCCATGCTCTGGATACTTCTTAGTTTTGCTAAATGGCCTTAATCTAATAAAATTGTGCACCTGATCTCACCCCCAAAATGGTGTCAAGTAACAGGTAAAGATTTTCTCCCTGAGAGAAAAAGATGCATAGAAGAAATGCAACATTCAGTAGTTAGACTAAGCTCAGACACTGTCAAGTCATGGCTAATGATACATGCCGGTATATTACCTTACTCATGGAATGTATTCAATAAATGATGCCTTAATCAGTGAAACTATGTAATTGCAGATAACTAGACTTTTTTTAAAAGGGCTAAACAAGCAAACATTTGTAAGAGGCTGAATAAATAGCTCTCCTTCACAACATGAGTTTTGCATCAGTTGAGGTAGACAGAGGACTCAGGACGAAGTGAGTTCAAAATGTTGGTATTATCACTGGTGAATTGAATACTGGAGGCCATGATTAGGTACGTAGCAGCCCTGGGGTTCCCTGGATAGAGATCCAGAAGTGGGCAGGCTTACCCTCAGAACTGCAAGAAGCACAGAACCACCCACTGCCCTATCTTGCATGGCTAATAGCAGATCTGAAGTGGGGTGTGGGAGAAGCCAGGCTGAGCTGCCAAAGGCAGGGAACCCAGGTGAGAGGCCAGGGGTAGGGACCAGGGAAATATCTTCCAACAGAAACCCAAGGCATGTCAGAGAAGGGCTCCCACGAAACTAGATCATGTTCTTGATTCTATCTAATATCTATTAATCACCAAAATAAAAGAAAGGCTTAGAGGTTCTTCCAAAATGATAAATACATACTTGTGAGCCTAAATGAATATGTTAGCTAAAAAAAAAAAAAAGGTCTCCAATTCGCTTACATAGCTGTCTTCCCCATTTTTGAGAAGATGCTGATTATTTCAGTGGGAAGCATTATATGTAAGCTGGTGGAATGGCTCTGGGCTGAACTTACCCAGAATGGTAAATCATCATCTTACTTGTGAAGATAATGTGTCAGCAGAATTCATATCTGTGCTGATTATTTACTTTAATGCTGATAAAAAGTGAAATGAACTGCTTGAAGAAAAAATATTCATGGTAGACAGCAGCGTGCAGAGGCTGGTACTGACAGCTACAACGAATGGCTTGGTGGACCCTGATAGTAAATGCAATTACTATCCAACTCTGTAATTAGACACTCTGAAAAGAATAAATATGCATGTCGAAAGGAAAGTCCAGAAGCAGATAAACTGAGACGTGAACCATGTGCTGATGGGATTACACATGATCTTTGTTCCCTTCTTTACCAAGTCTCTGAATTTCTGAAATTTGCTTTTCCTTTAAATATATTTCTATGTATGTATGTATTTTTTTTTTTGAGACAAGGTCTTGCTCTGTTGCCCAGGCTGGAGTGCAGTGGCACAATCACAGCTCACTGCAACCTCAAACTCCTGGGTCCAAGTGACCCCTGTGCCTCAGCCTTCTGAATAACTGAGAGTAGAGGAAGACATCACCATGCCTAGCTATTTTTTCAAAATTTTTGCAGAGCTGGAGTCTTGCTATGTTGTCCAGGCTGGTCTTGAACTTCTGGTCTCAAGTGATCCTCCCACTTCAGCCTCCCGAGTAGCTGGGACCACAGGCACAAACAACCATGCCCAGCTAATTTTTTAATTTTTTGTAGAGACAGGGTCTTGTCATGTTGCCCAGGCGTGTCTTGAACTCCTGGCCTCAAGTAATCCTTCTACCTTGGCCTCCCAAAGTGCTGGGACCATGGGCATGAGCCACTGTGCCTGGCCAGAATATATTAAATCTTATAATCAGAGGAAGTATATGTTACTTCCAGAAGAAGAGTGACTGATTCATCCTCACCTTCGGTAGGAGAGAATGCAAGTACTGTGCTATTGGCTCATTTTTAACCATTTTTAGGACTCCCATCTTGGCTTTAATATGCTTCCACCTTTGATGGCTAGCACCTGGGGCACTTTTTCAGAATGATACCCTTGGGTTGCTGGAGCGATTGCCCCTTTATGCACAGAGAGCTGTAAGTGTCTGGGATTTTGTATCTCCCTTTCACTAGTGGCTGGCAGCTATGGGGCATCAAAGCTTGCTGCTCTGGGTTGGAACAATACTGAGTGTATTGACAGGATGAGGCTCCTCTCTGCTGTCAGTACCCGATACCTGGCCTCACATCTATTCTTGGTTTCTTTTCCTTCTGTCCTCCTTCCTGCACTTCCTACCAGACTCCTCCTGGAAGCACTTTGTGGTGAACACCTGTGGTCCCTGCCCTCTTGTGCTCACAGCCTACATAATCCTCTCCCCTTCAGCAGGGACGAGACCTGTGACTTGTTTCTGGCCAACAGAACATGGCCACAGCAAAGAACTTTTGCAGATGTCAGTAAGGTTCCAAATTAGTTGACTTTGAGTTCTCTAAAAGGGGAATTATCTTCGGTGGATTTGACTTGATTAGGTGAGGAGCAGTAAAAGGCAGATATGGCCTTCCCTGAGGTCAAAGATTTTCTCTCTAATTAATTTACATTTTCACCAACAGCATAAAATCATTCCCTCTTCTCTGCATCCTCACCAACATCTATTGTTTTTCGACTTTTTAGTAATAGCCATTCTGACTGATGTGAGATGGTATCTCATTGTGGTTTTAATTTGCATTTCTCTGATATGATTAGTGATGTTGAGCATTTTTTTTACATGTTTATTGGTCATTTGTATGTCTTCTTTTGACAAACGTCTTTTCATGTCTTCTGTCTACTTTTTAATTTTTTTTTTCTTGTTGAGTTATTTGAGTTTCTTGTAGATTCTGGATATTAGCACTGTGTCAGATATATAGTTTTGCAAATATTTTCTCCCGCCTTGTAGGCTGTGTGGTCACCCTGTTGATTTTATGGAAAACAATATGGAGATTTCTCAGAGAACTAAAATTAAAACTACCATTCGATCCAACAATCCTGCTACAGGGTATATACCCAAAGGAATAAAAATAATTGCATCAAAAAGATGCTTGCACTCGTATGTTCATTGCGCACTATTCACAATAGCAAAGATATGGAACCAACTTAAGTGTCCATCAACAGAGGACTGAATAAAGAAAATCTGGTATACATATTCCATGGAATATTTACTACTTAGCCATCAAAAAGAATGAAATTATGTATTTTGCAGCAAGATAGATGGAACTGGGGGCCATTACCTTTAGTGAAACAATTCAGAAACAGAAAGTCAAATATTGCACAATGTCACTTATAAGTGGGAGCTAAATAATGCGTACACTTGGACATAAAGAGTGGAATAATAGACACTGGAGACCAGGAAAGGTGGAAGGGTGGGAGGAGAGTGAGGGATAAGAAATTACTTAATGGGTACAATGTACACTATTCAAGCAATGGCTACACTAAAAGTCCAGACTTCTCCATGGAATTTATCCATGTAAAAAAACTGCACTTGTACCCTGTAAACCTATAAAAACTTTAAAAATCAAAAAATGCCTTAAAAAACAAAGACTTTCTCCCTATTTCTGGACTAGAAGAGACAAACTCCCATGCTGTGAGGGGGCTTATGAAGATAGCTACAGGGCAAAGAACAAACCGTAGGTGGTTTCTTGGAGCTGAGAGCAACCGCTAGCTGACAGCCAAAAGGGAAGTTTCAGTGCTACAGCTGCAAGGAGATGAATTCTGCCAACAACTTGCAGAAGCACGAGAGGAGATCTTCCCCGAGAGAGGCCTGTGTGGGGACCTCGACCCTGACTGACACCTGGATTGGAGCCTGTGAGACCTTGAAGAAGGGAAACCAGCTCTCTTGCTTGCTGAGGCTGCCATGACAAACTACCACAGACGGGGTGACTTAAACAACAGAAATTTATTCTCTTATGCTCTGGAGGCTGGAAGTCCAAGATCAAGGTGTGGGCAAGGCTGGTTCCTCCTGAGTCTTCTCTCCTTGGCTTGTAGACGCTGTCTTCTCCCTGTGTCCTCACACAAGTCTGTGTCCCAAACTCCTCTTCTTATGAGGACACCAGATTGGATTAGGTCCCACCTTACAAACTCATTTGAACCTAATTACCTCTTTAAGGTCCAAGGCCTCATCTCCAAATACAGTCACATTGCGGGGTAGGGCTTCAACATATGAATTTTGGGGAAACACAGCTCAGTCCATAGAAACATCTAAGCTATGCCTAGGGATTCCTGATTCACAGAAACTGTGAGATAGCAAATGTATGTTGTTTTAAGTTGCTACTTTGCAGTAACTTGTTATGCAGCAATTGAAAATCAATGAAACCTGCTTCAAATGAGGTGAAGGTGTTAAGATTGGTGGATATCCCTGTCAATCATTTCTGCCCCAGAGGAGGTTACAAAAGAACCTAGAACATCTCACTGCCCTGTCCCATTGATCTGTATGTCCACCTCTCCAAAAGTCCAGATTTTCTGGGAGAAAGAAATATGCTTAGCAAATCACTAGTGCATGAGTTGTCTAGTGTATTAGGTGCACGCCCAATCCACAGTCAATAATTTTCTCAATTAATATTCTTTAAGATGAATTTTGAAGTGGATGTTTCACAACATGGTAAGCTTCAAATAAGTCACATTGATAAACTGGCACAGCCACTATGGATGACAGTACAGAGGTTCCTCAAAAAGTTAAAAATAGAACTATCTGATGATCCAGCAATCCCACTTTTGCATATATATCCGAGGGAAACAAGATCAGCGTCTCAAAGAGATATCTGCACCCTCATGTTATTGCCACATTATTCACAATAGCCAAGATATGGAACCAACCTAAACATCCACCAATAGATGAATAGATAAAGAAAATGTTTATACATACATATATACATTTATTCATATATATATATACGTGTGTATATATATGTGTGTATATATATGTGTATATATATGTGTGTATATACATATGTGTATATATATGTGTGTATATATATATGTGTATATATGTGTGTATATATGTATGTGTGTGTGTGTGTATATATATATATATATATATATATATATACACACACACACATAAATATGAATAGTATTTGGCCATTAATCAGAAGTAATTTCTGCCATTTGGGACAATGTGAATGAACCTGGAGGGCATTATGTTAAGCAAATTAAGCCAGACAGAGAAAGACAAATACCATATGATCTCACTTAGATTTGGAATCTAAAGAAGTTGAATTCCCAGAAGCAGAGAGTAGAAAGGTGGTTACGAGGGGCTGGGGAGTGGGGGACACTGGAGAGATGTTGGTCAAAGGGTACAAAGTTTCAGTTATAAATAAGTTCTGGGGATGCAATCTACAGCATGGTGACTATAGTTACCAATACCGTATTGTTTACTTGAAATTTTTTAAGAGAGTGGATCTCAAATATTCACACTATCCCCAAATAATAATAATAATAATAATAATAACTATGCACAGTGATAGATAAGTTATTTACCTAGTGCATAGTAAAAGTTTCATAACGTGCTCGTTTATCAAAACCTCACACGGTACACAGTAAGTATATTCCATTTTTACTTGCCGATTATACCTCAATAAAGGTGGGGGAATAAAAGAATTCATATCTCTATTCTATGGCCCTGTGTTCTCTGATTCCCTCAGTGTCTGTTTCTGGAATCCAACCAAAGAGACTTTCCCTTGCCCATCAGAAGAAAAACATGCTGGGGAAAATGTCACAAGAACGAACTGTTTAGGTACAGCTTTGTGTCACACTTTGAGGTACATTATTATTTCATGATATCCTGGGTCAAATTCCTTTTCATTAGTTTAAATTTACTTTCTTTATTTAATTTTATTTTTGAAAGAAAAGATGCAAATATCCCATATGACCTTTAACTACAGTCCTCAGGTAAGTGACAGCAACAACTGAGAGATTTTCTTCAGGCTGATAAATTTAACATGATTTAATGAAAAAAATGAAGAAAAACACAAGTTAGGCTTGCAAAGTTTCTGTGAGAAATCCTCCTTTAGAAATTACGCCAGCTTTTCATGGAAAGCAATTGCAACACAGCAGAAAGCAATCTGCTCATGCAACCCATCCCAAGTGAGGTGAAGGTGTTATGACTGATAGACATCCCTGCCAACCATTTCTGTCCTAAAAGAGGTTATAGGAGAGCCCAGAATATCTCTCTTACCTTTGCAATTGACTTCACTCATCTACTTCTCCAAAGGTTTAGATTTGCCCAGAAAAGAATGAAAAGGAAGAAGTCTCGCCAAAGCTGAGGGCTGAAAACCATGTTGGTAATCTCCAAATGTTGTGGTTCTAAAAGAACAGAGGGCAATGGAAAAATACAAAACATTTCAGATATAAAGTTATCTAAAATATACTTACTATAGGACATAAAAGCCCATTATGAGGAGAAATAACTTTATGTGTTATAGGACATAACAGAAGATGTAACAAATGGATAGGTGCGTGATGTTCACTAAAGGGAAGGTTCAATATCTTTAAGATGTTTGTCATCCTTAAATTAAGCTCTATATTCCATGGAAATCACCTATCAAATCACAATACAGCATATCCTTAAACTGGACAAGTTGATTCTTATTTCATATGGAATGTAAGTGGCCAAGAATCGCTAATAATATATTGAAGAATACTAATAAAGATGGGGAAATCTCCTAGTAAATATCAAGACATTAGAAAGATTGGTGGAACACTGGATAGACTACACTTAGCAGAATAAGGAGACAGGAAATAGAGGAATATATAAAAAGACATTGACAATATGGCAGAAATTTGGTGTACAACGGTGGGAAAGGAACAGGCTAGTCAACAAGCAATTGTGTGTAGAAATGGGGGGAGAGGGTGGCAGATCCCTTCATCGCACTACCAAAAAAAAAAAGAATTAAAAATCTGGTGGATTAAAAATCTAAATTTGTGCTGGGCATGGTGGCTCACGCCTGTAATTCTAGCACTTTTGGAGGCCAAGGCGGGTGGACCACTTGAGGTCAGCAGTTCAAGACCAGCCTGGCAACATGATGAAACCCCATTTCTACTAAAAATACAAAAAATAGCCAGAGGTGGTGGCACGCGCCTGTAATCCCAGGTACTAAGGAGGCTGAGGCACAAGAATCACTTGAACCCGGGAGGCAGAGGTTACAGTGAACCAAGATTACACCACTGAACTCCAGCCTGGGCCACAGAGTGAGACTGTCTCAAAAAAAAAAAAATCTAAATTTAAAAGAAAAATGCCCAAACAACTAGAAGAAAGTATATTAAAATATTTTTATGATCTTGGACTGGAGAAAGTTTCCTGAAGATACTAAATGCATAAATTTTAAAGGAGAATATTGGAGTACCAAACTGCAAGAAAGTCAAAAGTTTCTGTATAAAAGAAGACATTGGAAACTACGCTAAAAGATAAGCCATAGACGAACAGAGGTTTAAAAGGAATCAAACCCTAAATGGATTATTTCCTACTCCCGCAAGAACTCCTGCAAATCAATAAGGAAACAGAAGACTTAGAACCAAGTGATCAAGTAATATAAGAAGGTGATTCAGAGTAAAGGAGATTGAACAACTAAAAATATGAAAATTTGTTCAAACCCTAAAAATTAAGAAAGTATGCCTTTAAACAACATTTGATACCAATTAGAATGGTTAAAAGAATTACAAGATAGGATAGCACCAAGTGTTTTCAAGATAGTGGAAAATGAAATTTTTCACACTCTTGATAATTCTGTAAATCTGTTAAATTATTTTGGAAATACCTAGTAAAGTTGCAAATGTACCTCATTGTGATATTACAAACTAGCAATTTCATACACACAAACAAAAAAAGCTCATAAATAACCAACAATACACAAAGTATTGTTTGCAGTTAAAATAAAAACCACAATAACCTTAATGTCAGGGCATATGTACAACAGTGAAAAATAAATGAATAGATGTACATATGTGAACCTGGATACATCTCAAAAAGTATACATGACAGCCTGGGCAACACAGTGAGACCTCCATCTCTCTAAAAACGAACAAAAAACAATAAAAAAAAAAAAAATTAGCCAGGCATGGTGGCACATGCCTGTATTCCCAGTTACTCAGGAGGCAGAGGTTGGAGGATTGTTTGAGCCCAGGAGGTTGAGGTTGCAATAAACTATGACCGTGTCACTGCAGTCCATCCTGGGTGACAGAGAGAGGCTCTGTCAAAAAAAAAAAAAAAAAAAAAAAAAAAGAGAAGAAAAAAACAAGTGGCATAAATATATAGTTTGATATTATTTATGCATTTTTGTTAAAAAGAGAAAGCTATACTACAGATTGTTTTTAGAGATGTATGCATATTACATAAAAATGTGATTGGCTCAGGAGACTAAGGCAAGAGGAGAGAAGATCACTTGAGCCCAGGAGTTCGAGTCCATCTTGGGCAACCTAACAAAACCCCACCAAAAAAACAAAACAAAACAAAACAAAACAAAACAAAACAAAACAAAAAAACGCCTGATTGATTTGGAAAGATAGATTCTCCACTACTTGACACTACTTGAGGACAGTGGGTATTTCTAGGGAAGATGAAAAAGTAAAATGTAAGTGTGGCTTCAACTGTATATATTATATTTTATTTCTGGGGAAAATTGAAGCTTCAGTAAATACGGCAAAAATGTTAGTATTTGTTAAACATGAGTGTTGGATTTATGAATGTTCCCCATATTACTCAAAAAGATTTTTTTTTAATTTAAGAAGCTCAGTTGATTGGGTTCAGCAAAATATGTCGATGGCAGATTTAATTCAAAATTGGAAAGAAATCTGTTACTGTTTTATTCCAAGATTAGCCTTATTTTATCTTGCATTTTAATCTTTTCCCCTTACATTTTATTTCCGTTAAACGGCACTGCCTAAAATATAACAATTCCAAATAAAAGCAACCTCACGTATAATGTAATTTAATGTGCAATAATGTCAAAAGTCACATCCCATGGCAGAGATGGAAAAAAGCACAATTTCAGAATTTCTTACAAAAACATGTTGCCTGAGTTACAATATCTCAAACAATAAAGTGAATAAATTCAAACCCTGAAAGGTCAAGGAATAATAAAACCATCTCATTATGCATTTACTAAAATGAGCAAACTTATACTTCATAAAACTTATGAATTGCTGCTGTTTGCAACTGTATGCTGTACAGTTTTCATTTCTCTTTTCTATTCTTCATGACATTTTCATGATATTTGGAAAGAAAAATACAAAAACATGAATTAGAAACCACTCATTCTCTCTCCAAAAAAAAAAAAAAAAAAAAAGGAAGGAGGAAAGGGTGGGGGAACCAACAAAAGTAGGAAAATCCTGCTAGCATATGTTCATTGCAAGGTTAAGTGAAATTTGTGATTTCAGGACTTATCTTAAATGAGCTCCATTTGATCTCCCAGTTTTTATATTTTAATAATTTGTGCATTAAGCAGTGTTCTAAATTAAAGTAAGAACTGCTCTTGTATGCAGGATTGTTTAACCAGATGGCTTTTTGATCTCACTCGGTTAAATCTTGGAGAAATATTTGTAAGAGTGAGGGTTCCCACCCCCCATCCACCATGAGCTGCGGAGAAACTGCAGCTTATCAATATGGGTTGAAGGAGTTAGAAGACCTTTTCACAAGTCTCTTCTAATCAACCCAACCCTGCAGTCTGGCAGCATGGAGCACTCTTAATACCAGGTACTTGAAAGAAAAAGAAGGAGTTCTTTTTAAATAAACAAACTGGCAATGGAACAAGAGGCAACTGCTAACCGTCCTTTCCCCTAATTTTCATCACATGCCCATGGTCTGTAAACGCTTCCTCTTGGGTCGAGCACGGTTGGTCCCCAATGACATGGCCATGGATGGTGATAGAACTGGCACAGGTGTGTTTCCTCCCCAAGGATGCCACCAGGGGAGGGCAGAGAGAATGGAACTGATTCTCAGAATATCATCCCTACAGGATGGATGAGGAATTCCCAAGGTTATGATAAAGTGGAGGCATATATTGTCTTGTCTTGCATATATTAGTGGATACAAGTGCAGTTATGTTGCATGGGTACATTGTATAGTGGTGAAGTCTGGGCTTTTAGTGTATCCATCACCTGAGAAATGTACATTATACCCATTACATAATTTCTCATCCTTCACCCCCTTCTCACTTTCCTATCCTTCCCAGTCTCTAATATCTATTATTTCACACTCTATGTCCAGCTGTACACATTATTTAGCTCCCTCTTATAAATGAGAATATGTGGGATTTGACTTCTTGTTTCTGAGTTATTTCTCTTAAGACCATGGTGTATATATAACACATTTTCTTTCTCCGATCATCCACTGATGGACTCTTAGGTTGATTCCATATCTTTGTTATTGTGAATAGTGCATTGTTCAAAAGAAGACATAAAAATGGCCAAACAAGCACATGAAAAAATGCTCAGCATCGCTAATCATCAGAGACTTGCAAATTAAAACAATGATGAGATATTATCTTACTCCTGCAAGAATGGCCATTATTAAAAAGCCAAAAAGATTACAAATGTTGGTGAGGATGCAGAGAAAAGGGAACTCTTATACACTGTTAATGGGAGTGTAAGTTAGTACAACTTCTATGGAAAACAGTATGGAGAGTTCCCAAAGAACTAAAAATAGAACGACCATTCGATCCAACAATCCCACTACTGGGCATCTACCCAAAGGAAAAGAAATCATTGTATCAAAAAGACACCTGCACCTGTATGAAGGTATTTTATAATCCTCCCTGGAGCTCGTGAACACACAAAGCAAGCAGGAACGTGTCCTCTTTTCCTCCCTTCTCAAATCTCTCACCTTTCAGAGGATGGTTTATCTCTCATTGCCTTACTTCTCCTACTTTAGAGAAGTAGCAGGTTTGAACATCAGTGGCCCTTCTTCTTGATCATGCTGAAGGTGACACATTATAACAACACTTAGGAATTAAAATGGGCATGGCCGTGTGTCCCAACATGGCCTCTGGTACATATGTTAACAGTATACATTCTACTGTGGTTACTAAAGGCTGGGAAGCACAGAGAGCAGGGGAGACTAGGGAGAGGTTGGTTAACGGATATGAACTTACTACTAAATAGGAGGAATAAGTTTCTGTGTGCTGTAGCATTGTAGGGTGAACCATGATTATCAATAATTTAGGGTGTATTTTCAGAAAACTAGAAGAGAGGATTTTTAATGTTCCCAACACGAAGAAATGATAAACGTTTGAGGTGATAGATATGCTAATTAACCTGATTTGATCATGACACATTGTGTACATGTATCAAAATATTCCTCTGCACCCTATAAATATGTACAATTGTTACCTGTCAAGTAAAAATAAAAGGAAAACATATATATTCTAAAGCAAATCCTGGTATGATTTAACATTTTCTTCTTCTCAAGTTGAGATGGTCATAAAGCACACAGTTATAGAAATGTCACACACATCTAAAACCAGCCAAGGGAGATTTTTTTAATGTGTAAGGACACTGAAAACATATTACTCAGGAAGCCTTCCTGGAAATACATAAACACTTGGAGATGTGCTCCAATAAAATGAGAGCCCAGTCAATTGAAGTCGATTCATTTAATCAATTAAATTATATTAAATAAGAGACCAATCAATTAAAATCAATTTCAATTTTTTTACAATTTACTATGAAAGGCAGTAAGGCATGAGAGGAGAAGTGCTAAATAAAGGGTCTCTTTAAAGTCTAAATAATTCCAAGAAACACCATTACAAAATGGAATGTAAATGCTATATTCTTGAAAGAACTTACACCAGTGTGATAAATTACGATTATGTAGTTTTTTAAAGGTATATATATTTGAAAATTTTTTCTTGGGAAAGAAGAAGAAATAATGCTAACACACAGGTAAAATTTAATGGATGACAAAATGAAAAAATCATAAAACTGATAAACAGATTCAGGTATAAATCTGTGACTCCCTCTTAAAAATGTTCAAGAGGAAAAAAAGATAAAAATAGAGATGGAGAGAAAGAGAGATTGCTAAAGTAGAAAACAATAGAATTGATAAATGGGCTATAATTATATAGATAAGGATGACATGACAGAATCTTAGAAGTACTTAATAGAACACTATCCTATTAAGTTTTAAAATCTGTATAAAATCCATGCTTAAAATATAAATTTATAAATTAAGAAAATTTAGACTAACTAAAAAGACCAATTACCATGGAAGAAATCTAACATGTTGTTAAGGATCTTGACTTCAAAGAAGGCAAATTTCCCCTTCGAAGAATTTTGGAGAATTTATTCCTCAGCACTTTTTACTACTGGGTGTGCACTCCTGTCTTGTTGGATCCAGGTGGCTTAATGAGTCGACCAATCATATTTGAGAAGGAGGAACATGGTCGTAGGTGGAGAAGAAATAATTTTAAAACCAGCTGTCTTAGTCAGATGGCCAACCTATTTTTATATCCCTGTGGCCAGTGGGTGTGGCTGTCATCCCAGCATGCACACCAGCTGTAGAATTATGGGGGGCTACCTGCTTCCCAGAGCTAGGCACCCTCAGAGAGGTGGTGCAACAGCACAGGTGGCACAGGATGACACAGGTGGTCTTCAGCTGAACAAACAGATTCAAGCTATCGATGTCACTGTGAAACCTGAGACTGAATGCCTGCAAATCAAAGAAAATGACTGAGCCAAGTCTCAATCAGGAGGTTGAGGTTTATTAGGAGGTTTATTTATTAGGAGGTTTATTTGCTGTATTAGTCCATTTTCATGCTGCTAATAAAGACATACCTGAGACTGGGGAATTTATAAAGAAAAAGAGGTTTAATGGACTCACAGTTCCACCTGGCTGGGGAGGCCTCACAATCATGGCAGAAGGCAAAAGGCATGTGTTACATGGTGGCAGACAAGAGAGAATGAGAACCAAGGAAAAGGGGTTTCCCCTTATAAAACCATCAGCTCTCATGAGACTTATTCACTACCACAAGAACAACATGGAGGAAACCGCCCCCCATGATTCAATTATCTCCCACCAGGTGGCTCAAGTCTGTAGTTCCAGCACTTTGGGAGGCCGAGGCAGGAGGATCACTTGAGGCCAGGTGTTTGAGTCCAGCCTCGGCAACATAGAGAAACATAACACACACACACATACATGCACACACACACACACGCACACTGTTAGACATTAGAATTGCACAATCCTAACATAGGAAGCAATCACATCATGTTTATGCTTATTTACAGCAACATGCTTATGCTTATTTACTTTATGTTATTGGACAATTTTCCCGAAACTGTTCTAAGCCCTTTATGATGTTAATACTATCCCCATTTTGCAGATGAGAAAACCAGGGCACAAAGGGATTATGTGACTTGCCGAAAGTCACGTAGGCAGTGAGATACAGGCTTAAACTTTTAATTCTGGAATACTTTTATGTTCACAAAATATTGAAAAGGCTATTAAAGAGAGCTCTTGGTTACCCCACATCCCTTTCCCTCCGTTAGCATCTTGGACTGCCATGGCACATTTGTTGCAACGAAGTCACCCATTACTTTTAGTAAACTCCAGACATTATTCCAATGTCCTTGGATTTTCCCTGATGTCCCTTTTTTATTCCAGGATCGCACCCAGGATACCACGCTGCAGTGAGTCATCAAGTCTCCTTGGACTCCTCTGGCTGTGACAGTTTCTCAGAATTTCCTTGCTTTTTATGACCATGATGGTTCTGAGAAGAACTGCTTAGGTATTTTTTAGAATGCCCTGCAATTTGGGCTTGTCTGGCGCCTTTCTCATGATTAGACTAAGGTTAGGTGTTTGGGGGAGGAAGATCACAGAGGCAAAGTGCCGTGTTCCTCACATCACATTAAGGGTACAACTCTCAACACGACTTATGTGAAGGAAAATATCTTGGGCCCTTAAAATGACTACGCTAAAGGGAAAAGTCCAGCTGGGAACTGCTTAGGGCCAAACTGCCTCCCATTCTGTTCAAAGTCACCCCTCTGCTCACTGAGATAAATGCATATCTGATTGCCTCCTTTGGAGAGGCTCATCAGAAACCCAACAGAATGCAGCCATTTGTCTCTTATCTACCCATGACCTGGGAGCCCTGTCCCCACTTTGAGTTGTCCCGTCTTTCCGGACCAAACCAATGTTCATCTTACATACGTTGACTGATGTCTCATGTCTCCCTAAAGTGTATAAAACCAAGCTGTGCTCTGACCACCTTGGGCACATGTTGTCAGGACCTCCTGAGGCTGTGTCACGGACACGTGTCCTCAACATTGACAAAATAAACTTTCTAAATTAACTCAGACCTGTCTCAAATATCCGGGGTTCACATTTTTGTAACCATGGAGGGATTCTGAGTTGTGGGATATGATGAGGTTTCTCTTCAAATAGCCTGATCAATCCTTTATTCTTTAATTCATAGTACCTCCCCACACATACACACACACTCCTTTTTCCTTTTTCTCTTTTTTCCTTTCTGCCTTCGTTACACGCCCGGACACGCCACAGTACCAGGCTTATCAGTACCAGCTCACATTCCTTTCCTTATTTGGAAGCAAGACTAGCTCTCTAGCTCATTGCAGACAGCCCTTCCCCTTTTACCCTCTCTCTCTTACGTGCCCACCTTATCTAAAGAAAGTTCAAATGTTTAGCCAACCCGGATTAGTCCAAATTGTGCCACCCGACCCCAGCCAATGGGAAAAGGATACCGGGGCAGGACTTGCATCAGGAATAAAGGCTTTCATGCCCCTTAGTTCAGGTGTGCTCTCATGGTGACTGGCCAAGGAGAAGCACCCTCTGCGCAGAAGTAAAATTGCTTTGCTAAGACTCCTTTGTTTCAGTGTTCAATTTCCTTAGGGTTTTGAGTGTTATTCCCAACATGAGTGGAGGTGCCCCTGACCTTTGACAAATCTCCTGTTGGTGCTTGGTAACAGTTTGAGGTAACTTTATGGCTCAAACCAATAGGACAATTTGGTGAGGTCTGGAAGCACCCACTCCAGAGAATCCCTGACCTCCCACTGATGATGCTGACATGATCGCCTGGCTGAGGCCATGACTGTCAGGTTTATCCACTGTAAAATGACTTCTTCCTCTCCTTTGCACATTGTACTCCTTGGAAATAAGTCTCGAAGCACAGCCTACACTCAAGGGAGGAGTGGAGCATGGATTTTCACACAAGATGTGTGTTCTTAGCCATTACACAATCACAAAACTGGGAATCACTAAATGATGGGAAAAACAAATTGAGTTCCAATCCTGTCTTCCCATCCTCTTTTAGTTGGTTTTGTGTGCTTCTGAGAAGCACACTCCCTCATGGGAAACCTTTGGTCTAGGAGCGAGACCCACAAGTCAATAGAACAAAGGTTACAGTATGAGGTTATGAATAGAAATAGCAAAGAATATCGCTGCTGGGTGTTCAGAGAAGGTCTGGCTGAGGGGGTGACCTTTCTGCTGAATCTTGTTGAATAAGTAAGAGTTATCCAACATAAAGGTAAATTATTGCCAACTAAGAAACCACCCATGCTAAGAGCTGAAGACTTGAGTAGAGACCTAAGTTCACTATTCTTGGAGCCCACAGTGCTAGAAGTGAGGCACCAAGTGACAGACCTGAAAAGAAACTCACAAAGCACATCACAAAGAACTGTGAAGTTCAAGACTCAAGACTTGAACAGAAACATCTGGCAGCTAGTGGGATTTGAGAGCTGACGTTGGATCTTTAATTTCCAATAGAGAACATCAATATATCAGGGTACCAACTCACTTGGTTTCTAAAGCCATGGCTTACTCAACTGTAGAACATCTATAGTCCAAACCCTTGCCAAGGGATGTAGTCTTTTTATTTTTATTTTATTTTATTTTTTTTAGACACAGGGTCTCACACTGTTGCCCAGGCCAGAGTGCAGTGGTGCTATCATATTTCACTGCAGCCTTGAACTTCCTGG
The DNA here is from genome assembly GCF_000001405.40 of Homo sapiens. Classification (NCBI taxonomy): domain Eukaryota; kingdom Metazoa; phylum Chordata; class Mammalia; order Primates; family Hominidae; genus Homo; species Homo sapiens. The sequence continues at coordinate 6,731,166 of NC_000023.11, forward strand.
GCTCAAGCTATCCTCCTGTCTCAGCCCCCTGAGTAGTTGAGAATGCAGGTGTGTGCCACCATACCCAGCTAATTTCTTTTAACTTTTTGTAGAGACAAGGTCTTGCTATGTTGCTCAGGCTGATCTTGACCTACTGGCCTCAAACAATCCTCTCACCACAGCCTCCCAAAGCACTGGGATTACAGTCATGAGCCACTGCATCCAGCCCAGGGGATACAGTCTTAAGCTACGAGCTGTCTGAGTCTTAACAAAATCTCAGTGGACTAAAAACTGGTGAAAAACCAACTAAAATAATGGGATACCCATTGTCACTCATCCCATTAGCAAAGATTAACACATTTCAAATACCCTTGAAAATATGGTTCTTGGCTGTTCCTGTTCAACATTCAAAATGTATATGCCCTTTCAAATAACAATGTCATTTTCATAGTATAACCTGCAAAATAAGCTACAGCTACACTCAACCAAATGTACAAACAGGTTCATATAATTATATTTCACAGCGTTTTTGTTTCTAGTAGCAGAAGCTGGAAACGAAGTCAATGTCCACCAAAGGAAAGAAGAAAAGAAGGAGGGAAGGAAGGAAGGGAGGGAGGGAGGGAGGGAGGGAGGGAAAAGGGAAGGAGGGAAGGGACGGCGGAAGGAAGGAAGGAAGGAAGGCCATTAAAACCTCCGGTACTTCATACTGAGTTCCTGTACATTTCAGTGTGATGATAATTTAAAATGCCAATAGATAATGTTAAATGCAGGAGAAGTTACAATATAACGACTGTAGACAGGTCCCATTTGTACTCCATCATATTTCATATATAAATACATATATGCAAAGCCCAGAACACTTATGAAGAGATACACAACTAATTGTCAAAAGTTATTTCTGGAGAGCAGGATGGGAATAGTTTGATCCCTTTATATTCTTTTATTTAAAAATCACTTTCTCAACAGTTCAGTTTATGATAGTAATTTTTGGGGGAAATTGTAGGAGGCTGTTCCAGGCATCTCTCCTCCCCAGTATTTTGCATCATTAGATGAAAGGCACCTTTCAGAATGCTGTCAGCTTAAAAATTATTATTCTGGGCTCCCAAAGATAGATTTGCCCTCTCTGCTTTGCATTTTCGTGTCCTGGGGTTGGCTCACTGAGGAGGCCTCATTTGTCTGTAGGTTTAGAACTGTTTTCCTTTATCAACCACAGGAAAACCACTGTTTTCCCTGACAAACTTGTGTGGGCTTATATGTGCATACTCTCATACACACACACACACATTCTTTATTAAAATGTAAAATCTCACTAAAAGCTTTTGAACAAAGTAAAAACTCATTAATTTATATTTTCTTTTTAGCTTAAATTAGAGGCACACGTGAGGTAAGTGAAAGAAAGAGAGAGAAAGAGGGAGGGAGGTAGGGAGGGAGAGAGGGAGGGAGGGAGGAAGGAGAAGGGAAGGGAAGGAGGGAGGGAGGGAGGAAGAGAGGAAGGAGGGGAGGAAGGAAGGTAAAAGTAAGGGAGGAAGGAAGGAAAAGAAAAGGAGAGGAGAGAAATCAGTGAGGGAGTAACTGTAAATAAGATGGTTGAGACTATAACTGGATAAATGAATTAATAAAGTTGTATGTAATCTGAGGTCTCTGATAAATTTCTTCCACTTAATTTTCATATATTTTTTATGAAACCAGTCTAACCACTGAGTACCATTTTTCTTTCCTGCACTGTAGGTTAACTTTAAAGATACATTAGTGGTCCACAGCCAGGAAAGGATGCTAATGTCAGCGGCCCGCACGGACCATAAATAAACATTTCAAAGGAGCAATGGTGCATTCAGGAACGGTCTCTCAAATTGCACGCGCAAAGGTGGCATGTGGAGCCAACACCAGGTAAAAGACTGCAGGGTGATGAGAAGGGGCATGGATTGAGCCACTGGGCCTGTGCTGACTCCAGCCTTTGCATGGAGCTCATCCACTTACGCTTGAAGCCTTGTCTTCTACAGGGAAAAGGAACAGGAATGCTGGGTATGGGGAGTGGACACCAGGTGACGGGATTAAGTAAGGCTTTTAAGGGAGACGGTATGGGGGAAAGGAGCAAGACTTGAGGCAGAGGAGGGAGCCAGCCAGTCTGCTCGGGAGAGGCACGCTTCGTCCCGGTGAAGACCAGACCAGAGCAGCCAATCCAGGGGGATCTGACTCCTTCCAGGAATGGGAAGGAGGAGCTAGGGGCATCGGCAGGAGGAAATAAAGTCACAGGGGTGAAGTAGAGGTGGAGGAGGCCTGATGGGGGCGGCGCCTCAGAACCTCATGGGGACTCTGGCCTTGACTCTAGAGAAATGGTAGCCACTGCAGCGTTTTGAGTCAAGGGCTGACATCATCAGATGAACAGGGTTTCCCAGTCAAAGGCTCCCTTCGGCTGCTGTGCTGAGGGTATTTGGTATGGGGGAGGCTTCTGCAGGAATCCAGAGAGAGATGGTCCATAGCGGCTCAGACCAGAAGGGTGAAGGAAAGGTTTGGCTGCGGATCTGATTGGAACACACTGAGATTTAGAAAGGTGAGAGATTGGGCCAAATTCATGATGAGAAGCGGGATCCACAGTTTAAACTCGGAGCTGCCCTAAAGCAAAGCCTTTTTTTTTTTTTTTTTTTTTTTTTGAGATGGAATCTCGCTCTGTTGCCCAGGCTGGAGTGCAGTGACAGGATCTCGACTCACTGCAGCCTCCACCTCCCGGATTCAAGTGATTCTCCTGCCTCAGCCTCTGGAGTAGCTGGAATTACAGGTGCCTGCCACCATGCCCAGCTAATTTTCATATTTTTACTAGAGACAGGGTTTCACCATATTGGTCAGTCTGGTCTCGAACTCCTGACCTCAAATGATCTGCCCACCTTGGCCTCCCAAAGTGTTGGGATTACAGGCATGAGCCACCACGCCTGGCCAAGCAAAGATCGTTTCTGGGACAGCTGTTTCCGCCTTGACAGGGATCCAGACTGCTTCCACCTTTGCAAAGCTCAACAAAAAAATCTCATTTCAAGAATGTTGCCTTGTTGAGTAGTGGAGGGAAGAAACAGGGAGGTGTTATCCAAAGGGTATGAAGTTTCAGCTAGACAGGAGGAATAAGTTTTTAAGATCTCTTATGCAGCAAGGTGACTATAGTTAATAAAAATTTATTGCATATTTCAAAATAGGTAAGAGATTAAATTTCAAACGTCTTATCACCAAAAATGATAAGTAAATGAGATGATGGATATGTTAATAGTTTAATCATTCTACAATGCATACATACAGCAAAACATCACATTGTGCCTCATAAACATATACAATTATGATTTGTCTATTAAAAATATTATTAGGCCCGGTGGGCTGGCTCACGCCTGTAATCCCAGTGCTTTGGGAGGCCGAGGAGGAAGGATCGCTTGAGCCCAGGAGTTGAAGATGAGTCTGGGCAATGTAGCAAGACCCTATTTCTACAAAATGAAAAAAATTAGTGGTGTGCGCCTGTAGTCCCAGCTACTCAGCAGGCTGAGGTGGGAGGATTGCTTGAGCCTAGAATTTTGAAGCTGCAGTGAGCCATGGTCACACCCTGCTACACAGTGAGACCATCCTGGGCTACACAGTGAGACCCTGTCTCTAATAATAATAATAATTAAACAAAAATTAAAGAATGTTGCCTTAGATTTTGCAGCAGTGGAGTGCTAGCAAAGGCCATGTGTTTGGGGGCTTCTCTTGGATTTACGAGAATCAGGTGCACAGACAAATTACGTATAGGAGGCCTGATGCTTGCGGTTTATCAATACAAAGCTGGAATATGCATTGCAAGCAATTTACAAATGAATGAATCATATTAATACAGAATGCCTGCTGGATCCGACTGGTTACATAGTATTCAAGTGCTCCCAACCACAATCTGTTCTACATCAAAATAATTCATTTAACCTCTTGCTTATCAATGACTTTGCTATGTGAGCCAGTGATATTCAGGAAGCTGGTGCATATCATGAACTTTTCCTGTACTCCTCACAACACTTCATGGTTCTCAGAGGCCCAGTTTTACTCAGGGCAGGCTGGTTTCTTTTTAACCAAGTTAAGATTGCATTCTGTTAAAGAGATAAAAATATGTTTCCATGGTTCAGGTAGTGTTGGGCTGAGACCATCTACACTTGGGACACAGATCTGTCCACACTGCCCTCTTCTCCAGATGTTTTCAGTGACCAACCACCTCGGACACTGCAAAGTGAAGGAAAACGTTTTGCCTCAACATAAAAAAAAAAATGTTATGAGGTCATTAAAAATGCTGAGGAAAGCAGAAAAGATAAAACCTCCATAGAAACAAAATATACTTATTTTTGCATACCTTTCTCTCTTTGTGTATTTACTTATTTTACATAAGTATCACATAGAAATAAATTCAGACATAGAAGCTACAATGTTTCACATAATGATCTACCCACTTAAGTGAAGAAATAAAATATTACTAACAACTGCAGTCTCCTGTGTATACTTTTGCAACCAACCTTCACTCCCCTCCACCTTGTAGTAATTCATCCCTCTCTTGAATTAATCTTTTAATCTGTTCCATGCACTGCTTTATACTTTTACAATAGTGTTGTTCACACTCCATTTACACACTTGATGTGTACAGCTTTCCAAATAGGGAGGCCAAATAGGGAGGATTGCTTGAGCTTAGGAATTTGAGACCAGCCTCGGCAACATAGTAGGACCTCATCTCTACTAAAAATTAAAAAAAAAAATTAGTTGGGCAGGGTGGCATGCACCTGTTTTCCCAGATACTCAGGGTGTTGAGGTGGGAGAATGACTTGAGCCTGGGAGATTGAGGCTGCAGTAAGCCATGATCATGCCACTGCACTGAAGCAACTGATCAAGACTTTGTCTCAAAAAAAAAAAAAAGAAGCAAGAAAAGGAAAAAAAATCTACTCCATTAAGGTATTTCTAAACCAATAACGACACACTTCATTTGTAAATGTTCATTCCTTCATTCAAGAAAAAAAAACATTGAAAACTTTATTGAGCTTCTAGTATATTCTAGATGAGAAATATAGTGAAAGAATAAGAAAAAATTTAAACTCGTATCCTCAGTGAATTTTGTATTATACTGAGGGAAGATACAATGAACAATCAATATGAAAAATAAATAAGTGGTCTAGTAGACTGAATAATGCCCTCCTATCCCCAAAGATATCAGGTCCTAATACCTGGAACCAGGAAAGGTTACTTTATATGAAACAGGCTCTTTCATACTTTATATGAAAAATGCAATTATGGATTTTGAGGTAATGGAATTATCCAGGTGGGCCCTAATATAATCATGTGTATCCTTACAAGAAGAAAGCAGATATTATTGCACATATAGCCAAAGAAAATAAATCATTCTACCATAAAGACATATGCACACATATGTTCATTGCAGCGCAGTTCACAATAGCAAAGACATGGAATCAACCTACATATCCATCACTGGTAGACTGGATAAAGAAAGCATGGTTCATATGCACCCTGGAATACTATGCGTCCATAAAAAAGGATGAGATCATGTCCATTGCACCAACATGGATGGAGCTGGAGGCCATGATCCTAAGTGAAGTAACACAGGAACAGAAAACCAATAACTGTACATTCTCAGTTATAAGTGGAGCTAAACATTGAGGACAGATAGACACAAAAAAAAGGAGAAATAGACACTGGGGCCTACTTGAGGGTGGACAGTGGGAGGAGGGTGAAGATTCAAAAACCACTTATCAGGTACTATGCTGATTACTTGCATGATGAAATAATCTGTATACAAAACACCTGAAACTCACAATTTTCCTAAACATACCTGCACCTGTAACCCTGAACCTAAAATAACAGTTTTTTTAAAAAAGAGGAGGCAGAGAGACATCTGTCACACACAGAGGACGAGACAATGTAGAGAAAAAAGATCTGTGTGCTGTGCTGATCTTCAAGATGGGATTCAGGCTAAAGGAAGATTTAGATTCAAGCAAAGGAAGGCCAGCTACCACCAAAAGCTGCACGAGATAAGGAAGGATCCTCCCCTAGAGGCTTCGAAGGCAGCTCATCTGTTCTTGATTTCAGACTCTGGCCTCCAGACCTATGAAGAAATACATTTCTGTTGGTTTTAAACCATGCAGTTTGTGCTGATTTGCTAAAGCAGCCCGAGAAAGCAAATACAGTTGGCAAGAAATATTATGAAGAACATTAGAGGGGAGTAGCTAGTGCTTGGGGTAGGGAGTTGCAATTTAGATAAAGTGGTGAGAGAAGACTGCTCTGAGAAGGCAACGTTTGAGCAAAGACCTCAAGAAGGGAGGGGAGGGGATTGTTTCTAGAACCTGGTAATAACTCTGGGAGAGCTTTGCAGTGAGAGTGAGCAGCAGGTATTAGGACCCTGAAGGAGGAGCATTCCTGGAATGCCCTAGGCACCCAGAGTGGCCATGGATGAGGGAGGGAGGGAGGGAGAGTAGTAGGAGGTGGGGCCACAGAAGTGATGGCGGGGACCCATCTTTGCATGTCACTGCAAGGTTCTCAAATTTTAGGATGCAGGAGAGGGGTATCGTAGGATATTGAGAAGTATCCCTGGTCTCTGCCCAAAAATGCCAGCAGCACCACCCACCCCATTTCCTGTTTCCAGGTTGGGAGGTTGGCACAACTTTGTCTCCTATTTTAAAAGGATTACTCCATCAACTGGGTTTAGAATAACCTTGAGGGCTTTGTGCTGTCGATGCGAGCACTGAAGCAAAAAATACAAATAGTATTACTATTATCCTGAAAGACCCAATGGTAGCAGTTTCTAGAAGGTCATGATGAGATTAATGAGAAGAGGTCATATTCTGGATATGTTTTTAAAGTTCAACAGGCAGGACTTAATGAACTGGATATGAAAAAAAAGGAGTAGATGAAGATGCCATCATGGCACCCTAGAAAACCTTGGACAATGCTAGCAGATGCAGGTGCAGGCAGTGCTTGATGCAACTCTTGGTTTCTCATATCCCAGGGGGTGTGGTTGGTCCCCCAGTCCACATCATCTAATTTAGTCCATGTACAAGAGTTCTTAGACACTCAGAAACACACACAGTTTCTAGAACTGAGGACAATTCTACAGCTTACAAAACCATCATGGATGATGGGCAACAATGTAATGGAATCTGTTGGTGCCATGCGTGTCGATTTCTGAGAAGTGTTGTGAAGCTTTATTGGAACTCTGGTCATTATTGTCTTCTTTTCTAGATGAGTAGTTCCCAACTCTGTCTGCACCTTAGAACCACCTGGGGAGGCTTAAAGAATCCTGTACCCCAGCTGAATCCCACACCAATGACTTCTAAGTCTCCAAGCGTGGAATCCAGGCATATGTATTTTTGAAAGTTACCCTTAGATTTTTCCTAAATGTTTTGAGCAACTGTCCATTTTCTCTTCATCTTTATCCCATAAACTAGTGATACTCTACAGGGATTATTCTTTCCCTAGGGACATTTGGCCATGTCTGGAGACATTTTGGGTTGCAATAACCCAGTTAGCATCTGTTGGGTAGAGACCAGGGATGTTACTCAGTACCCGACAATGCACAGCACAGCCCCTACCACAGAGAATGACTTCACCCTCAAATGTCAAAGTTGAGAAAACCTACCCCAAACCCTCAAATGTCAAAGTTGAGAATGAGAAAACCTGCCTCAAACCCAGGGAATTTGATTACTGCATTGATGGGTTCATTAATCATTGCCAGACATTTTTAAATGCCTTTCCTCTTTTTTTCGGTGCTTTTGAATTTAATTGACAAATTGAAGGTCGCATGGGAAGACAGCAAAGAAATAGAGGAAGAGAGAGATAGAGTACAAACACCTGCGTTGAGTCACCATTTCCTGCAGCCCTGAGTGCCTCTAGTAGCTAGTGAGGGGGACAATTAGCAGTTTTTGAGAGTGATGAGAACAACTATTTGCATGTTCTTTTCCTTCCTGAATTGTGTTTGTGAGAGCTAAGTTAATCATCTGATAGAGCCACATTCACACGCCAGGTGTTGCGGTTGAACACCAATGTCTGTTTCTTCAAGGTTTCGAAAATGGTTCACGGAAGGGCCTGCTTTTTGCTGAAATCGTGCACATGGATGATAGGAACACTTCCACTCTCAACAGTCACATGGCATCCCTTAGGAAGCTGCAGTGACCTAGAAGCCATCAAGGACAATTTCCTGAAAGGGGTTTGCTTTTCTGAGTAACCGCTTCCTGAGCTTGCTTCTCTGTTTGTGGGACCTTATTTTTCAGACTGGCTCAAATAGGTTATCAATTCGGAGTAACATTGCTCCTCTCCAGGGACATTTGGCCATGTCTGAGGACATTTTTGGTTGTCGCAACTGGAAATGGCAGAGTGTGTGTGTCGGGGGTGCTGCTAGCATTTGTTGGGCAGAGGCCAGAGATGCCACTTAACATCCTACAAAGTATAGGACTGCCCTCCACAATAATGGTCCAGCCCCTGATGTCAATAGTGTCAAGGCTGAGAAGCCCTAGAAAGAGAACAGTAGGATAAAGAAAAAATGAATGAACTTACAAATAATTTCCACTATGTGATTTAGATAGAGGCACAAATATTCCCTCTCTTCTCCAAATATTTCCTCCTTCATCTGTTGATCTTCAAGGGAGTTTTACTGTAAAACTTTGAGCTTGTCTTCATGTTCCAAGAGGGATGGAACCTGAGCTAAAATTTAATACCTGGCTATTTTTGGAGTAGTATTTTAGTTTCTAGAACCTGGGAATAGGCAGTGCCCAACTGATGCTCTTCTCATTTATTTATTAGCCTACTAAGATTTTGTGAATGGTTACAGTAAAGACAATGGTCAAATTTTATTTATCGCAGAATGTCTCTGTCATGTTTGATCATAGACACCTTTAGCAGGGTAATTTTTACTATTCCCTATTCCTTTAGGGTGATCAACTCATCCTGGTTTGCCCAATACTGTCACAATTTCAGGAGTGAAAGTCCTATATCCTGGCAACTTTCCGTATTGTGGGGTGGGTGGTCACCCTGCATTCCATGGAATTGGTTTTCCAAGTAATAATTTTTGTGAAATGCAGCACTGGTGTTTGTTATTTTATTTTATTTATCTGGTATTTTATTTGGTATTTGGTATTTTCCCAAAGGATAACTTGGTAATTAGCATTCTCCCATTGGGAAAATAATTGATCAAAAATCTGTTGTCATGGAATAGACACTTCTTTGTACACATGGTTGGACCTTTAACTAGGGAGACAAAAGATTATATTTTTAACAATTAAGGATACCTATTTTATAGAGTTGTTTCTGAATTATTCCAGATTTTTCACTTCAATATTAAATTTATTTTTATCAGATTTTATAAAGCTCAAGGACCATTAGAGATGTCCCTAAGAGTAAGGTTTTTGCAAATTTAAAGAATCTGTTTTTGCGTGCCTGTCAGTATTGTAATCACTTTTTCCTTTTCCAACATAAGATCATACATTAAATTTAAATAATAGCCTTATTAATAATTGGAACCCACTGCAGAGATCCCTGAGAAGGCCCAGAGGCCACATGTTGAGCCCAAGTGAGTGCATTCATTGAAATGTCATGTCAGTAATACCAAGAGGGCTGATAATGATACACCCTCTCGTGCTCCTCATCCCACACTTTCACGACATCTTATCAACGAGTTCTAATACAATAAACTTACATGCACTTGATAGAATAATTGCCATTTTAATTTAAAAACTTGGCAGAGGCCAGGTGCGGTGGCTCACGCCTGTAATCCCAGCAGTTTGGGAGGCTGAGGTGGGCAGATCACCTGACGTCAGGAGTTCGAGACCAACCTGGCCAACATGGTGAAACCCCATCTCTACTAATAATACAAAAACTACCCGGGCGTGGTGGGGCACACCTGTAATCTCAGTTACTCTGGAGGCTGAGGCAGCAGAATTGCTTGAACCTGGGAGGTAGATGTTGCAGTGAGCCAAGATCGCACCACTGCACTCTAGCCTGGGCGACAGAGTTAAGACTCCATCTCCAAAAAAAAAAAAAAAACTCGGCAGAGACTGAAATTGTTTGTACCTCCAAGTCTTAGTTTTCCTCTGCAGCTCTAAGCCAGTGGAAAATTGACAAATTCCAACACAGTTTTTGAGAATTATCTATGTGACTTCAAACGTGTTAGTTTACATTCCCACAATGGATTCACACATGCATACATATGGCAACTGTTGCATATGTAAATGAATGCATCTATAGGAAGTCAATAGGAATTCAATATATCTTTGTATGTGAATTTAATCGAAACTGATGTGTCTGTATATGCATATATACATATATACACACATTTATACATATAGACATACATAGGCACACATGAATATACATAGATAAGATAGATATAGATATATAGAGGGATATATAGAGATAGATGGTGGATGAATAGATAGGTAAAAACAGATATAGACATATGTAGAGAGATACATAGGTATACATAGGTAGGTAGGTAGATAGGGAGGGAGGGAGGTAGATAGGTATAGGTAGGTAGATAAGTTGATTGACTGATTTCATGATACATCCTGGAAAGTTACATACAAGTAAATTCCTAATATCAACTCATTTTTATGCCATTTTTTCTCCTCAAAGTAGAATACTACATGCTTGTATAAAGATTTCTCTCTTTTTAAATCTCTCTCTCTCTCTCTCTCTCTCTTTCTTTCTTTCTTTCTTTCTTTTTCTTTCTTTCTTTCTTTCTTTGATGGAGTCTCACTCTGTCGCCCAGGCTGGAGTGCAGTGGTGCAATCTCGGTTCACTGTAACCTCCATCTCCCAGGTTCAAGCTACTCTCATGCCTCAGCCTCCCGAGTAGCTGGGATTACAGGCACATGGCACCACGCCTGGCTAATTTGCTACTTTTGTAGAGACAGGGTTTCACCATACTGGCCAGGCTGCTCTTGAACTCCTGACCTCAAGTGATCTGCCCGCCTCGGACTCTCAAAGTGCTGGGATGTGAGCCACCAGGCCCGGCCTTCCCTCTTTTTTAATGTGTATAGTTGGAGGATTCTGGATAAATAACAGGGAAATGATATAACTGGATTTACTGAATTAACTCTCAAAACCCTTTTCTGGATTCAGACATTGAGTGGGTTGATTTAGGCCAAGGTCCCCAAATCACTGCCCACAGGCCAAATCTGGCCCACTGCCTGTTTTTATGAATACAGTTTTATTGGAACAGTCACATTAATTTATTCAGGTATTGTCTGTGGCTGCTTTTGCTGTACAATGGCAGAGTTGCCTATTTATGGCAGAGACTGTGTGGTTCACAAAGCCAAAACATTTGCTATCTGGCCCTTTGTAAAAAAATCTTTGGGCTGAGTGTGGTGGCTCATACCTGTAATCCCATCACTTTGGGAAGCCAAAGAGGGAGGCTCACTTGAGCCTAGGAGTTCTAGACCAGCCTGGGCAAGATATTTTTTAGAGACACTCTCTACAAAAATAAAAATTAGCCGGGCAGTTGTGGTGGAGCACACGCCTGTAGTCCCAGCTACTCAGGAGGCTGAGGTGGGAGGATCGTGTAAGACCAGGCGTTCAAGGCTGCAGTGAACCATGCTTATGCTACTGCACTCCAGCCTGAGCGATAGAGCAAGACCCTGCCTCAAAACAAACAAACAAACAAAAAACCAAAAACAAACACAAAAAAATTTTGCTTATCCTTAAGTCAGATTAAAGAGAACCAGGTACAGTTATTTTTAAGAACACATGGTTTGAGAAAGTGAAATACATAGCTTCCGCTCAGGTTACAAAGTCACATATATTCAAATATAGTGTTTTCAAAAATTAGGAAAATAAAAAGCCCCCTTTTAAAATGCTGGACTTCTTTGTTTGGAAAAATGGGAACCATTCTGTGTTGACCTTGCCCTATTCTCCTTCAAGATGCTTTCAGTAGGGGAAACTGGATGAAGAATACACAACGGCTTCCTGTACATCATGCTGCAACTTCTTGTAAATCTGTATTTGTTTTAAAATAGGTAAACTTAAAAAAATAAATAAGCTCAAGCCTGCTTTGCTCTGTTCTTATTGCAGTGACTGTCTCTATCATTATTGCATGGTTCCCATAAGACGTGGTTGTCTGAGGGCAGCCCCACCAGCCAGTCAACAAGTTTCATCACGAATAAAATTCCAAATTTTGTTTTGGATACAACACAAGCCACTGTGGCTTCCATTGCTACAGGCTAACATTGACTTAGTGTTTCCCATTTACCAAGATTGTACCAGCTAATGTAAAGGGTTTGGGGTGGTGGGTTCTTCCACATTTCACCCTCTAAAGAACTCAATGAGGACTTGCATGATTATTAATACGTACAACCTGGTTTTATCTTCACTTCCATGCTTTCCATTGCTTTTGTGTTTCACATCTCATTTCCTTTGTTCCATATGTTGAATTTATATCTGAAGCCATATTCAATGGACATGGGGACATGAGAGCATGCAAGTTAATCAATAGGTCAGCATCGCAATAGTTTGCAGCTGTAACAGGATGCCCAGGAGTCCAGATTTCCAGGTCTGTCAACGTCAGCTCCACCACACATTTGCCATGTGACTTAAATCATCCAAACACAAACCACAGTTTCCCCAGGTGTGCCATGACAGGGCGCCAGCAAAGCTGGAGTACCCCCAAGTTCCAAAATGCCAATTTGTTATTTGGCATACAGGGAAGTTATAATAAGGGGAAGTAAAATGATCCAGAATCTTGAATTCATAATTCCCACCTTATTTTTTGGTGTCATTTATAATGACCACATCTATGTAGTAATCGGAACGACCACAGTGTCTTCATGATGTAATATCCTAAGGCATTTTAGGGAACCTCACCCAGTGGCATCTCTTAGCTACCCCATGGAGGTCAAAAGTTGTTGGTCACACATCCAGCAATTGAATGGCTTGAGGGGAATGAGGTCTAGACTTGGTGTCAGGTATTTGTCTACATGCTATTTGGAAGAATTAGTAACACACAAGGTTTGAAGGAGGACAATTTTGTCAATTATACAAACACTGCTGTGCCCCTTAAAACATTCCTAAAAAGTGTTTTCTACTTCATATTATTTCCAAAAAAGCAAATTGGCAAGATAGAGCAAGAATGTTAAAAATGTTGGATGCTTTACAGGTAATTCTGTTTCTGAGTTTTTATGCCTAGGGATGGAATCATCAATGTGCAGAATTCTTTATGCACAAAAATCTTCATAATTGAACAATATATAACAGCATAAAACTGGACCCAATGGATTCAAAGATAGAAGAAGTGTTACGGCTACAATGGAAGGTATGCTTGATGGAACCTTTTGCAACTATTTAAAATTATGATGGAAAGTGTATATATTACCCTGGTAAAACATTTCTTATAATTCTGATAATCATTGAGTCTGTATCTTAGATCAGGCACTGTAATGGGTTACTTTATTTAAATATTTATTATAGCCCTAATATACTATTAAAGCTATTGTGTTACACCTGACAAAACTGGGGCAGGGAGGAGATAAGAATCCTATCCGAGGTCTCACAGGTATTTCCCAGGGGGGCGAAAGACATCACTGACCCTAACAGCTATGCGATGACCCACTAGTCAAGACTACTTCTTCAGGCAATATGCATGATACAATAGTATCTCTTGAGGCCATATGCACAATGCAAAATTATTCATATTATAACATTGGTGCAATATTTTAAAACCTAGATAGATGGAAGCAACAATAATAAAAACGATCTCAATAGAAAAATATTAAACGAAATATTAATCATCATAATAAATAGTAAAAAGACAATATCATCAACGAGTTAGATTGGCGAAAAGAATCAAGAAAATAAAAACCAGTTTCTGCCACCAGTCAGCAACTACTGTGACAATCCTTGGTGCATATATTTTTATATCCTTTTCTCTGCTTTTTGCCTGTTTACATAGTCCTGCTCGAAAATTGCAGCATGATGGCAGTATCAAGGACTGTGTCAACACTCTGTAAAGAGGATGAGTTGAATGGGGCCATAAGTACAAATGTGACTGTACTTGGGTGAAATTAAAACTCTACCATGCAGCTGCGCACTAACTGAATTCTCTCTGGCACTGATACTTTACTTCCTCCTCACCGCTGATTATAGAGACTTCCACGAATAAACAAACTCTCTTAACTCACATATGGGGTCTTCTATCTGCAGAATTCATGCAGGAATCTATGATTCCATTTCATGATAGTCCCATGCCAGTACTTTCTTTGAGGTAAATTGTTTAGTAGTCTTGGCCACTGCACTGTGACCATTGCTCCCAATGGAAATGAATCAAGGTGTCAAGAGAAAGCTTGGAGTAAACAACAAAGATCACACCACAGAAACTCATTATTATGCATTGTTCAAGACCAGTACTACCTCTAAATGAAAATTGGACACAGGATCCTCTTTTCTGGAAGTGGCCAGTGGGTTTTTTTCAAAATATGTTATACAACAGTATCCTGGATGTCACATGCTGTTTGTTTGTTTGTTTGTTTGTTTTTGTAGAGAGATGGGGTCTTGCTCTGTTACCCAGGCTGGAGTACAGTGGCACAATTATAGCTCACTGCAGCCTGGAATTCCTGGGCATGAGCAATCTTCCCACCTCAGCTTCCCAAGTAGCTGGAACTACAGGCATGTGCTGCCATGCCTGGCTAATTTTATTAATTTTTGTAGAGATGGGATCTTGCTATGTTCCACAGGCTGGTCACAAGCTCCTGGGCTCAAGCAATCCTCCTGCTCTGGCCTCCTAAAGTGCTGAAATTACAGGCATGAGTCACTGCCCCCTGGCTCCCATGTCCTCTTTCATTGACCCAATCTTGACTCCTCAGAACTTTTCCATAGAGAGGGGCAAGATCCACTGATCACAAAGCCCCCCTGGGGCTGTGGCTTAGGAATTGAAACAACTGAAATTTCTTGCTTAAAGAAATTTCAACAAGAAGTGCTCTATCTTATAGGCTGTTTAAATTGGAAGAACACATAGCACCTCCCTGTGACTATATGTTCTTCCTATGCAACTCCAACAGCATCGTGTTCAATAACCTCCAACTCTGACCTTACCCAGCCCAGCTCTCAAATCAGAATCAATGGTTAATGCTTGTGAACCTGAAGAACTCTCTGTCAGTGCCTCCCTTGAGAAATTTCTCTTATTTTTACTTGTGCCACAAACTTATTTTTCTATCTCCCCTTTGAGACCTTAAGTGACCAGAGACTGGGCACTATATTTGATTTGCCATTTTCTTTTTTACACAACATTCTTTATTTTTATTTTTAGTTCTGGGGCACATGTGGAAGTCGTGCAGGTTTGCTACATAAGTAAACGTGTGCCATGGTGGTTTGCTGCACCTGTCAACCCATCACCTAGGTATTAAGCCCAGCATGCGTTAGCTATGTTTCCTAATTCTCTCTCTCCCCCCACCCCATCCCCCAACAGGCCCCAGTGTGTGTTGTTCCTTTCCCTGTGTCCATGTGTTCTCATTGTTCAGCTCCCACTTATAAGTGAGAACATGTGGTGTTTGGTTTTTCTGTTCCTCCGTTAGTTTGCTGAGGATAATGGTTTCCAGCTTCATCCATGTCCCCACAAAGGTCATGATCTCATTCTTTTTATGGCTATATAGTATTCCATGGTGTATATGTACCACATTTTCTGTACCCAGTCTATCGTTGATGGGCATTTGGGTTGATTCCATGCCTTTGTTATTGTGAATAGTGCTGCAATGAACATACATGTACATGTATCTTTGTAACAGAATGATTTACATTCCTTTGGGTATATACCTAGTAATGGGATTGCTGGGTCAAAGATATTTCTAGTTCTAGATCTTTGAGGAATCGCCACACTGTCTTCCACAATGGTTGAACTAATTTACATTCCCACCAAGAGTGTAAAAGTGTTCCTAATTTTCCACAACCTCACCAACATCTATTGTTTCTTGACTTTTTAATAATTGCCATTTTGACGGGCATGATTGGCCGTTTTTAAGTAGAGTACACTAGTCAATACATACTTTTGTAAAGGTATAAGTGAATAAATACATGAATTATTGATGCCCAAAGGAAGATATTATGTTTCCCCTCTGGTTTCAGTACACGGGCAGTGTCTGTGCTTGAATTTGTCCTGATTTCATGAGCTGGGAAGCACACGAGCCATGGTTTTTCACCCTTATTCTCAGAAGGTACAATGCCATCCTATGACTCATCTTGACCTTTTCAGGTATATGCATATGCATGAGACCCTTGTCAATATTAAAAATTCTTTCAATTTGGATAGACATTCCTCTGTTGCTGCCCAATTAACTATACATATCATTTTAGAGAATTTTCCAATTAGTGATGAGTATATTGATCATTGGCTAATGTTAATTAGACAACATAATCATTTTTGGAAATACAGGAAATAATATCCCACATTGCTTTGGAAAGGTATATTTAAATATCAGTTTAATCTTTGAAGTACTTATGAAAATGCCCCAGTGGGAATAATTTTACGGGATCATAATACTCGGTAAAAATTCTAACTAGTCTCTGACTCATTATTAAAATTCAAAATCGCAAAGCACCATATACCAAGTGATGTATTGTACATAATGACTTTCTTATTCAATTTTTCTAATCTATTTTTTATCCCCTAGGGGTTTTTTCTCAGTAATTGTCCAGAGTTTAAATAAAAGAATAGTAGTGATTGAATCTTCATGCGTCTTTATTTTTAGACTCACATCTTGAAGTCTGCAGAACTAGCAGCAGAGAACGTAAGAGAAAAATGGGTGTGAAGATGTTCTATGAAAATCATTCTAAGTTACTACATGTCCTTCAGTTCATCACACCAAAAAAGAAGAGAAAAACCTTGGAGGGGAAAAATAAGTCTCCTCTGTTTTGTATAAGAGCAAATTGTCTTTCCATATCAGGACTTGTTTATTTGACACCTGGGGGTCTCATCAGTAATAGGATACAGACATACATAAACCCTGTCATCTTCATTGCAGAATAAAGATGCCATTCATGGGTCATGACCTGGTAGAAACTGTGCAAATGTGTGTTGAATCAGGGAGTCCAAATCACCACACCTGTACCAGATCCATTTTTAGTTGTCTCTGAAATACAGAGCCCTCGGGCCCAGAGTCTGAATAATTGCTGGGGTTCCTGCAGGCTTCTTTTATGTTCAACCATAAAGATTTAATACAAATTCTTATTGCAGAACCATGGTCACATTACTGTTGATGAAATCATTCCTTCCATCAAAATCAGTCAGATCCAACGTACTCAATTCTCAAATACGGTGCAGGCAGCATTGTAGTAAACATCACTGAATAGACTCGTTGTTCAGTATGTCTCAAAGACCTGAACAGGCTGTTCAGCCAAAGCTTAAATAAATGCAAAAATCCTAGGAGGAGAGCATGCTGTTTGAACAACTCAGGTTCAGTTTAACACTTTCTACTCCTTTGAAAAAATTAAGACAATCCCTTAAAAAAAATAACGAACACCACTTTTTCAATCTTGACACATGCAGAGACCATGCAAGAATATGAACTAAAAGAAGAGATTAAGGTTGCATTTAGGAGGTCATTGACGAGTGACCTTGAAGATACCTATTTTTGAAGAGTAGTAAATTCTGAAAGTAGAATAAGTAGGAAGTGAAAAAGTTGTGACAGTAGGTGTGGACAAATTTGTGAATGTTTGCCCAGCAATGGATGTGCTAAAATTGGAAACATACTGATGGATGACATTTGGCAAGTATGTTGAGAACCACAGAGAGCTAATTCATCTGCAGATGTGCCATTCTTAGAAAGGTTGGCGATAAAGAAGAGAAAGGAGATGAATGATGGGGACCATCATGTGGATGAGATAGAATTTACAGAGCAGAGAGGGAGATTCTTATCTCGGATCCTATGCACCCCAGAGGCGGCAGTGAAGAAAGAATGCAGGTATAGATCATTTTGCAGGAGATGCAAAACACCAACGAAGGTTATTCCTGATAATGTCTATTTCTCTGTGCATTAGAAAGAAAGATTGTGTGCTGAAAGTGAGGGGTGAAGTGGAGGACTTGAGACGAATTGGAGTATGTTGGCAAAAGCCAGTGTGAGAAATGGGAGAGGGACTTTTATCAGGCAGCAGCATCGGGATTGTGCACAACACCAGTTAATTTTGGTGCTCAGAGAGCAGTAAAGTCATGAATTTTCACTGTTGGATGTGCCTGGTGATAGTACAGAGGGAGTATATGGTTCGATTGATCTGGGATTAGTGGTTGGTGGGACTGAGCTGATTTGAAGAAAGAAGAAGAGGGAAAGGAGGTGGCCGTTGTGTTTAGGCTGCAATTGTCTGGATAGGAGAGGACGGTAACTGAAGCTGAATTGCAGGGTGGATGGAGAATTATCCAGAGAGAAAGAACTATGCCTACGTCAGGGAAGACACTAAATGATTTGCAATGGAGACTTCAGAAATGAATCTTGGCAGGATGAGTTTCACATTGCTGCTGAATGTTAGGTGCACATTAAATATTTTGTTTCCATGATGCCTTTGCCTAAGATATGGGAAATGATCATTTATACAAGATGTTTCTGTAACCACAGATCTCATTTTTCCCAACAAGCCACTTAAAAATCAGTCTCCTGCAACCTGAAGGAAATGAACACGTTGAGTCACTAACAACCTCTCTTGCATTGGTGTCCTCTCATGCGACCGTGAAAATGGCCCTTAAAATCTGCCCATGAACCACAGAGATGGAGTGCGTTAATTTTTTCTCCTCCCTTTCCTTCCAGCAATGATTTTTGCCTGAAGGCATGAGATTCGATTATGAAATGACTATTGACTAACAGCACTGGAGGATGACAGAAACCAAAGAGTCGAGTATAAAATAACTGAAGTTAAATGGAACGTATTTGGGGAGATGAGAATACAATAAGGGGATGGATGGTACACACTCGTTGAACGTTTGCTGTGCAGCTTCTTGCATTAAGAGATGACACAGTCAAGGCTACACCCAGGGAACTATTACAGGTGTTGTTTCAGAGTGTGGAGCCGTTCATGTTCAAAAGGCTGGATCTGCATTTCAAATATATAAAATCTCACAGATTTATATGAATGATTTCATCAGATTGAAATCGTTTCAGCAATTGCAGCCCACTGGAGTCTTGGGTCACCCCCTGCCATTTTCATTCAGCACCTAGTAGCATTTTGTTCTTACTACATTGATTTGTGCTTGTTGATTGGTACCTTTGGAAATAGGACTTTGGATGAATTGTGTGTGTGTGTGTGTCTGTGTGTGTGTGAGCGTGCATTACTCCCAAACGAAGAGAGTAAACCCCTGAAGAGGCAGTTCACTGTTACCATTACATAAACGCACACTGCTTAAAGATTTTCTCACTTCAGGTGCTCGGTGTATGTTGCTGACTGGCTAACTTCAGGTAGATGGGGTTTTCTGCTGGAAACATTGACCCCTGGTAGGCTTTGTTGAAAATGGCTGGGGGTTTGCATTTCCCTCAAAGAAACAGTTTCAGTAAAAATTCCAAAGACCTCATTTAAGAGCTTCATTCCAACTATAAGATGCACTATCGGCTTCACAAAAACACTTGTTTCCATCAGTGGCAGTTTGGTTATTAACCCAGTAACTACTTCAACAGGAAGACCTGAAGGATATACAAAGATGATCTCTGAACACTGGACACTATCAAGAATATCCAGGAAATTTCTAGTTCAGAAATACAATTGCGGCCGGGCTTGGTGGCTCACACCTCCAATCCCAGCACTTTGGGAGGCCGAGGCGGGCAGATCACAAGGTCAGGAGATGGAGACCATCCTGGCTAACACGGTAAAACCCCGTCTCTAGCAAAAATACAAAAGGAAATTAGCCGGGTGTGGTGGTGGGCGCCTGTAGTCCCAGCTACTCGGGAGGCTGAGGCAGGAGAATGGTGTGAACCGGGGAGGCGGAGCTTGCAGTGAGCCAAGATTGTGCCACTGCACTCCAGCCTGGGTGACAGAGTGAGAATCCGTCTAAAAAAAAGGAAAGAAAGAAAAAAGAAAGAAAGAAAGAAAAAAAGAAAGAAAGAAAGAAAGAAAAAGAAAATTGCAACTGTGTCATGATGGTTGCAATTGTGACCTCAAAAAGAATACTACGTTCTTTATATGTTGAAAGGAAAAGGGAAGATCAGATGCCAATTCTGGTGCCCTTCATCATTGCTATAGATGGATTCCCTTAGGTAACTTGCTTGACAATTCCCTTCGCAAAGTCTCTGGTTTTCAATAAAGAAATCACAGTAGCTGGAAATGGAGGGACATTTTGGCACTAAGTTCTCACAATTGCCTCTTCCATTTCTATGTTCTATGAATTTATTTAGTAAACACCCTGTTCATCAGTACTTGAGCAATGAAAAATACCAGATATTTCCTTTGAAAAGAGAAGAAAAAGAAATAAAATAGCAGGTAGCCACAATCCTATTAGGTAAGGAGAATCTCTTGGAAGGAGCTTTGAGATCATTTTTCAAGATAAAAAGTGCAACCTTTCATCTCACTTTAAGAGACGTCAGAAATATAAAACTCATTATCGGCCACGCTTAGGTAAATATTTCTCCTCACTTCTCACCTCAGAAATCCTCATATTTGTATGAATGATATTTTGAGTGCAAAAACCTATAAATTATGCAAGATATTTTTACAGCAGGAGGAATTTAGCCGAGCACTCAAGCAGAAGAACGATTGGTGTTTTTGCAGCTTCACTGCAGTTTTGAGAAGTCAGAATTATGAGGCAGCATCACCTGTGCTTCTTATAACCCCTCTCTGTCCTGAATCCTCCCTGGCCACTTTGTTCTCTCTCTTCCATCAGGAGTCCCGGTGGGATAATCTATGTTTCATCTCATCATTTCCTAAATTCCTCTTCTTCAGTCCCTAGCAGGCAGGTGGTGCTTTATTCTTCTCAAATTGTTTCCCCAAGGGACCTCCCACCTGCTACACCCAGGGGACTATAAATCCTCATTCATTCTGACCTCCTTCGGAAGCATTTAAACCCCATATCACTTCAAATTCTCTCTCCTTTGGCCTCTGACAGCACTTTCTTCCTGGTTTCCTAAACTTCACTCGATTGCTTCTTCTTGGTCTTGATCCATTTAATCATTCCTCCTTTTTCTGATCAACCAGGAGGCAGCACCCCCAAAGGTTCTGAGTTAGACTCTTTGCACATACCTGGCCATTGCTGTATTTTCATCTGACAACTCACTGCACAGATTCTATGTCCTATGGAAGAGGTGGACTTTCACCTGAAGGTAGGGGCCATGAAAAGCCACTGAAATATTCTATGCAAAGGTGGCCTGATCCAGGCTGTCCTTTTTTAAAAGCCACACTGTGCTCAGAGTGGAGGATTTATTAATAACTAGGAAACTGTAGAGACAGGATAAAGCAATTTGAAGAATATTTTCCTTAATACAAATGAAGTAAAGGTGGCACTAAGGCTGTGGCAGTACAGGAAGGAGTTTATAGAACAGAGTGACGTCAGGAAGGCAAAGTCAAGAAGCCCTCAATGATGCTTTGGATATAAGAAATAAGAAGGAGGGAAGGATAGGAATGTTTCCTAGATTCTGCCTGGATGATCATGGTGCCATTTACTGAGATAAGAAACTGAAGGAGAAACTAGGAAGAAGAGGGAAAAGATATTATTAAGCAATCAAGGTTGCTTAATCATATGGTTGGTCACCTAATACAGGAGCCACGCATTTTATTTTCTCAGGAATATGTGATTATCCCTTAGATGTGTACATATAAACATATATATGTGTAATTAGTTAAATATATGCATATAGATAGAAATACAATTTATATACACAAAATTTGTAACTGATATGGTTTGGCTGTGTCCCCACCCACATTTTTTTTTAAGTGCCTAGACATTTATTACCTCTTTAGTGGTGATTTGTGAGATTTCGGTGCCTCCATTACCCAAGCAGTATATGCTGCACCCTATTTGTGGTCTTTCATCTCTCACACCCTTCCCATCCTTTCCCCCTGAGTCCCCAAAGTTGATTGTGTCATTCTTATGCCTTTGCATCCTTATAGCTTGACTCCCACTTATGAGTGAGAACATATGGTTTGGTTTTCCATTCCTGAGTTACTTCACTTAGAATAATAGTCTCCAATTTCATCCAGGTCACTGCAAATGCTATTAATTCAATCCTTTTTATGGCTGAGTAGTATTCCATCATATACATACACCACAGTTTCTTTATCCAGTCGTTGAGTGATGGGCATTTGAGTTGGTTCTACATTTTTGCAATTGCAAATTGTGCTGCTATAAACATGTGTGTGCAAGTATCTTTTTCATATAATGATTTTTTTTTCCTCTGGGTGGATAACCAATAGTGGGATTGCTTGATCAAATGGTAGTTCTACTTTTAGTTCTTTAAGGAATCTCCACACTGTTTTCCATAGTGATTGTACTAGTTTACATTCCCACCAGCAGTGTGGAAGTGCTCCCTTTTCACTGCATCCACGCCAATATCTACTATTTTTTGTTTTTTTGATTGTGTCCATCCTTGCAGGAGTAAGGTGTTATCGCATTGTGGTTTTGATTTGCATTTCCCTGATCATTAGTGATGTTGAGCATTTTTTCATATGTTTGTCAGCCATTTGTATATCTTCTTTTGAGAATTGTCTATTCTTGTCCTTAGCCCACTTTTTGATGGAATTGTTCGTTTTTTTCCTTGTTGATTTGTTTGAGTTCATTGTAGATTCTAGATAATAATCCTTTGTCAGATGTATAGATTGTGAAGATTTTTTTCCCACTCTGTGGGTTGTCTGTTTACTCTGCTGGCGGTTCTTTTTGTTGTGTAAAAGCTCTTAAATTTAATTAAGTCCCAGCAATTTATCTTTGTTTTTATTGCATGTGCTTTTGAGTTCTTGGTCATAAAATCCTTGCCTAACCCAATGTCTAGAAGGGTTTTTCCAACATTATATTCTAGAATTTTTATAGTTTCAGGTCCACATCTCATTTTGAACTGTAGTTCCCATAATCCCCACATGTCATAGGAAGGACCCAAAGGAGGTAATTGAATCATGGGGGCGGTTACCTCCATGCTATTCTTATGATAGTGAGTGAGTTCTCATGAGAGCTGATGGTTTTATAAAAGGCTTTTCCCCAACTTCACTGTGCACTTCTCTTGTCTGCTGCCTTGTAAGACGTGCCTTTGCTCCTCCTTTGCCTCCCGCCATGATTGTGAGGCCTCCCCAGCCATGTGGAACTGTGAGTCCATTAAACCTCTTTTTCTTTATAAATTATCCAGTCTTAGGTATGCCTTTATTAGCAGCATGAGAACAGACTAATACAATATAAATAATTATATGTAAATTGGTGAGATCTGCTTATATACTATAACATATATAACTCATATATGTCATACATTATAAATTATATCATTATATATACCACATATAAAATCACAGACTATTATAAAATATTAGAAATTATGATATTGAAATTGTATAATATTATAACATAGTTTATAAAATATTATATATTATATTTATTATAGCTTTATACATAATTTAGCACATTATATATTATAGATATATGAATTATATATAGTGGATCCTCATCATATGAAGATTCTGTATTTACCTGTCTGCCTACTCACTAAAATGTACTTCTAACTGCAGCATCAATGCTTAGGGTGTGTTCACAGTCATTTACAGACATGTGCAGTGTGGGGAAACATCTAAATCACCTAACAGACACATTCTCAGCTGAGAATGAACAAGGTTACACTGTGAATTCTTGGCTCAGTTCATCCTGTAAACGTGTGTCCTTTGAGCAGTCAATTTCATATCATGTTTTTTGCATGTTTGTGTTTTTTCTTGTTGGTTTTGCTGTGAAAATGGCCCCAAATCACAGTGCTGGAGTGCTGTCTTGTGTCCCTAAGCACAAGCAGGGACATCTGATGTCCCTTCTGGAGATAATATGGTATTAGAGAAGCTTCATTCAGGCATGAGTTAGAGTGCTGTTGGCCATGAGTTCAAGGTGAATGAATAACAATATGTATGAAGTTAGCTGTCTCTATACAGAAACACACAGAAAACAAGGTCACATATTCATCAGCTGACAAAAATGTTATAACCAGGGGGCTCATAAGAACCTAGCCAATGGTTCAGCTAATCCAGTGTTTTTGGTGACTTTATAGAACATACTGTAATGACCACAAACAATGAGAGTCAACTGTATATACAAATTATAGACATTTATATAACATAAATTAATTCAACCAACAATCACTGAATGTCTATATTTCAGACACCTTGCCAGGTACTAGGGAAACAGAGATTTAAAAAAATAATAGTCATGTTTTCTTCTCTCAATGTATTCATACTATAATAAAGTGATTCCCGAATTTTTAAGAAGTCTCCATACCTTGTATTTACAACATGCTCTCATCAATAATATATTTCAATCTTTCATCATATAGAGTTATTCTCATCCAGTTGGATGAAAATAGCTAACAGGGTGGATGTTGGTCGCATTCATGGAGAAATGAGTCAGAGGAGGTGATAGGCACAGCACTGTTTTCTTGAGGGTAAAATGTATATGGAGCATCTGTGTAGGGAACTTCATCCTATAGCTCAGAAGTGAGATCTGGGGTGATGTTACAGATTTTGAGTCATTTGTGCACCGAATATCTGGGAGGAGTATGCTCAGTGAGAAGATAAAGTTGATGGTAACACGAGAGAGGCATCCAAGTGGGATTAAAGGAACAAAAAAAAAAATAATGAGTTACGACTAAAGAGAGCTTTCCCAGGAGATGAGAATGTTGTCCTGAAAACCAAAGGGGAACAGAGCTTTTTATGAGAAGAGATTAGGAAGGTCAAAGTCACAGAGATCAAAGTTAAAGAAGTATTGTAAAGCCCTTAGTGGATTTGGCAACATGGAGGTTACTGGTAACCCAAGAGAAAGAGATTCCCCATAAACTAGGAAGTAAGACCACAGGTTGAAGCAGACTGCATATGGAGGGAAAAAAGGTGGGGAAAAGAGTTTCAGAAAACAGTCTAGTAGTTCCTGAAAAGCTTAAACATAGAGTTCCCATAGGACCTAGCAATTCCACTCCTAGGTCTATACTCAATAGAAATGAAAACGTATCTATACAAAAAAAAAGTATATGGATGTTCATAGTAGCACTACTTATAGTAGCTTAAAAGTGAAACAACCTAAATGTCCATCAACTGATAAATGGATAAATTAAATGTGGTCAATACATGCAATGGAATACTATTCAGCCATACAAATGGTTGAATGAATGTTAATGGGCACAGGGTTGAATGAATGCTAATGGGCACAGGCCTTCTTTTGGGAATGCTGAAAATATTCTGGAAATAGATAGTGGGGATGGTTGCACAACTTTGTGAACAAAAGCCACTGAATCGCACACTTTAAATGGATTAATGATATGTGGTTCATATTTCAATACAGTTGTCATTTTTAAAAGGTGGGGAAAATATACATTATTATTATGACTCTAGATGGCTGACCATGAAGAGTAGAGGTCATAGCAGTAGCTAGATGAAGATACGTAACAGATGAAGAGACAGATTCCTTTAAAAAATGATTTTGTTTCCTGTGGTTTTATTTGGTTGTTTTTATTTTGGAATGAGATATACATAATTATATAATCAGAGGGGAAAATTCAGAAGACATGGCAAGAAAGACTGAGAAAATAAACGAGAGAACAAATAAGATCTTAACAGCAGACGGATATTTCTCTTAGGCTACAGGAACAACATTTCATCCATGAGATCAGAAGGAAGGAGTTCAAGTGGGAAGATTTGTAGATCACGGGATACGGACAAGGTATAGTGAGTTGCAAAACACGAAGTGTCCTCACACCACATAGATCCTATGTTCCCTCCGAAGTAGAGAATAGATTATCCTGAGAGCAGAGCAGAGAGAAGACGGAGGAGGTGAGAATGCCTTGAGCAAAGTGATAAGGATTTAGAATTACTACCCCAAGGAACACAAAAGTGGATCATTGTGGGCAGGATTGCTGGTGGCATTGGGTTCATGTAAATTGGAAGTAGATAGAGCCGGATGATCCCTGACCCCTACAAACACTGAGCAGTTAGAGTCTGAGAAGCTAATTGGTTCTCTAGCCATTAATATAGTGAACATATTTTCAGCCAGGGTCAAGAAATTTACGAGGCAGAGGAAACAGAAATGAGGGTTAAGGGAATCCATAGTGCTAGGGAGAAGAAAGCTGAAATGAAAAACTTTGGATGAAAAATGGAAGGAAAAGAAGATAGTTTTCATGGGTGTGGGGGTGGGAGGTTGAAACAAGTAGTAAGGCTGACTTGGATGGGGAAAACCATCAGGAACTAGATATATTGATAAGGTCAAATTTTATCAACAAGAGATAAATTATTTTTTTCCCCTGGAAGAAAACTCAAGGAGAAACGATGAGTGTGATAAGTGTTTTTGCAAGAGATGCAATGGGCTATATATTTTTCATTTTGATTTATGAATTAAAAAGTCTGAACAAGGTTATGCAGAAAATGGTAGCCCCTTAAATTCAGACACATTCATTTGAATGTGAACAATAGAGAGAGATGTCACTGGGCAGGAAAACAATGGAAGTTGATTTACATATGTCTCTTAATGCCGAAATTATGCATTTCAGTTTTCACTAAGCAATATGTCGTGAAATGTTGGTAGGCAGATCTTGTTTTGAACAGTAAGTCTGTGCTGCCACCTTTTCTGTAAGTTCTGTGTACTAGCATTCAACTCAGTATAATCACTTTCCAGTGAGACCCAATGCTTCAACGTGTGATTTGTCTTAGTGACACGAGATGCTGTCAATTCCCTCAAATGGATATCGTTTCGATGTGGATCATTAAGAGTTATTTTCTATGGGGATGCACTGAGAGACACATTTCCCATGAACTGTTGTGGAAAATAATTGTGTAATTTTAAAGATGGTTGGGACAATATACTCACTTCTCAGAGAAATATCTTCAAAAAAATATATCAGTGTCAAGCTACCTTGGTTAAGCAGTAATGAAATAAAAGTAGGCTGGGTGCAGTGGCTCATTCCTGTAATCACAGCACTTTGGGAGGCTGAGGCAGGAGAATCACTTGAGCCCAGGAGTTCAAGACCAGCCTGGGCAACAAGGTGATACCCGGTCTCTACAAAAATTTTTTTTAATTAGCTGGGCATGGTGGCATGCACCTCTGGTCCCTGATACTTGGGACACTGAGATGGGAGGATCGTTTGAGCCCAGGAGGTTGAGGCTTCAGTGAGCTGTGACGGCGTCACTGCACTCCAGCCTAGGTGACAGAGCGAGACTCTGTCTCAAAACAAACAAAAAAGTGAAAGTAAGCATTGAAAAGAAGCTCATCCTTGGCTCAGTTAGCCGCCAGAACAGACATTTTGCAAAACATTCTTAATGCAACCAAGGTAATATTAGATGATGGGCTGTGTGATTATGAGACAAAGACCTGACATGGATTTTCTACCATCTTTCTAGTCAATCCTAGCACAGAAAAGGGAGACTTACAGACACATTTCTAGAGTAGTGTCCATCCACCTGTATTAAGGCAGAGCCCTCAGAACCAACTGGCTCTGAATCAGACAAATCATGTGCAAGATGGCAGCCAAATCACTACAGTCGCTCTGTGCGAAGTTGAAGAGACCTGCCTCATCAACGTGCGGAAGGCAAGCAGAAAGACATGATGAAATGCAGAATCCAGCCGTGTGGCACAGCCTTCGGCCAGAGTGATAAAATTGCTGCACATGTAGGCTATGATTACTGGCCAAGTGGCAGGTTCCAAAAAGAAGCATCACACAGAGATTCTGGGTGGAGAGATGAAACCACAACTAGTCCCTGGCCCTGCAAAAGGTGTTCACCCCTGCTAATCAGAGGACAGATCCTATGAAATGACAGCCCGATTCTTGGCTGTGAGCTTCCCTACTTAGACAGTCTCTGACAAACATAGCATTCCATATTATAAAAGGAAATTTTAGAAATACATACATCTTGTCATTTCATGGGAGCCCAAAGAGTCAGCTGTTCCCTTGTTTTCCTGGGTCATCAATCTGATTTCTGTGCAATCAGCTTCATTACATTTTTCAGCACCTTTAGGAACTGTAGTGGGAGTTGACACAAGTGCGACATTTTCCTTTATTTTTCATTTGTTTTCTTGTTGACACTTTCCCCAGTCAAGATTTTTGTGCTTCATCCATTATGCCATGAATTTATAGAAAGTAGATTCTAACATCAAGCTTCTTACAGCTGGTTCTCTTGAAAGGTTCTCTGCAGAGAGCAGGGTTTTTCAACTTCAACTCTGGTGACATTTGGGACCATATAATCTTTGGCTGTAGGGAGCTGTCCTGTGCATTGTAAGATGTTTAGCAGCACCTTGACCTCTACCTACCAGATGCCAGTAGCACCTCTCCCCAAGTAGTGAAAACCAAAAATGATTCCAGATATGGTCCGATGTCCCCCAGAAGGCAAAATCACCCTTGGTTGGGAAGCACTGGCATTGAGTATGTTGGCACTTTAGTGTGTAGGTAATTTTCTCGGTTGCTTTCATGGTTTTATTCTGATCTTTTCCTTTGCCTCAGGACGTGTTCCCCAGCTCTAGGAGAGATGAATATGCAACATACTCTCATGAATTCTGTTGGCAAAAGTACTGGCCTTATAGTGTTTGTTTACAACGATGCTGCCAACAAGCTCTGTGGCATTGTGGACGCTTCTCATTCGCCATAGCAACATGGAGCAGTGCTCGCTAGCAGTCTGCATGCCCTCGATATCATGGCACCCTAGCTGTCAATTCAGAGGGAAGTGGCCAAAAGCACATTGCCATGGTGACAGAACCTTCCCACTTCTTCCCTGTGTGTTGCTGAATTTTCTTTATTGATCTATTATTTATTTAGGTTTTTTTTCTTTAATGTGAATTACTGGAGGTTGGCAGATCCAACTGCAAGGCAATGCCATCTTTCTACAAAGTATTCAGGAGCAGAGTCAAGACAGCCTCCATGTCAGTTAACTTGTATGTATGAAGGGAGAGTGCTGAAATTTGTTCAGCTGTCCCTCTTTTCTCAACTGGGAGTGAATTTGTCCCACTCCCATCTGTCAGCCATTCTCTGGGTTGAGCATCAAGATTTGATTTTTCTTTTGAGCCCTGGAGGCTCTGTCTAGCCTCAGCCCACTGTAGTTTTATGGCCTGAATATGATGTTGATGTGAAAAGCAAGCCTCAGCCCTTTGGCAAGGCAGGATCACATGTTACCAGATTGCCAAAAAGCTGGTGAAGATATTGCTCTTGTTAAACCAGACACTCCGCTCACATTCCTCAGGGTGGGGTTCATGGGAATCTACTTTTGCAGATACAGAATGCATCCCATCTGTACTCAGGTGGTAGTTTTACATTCAAGCAATCATGCATTCCTGTTTATTACTTTTTATCAATTAACTACCCAAAGTCAGGAAAGACACCTTCTGCAGAGCCACACGTCGAAAATCAGTCCCAATTTTCAAAATCTGGTAAGTTTCTTCCTGGAGGCAGGCATACTTCATGGACAAAATGACATTCTTATTCTTTTTTCTTCTTAAACTTATTCTCCCTTATTTTTAACGTGGAGATTTTTCTACCTGTGGAATATTTCCTTTTAAAATTAGCATCAAATTAGTAAGCATCACTACCGTCCACACTTGTCATACGGTAATGATTTAGGATCATTAGCAGATCAGACTTACATACATTTTAATGGAATAATAAGATTGAAGCTGTGTTTGATTCATATTTTAAGGTTGTGGACTACATAATTCTTACTGTGTGTGGATGAGAACAGCTATAGTAGACTTGGGTACTGGTTCCACCACTGATTAGCTGTATGATCAAAGAAAGTTAGTGTTTGTTTGTTTGTTTGTTTGTTTGTTTTTTCCAGGACCCAGTTCCTTCATCTCAAGATCAGGTTAGAGCCAGTTCTAACCCCATAGCATTGTTTAGATGATTCAATGAGATAGGGCATGTCAAGTGCCTAGGACGGCACATGGTATGGGATGGATTTGTATAAGCCCTGTGTAATTAGCATTATTCCTGTACGGTCTTATTTCCTCTTCCTTCATAATCTCTCCCCACGTGGCATAAAAGACAAGGGACTTACACTCTGTAGAGCATCTACCCCGCATGGTTTTCATGACAAGGAATGTGCAAAGCATCTAGCAGTTACCTGGCTCCACTAAGAATAGGACCCTGGCATTCTTCCTCATTTGCAACCTCCTTGACACTATTTTCTGACCCCTTTGTGAACACTTGGACTATTTCCTTTACACATGGCCACACCCCAATGCTTAATGCTGACAGTACTATTGCCTCTCTGGCTTGAAGCCCTATCTTCCTTCATTAATTATAGCTCATTTGCTCACATAGTGCTGCCACCTTGTCATTTCTAGTCTTTAAAACAGTGCCCTTTGCAAAATACACACTCAGTGAAGAGCAGCCATGCAAATTAATAGATACAGAATGTTGAAAAAAAGAATCCTAATAGGATTTTTCTTAAAGAACAGGATTGAGATGCTGATGGGTTTGAAATAAAAGCAAGCCACCCAGCACAGCAGCCGCATTGCCTTCTCTTCATGGCTGTGGTGACGGTTGGGCATCTGCAGCAGAAGAGGAACGATTACATTAATGAGAATACCTGGGATATAAGGGGAGTCCTTGTACACTCTTTATGAGTCAAATGAGAATATCGTCAAGAAAAGGCAAGCCACTTAAAGCATTCTTCCTGCACCTGGCCAGGCGCAGTGGCTCATGCCTGTAATCCCAGCACAGGTGTGGGAGGCTGAGAAGGGTGGATGGCTTTGAGGCCAGGAGTTTGAAATCAGCCTGGGCAACATGGCAAAACCACATCGCTCCAAAAAAATACAAAAATCAGCTGGGTGACGTGGCATACGCCTGTAGTCCCAGTTGCTCCAGGGGCTGAGGCGGGAGGATGGATTGAGTCAGGGAGGTCGAAGCTGCAGTAAGCCGAGATCATACCACTGCACTCCAGCCTGGGCCACAGAGCAGATCTTGTCTCAAAATAAAATAAAATAAAGCCATACTTCCTGCGCCTCTGATGAGAGAATCTTGACCCAATGGTCTATATAGAATTCAGTGTACGTTAAAGATAAACCTATTTTTAATTGTCTTCAGTCTGGTTCAGTTTTCTGTTGAAAACATCACAGTTACAACATTGAGGGATTGCTCGATGCCCAAGATGTTAAAATTACTATCAGTGGCTTTGAAAGGAAAGCACACTTTTCTACC
Organism: Homo sapiens; assembly: GCF_000001405.40. Lineage (NCBI taxonomy): Eukaryota > Metazoa > Chordata > Mammalia > Primates > Hominidae > Homo > Homo sapiens. The sequence continues at coordinate 6,762,421 of NC_000023.11, forward strand.
TTCATTTTCAGTATAATGAATATGTTTAATATTTTTTCTCCTGTTGGCTCAGAATAGAACTTTGAAAAATGTCATACGTGACAAAGATTGTTCCAGGGAGTGGAGAAAAGAGAAAGAATGAGTGAGGAAATGAGTGAAGGATTTCTGAAAATAAATGACAAATATCTCTGAAGGAAGGAAACAGATGACAGGCAGAAGAAATAAATTTCAAAATAAGGAAAATGAATACTTAAAATAGCAGGAGAATGAACCAGCTTGAGAATGATTTTTTAAAGAACAGTATGTTTTAAAGTAACGTTCCTTATTGTAAAAATAATACTCCTTGTAAAGCATTTAGCAAACACAGAAAAGCACACAGAGGGAGTAAAAATCATTCAGAGGCCACCCTGGAGAGAAAAACATTTTAATGCTTTTGGCTATTTCTTTCTAGTTCTTCTTATATTCCTTTCTTCTTTTAAAATAAGGGCATACTCTAAAAATAATTTCAGGTTCTACTTTTTTTCATTCAATATTATATTGTGAGCATATTACCAGGTGAAATAGCGTTTGAAAATATGATTTTAGTGGCTATGCCAGTATTAATAAACCACAGCCCATGGCCAAACAGTGTCCCCCTGCCCATGAGCTAAATATGGCTTTTACATGTTGAAATAGCTTTTAAAAATAAAAATACAAAATAATATTTCAGGGAGGCACGATGCCTCCTGCCTGTAATCCCAGCACTTTGGGAGGCCGAGGTGGGTGGATCAGTTGAGGCCAGTTGTTCGAGACCAGTCTGGCCAACATGGCGAAACTCCGTCTCCACTAAAATTACAAAAATTAGCCGGGTGTGGTGATGTGTGCCTGTGGTCCCAGCTACTTGGGAGGCTGAGGTAGGAGAATCACTTGAACCCGGGAGGCGGAGGTTGCAGTGAGCAAAGATTGCACCACTGCACTACAGCCTGGGTGATGGAGTGAGACTGTCAAAAAAAAATTCGTAACACCTTAAAATTATGAAATTCAAATTTAAAGGAAATTTTATTAGAACACAACCACACCTATTTCTTTACATATTATTGACTATTGCTGCTTTTGAGACACAAGGGCAGAACTGAGTAATTGTCAGAGAGAACGTCGGTCCCTCAAAGCCTAAAATATTCACTATTTGGCCTCTTAGAGAAAGTTTCCTGACCCCTAGACTATGTAACCACATGACCTCTGTTTATATCAAAACTTGGTTAAACGCTTCCCTATCATTGAGCACCATGGGGTTTTTGTTGTTTTTGCTGTTTTAAATAACATTGTTGTGAATGTTCTTGACCTAAATTGTGGTTGACATCTGTGAATATTTTTCTAAGTAATTAATTATGGATCAAAGGTCATGGACCTTTTTATACCTCTGGATATATTATCCTTTAGAAAAGCAGAAAAGGCATAGATACCTTGTTCAGCAGCAAGGGTGTTTATAAGAACCAGGGGTTCTGAACTGGCACCATAATGTTTTCCTACACAGAGATTTATGTTTTCAACCAAGAAACAACTAAAAATTATTGGCTGGTGTCTTTCTCTTTCTAGAATTGTTTCAACCCTTTATCATAGCATTGGGAGCTAGAAAATAATCCATATCTATTTTTCTCACTCATCTAGAGTGCAGCAAATTTTTCATCTTCATATCCAGTAGGGATTTTAACCAGGAAAATAACCCCTTGGTTTGCTTGACCTTCAGAAAGTAATCAAACCATGCTGGCATCACGAAATAGGATGGTAAAGGCAGAGAGATCCCTGCTAAGTCGACAGAGAATCAGATTGATGGGACTAACTGCTTTGCAAAGCAGGAGGCAAAGCAGAAGACACCCCATCGTGGTCTTGGCAGCCCGGGTTATAAAGAATTCAAATTTCAGTGCAAGGCAGCTGTTGAAATGGAATATCAGAAACAAAGGCCACCCTGGACATAACTGTGGCCTGGTGAATTTGCTGAGTGAAAATGGCTTATTGGCCCTGTGGGTTTCTTCTGTCAGTTCCCCATCTTTCTATTGTGGGAATTTATCATGTTGGTCCTGCTTTGTAAGATTTCTTTACATTTTAAGACTATAAACACTTGTCTACAAGTGCAGTGTATGTAGGGTTTCTATGTATTTTCCATGGGTTTTTGATATGTATGGCTTGCATGTCAGAAACAGTGGGTTAAACAAGGCTAGTTGGACCCTTAAATGCAGGACTTCTCAAAGCCTTTAGTACGATACGATGAATGTGAATCAGCACATGATGAATTTAAATGTAACATTCATCAAAATTATTGACTATGGGCAAGTTTATTTATTAGGCATATTTCAGAATATGCCTGAATCTGTTTTGTGGCTAAAATTTGGGCATCTGTGGTAGGAGGTAAGAAATCCACAAGGAACATACTGAAAAAATACTGACTACTACTGATAAACAACTAGCAATTAATTACAAATTTTAATAAATGGCTAAATGTAAAATAAATATAAGAAAGCAACAGGATTTCCATATACACAATAAAACTAGTTTTAAAATATTATCTGAAAAGGACCTATCCCAATATCAATTAAAGCTGAAAATATGGGTAGGTGTGGTGGCTTACGTCTGTAATCCCAGCAATTTGGGAGGCCGAGGCACGAGGATCGCTTGAGCCCAGGAGTTTGACACCAGCCTGGGCAACGTGGTGAAACTGCACCTCTACCAAAAAAAAAAAAAAAATTTACAAAAATTATCTGGGTGTGGTAGTGTGCACCTGTAGTCCCAGCTACTTGGGAGGCTGAGGCGAGAGGATGGCTTGAGCCCAGGAGGCAAAGGTTGCAGTGAGCCAACATCACGCCACTACCCTCCAGCCTAGACAACAGAGCCAGACCCTGTCTCAAAAAACAAACAAACAAACAAACAAACCAACAACAACAACAAAAAGAAAGCCCTGAAAATACCTAGAACTAACCTTAACAAGAAATATGTAAAACCTGTCTAGAAAATCGTAAAGCCTTAAGTTAAACTGCTTGAAACTGAGCAATATAAAATTAGACTTGCATAAACAGGATAAACAAATCACGTCACAGGATTCAAATTACAAATATTTTAATTATGTCCATTTTTCATACTATCATGTCGATTTCTACAATGACAATTAGAAACTTTAGTAAATATTTTCAGGAACTTGTCAGATTTTCTTTCTAAAATTCATCTGAAATCACTAATAAGCAATGTTATCAATAAACCTTAAAAACATTAGTGAGAAATGACTGAGATGTGATAGCAAAATATTTTATACAGAAAGATCATAGAAAGTCCACCCAGCCCTAGCCTCCCTCTTTGGGCATGCAATGTGAGCTGTAATTAACAATTAGGGATAAAACAACTAGCTAAATGCCTGAAAAAGAAGAGAAAGAGGTTGGGGCTGAGAAAGTACTCAAGGAAAAGGTAGCCAAAAAATTCCCAAGTTTGCCAAGAGACATAAACAAACAGATTCAAAAAACTGAGTGAAGGCCAAACGGGGTAAATCTCAAGAAATCCATGCCAAGACACTTCTTAATGAAACTCCTGGAAACCAAACACACACAAAAAATTTGAAAGCAGCCACAGAAAGCAACACCTTACCTCTAGGGAAAAATATTATTCAAGTAATAGCAAATTCATTACCAGAATTGATGGAGGACAGATGGAAGTGGCACAATATTTTTCAGATGCTTAAAAAAAAAACTGTCAACCCAGAACTTTATATCCAGTAAAAATATCCCTTAGGAATGAAAGGGAAATCAGGACGTTCTCCAATGAAGAAAATCTAAGAGAATTTGTCAACAGCAGACCTATCCTAGAACAAATGGTTTAAAGAAGTTCTTTATATAGAGGAAAATGATAACAGAATAAATCTTGGAGTGCCAGGAAGGAAAATCAATATGCAAAACTATGGGTAAATAAATATGCTCTCCTTCTTATCTGGGATACTCTAAACCATATTTGAGGGTTGAACCAAAAATTAGAACATTTGTTTGATGTGGTTCTATGCATCTGCTGGAAAAATACTTAAGATAATTATAAATGGGGGAAGGTAAAGGGAAGTGATGTTTTTACATTCACTAGAAGTGGTAAAATGGTGACATCAGTAGACTGTGATAGTTATGAATATATTATATAGCATCTAGAGAAATTACTAAGGAAGGTTACGCAAAGACATAAACTAAAACACTATAGATATCCAAAATAGGAATAGTACCATTTTATAAAATTTTAGTACAACATGACAACCAAGATACTGTAATTGATGTAATCATGATATAGGATATTTCTATCCACACAAAGATCTCTCATGTTGTCCTTTTAAAGCCATACTCACTTTTCTCCTGCCCTCCCCTCCTTAATTTTCAGCATGCACTAATTTGTTCTGCAATTCTATAGTATTGCCATTTCAAGAACATCATGTAAATGTGTACTAAAATACACAGGATCCCTCTGTATTCTTTCTTACAACTACATGACTTTAATTATCTCAAAATAAAATGTTTAATTAAAATAAAAGAATAAAGCTACCAGCAACAATAGCAACCCAAAAAGGACCTTTAATGAGATGGACAAACACACATGTCACATTAATTAAAATGGTCCATACCAATTTTTTAAACTGTAAGAAGTGATGGCAAGTTGATAAGAATTTACAAGGTTTTTCTTAACTTTGTATTTTCCATATTTTAAAAGGTGACATTCGTAACTAGAAAAATTGTACCCTAATGCATTGAATAGGCCCAGCCTTGTAAGGCAGTGGAATTATTTAGTGGAATTATTTAGCGTAGCTAAGCTAATGATACACAAAGAATCTGGTCAACCATGGCATGCGTTTGGGTCCATTGCTAACAAAAGGAGAGTCAGTTCCCTTACTGTTTGTAAAGCACCTGCCAGAGGAAGGGCTTATGGGTGTCAGTGCTGCCATTTGTATATTTCTGCTTTATTACAGCACTAGTTCATTAATGAGGCCCTGCAATGTCCTGAATGGACACCTCACAGAAGGGGAGCTGCTTTTTATTTTATCTTCCTCATTAGTCGCTGGCGAATGTGGAATACATGGCCATACAGAAATAAAAACACATTTTAATGGTCTTACCTTGCTCTTAATGAAGACTTAGGCTTGATGCCAGTTCGCCCTTCATAGCAGGTATCCTTTGCCCACGATGGGATATAGCAGCGCAGTCATTCCACACAAATGGACTTTAGGAAGAGCTTCCACAATACAGGTCTGGAGTATGTTAGAACTCAGTGAAGAAAGATTCAAATTTGCTTGAAGTTCTTTTTCATAATGGAGTGGGCTCCTTGGAGAATGAGGAATGGGATTCGAGTTTTATTGGTTTAAGCCTTTAAGAAACTTTGCATTGAACCCCTCTCCAGCTTTCCATGCCCACCTGCAACTTTCTTTGTCAGCAATTAACCTGCACGTGTGCTTTAAAGTGAAGTAATTTCAAACTCCATCAGTTCCTTGGTTCTCATCTCAGTCTATTCCGAATCTGGGGTGTCTCTGTGACTGCTACACATACTGGAGTTTTGGGGTTTGCAAAGCCCTTCCAGATCTCTCGTTTCCCATGTACTCAACACCCTTCTGAACCCATCTGAAAAACTAGTCTATCAGGGAAGCTTGACCAGGAACAGACTTCAATTGGACAAAGTTCAATTGAAATTGCCACTTTTGCAGGTTAAGAATAATCCAATGTTGGAATTTTAGGTAGCTCTACCCAGCGGTTCTCAACCAGGGGCGATTTTGTTCTCCCTGGGGACATCTGGCCATTCTAGAGCCATTTGGGGTTGTTACAGTGAGGGGTTGTGGGGATGGCACTGGCAGTTGATGGGTTGAGGCCAGGGATGCTGCTGAATATCCTACAGTGCACGAGACAGCCCTAGACAACAAGGATTCATCCATCCTCAAATGTCACTGGTGCCAAGGTGGACAAACCACAGTTCTGCCAAATGTAGCATAGGATTTAAGAACATGCAGTTGAAGTACAGTGCCTGAACTCAATGGTTTTACCACTTAATTTCTGTGTGTGCTTGGGTATGTTAGCTACAATGGTTATAATGATAATTTCGGACTCAGGATTGTAGGGAAAATTAAGTAAGTAAATACATATCATGCCCTTTGAATACTGTGGAGGCTATTGATGTTGGCTGTTATTATCTATAGAATTCTTTTAGATATTAAAAATTGCAAGATCCATTCTGTGAAGAGGGAGATTTGAAAAGAAAAAAAAATTAAAGTCTTTTAAAAATTGTAAGATCCAGAATTCACAGAAAACTTACAGGAAATATCTAGATTGCTGGAGTTATTTTAACATTCTGATTTCTGTCATTGTTTGGGGGCCCCAATAGATTTCATTCCCTTTTTATGAACATATATGCATATTCCAAAAGTAAACAGTTTTCAGCAAGAAGTTCACAACAGGTAGAACACACTTTTACGAGTTTTATAGAGAAAACACTAGCTCACACAGTAAAACAATAGCTTTCCGTGGTGGTGTTTACTCAAGCCCCAGAGAAAAGGCCGCCATACCATTGAAACTCACAAAGGCTGCACTCCACCAAAAGTGATACAGCCACAACGAAAGTAGCACATTTTGTACATAGAGAAGGCGCTCACTGGCACAGTGCTCGAAATGTCACATAAATTATGCTCACACTTCTAAGAATGGATCTTGAACACAGTGTGTAAATATTTGCTGGTCTCCCATTCCATGTGTCTCCCAGCGAGTCTGTGTGACTCCTCCAACCTGATTCCTTGTTGTCTGCCAAAGATAAGCCACTCGAGGGGCTTTCTGCTCAATTTCAACATGGAAGAAGTGAAAAAGATTTTGCAGCAATTGCTTGGATTAGAAACAAAGAAGACAGCTGGTGAATAAACAGGTCAATTTTTCTCATTAAGTTGTGGGGAAAACAGTCTCCTGCATCCTGAAAGCCCTCCTCACCTTTGGCGGGGAAGGCAGAACAATCTTATCAGGTAAGGTCATTCCAGATGGCAGGTCTGCCATTCCTGCCTTGCTCTTCATTAATCCACAGAGGCAGGTGGGAGGAAACCCATGACTGTTCATCACCCAGACATCAGCAGCATCAAGGCAGGCTGTCAGCAGCCACGGGAGCCTCCATTTCAAATCCACAATTCAGAACACAAAAACCAGGATTATGCTTTTTCTTTCTTGTTTCCTTCTTGTTTGTGTTGTCATGGTTCCTCCAGTCACTGGTGTTTCGAGTTCATCTTTTTCGTGCTTTAAAGCTTTGTTGTATCTGAGAAAATTGCAAAGGTACGTTATCATTGCTGCATCTTCCTATTGCTTAGAGAGCTGCTTTATAGCACAATCACAAGCTCATCAAGTCTGTTGGACTGGATTCTGGGTGAGCCTAGCGCCTGGGCTCTCAATCGTACTTAAATAAATAGCAATTTTGATGGCGAGAAAATATTAATATAAAGAAACTGTTTACAGTCATGTGCTGGGGTCTGTTTGCACTGTGGGGTCTGAACAACCTAAACGGGGGATAAATTGCAAGCAGTCTGTTCTGCAGATGGTCTGCAAAGCCCTACAGTCTGTTTCAGTCATGACAAGCTTCAAGGACAGGTGACTAGGGTGACTTAAATGAACCCCTTCCCACAATGGAGTTCCATTTTCATTTTGTTTCTGGCCCCATTCAGAGCCTTTCCCTCTACAAAAAGGAGCTCTCTCCCATTACAGAAAATGAAAAGCTCAAGCACATTCTGTGTTTCTTTCTACTCTTGACTTCCCATCATACAATCTTCTTGGAGCCGGAGGAGTTATTTAGTCCAGGGGTGGATGCACTGCATTGTGCTGGCCAAATCTGGCCACACACATTCATTTGCATGCCTGTCTGTGGCTGCTTTTCTTCTACAATGGCAGAGTTGAGTAGATGCAACAGAGATGCTGTGGCCTAAAAAGCTGAACCCATTTATTATCTGGCCCTTTGCAGAAAATATTTTGCTGACCCCTTGTTTCAGAGTTAAGAAACCACAGACCCAATGGGGTAAGATAATTTGTCAAAACCATGCAGGCAGATAGGGATGGAGCCAGAAGCCTTGGTTTTTTTGTTTGTTTTTTGTTTTTGTTTTTTGTTTTTTTATGGCTTTGTGATGGATCCATGACCTGCTGCCTGGGTATCTACAGAAAGTCAGCACACATCACACAGCTGCACATTCTCTAATGCAAACTAACCTGTAAGAAACACACCTGTCCTATGATAGGCCAGCAAGAAAGGAGATACATAGGATTGCCGGCTTTGGGCTGGGGCTGTTTCCTCCCAAACAGCGTTTCACACCACCAATTCATCCACATGGTGCCCATCTGCATTAAGAATAGAAAGCCAACAAATTATTCAGAACCTGACCGACAGATATGCAATGCTGGGCTGCCTGGTGAATTTGAAGAGAAGACCCATCTGAAAGCAAATATCTCTCATTACGTTTCAAATGATGAGGAAAAGATGATGACACCCTATCATCTCATGACAGAAGTCATCATGAGATGGAAAATTTCCCTGACAGAAGAAGAAGTCAACCTCTCCCCCTTCTAATCCAACTCAGTCATATAGAAAAGTTAAATCATTCCAAATAAGTTGTAGCTTCACTCTCTGAAACTCTTCCTCTGAGTTCTATGCAAACTCCTCAGTCAGGAATGTAAAATCTGCCCCCATTCAAGTTCATTCCTATCTGCCTTATTTCCCACTGCTCTCTGACACACATACCAGGCTCAGAGCCCTGGGGAATTGCACAGTCACAGGAAATGCACAGAGAGATGACCCCATGGAAAGAAACGTGCCACCTAGAAGTCTTGTTCTGCTCCAGAAACCCATTTAATAGATCTACTTCAACACCTGCACGTCCATGGCCTTCTGACAAGCTTCCTTTCTTTGCACGCTGGAATTATCTCCTTTTTATGCATTTCATTTTTGAAGACTACCCCAAACACCACTGCCCTTAGGAAGTCTTGTGCAACTACTGGACTGCTTTTGGTTATATTCCTCTTTAATCCATCACCCAATATAGAACTTTGTGAATATCTCTTTTGGAGCATGTCCGCAACTCAAATTAGTAGTCATTTGCCTCTCACCCATTAGACCATTTTAAAGGCAAGAACAGTTTTCCTCATCTTCCTAACCCTCACCTTGCCTTCCACATAATAGATTCTCAGAATTGGGTTGTAAGAGTTAAGAAAACTCAATAGTTACTTGTTGGCTTATGTTTATTGACATCACAGATGGATCTGATATTGTTCTTCTTTGGCATTAAACTCTCCGGATCATGAAATGTGTACATAAATGACTTAATACACAGAATTACTCAAGGCCAGGGATTGGCAGACTTTTCTGCAAAGACCCAGGTATTTTAGGCCTTTCTGGTCTCTGTTGCAAACGTTCAACTCTGCCGTTGTAGCATTAAGGGAGCCACAGACAATCTGTAAATGAATGGCTGTAGCTGTGTGTCAATAAAACTTTATTTATAAAACCAGGTGGTATAGGTTGGATTCAGCCCTCAGGCTGTAGTTTTCTAGTCCCTCCAAACCCTCAACAAAAAGATCCTGCACCATTCTGGTGATGCAGAACCAAGTGAAATGTGGATGGAAACTACCTTGACATTTGTTTTCTATTCAGGAATTAAAACCACAGATGTTATTTTTTTCCCTCAGTAAAATCTTTTTAAAAAACGTTTGGGGCAATGCCTTGTATCCTAATCACAGTGCACATCACTCCTCTTGCATTCATTTGCTTTTGTCTCCTCATTTATTAGCACAATTTGCTTGTGAATCACTTGTTTTATGTAGCAGTTAAATCTAGGGAAATTAACTGAATTCAGAAATGTGGGCTTGGGCTGGAAATTCTTTTTTTTCCTATATTACAATGAAATAAATTTTTCCTCAGTTTTCCAAAATAATTATGTTAATCAATTCCTGAGTCTTCAGCAGACGTGAAAGCTAAGGGCACCTTTGGTTTAAGGGGCTACAAGCAGAGTCAGCAGCTCATCTATAAACTCATATTAACAGATTGAGACACAGAACAGAGAAAATCATTCTCCATCACCTCAACACTATAACCATATTCATCTTTCAACTCTGAGGTCCCCATCTACCTAACTTTTTGAATAGATTGCACCAGTTTAAAAATTATGTTGATATTTCCAGCCATTCCCAGAAAAACAAATTTCAGTATGGATTATCTGACTTTCAGAGAAATACAGACAAGGAAAAAAAAAAAAAAAGAAGGTCAGGCACAGTGGCTCATGCCTGTATTCCCAGCGCTTTGGGAGGCCGAGGTGGGTAGATCACTTGAGCCAAGGAGTTCAAGACCAGCCTGAGCAATAAAGTGAGACCCCATCTCTACAGCAGAAAATTAAAACAAACAAACAAACAACAACAACAAAAAACCCAGGACATTAAGGTTGTAGTGAGCTAAGATCAAGCCACTGCACTCCAGCTGGGGTGACAGAGTGGGACTCTGTCTCAAAAAAAACAAAAAGACAAAAAAAGACAAGTCTGTTGATCTGATTAGAAGGGCAATAGTTGAAGCTTTTTCCACAAGTTCACAAGCTTTCTTTTTCATCTGGATAGCTTTATTTAGTACAGTAGTTAAGTCATCTCAGGATATATTTGAAAATCACATCTTAAAGTTTTTCTCAGACATTAGTTGAGACAAATGTAACCTGGAAAATTTAGATGGAAAAGTTCACGGTGTTTGGAGATGAGTGGAAAGTTGGGAATTTCTCAGGAACATGCTCCATGTTGGTTGTGCTGTCTTGGCTTTTCAAGTTACTCTAACTCTGAGGATGAAACTTCAAAATCTTTTTGGTCTACAATGAAAAAGAGCCATGCTATCAGGGGACTCTGCTTCTTTTCCACATTTTCTCTTGCTTTGTGATACAGGTTTCAGTGAAATCCACTGCTTCACACTCCATCTTTTTGGGTACTGAAATTTAGGGTTGCCCTTAAAGTTTCACCAAATTCAAGATAATTTCTAACATTTAGTTGAGGCTTGGTGGGCCCAGAAGATCCTGGAGCTGCGTTTCCCACATTGTACTTTGCAGATCACTAGAGTCCGTCAGGGTCATGAGGTGGTCCTTTAAAAGGAGTTTCCTTTTTCAAATAGTTTGGGATGTGATTGCACAGCAAACCAGACAATACTCAGTGGAGAGTTGCTGGGTCCAGGTCGGGTATGAGACAGAACTCAACACCAGAGGCAAAGCTTGGTCATGGGACCAAGTTGAGGAGTAGCTAAAACAGGGCCAAGGCAGAAGCAGGTTTCCATCAGACATGCCCACCATTGTGCCATGTCAGTTACCATTGTCACGGCAACACCCAGGAGTTTCCACCCCTTTCCATGGCAATGACCCGATGACCCAAAAGTTACTACCCCTTCCCTAGAAATTTCTGCACAAACTGCCCCTTAATCTGCAGGAAATTAAAAGTGGGTATATGCCAGGCACTGTGGCTCACACGTGTAATCCCAGCACTTTGGGAGGCTGAGGTGGGCAGATCACCTGAGGTCAGGAATTTGAGACCAGCCTGGCCAACATGGTGAAACCCTGTCTCTACTAAAAATACAAAAATTAGCCGGATGTGGTGGTGGGCACCTGTAATCCCATCTACTCAGCAGGCTGAGGCAGGAGAATCACTTGAACCCAGGAGGAAGAGTTGGCAGTGAGCTGAGACTGCCGCTGCACTCCAACCTAGGCCACAGTGGGAGACTCCATCTCAGAAACAACAGCAAAAAAAGTGGGCATAAATGTGACACTCTCTGCCTACAGTGTTATCCCGTTCTGCAGGAAAAGTCACAGAGCTGTAACACAGCTGGAGCTGTAACATTGCTTCTTCAATAAAGCTGTTTTCTTCTACCTCCAGCTTGCCCTTCAATTATTTCCTAGACACAGCCAAGAACCCTCAGGGATTAAACCCCACTTTGTGGCTTGCCTGACCTGCATCATGGGAACTTCTCAAAGATGCAGAGAGATCCTGAAATATATGACTATGTTTTAACTTTCTTCCAACCAACATTTTCTAAACCACTTGGACAATACAAGCCATTTGTCTCAGGGTGGGCAATAGTACCTCAGCAACATAACGTTTCCTAAAACACAATGATGGAAAGGCTACACAACCTCTCCAGTGCTCCTGAAGCTTTGTTGCCTATGTCAACCTCAGGGATCTTATGAAAAGGTAGGTCTCAGTTACGAGGTCAAGGGTGGGGTTGGAGAGTCTCTGTTTCTGACAAGCTCCCAGGTAGGGTTGCTGTGGCTGGTTCATGGACACACAGTTAGCAAAGTGCTAAGAATCCAGCCATTGCAATTGATCTTTCCATCTTTCCAAGCTCCCTTGTGCTTCACTGAACCACACCAAATAAACACTCAGTGTTATTCAGCCTTTGCGACTATTGTTTGAAATCCTACCAGATCTGGGGTTTTAAGTCAAGCCCAGCTGCACATTAGCATCATTTGGGAGGCTTTTTAAAAAGATGAATGCCTGTTCTCCAAACTATGATATCAGAATCTCTTGAGGGTGCTGTCTGGACATTTTAAAATATTGAGACAAAATGTACATAACATTCAATTAACTGTTTTAGAGTGTACAATTCAATGGCTTCTAGTACTTTCACAGTGTTGTGCAACTATCACTTTTTTCTTTACCCCAAAAGGAAACCCAGTGCCTGTTAGCAGTCATTCCTCATTCCCTGCTCCCATCCTCAGACCCCAGCAATCACTAATTTACTTTCCGTGTCTATGGCTTTTCTTATTCTGAATATTTCATATAAATAGAGTGATACAATATGTGGTCTTTTGTGTCTAGCTTATTTCACTTAGTCTAATTTTTTAATCTATATTGTAGTATACACTAGTAGTTTATTTCTCTTTATGGCTGAATACTATTCAACTGTATAGATATACCACATTTGTTTATCCATTAATCTGTTGATATACATTTTGTTTGTTTCCAAGTGTGATTATTGTTAAGAGCCCTGCTATTAACATTCATTTACATGTCTTTGGATACCTGTTTTTAATCTTTTGGGGCATGGATGGATAGATAGATATAGATAGATAGATAGATACACACATATACACACACATACACACACACACACACACACACATATATGTATATAAAATATGCCTAGGAGTGTAATTGCTGGTTCATATGGTACCATAGACTGAATGTCTCTGTCCTCCCAAAAGTCATACATACGTTGAGATCTCAACCCCCAAGATGGAGCTATAAGAGGTGACTTAGATCTTTGGGACATGATCTAGGTGATGAGGGTGGAGGTGATGAGCGGTGATGAGGGTGGAGCCCTTATGAATGGAATTAGTGTCCTTATGAAAAAGGCCCCAGAGAGCTCCCTCACCTCTTCCACCATGTGCCTTCTCCACCACACAGCGAGAAGGCCCCGTCTATGAACCAGGAAGCGGGTTCTCACCAGGCACTGGATCTGCTGGTGCCTTGATCTTTGAGCCTCCAGAACTGTGAGATGGAAATGTCTACTGTTTATAAGCCACCCAGCCTATGGCATTTTGTTATGGCAGCCAGAAAGGACTAAGACATATGGTAACTCCGTTTTCACCTTACTGAGGAAATGACAAACCCTTTCTCACGGTGGCTGTGCCACTTTACATTCTCACTGGAGAACGTCACTGGACATTTATACCTTTTTAAAGGTTCCCCATTGAGTGCGATCACCAGCAAGTGTGGACAGCACTATCCTGCAACCAAGGACGGCCTTATTCACACACTTAATACACATGTATTTAATTCAATGGGGTGCCTGAACCCATAGCATCAACATTACCTAGGAACTTATTAGAAACACAGTTTCTAGGTCCAGCATGGTGGCTCATGCCTGTAAACCAAGCACCTTGGGAGGCCAAGGTGAGCAAATCACTTGAGGGCAGGAGTTTGAGACCAGTCTTGTCAACATGGCAAAACCCGATCTCCACTAAAAATACAAAAATTAGCCAGGCATGCAGTGGGAGCCTGTAGTCCCAGCTACTTGGGAGGCTGAGACAGGAGAATTGCTTGAACCCGGGATGCAGAGTTTGCAGTGAGCCAAGATTGCGCCACTACACTCCGGCCTGGGTGACAGAGCAAGAGTCCATCACAAAAAACAAACAAACAAACAAAGCCACAGTTTCTTGGTCCCCACACTGGACTGACTGAATCAGAAACTCTGGAGGCAGATGGTGGTCACTACCTATTTTATCAAGCCCTCCAGGGGATTCTAAAGTTTGAGAACTGATGCTCCACATATAATTTTATAATTTGCAATAGTTTCACTTCACCCTATATCATACGCACTTTCCCACATCCTGTACTATTATTTGAAAACACAGTTTAACATCTACTTGTAATCTTTTAATATAAAACAAGCCCACTATGCACTTAATCATTATATCTGGGGCCATTTGATTTTTCCCATTTTTTATGAAATACAAATAATACTCCATGAATACTCTTGACAATAAATATTTCCACACATCTCGGAATATTTCCTTGAGTTAAATTCAGAATCATAATTACCAAATTACAGCGTTTAGACATTTTTATCTTTATGCTGTGTTGGCCACTTCATTGGATCTGAGCTCTTTCTGTGGAGGGAAAACCAATACTTTCATTCATCACAAACAAGGAAGACAATATGGGTTATTGGCTATTTTTATTCTATTGCAAATATTGCTGGATCACCAATTCTGGGTTAATTTTTCTCTCAATCCAGGAGAAATAGATGCTATATATTTCCAGTCTCACTGCTTCCTTGCTATTTATGATGCTTTGCCCAGCTTTTTAATTTATCAGTCCTCAGTTTCTGTACCTACACCTTAAGGGTAAAAATACCCTACCTACTTAGTGGTATAGATAATAATGATAGAACTTGTGCAGAAAGCCCTTTGTAACTGCCGAGCACAATACAACATGTGAGATATTTTTATAACTAGGCTCAGTGCTTTGAAAAGTTCACTCCCAGAGGACTCCCCCAATAGAAATATCCTCATTTGCTTTGAGCCGTGGCTTTCATCAGCCTGACCTAAGCTGTATTATTTGCTCTGAATTCTTTAGGGATCTGCAGAAGCTTTACTATTCACATATGCATATTTTGCAACTGTATGAATGCACTCCTTAAATTTCTGGGAGTTGGTTCACCTTAGGCAGAATTTGTAAATAGTATATTTCTGGCTTATTTTCTATTTCCTTTTTATTTTAAGCCATGTGCCGATTCCATTGCATCCATCTTTACAGAGCTTGCCTCAAATCCTTTTTGGGGAAGAGGCAATAGAGAAACAGAAAAACAAGTCAACAAGCAAGCAGATAGATACAGTAGCACACTGTAGGATCTATTTGATACTTCCTCTTCCTTTCTGAACCTTTATAGCAAGGTCTATACTTACATGGAAACTTTAAATAGAAACTATGACACCTACCCGGAAACAGGTAAGGCTATCCATTTTCACCAGTTGACTGTAAAAAGCCTCGGTTTTCTGTCTGAATTAGGAAAATTTGTAGACTTTGAGAGGTGCAAATGAGCAATAGTCTACTATAGTGCTGCTTTAATAGCTTCGAAAGATACCTGTCCCCCCGCCACGAACCCAGGCTACAAGTACTCTTTTTTCCAGTAAAGATGCATTTTGAAAAGACTATTCCGAGGCAGATAAGAGAAGCTGTTGGCATGTTTTAATGAGGGAAAATGAGAAGGGGGCTGTGGAAACAGCTCGACAGACTGCTCATCAGAGCAGAAGGAAGCTTCTATGCCTTTTTATAGACACGCTGGCCCCCTTACGTCCCTGAAATATTCTCTCTCCAAAGTTTCAAAGGTAGGACTTGCTAAGCGGGCAGTCCCGAAAGGGAAGTCTTGGAAACACCCTCTATCTGGAACAGGACCTACCCACACTCTGGTAAAGAATAGGGTATCTATACATCCCCAACGAAGAAACTGAGCTGAAAAACCAGGATGACGAGGCATGCAAATCTATTTGCAACCTTGGGCCAAGCTCCCAAGGCCAGCCACCCTGAGCATTGCTGCTTTGCCCTCTTTGATTTCCAGGGAATTAACACTCCTCAAGTTCCCCTGCATGTCACCTGCAGCCTGGGAGAAACATGGTGACTTGGGGCTCCCTGCAAGACACGGGATGTGTGATTCAGCCCCTTTTGATGCAGTACTTGAGGAAATGTCAGGGAGCAGAGAGTGAATAATCATTTGCATCCAGAGTGCCGCAGGCAGCTCTCCAAGAGGGAGCCCGCAGAAGTTGAGGCTTCCGAGGAGGCCGGGGACCCCTGTTTAGTTTTGAACTCAGCATGGGGGGAGAAAGAGAGATAGAGAGAGAAAGACCATTTCCCACAGAGCCGACAAATGCAGGGTTAAATAAAAACAGTGGTACCCGTGGAAGAACGGGGAGAGCGTGCCAGCTGGAGCCTTTATTTCATGTTAATCATTCTTGTAGTTGCTGTAGCCTGAGAAAGACACATTTGTTATGCAGACAGTGTTCGTTGTCAAAGACTGATCAAGAATGCAGGAGTGCGGCCACAAAATGAATTAGCTCTCTGGATACCAAATGGGAAAGCCAATTCGAACCAGAGCATGGCACAAGGGCTCCAGCAGGATTGAAATATACTAGGTGCGCATAAGAGCGAGCATTGTGACCACTGCTAATTATTTGCTATTTTTAGCACAGGCAATGAGAAAGCAAAGAGCAGGGGGAGGGGAATGCGGCAATCCAACAACAGGGTTCATTCAGAACGCCGCCGGGGGTTCACAGACCTCCGTCCATGTCCACTTCCCATGCTCCAGAATGGCCTTTATTTTTAAACTCAATAATTTTTCATTCATCCTCCTTGTGAATGTTAGGAATGTCTGCAGTTCTGAGCATGCCACAAAAGAAGACCTGTGCTGTGCCGAGGGTATGAAAGCAAAGCAGTGTGAAAGCAAAGCTTTGCTGTGCCCCAGAGAGAAACAGAACAGAAGGTCCCAATAAAGACAGAGGGTCTTTTCTAAGTGGGCACCCACTGAGCCTGTCGACCAGGAGAGATGGTCATTTTCTGTGCTTGCGTTGACTCACTTCTACATTCTTGGACTTCCAACCCTAATCTAAAGCTCAGATTCCAAGCGTTTCAACTGCCCTTGGACCAGGCTTACTGACAGGTAGATTACATTAGGTTTCCCCACTTGACATAACGGCATTGCAGCTTAAGGCATGACCATGGAGCTACTCTATTGTCAAGAAAAAGGTAGGGTGCAGTGGCTCATGCCTTTAATCCCAGCACTTTGGGAGGACCAAGCGGGTGGATCTCTTGAGCCCAGGAGTTCAAGACCAGCCTGTGCAACATAGTGAGATCCAGCCTTTACCAAAAAAAATAAAATTAGCTGGGTGTGGTGGCATGCATATAGTCCCAGCTTCTTGGGAGGCTGAGGCAGAAGTTCACTTGAGCCCAGGAGTCTGAGGCTGCAGTGAGCTATGTTCACGCCACTGCACTCTAGCCTGGGCAACACAGAGAGACCCTATCTCAAAAAATTCAAAAATGAAAATAAAGTCAAGGGAAAGAAAACTCTCCCTCTTGAAGTTCTATAGCATGTTCTTGTACTTGTATCAAAAATGCCATTAAAAAGAAACAAATATAGATAGACACATTCTTCTCTTTAAAACCTCAAAAATATTAGGCATATTCAGAAAAGCAAAGGAAAAAATCCTTTGTTTGTGTATATATGTATATATACATATTGTATATATACACACATATATACACATACACACACATATACACATACACACATTCTTGATCAGCGTCACATATGTATCTATGAATATGTGTGTGTGTATGTGTATATACATATATACACACACAAAAGACTGTATAATCTATATTATATATATAATTCTTCTGAATTATCCATTTGAACTTTTAAGATCCCATCAAACCACACCATGTCTACACTACTTAAGACATGATTTAGGCTCACAGACTTAAACTACAGAGTGTTTAAGTGTATACACATATATTTAGATATAGATATAAACATTTTAGTCAGTCAAGACACTGTATCACTGAAAATAGCTCCATGGATTCTCACCAAATAAAGAAGGCAGGGATAGGCTGGTCCAATACAGGCTTCATGGTTTGCATGGAAAAGACAAATGATCATCCCTCAGAACAGCCAAAAAGTTGATTTGCAATTGAGATGCTTTGCACCTGAGTGAGTCCTCATCCTAGGCTTTAAGGCGTGTAGCAGCAGGAACTCATTAGATGCATGATGGCGAATGAATTCCCCAATTATCTCATCTCAGGATGAGAGGCTGGCTGGATAAACATGTACACACACACACACACCCCACCACCGCCACCACCACCAAAAACAGGCCGGGTGCAGTGCCTCACGCCTACAATCCCAGCACTTTGGGAGGCTGAGGCAAGCAGATCACTTGAGGCCAGGAGTTCGAGACCAGCCTCGCCAACATGGTGAAACCTCGCCTCTACTAAAAATACAAAAATTAGCCAGGTGTGGTGGCACACACCTGTAATCCCAGCTACTCAGGAGGCTGAGGCAGGATAATCGCTTGAGCCTAGGAGGTGGCACCACTGCACTCCAGCCTGGGTGACAGAGCGAGACTCTGTCTCCAAAGAAAGAAAAACAAAAACAACAAAAATGCAAGTAAGAGGGAGGACAGCATTATAATATTACCTATTAGGATGAAATACTACTCATTGGCCAAGCTACACACACACACATGCACACACACACAACAACAATAACAACAGCAACAGCAATCACATATCACACCAGCAATCACATATCACACCATGGCATGACTTGGTGGTAAAAGATATTCATTCATCAAACTTTTATGGGTCTGATATTCTAATATGTCCAGGTAATACAAACTTGATTCATTCTCAAGGGATACGCATCTAAAAGGCCATGGGTCACCCATTACGGCACTCTTTTTTTATGATCATTCTGACATGATCAATCTGTGTCACATGATGACTTCTTGGGATAAAGTTACATGCAACTTCTCCAAAACACTTTTTCCCTCCCAATTTTGGACCCAGAGATGAAAGTAATTCATGGACAAACAAGGAACAGGTAGGTTCCTGCCTCTCAGAATCCTCTGAAGGATCAAAGGTATGTTTTTGAGCTGCCTACACCTGAAATCCTGATTTGGCTTTTGATTCTGTTTTCAGAACAGAAAGTGCATGTCATGGACTCCATAGAAGTCTCTTTCTGGGGAGTGCTTTAATGAGCCTAAGTAAATCCTTTGCCTCCTTTGTAAAGTTCCAGGAGAAATAATTCCACTAGGGAAGTAGTTCTCAGAGAGGGGATCCTTAGCAATGCCTGGCAATACTTTAGGACTTTCAGAGTTGTTAGATTATTGGAGGATGGATTCAGGGATGCTACTAAATATCTTACAATGCACACAACAGAGAATTATGCAGCCTAATGTATTACTAATGCCAAGGCTGAGAAACTCTGTTCTTTTGGTGGTTATGTACCTGAGCAGGTTGGGTCATACCTGACACAGTGTTGCCTGGATTTGGCAAACCTGGTGAAGAGAAACGCTTATCAGAGTCCTTTTCTCAAGAGGATTTTTTTTTCTGAATTATCCATATGAACGTTTAAGAGCCTATAAAACCACATCGTGTCTACACTGCCTAAGACATAATTTAGGCTCATGGGCTTAAATCGGAGAGTGCTAGAAATGTGGACATAACTCCTGGAAACACGGATAGTATTGGGTGCTCCTGGGTTCATGCCAGGCCGGGAAATTCCGGTGCCCTAGTAGTTGATTCTCCCTTTTCCTTTCTAAATACAAACCCCGCCTGTGAACAGTACAGCTCCATCCCTGGATACATTTTAAAACACATCTAATTGCCGGGCACAGTGGCTCACGTCTGTAATCCCAGCACTTTGGGAGGCCAAGGTGGGTTGATCACCTGAGGTCAGGAATTTGAGACCAGCCTGGCCAACATAGTGAAACCCCATCTCTACTAAAAATATAAAAATTAGCTGGGCGTGGTGGCAGGTGCCTGTAATCCCAGCTACTCAGGAGGCTGAGGCAGGAGAATCACTTGAAGCCAGGAGGTGGAGGTTGCAGCAAGCAGAAATCGCACCACTGCACTCCAGGCTGGGCTACAGAGCAAGACTCCATCTCAAAATAAAATAATAAAATAAAATAAAATAACCACATCTACGATTTCTGACAATACTCTGGGCACATGGAGCAATGGCCTCCACCATACGATTGGTCTCCCCTGATGTCCAATCTTCCAAAACCCAACAGCCTGTCTAGAAGATGTCAGTCACTTAGACATCTTTAAAAATGTCTGAAAAGTAACACTTGTAGGAACTTTAATTAATATATTTTCTCTGCTTTGTGTGCAATGAAGTGAGCCAGCATTTTCAAAGGAAGAGATTCAGTTGGTTCACCAGGAAGTCTGAGTTTGCCTTATGAGAATGAGATCATTTCTCCGTGATTTCTCTCCTGCTGCAAAGAACATGGGCATCTTTTACAAACAGATTGGCCTAAGGTCTTGCACATATTATCATACTCCCACCCTCACGCAGCAAACCGGAGCGGCTCCATCTTGAGTGAGGGCTAGGAAAATGAGGCTGGAACTTGCTGGGCTGCATTCCCAGAAAGTTAGGTGTTCCTAGCCTCTAGATGTTTACAGTTAAGGGAACAGATGGATAATGTTTAGTAAACAGACCCGGAATTGGGAGTGTCCAATATCCCTATATCTTGAGAACAGAAGCACTCCTAATTTTGCTTTAAAGATAATAATATTGATTCTTGCAGAATGTAGTAATAAAGAAAATTAATCCTTTATCACAAACCCTTGTAGCAGAGCACTTTTCCCCATGATCTTTTTTTTATTTTATGTATAAACAAGTTTTGTACCTACCGGTGGATGCGTTCCTCCTCTAGCTTTCGGGAACGCCCTGCTCTGTCTATGGAGTAGCTGTACTTTCACCACTTTACTCTGTTAATAAACTTGCTTTTGCTTTGCACTGTGGACTCGCCCCGAATTCTTTCTTGTGTGACATTCAACAAGCCTCTCTTGGGGTCTGGATCGAGACTTCTTTCCTGTAATGGAAGGATTTAGTGAACACTGGATTTCGTGAGTCCCGGGAAGGAGTACACACTAATCACCAGTCAATAATTAGGCAATGAACACGAGTGGTGATGTTTTCAATTTGTGAAAAATTAAGTCATGAATGGACTTTTAATTTGTGGAATATTGGAGATAACTGTGCTTTTCCCGTTAGGACTCAGAAGTGAATTGTATTAATCAGGGTTCTCCAGAGAAAACAGCTATTTATAAAGAGAGAGATATATAAGAAGAGATTTATTACAGAATTTGGCTCATGCAGTTGTAGAGGCCAAGAAGTCTCAAAATTCGCCATCTGCAAGCTGAAGAAGCAGAAAAGCCAATAGTATGATTCAGCCCAAGTTCGAAGGCCTGAGAATGAAGCGTGCCAGTGTCCCTGGGCAAGAGAAAATGGGTGTCTCAGCTCAAGAAGTGTGAGCAGATTTATTCTTCTTCAGCTTTTCTATTCCACACGGGCCCTCAATAGATTGGATGATGCCCATCTACATAAGTGAGGATGGATCTTCTTTCTTCATTCTCCTGATTTAAATGCTAATCTCTTCTGGAAGCGCAGACACACCCCAAAATACATTTCACAGCTGTCTGGGCATCTCTTAGCCCAGTCAAGTTAACACATAAAACTAACCACCATGCAAATTGTCTCTGTTTTTTAGTTTAGATGCCCTCCAGCAGAAGTTTTACAAATACATTCACATCAACATCTTCTGGTCACTGGATCATGTACACATCATTCGAGTCTAATTGAGGCTTGCTGTTCATTTCTTATATTTGCAAGCAGGGTGCAAATGTTGTTTGTGCTTTATGCTGCTTGGTTGTGTGCATTGGATTATACAAACAGACATTATGGGACACATATTCATTCTCAGCAACATAGATCCTGGATGTCAGGGCTGGCATCCCTCCAGAATTAGGTCTTACTCCTAGAACATGTCAGGAAACTGATTTACTAGATCTGAGAGGGTGGAGAGTCTACCGAAGGGAAACCAGCTTTGAAGCATTGGCACCATCAGCAATCTTTACCCAAGGTGCAGGAATTACCTGTTCATCTTCGTTGTCCTATAAATTCTGTCTCACTCAGCATCTGAGGGGTATAGCCACTTCTTTAGTCTCTTTGACTTGAGAAAGCTATTTCTTAGTCAACAATAATACAGACTTGCTTCCTGACGGGTTGTCAAAATCCTCCTTAACATGTTATCTATCCAAACATTGTCCTAGTTACCCTGACTCCTTGGAACACTGTTTTTGTCAGATCAATGATTAATCTTCGCAAGCTGCAGAGTGAAAATGAATGTGCAACCTGTGTAGACAAGCCTTTCATTTTCAACAGGATCATAAATACCTAAGAAGGTCTTTGTAGGGTAGCAATTGCATACACCATAATGCACATGCAAGGATGGGCAAGGAACATGAAGACAAATTCAGGGAAAGAATTAAAGGCAAAACTCAAAACCCCCATCCCCACATAACCCAGTGCAATCGCTACACAGCATCTTCAGCAAGCCCTAACCAGAACCCTGAATCTTTCCACGACGTTATCTTTTACATGATTTCCATGAATAACTAAATTTAATTCCCCTCTCAGAGACGCACGTGATCACATTGACTGTCATCCTTTGAACACATCAATGAGTAATTCATTATTTCTGATTCGATTTGATTCTGGTAATTCCCTAAAATGTGTTGTGGCTTATAGTCACCACCAGCTAGTTTTGGAAGTAGTTCTTTCTATACAGCTGCCTACTTAAATTTACTGAATCAAACTACATTGCATTATCTGTGATTTTATTTTGTTTTTAAGATTCTTCTATTCTGCAAATGCTTTCCATACAGGTAAGAAAATCCATTAGCTAATTTCCTTACTACCCAGGGATTCGTTTCCAAGAGATTTCACATTTCAATGTTTGAACATTCTTCTTCAAATTATATTTCTTTTTTAATGGTTTTCATTTTCATAGAAATTGACATTTCTTGCACCTTAATTGTGTTATCTCCCCGGATGGCATTCCAATCTTACACATACTTTGCGCGTTTTCTATTTCTTCCCATTAAAACATAATCATTAGGTAAGTTTACTATAAGAAAAAAAAAAACACTTTAATTCCCTTTTATATAAACTGGTGCTTTAACTTAATTTTTCCTAAATATGTTCCAACAAGCAGTGAGCAGTATGGCAAACATATTATATAATATGTCACTCTCATATCTTCTCTATCCCTATCACCACTACCAAAAAAATCCCAGCAACTTTATAAGGAAGCCATTTGACATGTAAAGACAAATTGGGCAGCATTTGTTATAAACAGATATGGGTTTGATGGCAAGGCATTGGTAGGGCCCTGGATTCTTGCCCAATGTATGCTTTTCTTTTTCAAGTTAATGAGAGGCTTTCTCTTCCACTTGCATTGAGGTCCTGTATGATGGAACCTGAACATACCATGCTCATTCTTGTCTGAGAAATGACTCAGGTCATTTCTCTCTAAATTTCAACTATTATGTAAGGTCTCCACCAAGCCCAACCACCTCCAGTAATACTCAATGTGCTGTTCTCTCTCCTTCTAAAACCTCATAGCATTGACTCTATAGGTCACTTGTGGACTCATTTATAGTCAACTCAGTGCCATTTCACTCTTCATTCACTTCTTCAATAACTATGAATCATCCACTAGGTGCCCAACAGAATGCCTGGCACCAGGAACACAGAAGTGGGATAGACATACTCAGTCCTGGGTCTTGGATTTACAAACCCTGAAGCAGAATCAGACCTTAGCAAAGAAACCCACAGGGTATCTGTTTTTTTAGTATCATGAGTCCCACATGAAGAATAGTAGTATCTCAGTTCAAGAGACCTGTCTTACACAGATTACAGCCCTCTGAGTGAAATTTTCAGCAGTTTCTCAAAAAAATAAAAATAAAACAAGAAGAAAAGAAGAAAAAGAAACCCTCTGAATGAATGTTGTCTGTTATTTTGTATGGAATCCCTCTTCTCTGCAATAGCATCCACTCTTTCGGGGCATTGTGTTGGTAACACGTCTTAGCTCAGATGTCAGGTATTGCAAACATTCTATGCTACCTTGAGTCTTTGTATTTTCAAACTTTCAAAAGTTTAGGAGTGCACATTTCACTCTTCTGAGCATCAGATTAAACTATCCAATCTGCTTGAAAATTTGGGCATCTCTTTTTCACCCATCCATATGAACTTTCCTGCCTCTTTTTGCTTATAGCTGGCATTGAATTACATCCATCATACCCCTGGTATTTGTTCCACAGTACCTTATAAAATATTCCATCACCACATTCTACATCTTTAAAAGTCAATGGAAACTTTTTCTATTTCTTTCAAAACCCATGTTTATTTGTTTGTTTGTTTTTTCAATATTTTCCTCTTTACTGCTCTGGGAGGCATTTCCAGAGATCCTTCGATCCTTCATGTTCAGTCTTGAACTTCTCTTTCTCCTCTCTCTGTCACTCTCTGTCTCTCCCCCCACCCCCCGACCTTTGTCTCTGTCTCCGGTTGATTTATTAATACATTGGAAGATTTGAACAATGGCTCACCAGCATGTCACTGGTTAAATTTCCCATGGTTCATGAAGTCTGTGATTTCATCTCAGTAGACAGAGCTCCGAAATGATTTGAGGGCCACTCAAAAATCCATTAAAAATTAACCAAGGAATAGTCAGAATCTTGAATAGCCTAAAAAAAACCCCACAATATCAATTATGACAAGAGAACATAAAATTCCTTGCTTCTATTACCCTCAAAACATGTACCCTTTAGACCTTGGGCTAGCTGCTAAGTAGAAGCTGAAACATCTGTGTCTCTGCTATTGGTAGCTGTGTGCATTGGTACAGATCACCTAGCAAAATGCATTGCATGCCAATCTCTATTTAGGCAGACACCCAGCGAAGAGGGTCGTTGCTATGCCATTGCTGAAGACAATTTTCACATTTCTCTGTCTCTTGTCATATTGTGTTTTGCTTTTGTGCTTTCTGTGCTGTAGAATATTATTTTTAAAAAATTCGGTGGCATTACTGCTGAATCCAATCCAATTGATACAATCCTTAATGCAACTGTAGGTAATTATCTTTCCCTGGCACATTTTTCACAATTTCCTGATGTTTTATAGCACAATTACTTGGGACCAAAATTTGGAACATAATTTCTTATCT
This sequence comes from Homo sapiens, assembly GCF_000001405.40. Taxonomy (NCBI): domain Eukaryota; kingdom Metazoa; phylum Chordata; class Mammalia; order Primates; family Hominidae; genus Homo; species Homo sapiens. Next base: position 6,787,694 of record NC_000023.11, read on the forward strand.
GTTGAGGATGAGACACTGTGGTCATTAATTACTTTCTTTTAAATACTAATTGACTTTTATACTTGAACTTATTATATACATATGGGTAAATTGTTTGCTTTTATTTTAAGCTTTGAACTCAAGGATTATCTTTGTAGTCACTGCCAAAAGCTTAGAAAAATATACATTCATGACTGCTAAAGCAGACCCATATAATTTCTGACATTTTGGCTGTAATTTTGTTCCCAAAGCCTCTGCTTAGTAAAGAAAAATACTAATTAATATATAACCTCAAATTTTATGTTCTTCTATTTCATAACAAAAGATTTCCACTGATAATTGTTCAAAGTGTCGGGGGGAGAAGACAATGGAAATGATAGAGAAAGTCTCTCTCTTAGGAGACCCCCAAATTACTATGGTTTGACTTAACAATTGTTCAGTGTTACTGTGGTGCAAAAGCGAGATGCATTCAGTAGAAGCCATACCTTGAGCACCCACGCGACCAGTCTGTTTTTCACTTTCAGGACAGTATTCAATAAGTTACATAAAATAGTCAACACTTTATTATAAAATAAGCTTTGTGCTAGATGATTATGTACAACTGTAGGCAAATGTAAGTCTTCTGAGCAAGTTTAAGGTCAGCTAGGCTGAGCAATGTTTGGTAGGTTAGATGGATCCAATGCAGTCTCGACTCATGATATTTTCCACTGATGATGACAGGATATAACCCCATCATAAGTTGAGAAGGGGCTGGCTGTAGTGGCTTACACCTACAATCCCAGTACTTCCAGAGGCCGAGGTGGGCAGATCCCTTGAGCCTAGGAGTTCCAGACCAGCCTGGGCAACATGGCAAGATCCCATCTCTACAAAAAATACAAAAAAAGTAGCCAGGCATGGTGGCATGCACCTGTAGCCCCAGCTACTTGGGAGGCTGAGGCTGGAGGATTACTTGAGCCCGGGAGGCAGAGGTTGCAGTGAGCCGAGATCGTGCCACTGCACTGCAGCCTGGGCAACAGAGCCAGGCCCTGTCTCAAAAAATAAAATAAAAATAAGTCGAGGAGCATCTGTACATTGAAGCAGAAGAAGACAAAAAACAAGTAAATAGGTATATTTTTAAAAGTTAGTTCTATCACTTTGCTATTTCTCTTGAAGGGGAAAATAAATCCACAAAACGAAATAAAGGGTCACAGTGAGTAAGGAGATAAATGTGGAGGGTATAGTCTCGACAAACGCTCAGGGAAAGTTTCTTTGAGAGATGATACCTAAACCATCTGAATAGTGGAAGAGCCATGCAGATGCAGAGAAGGTGGATTTGTCAGTTAATTAAACAGAAGAGACCGGGCGCGGTGGCTCACGCCTGTAATCCCAGCACATTGGGAAGCTGAGGCAGGCGGATCACTTGAGGTCAGGAGTTTGAGACCAGTCTGGCCAACATGGCAAAACCCCGTCTCTACTAAAAATACAAAAATTAGCAGGGTGTGGTGGCAGGCACCTGTAATCCCAGCTACTAGGGAGGCTGAGGCAGGAGAATCGCTTGAACCCAGGAGGTAGAGGTTGCAGTGAGCCGACATTGCACGACTGCACTCCAGCCTGGGCAACAGAGCAAGACTCTGTCTCTAAATAAATAAATAAATAAATAAATAAATAAATAAATAGAAGAAGCAACAGTGCAGTCCAAGGCTAGTGAGCAAGAAGAGTAGAAACAGATGAGGTTCAAGCCATAGGCAGGGAATGTGGGTCACTCGGGACCTTGGGGTCTTGAGAAGGAATTTGCATTGTGTCCCAAGTTTAATGGGAAGCTGTTGGAGGGTTTTTTAAAAAGCAGGTGTTTCTTATTGCCAAAAGTGACTGAGTCTGCAGTGTGAACAAATAAAGAAGGGAGGATGAGTGGAAGCAGTGAGAGACAGGCCAGGAATAAGAGCTCATGGCCCCCAAGCTGGAGCGCTGATGGTTAGCTAGGGAGAAAATAGGTAGGGCAGCACAACCTGAGCATCGATTGGATATAGGATGTGAAGGGAAGGAAAGAAGGAGGAAAAATCAAAGAGGTGGGGTAGAAGTTTTGTTTATTTAAGATACCTAGGTAGGCAGATAGATAGGTAGGTAGATAGAGAGATAGATAGATAGATAAGTAGATAGATATAGATAGAGAAGATAGATCATAGAGATAGATAGATTATAGAGAAAAAAGACGATTGATAGATGATAGATATATATCAGCAAATAGAGACAGAAGATATATAGACAGATGATAGATGATAGATAGAGAAGATAGAACATAGATAGAAAGAGATAGATAAATAGATCATAGAGATAGATAGAGTAGATAGATCATAGAGATAGGTAGAGAAAAAAGGTAGATGATTGATAGATACAAGATAGATATATATCAGCAAATAGAGACAGAAGATATATAGACAGATGATAGATAGATCATAGAGAAAGACGATAGATGATAGATATATACAGATGTAGATAGGTAGATAGAGAAGGAAGACAGATGACAGATAATAGACAGATAATGACATACAAACATACATAGATGGATAGAATGATGGATATGATATATAGATGGAGAAGGAAATAAAAATATTTCACCTCAAAATACACTCAGAGGAATTTGTACAAAAATGTTTACACTGACTTTATAAGTATAATAATCCTAAATTGCAAACAGTCCAGGTATCCATCAATTGGAGAATGATCAAATAAAATGTGTGTCAATCCTAGACCAGAATATTATGCAAAAAATAAAAATCAAAAACTACTGGTATGCATAACAATATGAGTTAATCTCAATCATCTTATGCTCAGACAAAGAGCCTTACACATAGGATGGCCAGATTTAGTAAATAAAAATTCAGAGCACCTGAGTAATTTGGATTTTAGACAGGTAATACATACATTTCAACATATGTTCTAAATATTTCCTGGATCAGACTTATACTAAAAATATGCATTGATTATCTGAAATCCACATTTAACTACACATAGTGTATTTTATCTGACACTCCTTCAAATAAAGTGTATAACTCCACTTATGTGCTAACTCATGGTGGAAAATAGTTAAACAATATTCACATAACAGGTGGGGCACAATGATTGACTAAGAGACGGCATGACGGACCTTTCTAGGGTGCTTTTCATGGTCTACATCTCCATAGGGACCTGAGTTACACACATGTGAGCATTTGTTTAGCAGATGTAGACTTGAGATTTCTGCATTACATTGTACGTAAATTTACACACAAAAAGACCTGTAAACAAATGTAAAATTCTAGTTAAATATAAGCTTGGTGGAAATTTTGGGGGGAGATTTACAGGTACTTGCAATTTATCTTAAAATATGTTAATGATGGTCAATAGATAAAGTTGTGGAGGATTGACACAAGAATATATTTGTTGGCCAGATGTGGTGGCACATGCCTTTAATTCCAGCACTTTGGGAGGCCAAAGTGGAAAGATTGCTTGTTTCCAGGAGTTCAAGAACAGCCTGGGCAACATGGTGAGACCCTGTATCTACAAAAAACAAAAAATTGACTGGGCATGATGGCACACATTTGTAGTCCCAGCTACTTGGGAGGCTGGGATGGGAAGCGTGCTTGAGCCAGGGAGGTTGAGTCTAGGTAACAGAGAGAGACTCTGTCTCAAAAAAAAAAAAAAGAAGAAGGAAAAGAAAAGAAAAATAATATATATGTGAAAAAGTATAATGTGTTAGGCAGAATAATGGTCCCTTAAAGATGCCCAAGTCTGAATCCACAGACCTGCGAATCTGCAAAGAGTAACCAAGGTTATGAAAGAAATGGAAATTGCTAGTCATCTGACCTTGAGATGAAAAGATTATCTTGGATTATCCAATGTAATCACATGGTCACTAAAGTAGAAGAGGGAGACGGGAGAGGAATTGAGGGTGGGACTCTATCAACTTTTCTGCTTTGTGGGCTTTAAAGTGGAGGAAGGAGCAGTAAGTCAAGGAATGCGGGATACTTGTAGAAGCTAGAAAAGCAAGGAAATAGATTCTTCCTTGAGTCTCCAAAAAGGAACACACAGCCCTGCTAGAGCTGTATCAGAATTCAGACTTCCAGGACTGTAAGTTAATAAATGTGTGTTGTTTAGCCCCAAAGTTTGTGGTAACCCAAGACAGCAGCAATGAGAAACTAACACATTTAGTGAAACGCTAACAGTAGAATTCAGGAGACAGGCACATAGCTGTTTAGTGGACAATTTTTTCAACTTTTCTGGATATTTGAAAATTTTTATAATAAAATGTTGAGAAAAACATTTGAGTGGGAGTGGGACTCAAGTCATCAAATAAATAATGGAGAGAATGTCATGCTGTGGTACGTAGGTGGCCAGTGTTGTGCACAGAGGTCTCCTACTGCATTGGATGAATGAGAAGAGTCAGCAGGCTGATTTCAAGCCTATGTGAAGTCAGCAAATTCAGAGAAAGGTATACGTGGGTCTAAGACCTTTTGGTGACATAGAACAAAATAACAAGGAGGGGGAAAATAATGTGTACGTTCTTAAGACCAATAGAGTGAGGTTGGCCAAGCACATGGTTGGAGTTACAGCAAGGGAACAGAGGATCCCACTGAAGCTGAAACGTATGTACCCCCTACCCAAGTTCCCAGGCAGCAGAATGCCCTCACCATCCATGCTAATTTTATTTTATAATGAGACAGGGTTCAGGACACACTTCCCCCAAATATGGAAACTTGGCACTTGGGAAAACAGCAGAAGCCGGCCATAGATACTAGAAAAAACTTCACCCACCCCTCCTCAAAAGTTGCCTGAAGTGGGCCATAAAACCTAGTTGACCTTCCTCTGAAAAGAGGTCATGACTCATTCCAAAGGGGTCCTCCCTATACCCAGAGTAAAGAAATGTCCTGTCTGAAGACACAGGGAGGACAAGATGAATGTCAACAAACAGGCTTTCCTACATTTCCTCCTGGTTTACTCCTATTAGATCCCACCGCCTTTGTCCAATTATACTTCTATACAACTGTTGCTGCTTACCAAACCTAAGCATTAAAATGGACAGTTTTTCCTGTTTCTTTGGGGCTTTGTTTCTGAAGGTTCCCATGTCATGTAAAACTTACATTAAACAGATCTGTCTGATTTTTTCTTGCTAATCTGATTTTTGTTATAAGTGCCTCAGCCATGAACCTTGCAATGGGTGAAAAGTCTTTTCTCTCTTATACACACGGATGTGAAAATAGGACTTAGAATTACACGTGGTTAACTTAGCATTGCCAGTGGTAACAGCCTGGGGAGAAAGTTGAGGGGCATAGGCCCATTTGACAGGAATGTAACTGTCTCAGTCTGTTCGTGCAGCTATAGCACTCACTCTGGACTGGGTAATTTATAAAGAGTAGAAATTTATTGCTCACAATTTTGGAGGCTGGAAGACCAAGATTAAGCAGCCGGCAGACTTGGTGTCTGGTGAGGGCTGCTCTCTGCTCCCTAAATGGTGCCCTGTAGCTGTGTCCTCCAGAGGAGACAGACTATTAGGTTGGTGCAAAATTAATTGCGGTTTCTGTCATTGAAAGTAGTGACAAAAATCGCAATTGCTTTTGCACCAACCTAATATGTCCTCACATCGCAGATGGGACAGGATGGGAGAAAAGGGATAAGCTTGCTCTCTCAAGCCTCATAATAAGGGTTCTAATCCCCGCCATGAGGATGGAGCTCACATGACCTAATCACCTCCTAAAGGCCCCCATCTCTTAATACTATTGCTTAATAGTGTCACTAATTGGGAATTAACTGAACGTTAATTGGGAATTAAGTTCCAACATTAATCTTGGAAAGACACAAAAATTCGAACCATAGCAGGAGTCATGATGGAATGCATTTAAAGTACACATAAAAGGATTAAAGAGTCTCAATGACATGATGCTTCTTTCAATCAACCCTGGTCAAGCAAAGCTGAGCAATACAGAATGTAGTTTCATGTCCTTGTCACTTTGCCTGCATCCCTGCTTGGAAGGACCACCATCTACAGTAGAGGCAGCTTGCTGCTTGGATGCCCACTCCCAAAGCTCTTAACCCCAGCCATGGCTAATGCCTGTTCAGACTGAGGCAAGAAAAGACGGTAAAGATTGCTATGAGGAATAGAAAACAAGTTGATAGGAAAGGATAGGCTGGGGGCAGTCTTAAACCCTGGAAACCTCAGAAGTATTTAAGAAAAGACTTGAAATTGGCTGGACGTTAAATATATCATTTGATGTAATGGGACCCCACTGTGTATGTACTTCCTCTCCTTCTCCTGATTTCCTACTACCTATTATCCTCCTTACTCCCATCTCTCTCCCTCCACCAGTGAACTTGGGGCTATCAATGGAAAAGACTATGGAATACTGGAGTTATTAGCTACAACCAGCAAAAACCTAGCTGTTAGAGGAAATGTTTCTTTCTCTACAGAAGCTGGCTTAAAAAGCATATGTATATTCATATAGGATTCATAATACAGTCATGTGTTGCTTAACGATGGGGACACACTCTGAGAAAGGCGTCATTAGGATGCAAACCTGGATGTGATAACCTACAACACACCGAGGTTGTGTGCGATTAGTCTATTTCTCCTAGGCTACAAGCCTCTACAATACGTTACTGTACTGAACACTGCAGGCAATTGTAACACAATAGTATTTATGTATCTAAACATATCTAAACATAGAAAAGGTACAGTAAACATATGGTAAGAAAGATAAAAACGGTTCCCCTATATAGGGCATTTGCCATGAATGGAGCTCGCAGGACTGGAAGTTATTCTGGGTGAGTCAGTGAGTAATGAGTCAATGTGAAGGCCTAGGACACTACTGTGAACTACTACAGACTTTATAAACACTGTACACTCAGGTTACATTTAATTTACTTAAAAAACACTTTTCTTTCTTTAATTTTTTTTTTTTTTTTGGAGATGGAGTCTCACTCTGACGCCCAGGCCGGAGTGCAGTGGTGCAATCTCGGGTCACTGCAACCTCTGCCTCCCGGGCTCAAGCCTCAGCCTCCCGAGTAGCTGGAATTACAGGCACCCACCATCATATCCACCTAATTTTTGTGTTTTTAGTAGAGAAGGAGTTTCGCCATGTTGGTCAGGCTGGTCTCAAACTGCTGACCTCAGGTGATCTGCCACCTTGGCCTCCCAAAGTGCTGGGATTACAGGTGTGAGCCACCACACCCGACCTCTTTCTTTAATAATAAAATAACCTTACTTTTCTGCAATTTTTTTACTTTATAAACTTTTTAGGTTTTTTTTTTTTTTAGCTTTTGACTGTTTTATAAAAACATAGCTTGAAACACAATCACATCATTCACATGTGTGAAAATCTTTTTTATATCTTTATTCTATAAGCTTTTTCCATCTTTAATTTTTTTTTACTTTTTAAACTTTAAAAAAAAACCCTAAAACACAAACACATAACTTTGTCTAGGCCTACAAAGGGTTGGGATTGTCACTAGGCGACAGGAATTTTTCGGCTCTATTATAATCTTAGGGGATCTGCATCGTATATGTGGTCTGTCACTGACAGAATGTCGTGACGTGGCTCATGACTGTAATTGTATTTCATTTTGCTCTTTAGTTGGGATCCTTTGTAAAGTACTGTGAAGGATCTGAAATTTCATCCTAGTTTCAGGCTAACAAGTTAGCCTGCTAGAGCTTCATTGATGTTGGCAGAAGACACAAATCCTCTGGGTCAGAGACAAAAGACAGTTTCTACACACAGTAATAGCAGTAGGCAGAGCAGCCGTGTTTGTGCTGCTTTCCTTAACTGCAGTTCCTCCCACCCACCATCATGGGGGCTGTGTAAAGGGCTGGATGATGCCTGCCTACAGTGGATTGCATTACAGGAGATGAACCCTGTGCTTAGGGACCTGACCTGAATACTTATCATGACCAGTAAGCCTACATGGCCTCTTCTCTAGGGGGAGATATTCATTGAACTGGTAAATAAGGAAACCTACCATTTGGCTTAAAGGACGACACCATTTCTATCTTCCAAGGCTTTTACATAAACACACATGCTTGAAAAGGATGTGCACAATACAGGCTGTCAGCACCTCTGGTTGCAATACAGGCAGAAACGCAAGAGATACAGGAAAAACTGCTTCCTTATATCTACTCTATTGGACTCTTTGAATAAATGAGAAAATGACTTAGAGGTATAACCAACCAAGCCCATACCATGTCAAAAGCTGTGATATAATGATTCTCAGTCCTTCCAGAGAACGGGGTGAGAAACCCCTCATGGGTGACTCTTCTTCCTTGAAATTAGGCCTGTAGCTATGCACATCAGCAGATTTCACTGCGAGTTTAGAGCTTTCCAGAGCAATCCCAAAAGAAAATTGATCTCCGGACAACTAGCAGCTTTCCATTATGAATTGTCTTGGCCATGTGAATTGTGAACTTAACTCCGACCATAACCTCCCTGAAAACAAGTGAAGCGCAGTGATTCAAAACCATTAGCAACCCCAAACCCATGTCTTATTCACTGCACTAGTGTCTGTTTTCTGGACCATAAGAAGGCCCCAAGTGGACAGCCATGATTGACTATGCCTATCAAATGTGACACCTTGCATATCACTAGCGATGCATGAAGGATGGAAACTGATAATAGTTTGCTTTAATTGGGTTCTGTGCATGTGAGTACAAGTCTTTATGAGCAAGTGTTTGTCGGCAAGCCCCTTTATTATGACTGATTATTTGGGGCTGAAGTTATTGCTTAAAGGAAATCAAATTACGGCTGAGGAAGCATGCATAAAAGGAAAGATCAAAGTTTCCCGGCCAGTAAGGTAAAGCACAAACATCCTAAAGTGTTTCCTCCGTTGAATACTTCCACAAAACTATTATCTCAACATCCCTACTGATGGCATATATAATTTGGTAAAGAATTCACTTTGAAACAAATTATATTTTTTAGTTTATATCTGCTAGAATCACCGGATAGTCCAATTCTTTCTAGATTATATACTCATGTGTGTGTATATTTGTATATGTTTGTAATCTAAAATACAATAAGAGAGAGAAAGAGAAAGAAAGAGAAAGAGTGAGAAACAGAGAGAGAAGGCTAAGAGAGAGACGTGTATGTTAATAAAAAACAGGACAAGAAGCCATATCACTTGATCATTTTTTAACATTATTTACCTCATCTGAGTTTTAAGAACAAAATACAGCACTTATAAATGGATGAGATGGGGCCTGAAAATAAAAAGTATGTATCCAGATTGCCGGAAATGTTCATCATTGTAGTCTCTGTTGAGTACATGCCAGATGGTATAATTTCTGATGCGTCTGACAGAAACAATTTGAAGTCTACTGGTTTAGAGAAATAATTTTCAACCTAAGTGAGGAATTAACAATAGAAGAGAAAAAAATAAATTGTTAAATTTAAAAAAGAACTATGTTGGAAAAAAAGAAACTGATAAATTAAGAGGCTGCTGTTAGGGTACCTGTGTAACTGTGATCACCGTAGAACATTGAATTGCTCATGTTGGCAGTGGTATCAAATTATGGAAGAAAATCATTAGGCCATATGGAATTGAAAATTTGAATACAAATGATCTGTCTTTGTCTCTAGCACAAGAACTGAGAGCATCAGCTTTTAATCATTATCATAGCTGCCTCTAAAATGCCCCCCAACAGTCCCTGACCCTTGCTATGCATGTCCTCATACAGTCCTCTCCTACATTGCATCAGGGTTGGTTTATTGGATCAATAAAATATTATTATTTGCATAGTAATGGTGCATGACTCCCGCAGCTAGGTCATAAAAGAGATTATGGTTTCTGTCTTGCTCTCTCTCTTGGGTCATTCATCCTGAAGAAAGATGGCAGCCATCTTGTAAGGACACTTAAGCAGCTCTATGGAGAAGGCTGCATGGTGAGGAACTGAGGTCTTCTTCCAATAGACAGTGAAAAACTGAGATCTCCAGCTAACAGCTACATAAGTGATCCATCTTACAAGTGGTTCCTCCTGCCCTGGTCAAGCCTTCAAATGACATCAGCTCCAGATGACATCTTCACTGCAATCTCATGAGATGCCTGAGCCAGAAATACCAAGCTCAGCCACTCCAGGATTGCTGAGTCACAGAAAATGTGAGAAAAGAAATGTATGTTGTTGTAAGCCATTACATTTTGAGTTGCTGTGTTCCACAGCATTAGATAACTAATATAATCCCCAATGCCATCTTTCACATTGGGAACAAGATGAAATTATGATGATGATAGCTGAGGTGAAAAATTTCAACATGGTTTAACATTGATATCAATGAAATTGGTATCAATAATGTTGACCTGACTACTTTAATAACTAAACTACTTTAATGATTATGTATAGGAAACCCAACAGTTGGCACAATCCCATTCTTCCAAAATATTATAGCCAATGTGTTATGTGTTCATCTGTTCTCATTGCTGCTAATAAACACATACCAAAGACTGGGTAATTTATAAAGGAAAGAGATTTAATGGACTCACAGTTCCACATGGCTGGGGAGGCCTCACTGTCATGATGGAAGGCAAAGGAGAAGCAAAGGCACATCTTACATGGTGACAAGAAACAGAGCTTGTGCAGGAAAACTCCTGTTTGTAAAACCATCAGATCTCATGAGACTTATTTACTACTATGAGAATAGTATGGGGGAAACTGCCCCCATGATACAATCATATCCACCTGGCCGCACCCTTGACACATGGGGATTATTACAATTCAAGGTGAGATTTGGGTGGGGACACAGCCAAACCATATCATGTTACAATGCATAATCTCTTCCAAATGAAAGTAGTGCAGTATAAAATAGTTTTGTTTTTTCATCATTCTCAGATGCCCATGTTCACATTTGGAAAAAAGGGTAAAAGAAAGGTAATTAAGGGGGAAAATGATGCCCCACAGATATTAAAGTATATTTTAAAGCTATTCTAATTAAAATAGTTTGGTTCTGTCTCATGGAGTATAAGAATATCTGATATATAACTCTTTATAATAAAGCAGAAAAAATTAGAAATAACTTGTGTCCACTAGTAGAATAATGGTTAAGTAAATTATGCTTTCAATCAAATATCTTGCAAGCATTTAAAATAATAAATCATCTCAGCATAATTGTGGAGCAGTCTCCAAATGATATTTTTTTTAAAGACAGGGTCTCACTCTGTTGCCCAGGCTGGAATGCAGTAGCATGATCATAGCTCACTGCAGCCTAAAACCCCTGGGCTCAAGCAGTCCTCCCACCTCAGCCTCCCCAGTAGCTGTAACTGTAGGTTCACACCACCATGACCAGCTAATATTTTATTTTTTTGTAGAGACAAGGTCTTGCTATGCTCCCAGGCTGGCCTGGAACTCCCAGTCTCAAGTAATCCTCCCACCTCAGCCCCCCAAAGCTCTAGGATTACAGGCATGAGCCACCATGCTTAGCCCATGTAATCTCTTCATGTGACTAAAATAAGATGCAAAATGGATGAGATATGATATGTGGTTAACTGCTAAACTTTAACCTTCATCCTTTAAAACGAGTTCTTAAGTTCACAATGATGTAGTAGAATTTTTTCTTTACTATGGCATTTGATTCTAATTTACCTGAAGGATTTAGAGGAAGTGTGGACCCATGACTCACTTATGTAGCTGTTAGCTGGAAGCCTCTGTTTTTCACTGAAAAACTTAAGTATTTTAGAAAGAATTTAAAATACTCTTGGCTAAACCTGCAAAATAAGTACATAAAGAAAGGTATTTTAAGATTAAATCTCAATATTTAAAACACAGTTTGGAGGGCTTTAAAAAATTCTTTATTTCTATATATTCAAACATATTACCAAACTGAAAGATAAACAGCATTTTTAGCTATCAATCCAGGCCTGGGAAAAGCAGAGCAAGACTATTTATTTTTTGAAAACCTTAATGGGAAGAGAGAAATAAAAGTTGAATATACATTAGTAAAAAACAAAACCTTATCACTACTCTATCAAAGTTCGAGACCAGCCAGACCAACATGGAGAAACCCAGTCTCTACTAAAAATACAAAATTAGCCAGACGTGGTGGTGCATGCCTGTAATCCCAGCTACCAGGAGGCTGAGGCAGGAGAATCACTTGAACCCCGGAGGCAGAGGTTGCGGTGAGCCGAGACCACGCCATTGCACTCCAGCCTGGACAACAAGAGCGAAACTCTGTCTCAAAAAAAATAATAAAAAAAAAATAACATTGGGCTTTAACACTGTGATCCACAAATTGCATCTAGACCTTCCTGTTACTATGACTTTGGTAACTAACCCAGTATAAAACTCTTTTTTCTTCTTGTTAGTTTCTCAGGAAAGATGAAATTAGTATCTATTTTAGCGAGTACTATAACGGAAGACTAGGTTTTCTTCACTGAAGTCTCCAAAATCCTAACAGACCCGAGCTACTTAACTAAAATGTTGCATCAGTGATAAATTCGAATACAATAGGAAGAATTGTATTTTACACACATCACAGATGCAAAAACTGGTCTGGCAATTGACATCGCCAGATAATGGATTACATTTTCCTCTTTCAGATTCCAGTCCACATTGAGACTTTGATATAGTCCTCCTCAGTCCCGCCTTTCAAAATATTAAATAAGGAATTTCAAATTCTAATATTCTTATCTCCCTCATGCAACCAAACTGCCATAAATCTGCATCCCCTGCTATCTTTATCTAATAGAAGAAATCTCTCCATTTTCATTAGATGAGAAAATGAAAGAAAATGATACCCACCACCAACAGTTCTTAATATTAGTTCCTACAGACGACAGTTATTGCACTTAAAAAGGGGCTATTGGCTCTAGATAGAAATCTAAAGTGTTTGTTCCTCTGATTGGCCCCTGCAAACTCTTTTAAAATCCACTTCTTTTGTTCTCTGCAATGTTTCGGTTCTCACCAGCACTCCCACTTCCAACCACTTAAACTTGATTTTCCACTGTTAGGTGAAGGATGCTCGGACAACATCGCATTAATTTCAGTGGACACTACATTTTATCTAATTCAGCAAGCAGGCCTCTGTTAATTAGGCCTCCCAGCACGAGTGATGGCGAACATCTCCTCTCACTGTCACTGATCGATATTCACAACTCAAGCCATTCTCGTGGTCAATTTCTTGGGCTTCTGAGTAAAATAGAGGGTCCCATTCTTGTTAACAACCTAGACTTGCCTAAAATCGCAATTTGCTCCCGACTTGCCCGCTGAGTCCACCAGCTGCATACAAATAGCATCTCTCAATCCCTTCCTCTCCATCTTCGCTGACTACAAGAACTGCCAGAGGGGAAAAGGATTCTCCCTGCCACCACCTCAAATGCCACTGCTGCCTTCCAGCTTTGAGTCTGATGGATGGAGGACTCAGCCTGCTGACAGAGCCCGCGAAGACTTGCTGTTTGATCCCAGGGATGCAAGCCTTGTTTGGTGAAGCCCCAGGAGAATTAAGTACCGGAGCCTAATTTAATGTAATACTGCTCTGCAGCTACTTAAAAAGAAAAAGAAAAAGAAAAGGATATTGAAAGCCCACATAATTTTGTTTCCTTCCAGTTGGCCACAAAGAGTGATCCATCCAATAACTTTGGGGCCAAATACTACCTGTGCCAAGGGTTTAAAAACCCACACCCCTGGGTTATGTGGCAGACCCCAGTTTCTCCTGGAAGATGGGTAAGTCGTCAGAGCTGACATTTCTGTATAGAAAACAATGCAAAGAAACACCCTCCTAAACTACGTGAAATACAGTGTTGCTCTGTCACTTACAGAACCAATGACCGCCAACTGAGCAAAGGAGTAGGGTTCGGAAAAAATGGAGAAGGTGAGGGGAGAAAAGGCCAATGCTGGCAGGGTAGAACGTGTCATTGTTCATTTAAATTGCTTTTATTTTCAAAACACAATATAACCAGTCAGAGGTCAGTCCCCCTCGCCACACACACACCTTCCATGTGCCTAAGTGCATTACAATAGGTGATTTTCTTTTTAAGGTCTAGCTTGTATTCCTGTGGCCACCAGCGTTCTGAATCTTGCCAAAGGGACTCTTTTCTAAAAAGAAGAAACCCCAGTTAGAATAATTCCCCATTGCTGCTTAACATGTGTCTCTTTGTAATTAATTTTAAATATGCAAAGGCCCTTTTCTGTGCACTCCTAGCTAAGGTACGCCCTGTTAGTAGGTGACAGTGTGTGCCTCCGGTGGTAAATTCGGCTTCAAAGAGAGCGATGAGCGAAGATGTGTTGGCTGCCTGTCAGACAGCATGACATAAAAGGAAACAAATACAGGAATAAATGGAAAGTTTTATGGTGAGTGAAGGCAACACTGAGTGTTACCAACGCAGTATTTTTTTTCCCTTTTCCTGAGTTCCTATGATGAGCAAAAGACCAGAAATGAGTTCTTCCACCAGGATGGTTCTTATGGGTGTATATTTACTCCAATAGTAACATTTATTGCTGTAACAATAGGAATTAGCCTGTGGTTCATAGGCTTAATTTTACAAAGCTCGATTGCTTCTACTATCTGACTTGAGCCTTAGGGCGATCTTATATAGAAGGTAAATTATCCCATTCCCATTTTACAGGAGGAAAAACTGAGGCTCGAAGAGGATGGGTGAATAGACACACACTCCTAAGATCATGAAGAGGGAGGGAGGAATGAGCCCCAACCTGAGATCAGACCTTTGAACCTCATTCTGCTTCAATTTCCTCCTCTGTAACATGAGCATCGTAATGCCGGCCAATGGGAAAGATGATCATCCTCATTTTACAGATAGGAAAACTGAGCTATGGAGCATCTAAGAAAATTGCTCCAGACTGCATAAGTGATGCAGTACACGTAATTTGGCTCTAGCCTCTAAGCTGCTAACATCTATCGTAGAGTCAATGGAAGTAGATCCTAGGAGAGAGAATAGATGAGGGGGTAAAGTCTGTGGGAAAATGGTAACATAACTAGAGCTGGAGGGCTGGGTGCGGTGGCTCACATCTGTAAACCCAGCACTCTGGGAGGCCAAGGTGGGGAGGTCTCCTGAGGTCAGGAGTTCAAGACCAGCCTGGGCCACATGGTGAAACCCCGTCTCTGCTAAAAATACAAAAAATTAGCCAGGCCTGGTGGCAGGTACCTGTAATCCCAGCTAATCCAGAGGCTGAGGTGGCAGAATCACTTGAACCTGGGAGGCGGAAGTTGCAGTGAGCCAAGATGGTGCCACTGCACTCCAGACTGGGCAACAAGAGCGAGACTTTTTGTCTCAAAAATAACATAACATAACATAACATAACATAACATAACATAAAATAATAAAATAAAATAAAATAAAATAAAATAAAATAAAATAAAAATATAAAATAAAATAAAATAAAATAAAATAAAATAAAATAAAATAAAATATAAAATAAAATATAAAATAAAATATAAAATAAAATATAAAATAAAATAAAATAAAATAAAATAAAATAAAATAAAATAAAATAAAATAAAATAAAACAAAATAAAATAAAATAACTAGAGCTGGAGAGCCCCAGGCAGGAGCCATGACAGCATCAGAGGCCACGACGAGACCCTTGCATTTTGTTCTTCAGCCGATGGAAACCCATGCAACATTCTTGATGCTAATCAGAATCTCCCTTTGTAACCATAAGTATCACACGGCAACAATAATCAGGCAATCAATGAGGAAAGCTACATTGGAAGAGGAGACAGGTTGATGAGACATTTACATCCAATTGCAGTGGAAGTGCTTAAGAAATCCTTCAAAAAAAACAAGTGAAAAATAGGGACTAAGACAAAACTGAGATGAAATACATTTTTCAGCATTTAGCTAATAAATGTGTCACCCCTCCAACCCCATCACCACTTCTAAAACATGCCCTTTGCATGTAAGCTAGTTTTAGCATGAAAAGAAAGATACTTTAGTGACTGCAGAAGAAAAAAGTGTCCAAAAAAAGGACTGCCTTACAGGGATTCAACCTTATCTCAAATTTTGTCTCTTATGAATGTGGTAATTCCTAAAATTTTGATAAGTGATGTACATATCTCCGAGTTCGACGCATTTCCTCAGTAGTGAAGAAAATGGCACAATCCTATTTTACACCACTGAGGAATTTACAACACTGAAAGATAAGAAAAATGGGCCAGGGTGTGTGAAACTCACGGATTAACAGTCTGCATCGATCAATTCTCCAGATCATTGCACAACCCCTCATGTCACTTTGTACAGGGATAGCTCCAAGGTAAAGAATATTGATGCCTTTTCTTTTGTGCTATTTTAATTATAGTTGCAAGAATTTTATTCCTAGGCCAACATATGGTAATTTAATTCGGGGTGGGGGGGATGTTTCTATTAGTTTAATATTAAAGTTCATATTTTTTCATTGATTTTTCATTTGATGTTATATGCAGGACATATAGACATTTAGAAAAGCATGGTATTGTTTGAGATGATGAGATCTCAAAGGCTCCAAAATTAATGGCACAGCAGAGAAAAGAGCATGAAGCAATTCTGTGAGCAGAGAGAAATGCACACACGCAGACACCAGGCACATGCATGTATCTCCACCCACGCTGGAAATTAACTGAAAAATCCTGGTCATCCAATGCTGCCTGCAGAACCATAACCCCTTTGATTCCCGTTTCCACTGTGGTTGATGCCCTCTCATAGCTGGAAGGACTTTGGGAGCTTCTAGTAGAGGGAGCACAAACCTGAAACTTGTAGATACAGTTCTACTCTGTGTTTTGCTTTGAGGTCTTTGAAAATTACTTAACTTCACAGTAGCTGAATTTCCTTACCTATGACGTATCAATCATCCTTTCTGACTCTCCAAATTTATAGTGTCTATTGAATGGTGAAAAAAAATGTGCTTTGGAAAGGGAAGAATCTCACTGACAGTCTAACAAAAGTACTGGAGATCCTCAAGGTCTTGATTCTGCATTCTTTATGGTGCCGTGTAGAGGGGATTGTTTTGAGTGTCTTAATTTGCAGGAAGCCCGGAGATGTGGAGTCTGTGCAGGTCTACGCTTCCTCCTGGATTCCCAGAGAGATCCTCTTCTTTAAAGGATGCTTGGCCTCTGCATGGTTGTTGATCTCTCCCAGCCACAGCCTCCTTCACTCATTGAACTCAGAATTTCTCCTGTGCATGCAGTACTGTTAGAGGCTGAGTAGACAGAGCCAAACTGAACCAATTTTGTTTCTGTCCTCCCAGTTCAGAGAGGAGAAGGGCATCAAACTAAAGAATTGCAGAGGTTTTTATTCATGGCAAATTAGTATAAGGTCTGTGGACCTAAGTATAGGATACCATGGGGAAAAATTGAGAGGGGTCTCATGGCCGGTGAAAAAACTTTTCCAAGGAAGGCTGGGCACGGGGGCTCATGCCTGTAATTCCAGCACTTCAGGAGGTTGAGGCAGGAGGATTGCTTGAGGCCAGGAGCTCCAGACCAGCCTGGGCAACATGGCGAGACCTCATCTCTACAAAAAATATCAAAAAAATTAGCCAGGTGTGGTGGCATGCACCTGTAGTTCCAGCTACTCTGGAGGCTGAGGCAGGAGGATGGCTTGAGCCTGGGAGGTCGAGGCTGCAGTGAGCTGTGATTATGCCACTGCACTCCAGCCTGAGTGACACAGCAAGACCCTGTCTCTTAAAAAAATAAAAATAAAAAATACAAAGAGCTCCTGAGGAAATGATAGTAGTTTACTGAAGGGTAAGTAGAAGTTCCTAAAGAAGAAGAGGTGAGGGGTTAGGTCTAGCCAGAAGACAGTCCGCTTGAGGGTCCTAAGGGCAGAGAGACCCACATGTCACACAATGAAAAAGCATCAAAGTGCCTGAGGCCCAGAGTACAAAGAGGGGAAGGGCATAAGATGAAGCTGGAAAGGACGTTGGGACCAAAACCAAAAAGTTTTTTTTTCTTTTGGAGACAGAGTCTCAGTCTGTCATTCAGGCTGGAGTGGCGTGATCATGGCTCACTGCAGCCTCGACCTTCCAGGCACAAGTAATCCTCTCACCTCAGCCTCCCAAGTAGCTGGGACCATAAGTGTGCACAACTACACGGGGCTAATTTTTTTTTTTTTTAGAGATGGGGTCTTGCTATGTTGCCCAGGCTGGTCTCAAACTCCTGGGCTCAGGCAATCCTCCCACCTTGGCCTCCCAAAGTACTGGAATTACAGGCCTGAGTCACTGTGCCCAGTCTGGGAGAGGAGTTTTGCACAGCAAGATAAATCATGTTGTGAATTTTGTATTTCATTTCAAGTGCCACGGTGGACCAAGGGTGAAGTTTGAGCAGAGGAATTTCATGACAAACAGGCACATTTAAATGATCATTTGGAATGCCAATTAACACGCAGATTGTGAAGGGAAAATAATGGAAGCAGAAAGCCCCAATAGGAAGGTTTCTCTAGTAAAAGTGGTGAGACAAATTGGCACTTTGCAGTACAGCACAAGCAGTGGGAATGGATGGAGATAGGACAGAGAGACGTCTACTACCCTCTGGCAAGTGTGGCCATCTCTTCCCAAAGGTGTGATTTGCTTTTTTAACACTTCCAGGTACTTGCTTCTCATGAACTTACAATTGACATTGTGTCATTTATTTGGTGATCATTTTAATATTTTTTTACCTTTTCTAAGCATCTTCCAGCAACATCTTCAATCCAAAACTGGGGGGCCTTTTGAGAGTAGACTCGGTGAAATTTATTATTTTTATTTATTAATGTATTTATTGAGACAATGTCTTCTCTGTCACCTAGGCTGGAGTGCAGTGGCATTATCATAGCACACCATAGTCTTGAACTCCCTGGCTCAACTGATCCTTCCACCTCAGCCCAAGCAGCTGGGACTACAGGTGCACATCAACACATCTGGCTAATTTTTATTTTTTATTTTTTGTAGAGACAGAGTCTCACCATGTTGCCCAGGCTGGTCTCCAACTCCTGAACTCAAGCAATGTGCCTGCCTCAGCCTTCCAAAGTGCTGGGATTACAGGCGTGTGCCACCATGCATGGCCTAGGTGAGATTTTTATGATGGCTTTTAGGTTGGAAGGGGAGCAGTTAGAGAGAAAAGGGTATGAAGACTGACTTCCAGGAAGCATGAGTGCTAGATCCATGACCCTGTATTTCCTGAGAGAGAACATGCAGAAGGCTCATGTTGGAGCAATGCATCCTGAGAGGAGAGAAGCCCAGGAATTATGGTTGGCAATAGTTAAGACTGAAATTCCACTAAGGCATCAAAATAGCTGTGCTAGTGAGGCAATAAAATGTAGAAATCTGGAATTCTCAAGAGAGATATGAATATAGAATTCCATTAGCACACAGAGGGTATGAAGGTCACAGAATGCAACCAGGAAACACAGAGGCAGGTGGAGGAAACTCCACTACCTACTGGACAGGTGGAGGAAGAAGAGCAGGAAATGAGCCCTCTGAAAGGTTGCCTATTGGAAGTTTGTATTTTTCTCCTTCATCAATCTAGAGAACCTTTATACAGCCATGTTTACAAAATGTGTTCACTTAAGAGCCATTAAAGAAGGTTGTTGTTATTTTTTGACTGTTTGTTTGCTTTTGGGTTGCTTTCATTCCTTTTGCTGCCTTTGTCATTCCTCACGGAGGTCACTCCATGAACGTTTAACAGTGCACAGGTGGAGTAATCCGATATCCAGGGACCTGCACAGATGTCTTACCCTGTGTTGGCTCTTTGTAATTCCTTTCTCAGGCATTAGGTAGCTCCAACATAATAGAACTATTGCCAACATTTTACTCTCTTTCCCTGATAACCAAAGTACCGACCTAAATTAAATTGCTGACCGCATTATTTGTGAGTCCAAATTTAGCTTCCCCTCTCGTACCATTAATGGTCTGTTGCAGAGTTTCTCTACTTCCATTTGCGAGTGTAACTATGTCCCTGCCTATCCAGGTGTCGCAATGGAAGCAGAAGTTTGGACATCAGTGAGTTTTTAGCGTGTGTGATATTGGTAGAGAAGGCACGGTGTGCAAGGACCTGGCTTGCCGTCGGAGGGTGGCGATGAAGACAGCACATGATGTCTCTTTTCAGGACAGCTGAAGCAAGTCAGCCCCATCCTGGAGGAAGCCCAGCTGCCGGCCCAAAGATCAAAGGTGTCTCCCAAGGCCGGCTGTCACTAGACTGTGCTCAACGTTTGCCCTCATCTCTATGTATGAGGACAGATATTCAGAATGATACTCCAGTTGGCTGAAATCTCCCTTTGCCATAAGCAGATAGATGGAAATATATGCATCTCTATTATAGATACCAGGAAGCATTTGTCAACGAGGATAGACAAGTGAAAGTGGCTAAATTTGACTGTAGAAAATATGTTCATGGAGTGAATAGCCAAAATGAGGGTACCAGTTCCATTTAGGAAAAGGAAGTCTGAAAAAATATCTAAAGACAAAAGAAGGGCAGCATCTAAATGAGGAGCAGAACCTAGCAGAGAAAATGATTTTAGAGTTAGGCAAACCTAGCTTCCAACATAGCCATTGTTTATTAGTAGCATGACCACATCTCTGGGTCCCAGCCTTCTTGTATTAAAAAAAAAATGATGAGCATTACATAGAGTGATACATATCTAAGTTCCTAATGGCATGCATGGCATATGATTCATGTCCAGAATACTTTAGTCTTTCCTTGGAAAACATTTCAACAACTTGTATTTTTGCTCTCACATCTTAAGAATATCCACGTTCCCATCCATTCTCTATAAAATATTTTTCACACCTTGGCAAAACTTTAGGCTTCATCTCTATTAGAAAACCTATAAAAAATTCATAAATATGAAATTAGAGCCTGCAGGAATGTAAATTTTATTCTGTGGTTATGATGTGTGCCTCCAGGAAATGACCCTTTATATGCATAAAGCTGTATCACATTTATGGTCTGATTTTGATGCCTGGATAGGAAGGATAAAGCCACCCTTTGCTTGACAGAATTCCCTTTCCATTTCCCTTCTCCTTGAATTACCATGGTCAGAATAAGGGAGAATAATAATGACTACAGTGGCTCCCAAGCAGGTTTACGTTCATTATTTTAGTTAAGTATGACAATGGTTCTCCTGGCTTATCAAAATTAGTGAAGTTATCTGCACACAGTGAAAGAAAGATCTTAAAATATAGATGTAACCTGACCCACCCTTGGGATAAACACAGAATTTAAATAGTGAGCCCACAGCATGTTTGAAGTGCCTTGTATTTTTCAGTACTCATGTCCAAGGACAAAAAGATGAACAAGAAATAGTCCCTATTCTCAAAGAGGAAACGGTTGCCTTGCAGGGATATACCTGGAAGCAAATCAGTGAAAAGAACTAACCTTCTCAGAGGCAGTGGCATGAAAACAAGTCCTTGTATGTTGAGTAGAAAATCTGCTCACGGGCTGGACACGTGTGTTTGGGGATAAGGATGTGAAGAGAATTGAAGGCATCAGATTTGCACATGATCCCATAGCATGTGGCCAAGCCCAATCAAATGCTGGCTGACTGCTCCTTCCCTACTCTCAAGCTGAATTCTTTTATTTATTTATGTATTTTTGTTAGCCAGGACCTTGGCATGTCTTCAAGTTGCCACAGAAAAATGTCCCTTCTTAGTGGAGAAGAGAGACCACAGGGGCATCACCTCACATTTATTTAATTCATACATCCCATGGGTTCTCAACATGGTCATCATCAATATGCTTTTTAAAAATTTTAAGATATGGGGTCTTGCTCTGGTGACCACACTGGAGTACAGTGGCGCGATCATAGCTCACTACAGCCTCAAACTCCTATGCTCAAGGGAGCATAGGAGTTTGCTCCCCAGTAGCTGGGACTACAGGCACACATCACACCCGACTAATTTATTGATTTTTTTTTGTAGCAATAGGGTCTCCCTTCGTTGCCCAGGGCTGGTTTTGAACTCCTGAACTCAAGCAATCCTCCTCCCTCAGCCTCCCAAAGTGTTGGGATTACAGGTGTGAGCCACAGCACCAAGCCCTATATGCCTTTTTAAAATATACCAAATGTAATGCCTTCTTTATATCTTGAAATAAAATTAATGTATCATAGAACCTACCACAGTCATAATTTGAAAATGAGTCAAGATAATATGCAAACCACGATATAAATGACAAAAACCAAGGAAGGTAGTTCTTATAAAATAACATGTATTCCAATATGCAAGTGATCAGGCACAGTTGCAAAAGAAGACATCATGAGACACACATCCCTATACCTCCTTAGGATGCATAAGCCTGGGTTTAAGAGGACATCAGAGCCTGAGCAACATAGCGAGACCCAGTCTCTACAAAAAATAAAAAAATAATTAGCCAGGCATGAGTTTGCTGGCATGCACCTGTGGTCCCAGCTACTTGGGATGCTAAGGTGGGAAGATCACTGGAGCCCAGGAGTTCCAGGCTACAGTGAGTCGTGGTGGTGCCACTGCACTCCAACCTGAAGAACAGAGACCCTGTCTCAAAAACGAAAACCAAAAAAAAAAAATATGAGGAGATCAGAAAATGTTCCTAAGAGAAAATGCAGGACATGAAAAATCAGGATGCAAATGGCACTAGAATAACAACTAGTATTAAGATGAGGACCAACAAACAAGATTTCGTTGATAGTAGTAAAAGAAAAAAGAAAGGAAGTGATTGCAAATAAAGTAGGGATAACATGCCAAGACAAATTGCAGACTGTCCAAGGAAAGAAAGCACGAGATCTCCGCACATGAGCTTGGGTTGCTTATTAAGTGTAGTGTCAGAGGTACTTCCCGGGCTATGACATGAAACAGGTTGTAACAAACGATCACAGAAAACATAGCCCTATTTGGAAACTCCACCATGTGTTACGATGCCTCCAATATGGTGAGTGGAGTGCATTTCACTGACACAATTTTCCAAAGCAGGGCTCAACATTTGGAAAAATTCTAGACAAAACAAAGTACAGTCTTACCTCACTTTTTGCAATTCTCAGACTCCGTATGAAAAAAATGGCCCTATGAATTCCCAAAATGCTCCATAGAGGGCAACACCATCTACATTCAGAATTATTAGAAGTCCTGGAAGTCAATGATAAGATTAGCTCCTGATTGAACTGAGAAATTACTGCCCTCTGAGGGGATGAGCAATCAGCGAGTAT
This sequence comes from Homo sapiens, assembly GCF_000001405.40. NCBI lineage: Eukaryota > Metazoa > Chordata > Mammalia > Primates > Hominidae > Homo > Homo sapiens. The sequence continues at coordinate 6,810,737 of NC_000023.11, forward strand.
GTAGAAGGAAGGCAGAAAGAAGGAAAATGAAATACAACAGCTACCAGGTGAAGCTCAAGAATTAGATATTGAGCCCAAACTCAGACAGCTATTGAACTACTATTGCTGTCCCCAACTCTGCCCACTACAGCCCCAGGTTCTTTCCACCACCCACATGGAGAGTGGGTTTTTAGATAACGTTAGTCATTCCTCACTCATCACATGATTGCTTTTTGGCAACAGGCTGTATGTAATTTATGCCTTGCTAGGGAGGTGGACCAAGCCAAACATGGAGAAAAGAGTCATGCAACTCAAAGACATTCCTTTGTCCTGAAGCATAGCCCAGCAACACTAAGAACCCCTTGCTGCTCTTACTCATAGTCAAAAAGTCAGGCTTCGATTCTCAAAAATAGGAGTGTATACAGGTTTAACCTATAAATGGTTCAGATAGCATTGATACACTTGCACTGACGAAGTTCTTATTTCTTTCCATGTCTTTAACATTTGGGGAGGACTGACTGATCTTGTGAACAGAGATGGAGCATTAAGCAAACAGGTATGTTCTCCCACCAGTGCCATTCTCTGTGGGCATTATTTTTTATTATTAATATTATTTTGAGACAGAGTATCACTCTGTCACCCACGCTGGAGTGCAATGGTGTGACCTCGGCTCACTGCAACCTCCACTTTCCAGGTTCAAGCGATTCTCATGCCTCAGCCTCCCCAGTAGCTGGGACTACAGGTGCATGCCACCATGCCCAGCTAATTTTTGTATTTTTACCAGAGATGGGGTTTCACCATATTGTCCAGGCTGGTCTCAAACTCCTGACCTCAATTGATCTGCCTGCCTAGGCCTCCCAAAGTGCTGGGATTACAGGTGTGACAGGTGTGAGCCATCACGCCTGGCCTTTTTTTTTTTTAATTATTTTTTTCTTATTTTTTAAAAACTAGCTTCAGGGTCTCACTGTATTGCCCTAGCTGGTCTCAAACTCCTGAGCTCAAGTGATCCTCCTGGCTTGGCCTCCCAAAGTGCTGTGATTACAGGAGTAAGCCATGATACCTGGCCTGTTATTTTTATCTGTTAATGCTTGCAGCTCATTCTTGTGAGAGGGAGGAAGCTCTAACCCAGAGAGTCCATCTCCATTTTAAGTGCAAATATATGCTGGGCCCCGAAGGGGCTGCCATAACATGCAATTCAGATGTAGAAAGAAAGAAGGGACTGGCCCCCAGGAAAAGAGGTCATTCAGAGGGAAAGAGAAAATAGAAGGTACCAGGGGATGTGAGAAAGAATGGTGACTAAGGCAGCATGAGACATCAACATTGAGATAATTCAACATGGTTGGAACAAAGTCAGGAGCAAAACAGCACGGTAGCCCTGCAATCTCACCATAGCATCTTCTCAAGAGAAGGATTTGCATCTCCAGGTGAGTATCGAGACTGTAAATTACAGTGAGAAAGGTGTGCACAGACAGTCTCTCATCCACCATCTTCAGACTCAAAGCACAAGGAGGGTGAGATGTCTCAACAAACACTGCAAAGAGCTGGGGAGTGATGCCAGACAGGTAACTCTGCAAAACTCATCTTGCAAGGATGATGAATAGGAGTTTTGACAATTCTGTCAAACCCTTCAAATCTTAAGTGACTTGAAAGTTCCAGTAATTTTTTTCTTTAAAACAAGTGGAATTGCACTTTTCCATTGTTATGCAAATTACCTTCCCCAAGACATCTATTTACCTGTTACTATGGTTCTCAGGTAGTTTCTCCATGCCTTGGGCAGTGGAGGTGGGTAAGGATATAAAGTTTAAAAATGATGTCTTCAATAAGAAAGTTTGAAGAGACATTACTCAAAGAAACGATTTTAATGTGATATTTTATGTATGAGAGACCTAAGCTTTTCCTTACATGTGGGAAATAGAAAAGTATGATAGGGTTTCAAGTTCTGCCATCAAGTTTTGATAACAATCAACAAAACAACACCCTGTGTTTTTCCCTACCCCAAGACACAGCAACTTCAAATTTGAAAGATAGCTCAATAAACAAAAATGGAGTATCTTTGCTTTTTAAAGAACTGATCTCAGCTTTAAGAAATAAATAAAGACTGCATGTGATGACTTATGCCTGTAATCCCAGCACTTTGGGAGACCAAAGTGTGAGGATCACTTGAGCTCAGGAATTCGAGACCTGCCTGGGCAACATAGCAAGACCCAGTCTCTACAAAAAAATAAAAAATTAGCTGGGTATGGTGACACATGCCTGTGATCCCAGCACTTCAGGAGGCTCAAGTGGGAGGTTCGCTTGAGCCCAGAAGGTCAAGGTTGCAGTGAGCTATAATCACACTAACATACTCCAGCCTGGGAAACAGATAGAGACACTGTCTTGAAAGCAAGAAAGAGAGAGAAAGAGAGAGAAAAGAAGAAGAAGGAGAAGGAGAAGAAAAGAAAGAGAAAGAAGAAAGAAGAACAAAGAAAGAGAAAAAAAAGAAGAGAAAATAAAAGAAAAGAAGGAGGGAGGGAGGGGACTTGGTCCTTACAATCTGCTGAGAGGCTTAAACATAAATACAAATAAACATAAACACAAACAATACACGGGAATAGCTAAGAGAAAAAGATTCAACTATGGCTTTTTTTAAAAAATGCTGAAGAGCTTTGTAACTCTTCCAAAGACTTCATGATAAACAGCTCAGGGCCCTCTTGGTTAATGCTTGGAAGAAAAACAGTTTTTCTTTCAAACATCTTCTTTGGAACAGAGACTTCCTTCCAAAGAATTCTCTCCTGCAACCCACCCAGTAGCCAGTCTAATAAAATGTGTAAGAGGAGAAAAATGGTCTTACTCTCTCCTTTCCCCCCGTAGGGCGTAGCAAAAAATTGGAAAACAGAAAAATGGAATCTGGTGACACTTGAGACTAATGCCCGAATCTCCTGCTTCTGATTTTTCCAGCAGCCAGTCCGCATCCTCTCAGCACCCCTATTCAGCTATCACTCTCGTTTTGCTGTAGTAGGTCACAGATCAGATGATGGGGGGTGGGTGTTTGGTTTGGGTGTAACTTTTGTTGTGTTTTCAGCAGATTCAGCCCAGCACAACTTGTCAGGAGATTCATGACTTAGCAATTGTCAGGGATTGGTCAAGTCATATTGAAAATGAGATTAACTGAAAGATTCAAGTGGCCAGCCCTATGCTAGACTTTGTAGTGCTTCCAAGGGGGTTCACGTGAAGGAGTCACATCTGGGCTTCAGGCTCATCAAAGGCAGGAGTGAAACGCATTGGCTCACCCTTGGCTGCCATTGCGGGAGAAACATGGGAGGTGAGACAGCACCACGGACAGCTCCAAGACACACGTTTCCCCTAACACGGTTCCCTCTCCTCTTGATCCTGGGTTCTCATTCTGGTTGGTCCAGACACCTAGGACTTAACAACCTGAAAACATCAGCCCACATTGTCCCTTTAAGCCACGTGGCACCAGGTTTCTTTTTTACTGAATGTCCCAATGACTTCCTCATTTGTGAACTATCCTGGCACCCAGTTCAACATTTTATCTGAAACCCTACAAATCTTTTTCTTCTATCTCTTACAATGAAATGCGAGCCATCTTTTCATGCAAGACTCATTTTTCTAGTTGTTCTGAAAAAAAACTCTCAGTTTTTCAGAAGATTCTTTCAACTATTACCCATCCCCATCTCCCAAATCGCCACGAATGCCACCAAATATTATCAGATATTGAGATGAGGTACAGTGAGTTAGGAGGGGTGGGGGTTCTGTTTATTTTCATGATTGTTTTAAATTTGTTTTAATATTAATAATAAAACGTCCACCTCCAAACTAACCAATGGGCAAATATACCCCTCTAAATTTCAGAGGAAACAATAAAAAGTTTGATGGCCTGTGGGAAAGCAATTAAATAAAAAATGAGAAAGCTGGGATAAGAAAATGTGTTTTTTTTGCTATAAGCCTTTTTAAAATGAGATCTGACGTTTAATTCTGACGTGAGTAATTTTTCAGATAAAATTAAACACAACATCCTGCTTCCTAATCTTTTGAGAACCAAAGCTAATGGGAGCTTTTGAAATGTGATTATGTTACTCCTCTTTTTAAAAATTTTCAGCACAACCAAAAATGCCCTTAAAATAAAGATGCTCCACTAGAGCTTAATGGGTGTTTCCATTTCTCCTCATCTCTTCTTTCTCTCCTGAAGTCAGGATTAGGGACCTCTTTGCCTGTTTTCATAGCAGTTTGGACTTCTTCTATCATGTCAGAATGTTTCTGTGTCTCCTTTAAACTCCAGGTTCCCTGGATATAGACACTTTTTCTTGTTGCTATTCATGATTGTTTCAGTGACAACACGACGGCTTCATGTTTATTAAGTGAATGGACAGACATTTCTTCTCTCATTTTCCTGACCAATGCTTGGGGGAAAAATCAGATTGTCAGAAAGGGTACCTAAATGATAACTTATTGAAAATGAAAAAAAAAAAAAAGAAAGAAACCCAGCCTGTCCATTTGGCAAAGTGATGAAAATAACATGCCCCAAATATGCCACATTCTTCTCTGGAAAAGAAATTCTGATTCCAACTCTTCTCCCAGTCCACTTTGCTGTAAACAAGGGAAAAAAAGCATACATAATAAAGAAAAAGTAAAGGTATGTCTATGAAGAAAAAACTGGAAACAACAGACACCAACTACATCCGTTATAGTCATTCAAACTGAAAACCTCAAATTAAAAGGTTATTTAGACTGTTGCCAGTCCAGAGAATTTCAAATATCAGTCCTTTAATTTGATTTATCAAAGAGAGATAAAGAATTTGTCAAAAAAACATCAAAAAAGCAATTCAGGGCCTCTTGGCTACCTTGCCAAATCAGAATCTCTGAGGGTGAGGCCTAGAACTGGGCAATCTCTAAAATTTCCCCACAGAACTCTGATGCGTGTCCAGGCGTGAGAACCTAGACTATAGCCCAGCCTCCATAAAACATGTGGATAGACTTGTGGCATTTCTGAGAGATGGCCATTTGGTCTCTGCTTGAAATCCTCTAATTAAAAACTCATTGCCTTTCACAGAACTTTATTCTATTTTCAGAAACCTCAAATCATTGAAATATACTTACTGTTTTAAATCAACTATACCAAATCCTCCCATAACTTTTACTCATTGTCACTTATTTGCTCTTGGAGAATCAACAGAGCAAATCTAAACCTTCCTCGCCATTTAAACCCATATATATGGGGCTTTATATATATGTATATATACACACTATATTATATATAGTATATACATTATACATGTAATGTATATACTATATATTTTTGAGACAGTATATAGCTATTATATATAGTATATACATACATATATACTACATATACACTATGCATATATACTTACAATCTGCTGAGAGGCTTAAACATAAACATGAATAAACATAAACACAAACAATACAAAGGAATAGCTAAGAGAAAAAGAAAGTCTATAAAGATGATCTTACATTTAGAATTAGCTATACATACATATACATATATACACTATATGCATAGTATAGTATATGCAGTGTATATATATTACATGTATAGTATATATGTATATATACTATATGCATAGTACATATATTAATACATATATGTACTATGTGACACGTATGTATTTTTATATATACATATAGTACATATACTATATACTATAGATAGTATATGTATAGTATATGTACTATACTACACTATACTAATGTACTGTACTATACCATATATACTATATATAGTACCTACATACTATACTATATGGTATACTATATACTATATTTATACATCTATACTATACTATAGTATATACACACATATACTATGTGTATATAGTATGCATATTATATACATATATAGTATAATATACGTACACTATACACAATACATACTATATGTATGTATACTATACATGTACATATACTAGACATACTATATTTGTATAGTTTATATACACTATATATACCATATAGCATATAAACACTATATATACTATATAGTATATACAATATATATACACACATAGTATATACGATATAGTATATACAATATATATACACATACAGTATATACTATATAGTATATACAATATATATACACATACAGTATATACTATATAGTATATACAATATATACACACATACAGTATATACTATATAGTATATACAATATATATACACATACAGTATATACTATATAGTATATATAATATATATACACATATAGTATATACTATATGTATATACAATATATATACACATATAGTATATACTATATAGTATATATAATATATATACACATATAGTATATACTATATAGTATATACAATATATATACACTATATAGTATATACTATGTGTGTGTATATATATATATTTTGAGATAGTATCTCACTGTGTCTCCCAGGCCGGAGTGCAGTGTTGTGATCATAGCTCACTGCAGTTTCTACCTCCTAGACTCAAGCCATCCTCTTGCCTCAGCCTTCTGAGTAGCTGGGAATACAGGTTCATGCCACCATGCCCAGATAATTTTATTTTTTCAGAGATACGGGATCACTGTGTTACCCAGGCTAGTCTCAAACTCCTGGCCTCAAGTGATCCTTTTGTCTTGGCCTCCCAAAGTGCTGGGATTACAGGCACCAGCCACCATGCCCCGCCTTAAGCCTTTCAAGTATTTGAAAAGAGCTACCTTGTTGTATTAATTATCTGTCACTATCTAACCAATTATCAAACTATCTCCAAGTTTGTGACCCAAAACAAAAAGCATTCCTTGAGGTTTCTGCAAATTGAGGGTCTGGATGTGGTCACCTGGGTTCTCCATTTCAAGAAGAAGATCTCTTATAGGCTACAAATATTCTAGTCAATGGGAAAGATTCACTAAGTCCTGCCCACACACAAGTGCAAACGGATCCTCAAGAGCACCAATTTCAGCAGGCAGGGATGATTGGATACATTTTTGAAGGCCGCCTACCACATATGTGGCTCTGTTTTCTTTTCTCCGGGTCCACACTTTCCTTAATCATCTCTCCAGCAGGAAGCCCAGGTCTGCATTTCTTCATACTCTGCACTAGTCCTTACTTGGACTTAGACATTTAGCCATGGCTCTTCTCATATCTCATTCAAAAATAAAACCAAAAGGGATGCCTTTCTGTCTCTTCATTTCCCCCAAGTCCCTGTTTTTTTGTTTTAATTTAGAAAATGTTATTTGAATCTTCCCCAAAATTTAGGATATTTTCCACATAAGTCCACAAGCAGCAACTTAGATAAGCAGGCTGCCTGTGTAAGTGTGTGTCGCTATTTCCACCCTCCAACTACTTTCTTTTCTTGTTTATGCTGGATGTCTCAAAACCCATATTCTATATGAAGTCTCATTGCTCAAGCTGGGAAAGCTTTGTTCTCCAAAATCCTTGATGTTTAGACACACACAGAAAGTCACAGTACCACACACACACCCTGAGTAGTATCCTTTAGGTTATTTTGAGCTCTTCCTTCAAATCCCAGCAGTTTGAAGTGCACATGCTGAGCAACTCTCAGCAGAGCTGAGGAAAGTCTATAAAGATGATCTTACATTTAGAATTGACTAAAGGGTTTTATTTTTAGTTTTATTGGTCTGTTTTCTGTCACAGAGGGGCTGCCATTGTAATAGTCCTGCCAAACATCGCATTCAAGATTTAATACATGGATACACCTGTCAGCCATAGCTTCCCAACTTAAAGTAAATGAATTTGTAAAGATGCATATTTATGACTGTGCAAATTCTAAAGCTAATAGGACAAATAAACTCTCTAAATTTCCAATTTTCTACATTTAATATTTCATGTATTCAAAATGTACACCAAGTCAGTCAATCCTCCTTCTTTCCTCAGAATGGAAATACAAACCACTGTCATTGACATCTTTATTGTGAAGTCCATACTGGACTTACCTTGGGTGTCTATATAGTGAATGCATCTTGGGAATAAGCTCAGAACACAGCCAGCATTTACGATCAAGTAAATCCAGGCTGGCTTGCTTCCTTTGACTTCTATCACCTGCCACAGGTAAAATATAATATCCCTGTAGCTGGGTGAAAACATCATGTGTTTTGGATTTATACAGATTTGAGTATACACCTGAATTTAATTAAACCACTTCAGAAATGTGTATAAATCATTGATTCTTCGTAAGCCTGCTTTCCCATGATTTAACAAATTTTAATACTAGGAATATTAAAGATGATGATAGTTCAAAATGTTGAAGAAACAAAGAACAAACGGTATATAAAAGTTGTTCATTCTCTTCCTTCTTGCTGTTTCTAGAGCTCACTAGAAAATTTCTTCCAGAAAGATATCCTTCTTACTGGAAAAACTTGGTAAAATGTACGGAGACCCCCAGAATTTTAATACTCAAGTGACACCACTTAAATGTGGATAAAGAATGAAAATCCCAGCAATATATTAAAGACTGGGGTGGGATTTGGGCATCTTTATGGCATAAGCCAACAACACAAAGACTGGGTCTTCTGTTCAAGAGAAGAGAGTTCTGAAAATTGCTTTCCATGAAAGCTTTCTTCTTACAATTATTTGTCCCCTCACCCTGAGCCTTAGTAATATTTTACACATGCACACAAACAGAAGCCCACATACACTCACTCCCTCTATCCTGAATTTTAGATGTACTATTCATTCAAGAAGATATGGTACAATTCCACACTTGCTAATTCATGGATTCAATACTCATTTCTTCTCTGCAACACAAAATGGTCCTTGGAGATATGACATAGGCTCCTTTGGAGCACCATACATTGCCAAGATTTGAGTGCTACTAAACGAAATTTGAAAGTTCCCCCTTTTATCTCCATAGAATGGAGGAGGCGATGGAAGAACGGATTCACTCAAAATCATATTTGAAACACGTCTTCATGGATCCATGGTATGTTTTTTAAAGTAGGTTTTCACTTGTAATACTTTGTCTCCATTCATAATCGTAGGGATCTGACAGGGGACTTTGCAGTCTTTTCATTTTTGTAAAAGAATTTTCCTTTTGCCACTGATATTGAGCTGCAGATGAGGTGTAGTTTGAGGTGAGCTGCAGATGAGGTGCAGTTTGCCCCATGGTGTCTTTACCAGCTGCATAATATTTTGAGAGCGGAAGAGAGAACACACAGGGGATAATTTTATAATTGTATTTTGTATTTTTATTAGAAAATACGTCAGGTGTGCAGAAATGTACAGATAATAACATAACAGATATCCACAAATCTACCATCCAGACATAAAATATATATATTTTTTTCGCCATAAATTTTTCTTTTTTTTTTTTGACTGGGAAGAAAAACAGGTTTAATTGGACTTAGAGTTCCACATGGCTGGGGAGGCCTCAGAATCATGGCAGGAGGCAAAAGGCACTTCTTGCATGGTGGCGGCAAGAGAAAATGAGACGTAAGCAAAAGTAGAAACCCCTGATAAACCCAATAGATCTCATGAGACTTATTCACTATCACGAGAATAGCACGGGAAAAAGACTGGCCCCCATGATTCAATTACCTCCCTATGGGTCCCTCCCACAATACATGGGAATTCTGGGAGATACAATTCAAGCTGAGATTTGGGTGGGGACACAGCCAAACCCTATCATCCTGCCCCTGACTCCTCCAAATCTCACGTCTTCACATTTCGAAACGAATCATGCCTTCCCAACAGTTCCCCAAAAGTCTTAATTCATTTCAGCATTAACCCAAAAGTCCACAGTCCAAAGTCTCATCTGAGACAAGGCAAGTCCTTTCTGCCTATGAGCCTGTAAAATCAAAAGCAAACTAGTTACTTCCTAGATACCATGGCGGTACAGGTATTGGGTAAATACAGCTGTTCCAAATGGGAGAAATTGGCCAAAGCAAAGGGGTTATAGGGCCCATGCAAGTCCAAAATCCAGCAGGGCAGTCAAATTTTAAAGCTCCAAAATGATCTCCTTTGACTCCAGGTCTCACATCCAAGTCACACTGATATAAGAGGTGGGTTCCTATGGTCTTGGGCAGCTTCACCCCTGTGGCTTTGCTGGGTACAGCCTCCCTCTCGGCTGATTTCATGGGCTGGCATTGAGTGTCTGCGGCTTTTCCAGGCGCATGATGCGAGCTGTCAGTGGATGTACCATTCTGGGGTCTAGAGGACGGTGGCCCACTTCTCACAGCTCCACTAGGCAGTGCCCCAGTAGGGACTCTGTGTGGGGGCTCCTACCCCACATTTGCCTTCTGCACTGCCCTAGCAGAGGCTCTCCATGAGGGCCCTGCCCCTGCAGCAAACTTTTGCCTGGGTATCCAGGCATTTCCATTCATCTTCTGAAATCTAGGTGGAGGTTCCCAAACCTCGATTCCTGACTTTTGTGTACCTGCAAGTTCCAACCCTGCCAAGGGTTGGAACTTCCACCCAGGGGATAATTTTAAAGCACTGAGACTGGGCGGCCATGGGAGAGAGATTCACCCTACAAAGCAGCAAGACACCTTGATGTAAGTCACATAGAACTGGCTCCACACGAGGTGTAAGTCTGCATCCTCACAAAGGGCGGGACTCTATAAGTGAAGACAGGAACAGGAGAGACACCCACAGCCTGTGCGTGGGGCTCAAGGCACAGGTCCAATTATCTGATGAAGGTAGGGTAAGGAGAAAAGGGGTGAGACTGCCCTGTTCCAAAGAGGATCAAGAATAGAGACTGCTTGGAAAGCGTGTGAGTTTTGGGGCTCAGGGTGGCATATCCTGAACCCCAGCACTCACTTATTGGCATTTGGGAAAACAGGCAGAGCAGGAAACCCACGTTCACCTTCCCCTCATCCTTCTCCTCCAAAGCAGGCCATGAAACCTAGGAAGGATTTTCTGACCTTCCCCAAAGCAGGCCCTAATGATACAGGAGCTAGAAAGAAATTATTTAGGCAGATAGTTAGGGTAAAAGGAGTCCTCGGTAAGGCTTCCCTTTTAATAAAAAGCAGCCCCACATAATTTCTTTTCTCACAAAGAGCAGCCTGAAAAATCGAGCTGCAGACACAGATAAGCAAGCTGCAAGTTTGCATGGGTGAATGCCGGCAGCCATGCCAATACAGCAGGGCTACCTGGAAGCCAGGGGTGTTCAGCATGGAGCCTCCGTCTTCCCTTTTCTTTTCACCACGTGTACAGTAAGGGCCAGGCAACATGGCGCTGACCAGGTAGAGAACCCATCTGCATAATAAAAGGTTAAGGTGGGGCAGTCAGCTTCTTTGTGTACTGTGTAAACGGCACACCTAGTCCAACCAATTTTTTGTGCTCTATGTAAATCAGACTTTACCTCCTCAAGCTCATCTATAAAACTGCCTGCATTTCACCACGGAACTGGCAACCCATTTTCTCCAGGACCCCACTCTCTGCAGCAGAAAGAGCTTTTCTCTTTCTTTTGCCTATTAAACTTCCACTCTTAACCTCACTCTGGTGTGACCGCGTCCTAGTTTTCCATGGCCACGGGACAACAAACCTCAGGTTTTACCCCAGACAACAATGCCACTTCACTAAGGCCTTCATTCAAGAGGGGCCGTCCTCATACCTGGGTAAAGGTATATCTTTATCTCCGAAGATGAAGAATCTGAAGACAGGTCTTGTTAAAGTTCCCCCAAGTTTGTTTCCATGAGGTCACAGCCTCTCGTCCTCCAATCATACTTCTCCATGCCTGCCCCCCTCTTCATCAAACCTAAACAAGCGTGAAAACTTGCAGGTTTCCCTGTTTGTTTTTTTGAGACGGAGTCTCGCTCTATCGTCCAGGCTGGAGTGCAGTGGCGCGATTTCGGCTCACTGCAAGCTCCGCCTCCCGGGTTCAAGCTATTCTTCTGCCTCAGCCTCCCGAGTAGCTGGGATTACAGGCACGTGCTACCATGCCTGGCTAATTTTTGTATTTTTAGTAGAGACGGGGTTTCGCCATATTGGCTAGGATGGTCTCCATCTCCTGACCTCGTGATCCACCCGCCTCGGCCTCCCAAAGTGTTTTTTTTTTTTTTTTTAACTTTTATTTTAGGTTTTGGGGTACACGTGATGGTTTGTTACATAGGCAAATCTGTGTCATGGGGGTTTTCTGTACAGATTATTTCATCACGCCGGTATTAAGCCCAGTACCCAACAGTTATCTTTTCTGCTCCTCTGCTTCCTCTCACCCTCCACTCTCAGGTAGACCCCAGTTCCCTGTTTTTTAAGTTTTCATTTCCTCATGAAAGCTCCTGTGTGATATAAAAACTAACATTAAAGAAATGTGTTTGCTTTACCCAAGTTAATCTGTCTTTTCTTTTAAGGGGCCTCAGGCATGAGTATAGGATGGGAAGAAAAGGTATTTCTTTTCTCCTACATGTGCAATTACTTTTAGACATTAAAAAGCAAAAACAAAAACAAAAACTGTAGCCCAGGGAGGTGAGGTTGCAGTGAGCCATGATCTTGCCATTGCACTTCAGCCCGGGTGACAAAGTAAGACCTTGTCTTAAAATAAATAAATAAATAAAACTGTCTATGTAGTGGGTGAAGGAAAAAAAAATCCTTTACCTCGATAGATATATCTTTGACATATTTTGAAATGGCTGTCACAGGTTCAGCAAACAGATGTACCCTTGCAAGGCTGTCTATTGTGGGGGGATATTTGCATCTACAGAGAATCACCATGAATGTATGCAGGCCTTTTCCATGCCTTTCCAGGATCTAGGAGAGCTTGAGACTCTGACACCTTTACATTTAAGTCTGAAAAGAAATATTTACCATCTCTTCTCTCTGAGAATGGTGACCTATTAGGCTTCACCTACACAACAAAGTCTGCTTTACTAGCCAGTCCTCTTTCTTTCTTGCTCCCATTGTTACTGGAAAGGGGTCCTGATCCAGACACCAAGAGAGGGTTCTTGTATCTCACACAAGAAAGAATTCAGGGCAAGCCCATAGAGTAAAGCGAAAGCAAGTTTATTAAGAAAGTAAAGTAATAAAGAATGGAAACTCCATAGGCAGAGGCCCCAAGGGCTGCTGCTTGCCCATTTTTATGCTTATTTCCTGATGATATGCTAAATAAGGGGTGGATTATTCATAAGTCTTCCAGGAAAGGGGTGGGCAATTCCTGGAATGGAGGGTTCCTCCCCTTTTTAGACCATATAGGGTAACTTCCGGACATTGCCGTGGCACCTGTAAACTGTCATGGCACTGATGGGAGTGCGTTTTAGCATGCTAATGCATTATAATTAGCATATAATCAGCCATGAGGAGGACCGGAGGTCACTCTCATTGCCATCTTGGTTTTGGTGGGTTTTGGCCGGCTTCTTTATCTGTTTTATCAGCAAGGACTTTACGACCTGTGATATAGTTTGGCTGTGTCTCCACATAAATCTCATCTTGAATAGTAGTTTCTATAATCCTCACATGTTGTGGGAGGGACCCATTTGGAGGTAATTGAATCATGGGGGCAGTCACCACCCCTATGCTGCTGTTCTTGTGATAGTGAGTGGGTTCTCACAACATCGGAGGATTGCATAAGGGGCTTTCCCCCCTTTTGCTCGACACTTCTCCTTGCTGCCACTATGTGAAGAAGGATGTTTTTGCTTCCTTTTCCACCATGATTGTAAGTTTCCTGAGGCCTCCCCAGTCATGCTTAACTGTGAGTCAATGAAACCTCTTTCCTTTATAAATTACCCAGTTTCGGGTATGTCTGTATTAGCAGCATGAGAACAGACTAATACAACCTGTATCTTGTGCTGACCTCCTATCTCATCCTGTGACTTAGAATGTCTAACCTCCTGAGAATGCAGTCTCATAGGTCTCAGTCTTATTTTACTCAGCCCATACTCAAGATGGAGTCACTCTGGTTCAAAGGCCCCTGACACCATAACCTGTCTGGACACTAAACCTGGTTGACCAACGTAACCTGTTTTTGGCTATGCTCCAGTCTGCATTCTTTCCATAACCTGAAGCTGGTATATCAGCTTCTGTACCTTATTGTCGGGTTGGGTCTTCCTTCTAAATGCTCCCATGTATATATGTTAAATACATTTGTATGCCATTTCTCCTATTAATCAATCTGCCTCATGTCAGTTGCTTTTCAGTGAACTTCCAGGGAGCCAAAGGCAATGGCCCCCACTTGGGCATATATAATGAAAAATCAAATTTAAAATGTTGCCTTTTTAAAATTCACTAAATAAAAATAAACATGTTCAGGAAAGCAACTCTCCTATAACTTCAAAGAGCACCCAGGTGGAAGACGGTTTGTTGTTTACTGCAATTAAGGGAGAGGTGATCTTGGACTTGATCTTGGACTTCAAGCCAAAACTTAAATTTACGTTGTTTAAAAGCCACCAAGTCTATGGGATTCTGTTGTTGTTGTTGTCATGGCAGCCTGAAAGTATTAAGACATTTATTGAAGGAGCCATGGAGCAAGGGATTCAGCCACGAGAAATGGGATCCTACAAGAGCACGCAGAGGGACTAAATATTGTTACTGCACATAACGTTTTAGGATCATATAGGGTGAAAAAAATATATCCCTGGGCAACTTGTCCCACAAGATGGTTCAGAGCAGCACTAGGAAACACACATCAGACCTTGCCAATGACAGAGAAATGAAAATCACACATCACCCTGCAGCAAAACAGCTTCCAAATGAACGAGGAGAATTGGGGCAGAAAGAAACAGCTTAGCACCGGGTCATTCCCTGCCCACCCGCGTGGTCTGATCACACTGAGCTCTCTGCTCCGGGCCCTTGCAAAAAGAAAATGTGCTAGATGTAGTGAAAAGGAAAGGAGGTCCCCTGGCAGATGGTATAATATCAAAAACCATGTATTCTGCTCCTTGGGAGCTTGGTAAAAGGTGATGGACATGGTGTTTCTGGCACCTCCTGGAATATGACTTAGGGGGCCTTGACTCCCACCTCTAAGTCTCCAGCTTGGAATGGAGAGAGGAGAGCCACAGGAAGCTGAGTGTGGGGTTTCTAGCAGCATTCAAACAAGAGGAATTGAGGATACCAGCCAGTCTGTGAGCAGAGTACAGGAGCTATGGAGCTTCCCAGAGAATTCCCTTCTTGTCTCTCCCATCCTGAATGCAAGCTGAGCCCCACCCCAGCTTGCTGTGCAAGAGAACAGATCTATCCCTCAAGGTTCCTTCTCCAGCAGACCCACATGTCAGAAACAGGGGTTATTTCTTATAGGTTGGTTTATACCTAAGACCCACTCCAAAGAAGCAGGCGGCAACAAGGCTGGGGTATGCACATAACCAAAATCGACTCACTGATTTGGTCTTACTTAGGAAAACAAAGTTAAACTAATACTAAGAAATTTTTTTTAACAAAAACCCATAGGGACAATTCTCATTGTCTTTGCAAAATTGTCTCTGATCTCATATAAATTCTAAGTCAAAACACATAGTACCACTTTTGCAAATACTTTTAAGATAATCAGAAGTAGTATGCTAGATTTTTTAAGTCCCCTTCCCCCATACTCCTCTCATTTCTCAAATCTGAGCTGGAGCTTTAAGAAATTTTCTAAGTATTTTTAAATGGAAAGTCTATTTTTTTAATTCTAATATACCATAAAATAATACCTACATGCAACTTGCATAACTGTAACAAATGTACAATTTATATAAAATAGCAAGTGCCACATTTATTTTTTAACTTATAAGCTTAATTAAGTCCTTACAGAGGGATTCAATGTCTCATTATTTAAGAAGGTCCTTATCTTAGTCATTCTCCAAAGTCTCTACCCTTTGATCAGAACACCAGGTAGGGACAATTGAAAGACAAGGAGGTACAGGGAATGCTCTTATTTAATAGTAGCTGAAAACTTACATACATAGACATAGTAGTATAAACATATATGAAAATATATAGTAGCACAAACTCACATGGATGTCCACACTAAACTTATATAGATATAGTAGCATAAATTTATGTGGATGTACAACGTAGCAAAAAAAGAAGAAGAAAATGTCAAGAACCTTTGATATTCATGCTAATTCAGCAACAAGTTATAGGTCCTAGGTTTTAATATCTAAGAAAATATATAAAGTCTTACCACTAATTCAGAAATGCAGGTACATCACTCATTCTTGATTTTCCTTTTGTTAGACAAGATCCTCTCTAAGGTATCCTCTGTCTTCTTGTAAATTTCCATGTAAAAGGAAAACCACAGATTGACCATAAACTCCTGGAGAAACTAGGGTGAAGTCCCCTTAACTGTCTGTGGGCTCTGGGAGGGCAGGAATCTCACCCCTCTGAGACTGTTCAGCAGCAAGGATTTAAGACAGAGGCCAGCACACTGTAGATGTCATGGAAGCAGTGATTGTTAGGGATTGTCATGGACACAGCTCTCCAGACAGCTGGATGCTCAGCTCTTTTTCAGGGATGCCTAAGTGGCGACTCTACCTTCTACTCTCAAACAAGAATGTGGCTGGGCTGAGGTTGCGTTTGGATCCCACATTGCCCAATTACTTCCTTACATAAACCTCAGTGTTGTTAGTGTAAATCCTTCTGGATTGGTGACCCAAGCTCATTATTATGAAAAGGAAGGTGTTACCGGTGGAGGGTGTCCAGGTTCTTGGTGTCTTGAACAAAGAATTGGACAAAATGCAAAAACAAAGCAAGGAAGGAATGAAGGGATTTATTGAAAATGAAAGTACACTCCACAGTGTGGGAGCGGGCCCGAGCATAGGGGCTCAAGAGCTGTGTCACACAATTTTGGGAGTTTAAATACCCTCTAGAGGATTCTATTGGTTATTTGGTGTATGCCGTATGTAAATGGAGAGGATGAATAAAGTTACAAAGTCATTTACTCGGAGTTTGCCCTATAGAGAGGTTATTTCCTGTCATAGCTGAAGTGTGAATTGCCCTTATGTTCCCTGGCTCCAGACCCTATTTTCCTGCCTTAAAAGTGCACAGCAAAAATTCTACCTCTTTCTCAA
The DNA here is from genome assembly GCF_000001405.40 of Homo sapiens. Classification (NCBI taxonomy): domain Eukaryota; kingdom Metazoa; phylum Chordata; class Mammalia; order Primates; family Hominidae; genus Homo; species Homo sapiens. Next base: position 6,827,619 of record NC_000023.11, read on the forward strand.
CTAGAGCAAATCCACATTTGTGCAGAATTTTGTCAACAAATGTGCTTTCCAAGCAAGGGATGGGAGCAAAGAAAAGTCCCATTGAGAAGCACTGCCATCCACTCTACAATCTGAAGCCACCCTATTCTGTCAACGTCTGCATCCTTGTTGAGTAGCTTAAACACAGAAGAGCCTGTATATTGTCACTTGCAGGTTCATCTACAATCTGATGCACAGCTCAAAGGAAGATACACACTTCGAGTAGTTTATCTACAATTCATACTGGATATTTGCAGGACTAAATGAAGTTCTCTTTCATTATTACTGTGAGTAACACATGTATTTTATACTGTATCGGCATGGGGATCAGGCACCATTTTAAGTCAGGGAGGAGAATGTTTCAACTTTCAGCTCTGTGCTTTAAAAATGTATGCACTAACAGGGTTTTCTAACAATAGGCATATACACATGCATTAGTTTCCTGCTGCTGCCACAGGAAAGATGCTACAGGCATCTTTGGGGAACTAGTATTTTACAGCTCATAAATACATATTCGTGTATATCTGTGATGAGTCCTTTTTGCAACACCGTTTCATAGCCAACACCCAGTTTACAATATATACTGGAACAAAGATGTCAGCGAAAATAAGTGAGATCCATGCACATTGCATACTTGTTTGTCTACTGATTCAGAATTCACATGGAACAGAAAATGGATAACTTAACCTCCCCCTACACACACAAACTTATGACACTGTTGCTATATATGTGTGTGTGTGTGTGTGTGTGTAAACATACTTTAGAAAACTTTTAGATTCACAGTAAAATTCAGATGAAAGTACAGAGAATTCTCACCTACCCCCAGCACCCACACATGCACAGCCTCCTCTACTATCAACATCCTCCAGCACAGTAGTGAATTTGTTGTAATCAATGACCTTCCATGGACACATCATTACTACCCAGACTCCATAGTTTACATGAGGGTTCACTTTTAATGATGTACATTCTATAGGTTTGGGCAAATGTATCATGACATTGGATCCACCACTGGAGTATAATGCAGAGTAGATTCACTGCCCTAAACATCCTCTGTTCTCTGCATATTCATCCCTCCCCCTAACTACAGCTCTTTTTACTCTCTCCATAGTTTTGCCCTGTCCAAAGTGTCATACAGCTGGGCTCATACACTACGTAAGCTTTTCCAATTGGCTCATTCACTTAGTCATATGTATTTAAGTTTGCTCCATGTTTTTTCATGGCTTGATAGCTTATTTTTTTTTTAGTGTTGAACAATATTTCATTTTTGGTTGTATCACAGTTCATTTACGTATTCACCTACTGATATGGACTGAATGTTAGTGTCCCTCTAAAAATTCCTGTGTCAAAATCGAACCCCCAAGGGATGATGTTAGGAGGTTGGAGTTTTGGGGAGGTGATGAGGTCATGAGGGTGGAACCTCATGAAAGAGATTCGTGCACTTAGATGCAGCAAGAAGGAGCCATCTATGAACCAGGAAGTGCCCTCACCAGATGCAGAATGTGCCATGACTTGATCTTGGACTTCCAGCCTCCAGGACTGTGAGCAATAAATTTATGTTGTTTAAATGCCAGCAAATCTATGAGTTTTGTCATTGGTATATCAGGTTGAATGGATTAAGACACTTATAGAAAGACATCTTGGTTGCTTCTACTTCTTAGAATTATGAATAAATCTGCCACAAACATCCATGTGTGGATTTTTGTGTGGATATAAATTTCAACTCCTTTGAATAAATACCATGGAAATTGAGATTGCTGGATCGTAGGATAAGAGTATATTTATTTTTAAAAGAGTATGTTTCGTTTTATAAGAAATTGTATTCCAAAGTGGCTGTTCCATTTTGCATTCCCACCATCAATGAATGAAAGTTCCTGTTGCTCCACATCCTCACTAGCATTTGGTACTGTTGGTGTTCTGCATTTTGCCCATTCTAGCAAGTGTGGTATGTAGTGGTTTCCTGTTGTTTTAATTTGCACTTTCCTGACAACCTGTTATATAGAGTCTCTTTTCATAGGCTTATTTGCCATCTACATATCTTCTTTGGTGAGGTGTCTGTTATGACCTTGAGCCCATTTTAAAGTCAGGATATTGTTGCTTTTTAAGACAGAATATTGATCCTTTCCACCTCCCACCCCTAGCTCCTCTACATTCAGAGATGGCAACTCTCAGGTAAGCCACTGGGTAAGAGGTACAAGGAGGCTTTTGGTAGCTCAGAAGGTCCTAGGAGGTGAGTTCAGGATCTCGGCTGCTGGCTGGGTTGAGGGAGGCAGTACTCCAGCGTTCACGCAACTGGTGAGCTGAGGGATTCACCACATTAATCCAGAACATTAATTGAAAAATAATCTAGTAATGGGATAAGAAGAGCTTTCACAGAAAACTGCAGCCCTGCATGAGGGAATGCCTGTCAGTACCAGAAAATACACCCCTGAGAATGAATCTAAAAAACCTCCACTCCAACAAGCAGAAAGAAGAGCTAAGACAAAGACACATACCCGGTCTCTTGGCACAGATCAGGCCTAGATAAGTCTCTCTTTATTCAAATGATAAAGAAAAAAGTGAAAAAGCAACACGGATCTAGGAAAAGAAGACAGTAAAAACAAGGGAATACAACATCAACCTGGAGGCTGAGAAGGACTCTCTCACACCAAGATGTAATTGGCATTTTTCGTTTTCTGAAGTAAAATGATAAAGGGAAAAAAAAATCCTTCAAGCATTCAGGCAGGAAAAAAAAGTGAGAAGAAGAAAAACAGGTTACCTGCAAGAAGTCAGAATTATGTGGTACTCATATATGTCATACAGAATCCTGAATTTGAAATGTCTTTTTTCTTTTAAAGTAGAAAAGTTAGTGACAAAAGAATTTTATGCCCAACCGGGAAGTCTATCATAAGTAGAAGCAAGAGGAAAACCATTATCGAATATCTAAGGATTCATTTTTTATAACCAAATAGACTTCTCAAAAATAAAATCTGTCTCAATTCATCAAGAGGAGAAACACAAAGAAAAATTTAAGAATGCAAAAGTTAAGAGATACGAAGCCTAGGGGTTACTACTGTAGCCAAATTAGCACAGTGTTTTGCACAAAAAAGAATTTTAAGTGTAGTTATCAAAATAAAGTAGATGCCAAAAATTGTTGAAAAAGAGTGTAAATATTGTAACTTAACTAAATAAAATATACTTTAAGTTTAAAATCCCATATTGCAACCACCCAATGGGTTCTCCTTGCCCGCTGCCTAGACAAGAGCCAATTTATCAAGACAGGGCAATTGCAATAGAGCAAGAGTTTAATTCACACAGAGCCGGCTGTACAGGAGACTGGAGTTTTATTATTACTCAAATCAGTCTCCCTAAAAAGTTGGGAATCAAGGCTTTTATGGGTAATTTGGTGGGTAGGGGGTTGGAAAGTGGGAAGTGCTAATTGGTCAGGTCTGAGGTGAAATCATAGTGAATCGAAGCTGTCTTCTTGTGCTGAGTCAGTTCCTGGGTGGGGGCCACAAGATCAAATGAGCCAGTTTATTGATCTGGGTGGTTGCAGCCGATCTATCAAGTGCAGGGTCTGCAAAATATCTCAAGCACTGATCTTAGGTCTGACAATAGTGATGTTATTCCCAGAAGCAATTTGGGGAGGTTCAGAATCTTGCAGCTTCCAGCTGTATGACTCCTAAACCATAATTTCTAATCTTGTGGCTAATTTGTTAGCCTTGAAAAGGCAGTCTAGTCCCCAGGTAAGAAAGGGGTTTGTCTTAGGCAAAAGCTGTGACTGACTTTGTTTCAAAGTTAAACTACAAACTAAGTTCCTCCCAAAGTTAGTTTGGCTTATGTGCAGGAATGAACGAGGACAGCTTGGAGGTCAGAAGCAAGATGGACTCAGTTAGGTCAGATCCCTTTCACTGTCATAATTTTCTCAGTTATAATTTTTGCAAAGACAGTTTCAGTATTCTATTTGGAAAAATACAAGTTAATGAGACAAATTATCCTCACTGCATATAGTGAGAATTAAAAGATACCATGTCATTCATCATATTGAACAATTTAGATGTTAAGAAGAATGAAAATAATCAATATGTATTGAACAGTTACTAGGTGCCAGTCATTTTCAGCATTTTACCTGTAGATTTGCAATATGGGTTCAATAACCTTCTTGAAATAGTAAAAGAGAACAAGTACATTTTACAAAGCAGAATCTGCTTTCTAATCTTTGGAAAAGACCCAAACAAGCAAGACATAATCATATGGCAAAAGACAGAAAACAAAGGAACTAGCAAGGCAGCTTTAAAATCACTCATTAGGCAAGGAGACAGAAGTGAAGCCAATCATATATTTTATTCTGTTGGAAAAGGTAAAGGTTAAACTCCCACCTAAACAGACAAAGACTCTCAAAATGTGCTAAAAAGAAAACCAACAAAAACAAATACAAATATTTGGAGGAAAATAACAGGCCAAAAACTGCTCTTTATCCCCTCTGCCCCTACTTAACAAAACCTATAGAAACTGGAAAAAAAGAATACCAAAGAAAAGAGAAAAGAGGGAATAAAAACAATTGCCATCCTCAGACTGGCAAATGGCACCAAGAAATGCAACCAACATAACACCAAAGAAGTTCTGTTTAGAGCATATTGGCCCAAATTAAAGAGGTCACCCAGAAGCAGCTCAACAACTCCTCCTTTTGAAAGATGGGTGTAATTTTGGAGAAAGCAAATGGAAGATAATCTGGAAAACTCAAATAGCATCCTCTACTTTGGACCTACAAAGGACAAGGTTGGGGACAGTTCACAAGAAGTGGGAAAGCCTCCCTATGAGTGGGACGCCAAGGCAATGTGGTAAACAAAAAACAAAAAGTTGGCCACTACCACTACTTGCAATTTTTCTCTAAACTGGCATGTTAACGGCAATCTCAGAGTCTTCCATTTGGGGTAAAGGAGAAGGATGGGATGGCTGGGAATTCCTGAATCTTGAAGCACAAGAGCTAACTGTGAAAGAGATAGGATGGATATATTTGAAGCTATTTTCAGAGCTGTAGGATTATAGCAGAAGGACAACCCAATAGAGAAGCTAAGCCCTTCCGGGGAGTAACTGCCCCAGAAGCCAGGATACACTCCCTACTTAGCTAGGCATGGAACCCATAGGGTTCTGCCTTGGGGCAAAATGCTTGTCCTTCTGCCCCTCAGCTGCCTAGAATTGTACTACTCAGCTGCTGCCCAAATTCTGAATATGCTGTGGAGGCCCTTCTGCACATTCCTAATGGTTAATTCTAGCACAAACCGGAGCTGAATCAAGATCTGCCTTAGAATAAATAATTTACTGTCATCTCAGACTGCCTGCTCATGTCACTCTCTCTCTCTCTCTGACATACACACACACACACACACACTTCACCCAGTTAACTAAACATGATCAAGGCTTAGCTTAGTATTTAGATAACAAGCTATTAAAAATGGCCACTCACAAGCATGTTAAAAAATGTTATAAATAGTAAGTTAGGGTAAAAAGAAATGCAAGACTACATTTTCACTGTACCAATTTTATTTAAAAAGTTTCTTTCTAATGAACACATATACTTATGAAGTTTATATCTAATGTACACATTTATTTACAATTATAATGTAGGTAGGTAGATGGATGGATGAAGAAAGGATGAATGGATGGATGGGATGGATGGATGGGATGGACGGATGGACAAATGCATGAATAAGTAGGTGGATAGATGGGAAGATCGGTGGGTAAATAGATGTTTGAGTGAATAAATGGATGGATGGGTGGATAAATGGATGGATGGATAAATAGATGGACGAATGAATGGAAGATAGATGGATAGATCATAGATGGATGAATGAAGGCACAAATGAATGAATGAATAGGTGGATAGATAGCTAAATGGCTGGCTGGATGGATGGACAAAGTAATAGATGAATAGGTAGACGTGAGGCTGAGTGGGTGAATGGATGAATGGTTGGATGGACGGATGTATGGATGAATGGATGGATAGAGAAAAGTTTATAGAAATAGATACATGGATAGTCTGACTGACAGCTATTTGGATAAGTTGGTCTTTGAACTCACTCATCAAAAAGAATCTAACATTTACAGCTCTGTGATCTGGGACAGATGACATAACTTCTCTGAGCTTTAGTTCCTCATCTGTACAGCAGGAATAATAACATATATTCAGTCTACTTCTTGCAAAGATCAAATAGCTATTATTTTCCATGAGCCTGACCCATAAGAGTTGTTAAAAAATTGATGGTTTCCTTCCAATTTAAAATTACATTACCTCATAAAGACATTCTTTAAAAATAAGCAGCACTAAATGTTGTACTATTTGGGGGCAAATGAAAATCAAATCCCAAACTGAAAATATGTGTGTCCTATAATTGTACATTACATTTTAAGAAAAACTAGGATGACCAAGAGTATTATATAACTGTACTCCTTAAAGGAATAAAAACAGATACACAGAGAGTTAGACCGTGAACAGATCTACATGATCTTTTTGTCTATAAGGTAAGGGCAGGAAAGGAAACAAACAGGAAAAGCGAGAGTTTAATTTTTAATCTATCAAAATGACCCAATATGAGTGAAATAATATGTGCTCTCTTCTGAATGGAGATGCAATTACCATACTGCATGAAATGTCTCAAGCATTACCTTATTTAGTGCTGACTTTATTGCTTTCTTCATGTTCTCTAATCATTCAGATCATTTTAATGTGCACCTTCTCTGCCTTGTCTGTGGACAGCCCTGAGGACCTGGTTCCTAAGTCACCAGGCAGGATTTAGGTGACAGTTAAATTTTGCCTAGCCTCTGGTTTGGCTCATCGGGTCTCCATACTTTATTTCATAATATTAATATCATTACATTGTTATATAATGTAATTGTGGTCCCCAAGAAATTCCATGCCTGAATTCCCAGATCTGTGAAATATGTCACCTTACATGGCCAGAAGGACTTTGCAGCTATCATTAAAGTTACTAATTCATTGACCTTCAGATAGGAAAGTGTTTTTGTGCATTTTGTGCTCCCATAACAGAATACAACAGACTAGGTAATTTATAATAACAGAAATCAATTGACTCAAGGTCCTGAAGGCTGGAAGTCCAAAATCAATGAGCTAGCATCTGCCGAGGGCCTTCTTGTTACATCATCCCATGGTGAAAGGGCAAAGAGAGGGTGAGAGAGTGCAAGAGATCAAACTTGCAGCCCCAGGCCCATTTGTAATCAACATTAATCCACTCATGAGGGTGCAGCCTCCAGGACCCAAACACCTCCAATTAGGCCCCACCTCCCAACAAGGTCACATTGGGAATTAAGTTTCCGACACATGCTTTTCGGGGGACGCATTCAAACCATAGCAAAAGGTGGTTCTGGATGGTTTGGGTGGGCTCCATGTAATACCGTGAGCCCTTAGAAGAAGAAGCAGAAGACAAAGTAGAGAGAGGTTGTTTGAGGGAAGACCAGAGAAATCTGAAGCAGGAGAAGAATTCTGCCCATCTTTGCCAACTTTGAAGATGAAGAAAGGCAGCCAGAACTGAAGAAATTGGGGAGCCTCTAGAAGCTGAGAACAACTCCAGATGATAGCCAGCATAGAAACAGTGACCCCACTCTGATGATTACCAGGAGCCGATTTCTGATGATAACTCAAATGAGCTTGAAAGTGGATGCTGTCCCAGAGCCTCTGGATTAGAGCTCAGCCTGGTGGACACCTTGATTTTAGCCCGACGATACCCCAAGCAAAGGACACAGCAACGTCATAGCCAACTTCTGACCTGCAGAACTGTGAAATAATCACTTTGCATTGTTTTAAGCTCCCATATATATGGGAATTTGTTAATGTCACAACAGAAATCTAAAACAGTAATGGAATGTATTATAATATAGCATGTCTATAAGCAAGAATGCATAGGGAAATCTAGTTAAAATATAATAAACAACAATGAAAAGATTATTTCCTGAGAAATCTGACTCTTTCCCAAGAGAATAAAAGATCATCATTTACTCTCCCAGGGAGAAAGAAAGATTCCCTTGTCTCTCCCAATTTTGTAGGAGAGACTGTTAATTTCACCACTTATACATTGCTACGTTGTTTTTTGGTTTTTTAAGACAGAGTCTGGCTCTGTTGCCCAGGCTGAAGTACAGTGGTGCGATCTCAGCTCACTGCAAACTTCACCTCCCGAGTTCATGTGATTCTCCTGCCTCAGCCTCTCGAGTAGCTGGGATTACAGGTGTGCACTGCCACTGGCTTTTTTTTTTTTATTTTTACTTTTAGTAGAAACAAGGGTTTCACCATGTTGGCCTGGCTGGTCTAGAACTCCTGATCTTAAGTGATCCACCTGCCTCGGCCTCCCGAAGTGCTGGGATTACAGGTGTGAGCCACTACACCCGGCCGTCACCACTTATGCATTTAGTAATAATACTATAATATTATTTTAATTATATTATATTACCTGCACTATAATAAGTTGTATGTTCTAATAATACTATTTTAAAATTTGTATTTTATGCATAAGTTCTTTTGTGTTTTTTATATTTAATATGCACATGCATATTTATGTCAGAAAACCTGTAAATACTATTACAGATTCGTAATTTCCTTTTGAACTTCCCCTCCATCTCACCCCAGTTCACTGCCTTAATTTTCTATCCCTGTTGTAATGAATTACCAAAACCTCAGTCACTTAAAATAATACCAATTTATCATGTCATAGTTCTGTAAGTCCGAATCCTGACATGGGTCTCACTGGTTTAAAATGAAGGTGTTGTCAGGGTTGTGTTTCTTCTAGAGGCTGGAGGAAGGCATTTGTTTTCTGACTTTTCCATCTTCTAGAGGTTCCTTGCATTCGTTGCCTCATGGTTTGGTAAGATGCTGAGCAGAGAACACAACAATGTTGTGTAAGATTTCTGACTTACAGAACTGCAAGGAATAAATTCTGCCAATCTTCAAAGTCAGCAATATTGTATCTTTCAGACCATTCTTCTATAGTCACATCTCCCTCTCACCACAGCTGGGAAAGGCTTTCCAATTTTAAAAACTCATGTGATTAGTTTGGACATACTTGGCTAATCTCTTATAGCCTCCACACATCAAGACTCTTAATTTAATCACAATTACAAAGTTCCTTTTGTCGTGTAAGAAAACATTCATAAGTTCTGGGGAGTAGAATATAAACAGCTTCCCTACAGTCTACACTGGGCAGAAAGCAGGCACTTAGTGACTTGCTTATAAATTCAACTGTGATTGGTCTCTACTGGAGGCTCAGAGAAGACATGAAAGCCCAAATTCCTATTTTCTGTCCATGCCATTTGTGATAAAAACTGAGGAAAAGCAGGAAAAGGAGATAGTGGGGTAGTATGCATTGGTCAAGTCAATATTCAAACAGAACTGCTACATGTGCATTTGGGCACCAATGAGCGCATTTAAATTGTGCAATCCATGTCACAAATGTAGTTTCAGTGTCCTTGTTTCAACAGGAACATGCATAAGGGAATATGGAATTGAGTCAAGTCAGTAGTCTATGAAACACAGAAAGTGAATTTAAGGCTTCCTAAAAGGTTGCCGTGACGATCCTCCCTGTCTTTGAGTACATCATTCACCTCCAGGCAAGAACAAATAATACATCTCATGGATTGAGGAGGAGAAAATATTTCCTTGGACACCTGAAAGGATCTGCTATCACATCAGACAGTGTGCACAATGAGAAGGCAGATTTCTCCACATAATCGCCAGCACAAAGCTACGATGGAAGGGGCAGAATAGCCCTGCCATAATGGCATGATGGAGCTTTCTCTCCTGATGTCAGGTGACTTTTGTCGCACTTGGGAAATCTCAGAGAATGGCCTACCGTTAGCAAATTGTGCTCATCAGCATGTGCATACGCACACACACAAACACAAGCACACACATCCTGGAAGGGAGTTAGAATTCCAGCAACCTCACCCTGGCTCCAATGTCTACCTTCTAGCCTTGGTATTTCTTCCCCCTGGCCCCGCATTCCACGTGTTTAGGTGGGAACTTACTGCCATGGTCAGAAGGCCTTTTTCATTTCCAGCTCTGGAATCTGGAATTCTAGAAACACACACATGTTGAACAAGTATGTACACTGATGCGCAACCCATCTGTAGTTCTCATTGGAAAATGCCCCAGCCCTTTCTGTGGCTAGAAATTGGCCTTCATGACTCTTTGGTTAACATCTCCCCATCAAGGGAATCAGCCATCCTAGGACACATAAAACAACAGATGGGATATATACCTATTTCTACCAAAAAAAAAAAAATAAGTAAATAACTCAAGGAGTGCCATAACTTGTAATTATCTCAACACAATAGAAATATCAATGTATAATCAGAATGTAAATGATGTGCTAGGTTCTCATTAAATCATGCTTTTCTAGAAAAATAAAGACAAAATAATTTTCATCCACTACCCTGTTGCCAGAGATCCATGTGAATCAGAGAAGGTAAGGATGGACATGACCTGTTCTGTCTGCTTTCTTATCCCCCTCGCCAGTGAGGATGTGTTAGCTACATACAATATTCTTTCCAGAACCTTTTAATTATTTGGAAAGAAAGTGCTATATGGTCAAGGAGAAAATCCTCAGATAATTTGTATTCTTTCTCTTTAGAATATGATTTTAAAATCTAGACGAGTTAACTCATTTGCCTCTGCAAATCGAGCTTGAATGAATGCCCAAAGTAAGGCAGGTGGATGGAGGTGTCCACTCACTGCCATCTGTCTCTTAGAATTAAAATTGTCACGCAGATAGCTCAGAGCAAAAATTTCTGAGAGACTTAGGCTAGAGTCAAGGTAGCAAGAACTTTGCATTGATGACATTTCAAGTTGCCCATGGCAGATGGGTGTGGGTATGATACATATTTTTGAATAATTTTCTACGTGCTTCTAAAACCTTCAACTCCCCCATCCAAACTCTTTGGGCTTAATTACAGAACCGCAGCATTCAAAATACTCAACAACTTATTGCCACTCATTGGCAATTAACTCAGATTATCACAAAATTGATACAGGAGGTCCAGCTGGATGAATAACATGAGCTGGCTAGAGAAGGGGGAAAATTTTGTCATGGAAGGAGCATTAAAATGGGAAGTTGGCTATCTGGGGATTGTCTGTCTTTTGTTGTTTGTTATTTTGTCTGCAAGATGTCCTTATCAAAACTTCTACCTTCTCTGGACTTCAGTATTTCTTTGCTAGTAGAATAAAGACATTGAACTTGAAAGTGACTGTGCTCCATCAAGTCATGCATGTCTAAAGGGCTTCAGCTGGGCTCTTGGGGTCCACAAGAGAAGTTTCTTCCTTAAACATTCTTGAAATAGCACAGACTCCCTTTCTGTCAGCCATAGCCATGCTATCTATGTCAAGTCTTTCTGACAAATTGGTTCAGAGAATAAACACAACCATGTTTTTATCTTCTGCATCATAGGTAACTACACACAGGTAACAGCTTCCTAAGGAATAGCACATTGATGATCTCATCCAGTCTGATTAAACCCTAAGTCAATGCAGCTTTCAGTGTTTATTGCACATTTTTTTCATTGCCTTCTTTTGAGGCAATAAGTAGTAGGGAGTGCGGCAAACTGATTAACAGAGTTATTTCCTCTGGGCCTAGGACTCTGTAATATCTCCCGTTTCTGTTTCTTCAGGGATCACAAATCTGATCTGGTTTCTAGGATTAGGTCCCTCATGTCTGATTTTCCTTTTTCCTATATTTTTGGACTTTCTAGATCATCTGTAGGCACTGCCCAAAAGCTGTCTTTGCCAAAAGAGGAGCAGTCGTTAGAAATTTGGGGTGTGGAAGGAAATAATTGTCCCAAAAATGTCCCTGAGCACCACCACTCCCCCGACCATGATAAATTTCTTGCCTTGGACCATTCTTTGTGAGTCAATGAAAGTTGTTTTGCTCACATACCCTAAACCAACGGGTTTTTCACATTAGGGTTAAAATTATTTACCATTCAAATGAAAACTTATGTGATGCTTCACATAATATGTCATGAGAGGAATGTAACTTAAAACAACGAGAGACCACCACACACCTATTAGAATGGCCAAAATCCGAAAACTGACAACATCAAATGCTGGTGAGGATGTGGAGCAACAGGAATGCTTATTCATTGGTGGAAGGAATGCAAAATAGTACAGCCACTTTGGAAGACGGTTTGGCAGTTTCTTACAAAACTATCCATACTCTTACTATACTATCCAGCAATTGCACTCTTTGGTATTTACCCAAAGGAGTTAAAAATGTATGCCCCCCCCTCCCCCATACACACAAAAAAACTGCACCTAGATTTTTTAGTGCATTTATTTATAATTGCCAAATCTTGGAAGCAACCGAGATATCCTTTAGTAGGTGATATGGTTTGGCTGTGTCCCCACCCAAATCTCATCTTGAATTGTAGCTCCCATAATTCCCATGTGTTGTGGGAGGGACCTGGTGGGAGATAATTGAATCATGGAGGTGGTTCCTCCATACTGTTCTCATGGTAGTGAATAAGTCTCATGAGATCTGATGGTTTTACATGAGGTTTTCCCCTTTTGCTTTGCTCTCATTCTGTCTTGCCTGCTGCCATGTAAGACGTGACTTTCGCCTTCTGCCATGATTGTGAGGCCTCCCCAGCCACGTGGAACTGTGAGTCCATTAAACCTCTTTCTCTTTATAAATTACCCAGTCTCTGGTATGTCTTTATCAGCAGCATGAGAATGGACTAATACAGTAGGTAAATGGATAAATAAACAGTGGTATATCCAGCAATGGAATATTATTCAGCACTAAAAAGAAATGAGCTATCAAGCATGAAAAGACATGAAGGAAACTTAAATACATATTACTAAATGAAATAAACCAGTCTGAGAAGGCTACATACTATATGATTTCAACTACAGGACATTCTGGGAGAGGCAAAACTATAGCAACAGTAAAAATATATTGGTGTATTCCAGGAGTTAGTGGGGAGAAAAGGATGCATATGTGAAGCACAGAGGACTTTTAGGGCAGGGAAATTACTCTGTATGATCCTATAATGGTGGATCCATGTTATTATCCATCTGCCAAACCCATAGAACGTACAACATCAGGAGTGAACCCTGATGTAAACTTTGGACTCTGGGTGACAATGATGTGTCCTCATAGGTTCATCAATTGTAAAAAATGTACTGCTCAGGTGGGGGATGTTGGTAATGGGGATGGGGGGGTTGTGCATATGTGGGGATAGGAAGTATATGGAAACTCTCTGTACCTTCCTCTCAATTTTGCTGTGAACATAACAAATTTCTAAAAAATAGTCTTTTAAAAAAAAGGTAATCTGACTCTAAAAATCTGACTCTAAAAAAACATTTAAAAAATGCATTTTAGGTTGGGCGCGGAGGCTCACGCCTGTAATCCCAGCACTTTGGGAGGCCGAGGTGGGTGGATCACAAGGTCAGGAGTTCGAGACCAGCCCGGCCAATATTGTGAAACCCTGTCTCTACTAAAAATACAAAAATTAGCTGGACATGGCGGCGCACTCCTGTAATCCTAGCTGCTTGGGAGGCTGAGGAAGGAGAATTGCTTGAACCCAGGAGGCAGAGGTTGCAGTGAGCCGAGATTGCGCCACTGCACTCCAGCCTGGGTGACACAGCAAACTCTGCCTCAAAAAAAAAAAAATGCATTTGAATAAAATATTTTGGCCAGGTGTGCTGGCTCATGCTTATAATCCCAGCACTTTGAGAGGGTGAGGCGGGTGGATGAGTTGAGCCCAGGAGTTCAAGACCAGCCTGGACAACACAGCAAAACTCTATCTCTACAAAAAAATACAAAAATTAGCCAGGTGTGGTGGTGCATGCCTGTAGTCCCATAGTCCCAGCTACTCTGGAGGCTGAGGTGGAAGGATTGCTTGAGCCCAGGAGGTCAAGTCTACAGTGAGCCATGTTCATGCCACTGCACTCCAGCTTGGGTGAGAGTGAGATCCTCTCCCTCTCTCTCAAAAAAAATGCATTTTATTTATAGAAATTAACACATAATATTTATTTAATGTAAGTTCAATGAACCAGATCAATAGAGTTATTGAGATGTGCATAAATGCTTGAAATCCACAGTTAAAGATGACTTGCAGTCTTATCAACTTCCGGGTCAAATTTCTTTCTTTGTTTTTTTCTTTTTAGAGATGGGATCTCACTGTGTTGCCCAGAATCAACTTTCTTTCTTTATCTTGTTCTGTCTGCAGTATTGAGAAAACCCTGATTAACTAAAAGAAATAGTCACACATGCCAATTCTGTGTGTGTGTGGGGGGGGTTATGTGTGTGTATGTTTTATGTATTATGTGTTGTGTGTGCTATGTGGGGAGTTCATGTGTGTGCTGTTGCATGTGTGTGCTGCGCATGTTGAACTGTGTATATGCTGTGTACGTTCAATTTGCAAGCTTCTTCAATGAAAGAATCTTGGAAGAGACACGATAGGACATTTGTTTCAATGTGAATAGCTCATAATATCTCTCAAAATCTCATATTCCTCTTGCTAAGACCAATTTGGAGAAAGCTGATAAATGAGATTTTCAGCCAGTTTAATTTTCATTTTTGAGACATACTTTCCAAATATATGTTACTATTATGAAAAACGTAACATATACACTTACATATGTATTTATATGTATACTTGAATATAAAATGCCTCCTTGTCAGTCTCAGGCATTCATTCAATCTCTTTTAAAACCCTCACATTTATTTATATTGTTGTGTAGGAAAAATCCACTGTGGCTTTACTGCTGACACTCTATCTGCAATGGTAAACCTAATATTGACACTGGGTATTACCAAATTGTACCTATTTAGATTATTAAAAACAAGACCCAAGGCACAAAGAGTGGTTCTGTGTCTTAGCAGTATTTAATAGAATTTCTATAACTGCAAAAGAAAAAAACTAAAATAATGCAAATGTTAAATGTATGTATATTGACAATTACACAGTCCTATCTGTGGCATTGCCTCCTAACGATGGACTTAGGTAGGAAAAAGTAAATTCAAAACTTGTATTTGAACTATTACATATATTGTGAAAATATATCCACCAAGATATCTGTACATCAGTACAACTGAAATAGAACAAAAGTACCAAACACTGGCATTTCTTAATAGCTAGTGTTTAACTAAGCAATATAAAATGACTTCACTATCTGCTGGTTACAGCTTTATGAGCACCCCTCTTCCAACAGTTTTTAGTCTCATTGGCTTCGGACCATCAATTAAAGGTCATGTCATTTTTGCCAACTTATCCAGAGAGTGTTACAATGGGTCTAAGCTCTTTAAAATGTCCTCTGCTTTTATTCCCGTGTCAAATGATTTAAAACCTCATGGGAGACCTTGAATCACAATCACCCTATTGAGCTGCTCCAGAATTTTCTGACCCTACAGAAATGGAAAGACAAAAAGTGTGTGAGTTTTTTGGGGAGGTCATTCTAAACCACTGAGTTTTGAGATAATGTATTATGCAGTGAAAGATAACTAATACAGCCATCTTCTTTCACCTGTGGTGTCCAGAAGCTCCAATGGACCAAAGGCAAAGCTCAAAGTGACTAAGAACAGGCTAAACAGGGGCACCCTGGCTCTAATGAATGGACTTTATCCTCCTGGAGCCCTTGGGAATGTAAGACATAATTCTGCGTCTCCTGAGCCCTTGAAATGGCAGTGTTTCCGTGAATTAAACACCACTTTGGGCTCCAGTCACCCTGATAACTGAAAACTCAGTCTGAGAACTGTCAGAAAACCCTTCAGCTGGTCCAGTGGCCCCAGTGGAGGGTGTTAATGAGAAACAAGACACAAATATCCTATAAAAAAAGAAAGGGAGTATTGTGAATGCTACCCTAGGTCCTATTGCTCAATTAATAGGGTAGTAATAAGAGGAACTAAGCCACACACACATACACAAAAATAAGCACTGTTCTGTCTATATTAAAAAATGTCATGGGAGTGTTGAGAAAAAGGTGAATCAACAGCATGTCGATGAGCGATGGAAGGTGCAGTCCCAAAAGATCAGCATGCCACTCTGACGTGGAAATCTCCACCCTATGGGAACCATGCCCCTCCAGATTCAATATGGTCCTGAAATCAAACTCCAATCCTGTCCATGAAGAAAATTCTGCATCATAGTTTTGCTAACTAACCATCAGTGCAGTCTTCCTGCTCTCCTCTGAGTGAAACTTGAATTTACCTGTCCAAACAAATATTTAGGAAGCATTGAATATTTATGACACTGTGTTGGTTGCCAATTGCAGCTGTAACAAATGACCACAAAAACTACATAAAATTTTAACCTTACAGTTCCAAAGGTTTTAAGTCCAGAGAGGATCTTACTGGATTATAATTCAGGTATCAGTAGGGCTAAATTCCTTTCTGGAAGTCCTAGGGGAGAATCCATTGATTGTATTTTCCAGATCCTAGAGGCTGCCTGCTTTCCTTGGCTCAGGGATCCCTTCTATCTTCAATGCCAGAAATGGCTGATTGAGTGTTTCTCACCTTGAACCTATTTGGTTCTCTCTGATGAATCCACCTTTCCCATATATAAGGACCCTTGTGATTACACTGGGTCCATCTGGATACTCCAGAATCATCTTCTCATTTTAAGTTCAGCAATTGATTAACAACTTTAATTCCATCTGCAGCCTTAATTCCTCCTTGCTATGCAACATATAACATATTCACAGGTTTTGGCAATTTGGTCATGGACATCTTTGGGCAACCATTATGCTGCCAGCTACAGATAGCTTACTTTTTTCCAGAGATACAACAGTAAATAAAATATTTGCCCTGCCATCTTGGGTCTCCAATTCTAACGGGGAAAATGGTGTGCAACCAAATATTTCAACCATACGGCCCAATAAGAACATAGAAGACATGAGTCGGAGACATCAGCTGGATAAGTCTCCTCAAGGAGGTAGCATTTGAGCTAAATCTTAAAGAACAAGTATTCTGATGCCAAATTGTATTAGGATTCTCCAGATAAACAGAACCAATAGGATATATAGGTATAGATATAAACACAGATATAGATATGGAGATATACAAGATGGGATTTATTATGCAAATTGGCTCATACAATTATGAAGACAAGAAGTCCCACAATGATGCCATATTCAAGCTGGAGAACCAGGAAAGCCAGCAGTATAATTAAGCACAAGTTCGAAAGGCTAAGAACCAGGGGAATGGATGGGTAACTCCCAGTATGAGGCCAAATTCCTCAGATCAGGGAGGACCACTAGTCCCAGAGTCTGAAAGCCTGAGAACGAGAAGCTGGGATGTCTAAGGGAAGAAGATGAATGTCCCAGCTCAAGAAGAGAAAGCAAATTCACCCTTCTTCTGCCTTTTCGTTTTATTTGGGCTCCCAATGGATTTGAGAATGCCTGCCCACATTGGTGAGGGTGGATCCTCTTTACTTAGTCTACTGATTCAAATGCTCATCTCTTCCAGAAACACTCTCACAGATACACCGAAATCAATGTTTTACCAACTCTCTGGGCCTCTTTTAGCCTAGTCAAGTCGACACTTACAATGAACCATTACACAAATGAATGCTGATGGTAAGATATTGAGCTCCAGGTAAAGGTATATGGAATATAAGACCTACAAGGAAAGTTACTTGGAGTCCTTATGTAAAAATAAATAGGGGTATTGAGAAGCGTGAAGCTGGGGCAGGACATGATTAGACCTGCATGTGAAAACAATCTCTCTGACCAAAAAACGAAGAAGCTGGGGGCAAGAAGACCAGTTACCTGTGCCTTAATTCCAATAACAAGCTCTTTTTTTGTTGTTTTCTTGTATGACAATCAACCTCGCAGTCCATTCCAAAAATGGCAACTTTTCCATCCCTAATTGCATGCTTTAATTTGCAGACCAATGTTTCAAGTCCTTATAAGGGCTGGAATAACATCCTTCAATCCCAGTCTCTTAGTACCTGGTAAAACCATCCCAGTCCAAGTCCTTGGATTTGCCTGAATTTCCTTTTAGAGCATTCCCAGCATGAAGGATTGTGTTCCCTTAACTCAGCTATGTCTTCCTCTCTTTTCTTTACACTCACTGATATCTTGAAAGGACAGATTGAATATTTTCAAAAGTAGAAGAAACAATCCTGTGAAATAGCAAATAGTCCTTCCCTAGAAATATTCAGCCCCTTAATGATGATATGAAAACTACGAGAAATACTATAGAAGGGAGGGTTGCATTGTGAGGAAGTCTTGCTGGGGTGCCTTTTAGGATGTTGCTACCTAAAGTGGAGTCTGTGGATGGCTGCTATTCCCAAGTCATTACCAATCTGCAACGAGTTAAGTAAAGAAATGGAGAGTAAGCATTTTAAAATATGTACAGCACTTCAATAGAGTAATTGTATAGCTCTTGAATCTAATAGTAAAAATAAGAGCTTGTATTTGTAGGTCTCTATTTCTTCCTTCTCAAAACTTGTTTTTATTTATAAAACTGTACTGTAAACATTGTAAACATTGGTTTTGGAAACATTGGAAATTTTTTTTGAAAAGTGTCAGTTTTCTCTGGGAGGCCGAGGCGGGCGGGCGGATCACGAGGTCAGGAGATCGAGACCATCCTGGCTAACACGGTGAAACCCCGTCTCTACTTAAACTACAAAAAAATTAGCCGGGCGTGGTGGCGAGCGCCTATAGTCCCAGCTACTCGGGAGGCTGAGCCAGGAAAATGGCGCGGCGTGAACCCGAGAGGCGGAGCTTGCAGTGAGCGGAGATCGTGCCACGGCACTCCAGCCTGGGTGACAGTGCTAGACTCCCTCTCAAAAAAAAAAAAAAAAAAGAAAAGTGTCAGTTTTGGATGTTTTTCCATCTCTCCAGTGTGGTAACTCAGGTAGACACAGGGGCATGGCTGTGAGACTCCCTCTCCTACCTGCTCTCACTTGGCCTCCCTGGGATCTCTACTGCCCCACCCTTTGCATTTAAATCTCCACCAAACCCTACTGGACCTTCCATTGCTCTTGTCATCAGTTTTGACCTTAGCTTTGGTATCTTAAACTATGCACTTCAGATTCAAAAAAGGCATGTCCTCAAAATTCTAACTTGTATTAAGAAAAAATGAGTATTACTGATGAGCTACTTTGTTCTAACAACTACTGAGTATTTTATATATTAATATATTGTCTTTTACCCTTACAATAGCCATGAGGGAGGTGAAACACCTTATAGACAAGGAAAGGGAGTCTATAGACAGTATGCCTGAGCTGGTTTGGGACCAGTGCATGTTCCTTCTGTGCTCTGTCATAATTTATATGCAGGGATCATGCCTAGTTTCACCAAATAATTATAATTTAATATTTTCCTAGTTCAGGGTCATAATCCATCTAAAGTCCAGCTATGCTGACCTAAAACTATAAAAAGTGCTCTACAGGAAGCTCTGTGGTCACTTTTCATAAAACCCTTTAAAGATCTGAATTCTAAGTAGCTAATTGCAAAGGTTCTTTGCTAAACAGTAAAATGAATGATTTTAAAGGCATTATTTAAATAGGATATAAATTTTGATGAAAACTCTGTGGCTCTTGCAGAATCATGAAAATGTCACTTATATACCTTCCCTTTCTCGAAGGCAGGTTGTCAGGAATTGACATTTGATTATGCAAATCTATTTTCTAAGACTAAATTACAGTAGAAAGATCCAAAACAGAAATGATTTTAGAGTTGTGTACTGCCAGTACCCACCCCCAAAAAAAGGAATTTAAAGAAAAAAAAAATTGCCTAAACTCAAACTCTTTTAGAATTACCATAAAATCTAAAATTTCAATACAGTTTGGACAAAGAGAAAATAAGAATTCTTGTCTCCCATTAAAAATCTGTTTAATCACAATCTTACTTTATTTTTCTCCCTTGTCTGAGCCAACACAATCTTACTTTTAAGTGACACAAAAAGATCCCAACCTTCATATATTATCAACCTTAAAATCATATCTGCCACTTGGCTATTTTGTGTGTCCCAGACAATGACAAAACTCTTTATGATCAGGATCTCATTGACTTCTCACAATATCCAGTATTACACAAATGAAGAAAATAAGTGTATTGGTTAGCTATTGCTGTATAACAAATGGTTCCAAGACTTAGTGGCTTAAAACAACAGCCATTTATTATTCCTCACATATCTCTGTGAATCAGCTGGCATCAGAATCAGAAGCATTTCTGATCTAGAATGAGCTTATTGGTCTTGGGTGGCCTTGATCCTGCATTCAGACTAGCCTGGGCTTGTTCTCATAGTAGTGATTGGGTCAAAGAAAGGAAGTAGAAGGGAAAAAGTGCTTTGTGAAACCTCTGCATATGTGATATTGGCCAAAGCAAGTTACAAGACTAAGTCCAGGATCAGGAATAAGAGAAACTGCAACATAGCTGAGTCCTGGGCTGGTTTAGGAGTCGGGTCTGAATCCCGTGCATGTGCTTTCTACCTTGCCTCATGAAATTTACACCAAGGGATCCTGTGTACATCTTCACTAAACAATTACAATTAATCCTTACCTAGTTTAGAGTCAAGAAAGTGGCTGTTGTCCTGCTGATCAAATTTATAAACATGCACCACAGGAAGCAGACAGAGAAGCACTTTTCACAAAGCCCTTTGAAGATCTGAACTGTAGGCAGCCAGTTGCAAAGGGTGTGGATATAGGGTGGCCGTTCAACAGGGCAGTTTGTGCAATCAGTCAATTACATCAAGGCTGAAATAATTTAACAAGTTATCCACCATCAGGCAACTAGTAATTTGAAAATAGGTCTGTGGGACTCCAAAGTCTGCAGTCGAGAGGCCGTTTTACCTCTGTTATATGGGACTAATATTACGGATTTTATCTGGCTTATTTGTTGAAAATTTTGTAGACATTACAGATGGAGAGAATGTGAACACTGAAGCTGTGACTGTGGCAACACCAGAATGTAACAGATGCTGCAAACAAAAATGAGGTGAGACAATGATGTGATTTGGATGTTTCTCCCCTCTAAATCTCATGTTGAAATGTGCTTCCCAGTGTCCCGGAGGTGGGGCTTGGTGAGAGGTGATTGAATCATGGGGGTGGATCCGTCTTGAATGACTTAGCCATCCCTTTGGTGATAAGGAAGTTCTCAATTAGTTCACGCGAGATCTGGTTGTTTAAAAGAGTCTGGGACTTCCCCCCACTCTCTTACTCCCACTCTCATCATTTGATATGCCAGCTTCCTGAGGCCTCATCAGAAGCAGATGCTGGAGCCATGCTTGTAGAGCCTACAGAACCATGAGCCAATTAAACCAGCTTTCTTTGTAAATTACACAGCCTCAGGTATTCCTTTAGAGCAATGCAAAAATGGCCTAACACAGTTGGGAATGCGGAATTTAAAAAGGAAGTATTCCCTAACTCTCAGATCCCTTCGCCAGATCAAGGACGTGAAAATGGATCAAACCGTGGAAGGCACGTTCCTTTGGGGAAGTTACAAAGAGTGTGATTCCCATTTCCCTGGAGCTGGGAAGTATGTGGGGTGGTAGACCCGCACGTCAGTGTGAAGAATGTGACCTCTATTGGAAGCCCTCTGAGAGCGTGATGCCGCTCCTTGAAGGTGAGATGTACCGAAGACTACATCAGGCGCCTAGCTCAGACCTGAGAAGGGAAAGTGGGTCATGCGAGCAAGTGTCTCAGGGTTCCCCCAACGTTCACCACCCAATAATTTGTACCTTGACTTGAATGATCTTAACATGTGAGCATCATTTAATGAATATGAGTTTTTTCAATCCAGCTTGGTGCATCTTAGGAAAGCCTCAAGTTGTGCAAATCTGGTGTGAGAGTAGAAAGACCTCTACGTGGACACTCTGGATTCTTTATGCTTGAGTGGTAGGACCTGGGCAAGAGACTCAAGCTCTCTGTTTCCTTTTTGGTATCCTAGATCATATTGACCTGGCCAAACTTACAAGTTGGTTGGAGGCTTAAATAGAGTAATGGATGAGCATATCTTAAAAAGAGTAAAATGTTATACATATGCATTTAATCATCTCTTGCATAAATACAGAGCCCTGCCCCCATGTGCCCCAAAAAGCCAATTCTAATTTTCTTAGATTCCAGGCACTCTCTTCTAACTGATCCAGGTAAAATCTACTATGAACCTACCATAGAAAGGAGGAAGCGGATGGATGTGCTGATGAGTAAATATAAAGAATGAGATTTCTGTAAGTTCACTGCATATAGGACAAACTCTAAAATGCTAAGTAGTTATGTCCACAGCACAGTAAAAAAAACCAATCCAGTTTCCTGACTGTGAGCTTACATCATTCTTTACAGTACTACACATTCCCAAACTGCCTCCATTCCAAACATAGCATTCTATTTCTAGCATTGTAAATCAAAGCAGGAAAGTGTTGGAGGTTTTAGAAGGCTTTTGCTTCACCTTTCTTAAAATGTACATGAGTTTCTCTAAATTCCTGATCAAGACAACATTTATCTTCTTCAGGCACACTCCTGTGGTTCTAGAAGGGGCAAGACATAAATTAAAAAAAAAAAAGGAGATTGGAATTCTAAAAGAATAAGCATTTGAAAACCACCAACTTCCTCAAAATTTACATGACTGTGCAGGTTTCCACAAACACTTTCACTACATGCTGCGGTCATCACGCTCCACTCTGAGTCCCTGGACAGAAAAATAAAGTGCACGTCAGTTGTTCAGGAATTTAATATCCAATGGGCAAGGAAGCTTTGCTGCAGCTACATTTATTTTAAAAAATAGGATTGATAAGATGCAAGGTTGGAGACACGGGTGGTGGTTGTTCCAGACAACGTCCTAGGATAAAGAATTACTGTTTTTAAACTGAAAACTGAAAATCTAGCCAACACCAATTTGTCATAGATCCTAAAGAAATCCACAGAATCAGAGTATTTAATTAATCTAAATGATAAATTGCCTATGAATCTCAACTGCGCAGGCAGCACCTATGAGCAGAAAATTCACACAAGAAAGAAAAATAAATGGGAATACTGGTGGTGTTAGAAATTTACCTTATAAACAACATTATTCTAAATTTTGCAGCCTAATACTTTGGAGTCTTATAATATATTTGCTCATAATCCCCGAAGGAGTGAAAAATTAGCAGTATTCTTTAGGGCTTCTCCAAAGATGTATAGCCATGCACATTTGCTGTTGCCAAATACACACATTTAAATGAAAATAGCTGACACCTGGTAGAGTCACCCTCTGGAGACATATACAGAAACATTAATCTGAGGTTAACCCAACAACCCAATGTAGACATGATGTACTATATAGGAAAATAAAATACACAGTCATATGATTATTCATCTGACAGTAATAGTGTAGCCTCCTTAGGGAAAAAGATAAAGGGAAAAATCCATTGAATATTTTGAAAAGTTCATTTTTAATCACATCTCCCAGGCATCTAACTTATTTGTAGGCTTTGCAATCATACAGATATATAAATATATATTTGAAATCTCTTCCCCTGGAAAATTACCATTCTTTAAGAGAAGACACCTCCTAGAATCTATCAAAGAAAAATCACGTTTATATGAAAAGATCATTATTTCCTTTCTTGAATTCTGAAGCATCTTTGAAGAGGGAGGAGAATTTGCAAAATCAGGAAAGGGCTGCTCTCAGAAAATCCAATCACTTTTCAAGCAATGATACAATGCCAGATGTTAAAATTTGTCTGAAGATTTCTAGAGAAGTGAAAGCAATTAGACGTTATCCTTCATTTCTTCTGTTCAGAATCTCATTACCAAAGATTGCAGACGTGTCGGTTATGATGTACATCTTGCAGGTGGCACTTTGTCATTGTTAAAATAAAGTGGGGTAGAACAGAATCTTATTATAATTTTTCCTTGGTGGGGTGGGATGAAAGAGAGGAAGATGGAGAGAAAGGGAGAGAGAGAGAGAGAAGGGAGCGAGGAATTAGATGCTATGCATATACAATAAACCTTATTAATTGCATTATTTTGAAATGTTATTTCCTAGTTACGATAATTACAGGGCATTTTAAACCATTTTAGCATGTAACACACAATGATAAACTCTATCATACGTATCTTCTGTGATGTGGCCACAAAAGAAGGCTACCATAAGAATGTCACACCACAGCTATCCCATGGGCACTGAAAACCAGAAAGCAATATGGGTATCACCTTAACACAGGCACCACCAACTGTGGAATCAGGGACACAGAGTCCAACTCTTGCTCCACTCCCAATAGCAAAAAACCTTGGCCAAGTCACCAGTCCCTTTGTCCATGCAATGATGGAGTGATACCACATCATCCCCAGAAACCTTTTCCAAGTCTACGGTGCCTTAATACTAACTAATTTTGACTGTTTCCAACAGCTCCAAGGGTGTTTCTGAAGAATGAATTTGGAACATGTGGTAAGGCAGATGACAATGTCTTCATTTCTATATGTCAAATAAAGCCTCTGGTCTTTTTCTACTGACAGCTGAGGAATTCATGCAGAAGAAAGTAACAACCTGTACAGATGCATTTGACCAGCAGGCTTGCATAATTCCAGGAGCACCTACTCTGTGCATGGCTACAGGAGAAACAGCAGAAATAAGAGAGACACAGCATGGTCTCCACCCACAAGTCCAGCTCTCCCTGCAAGACATTGGAAGGGCATACTGGTGTCAGGCAGAATTCACTCAGTACACCCCCAAAATTAGAATGTAATGTGTTCCTGTCAGGGTAAGATCAACTTTGCAAGGCCAATCGGGCTGATGCATACTCAGCATCCCTTTGCTGGGTCCCAGCAGCCAGAGCTGCTGATGGTATTTGCAGGCTGGCAGGGGTGTTGTCTGCTCTGCAGCCAACCTACAGCACTTGGGTGTAGGGCTCACCAGGAAAAGGACAAAGCCATCCAGCTCCATGATCCTCATGCTCCTTAGGGTCTGTTTATAGCTTAAAAAAGTGCTTAAGTTTTGTAAAACAGCCAACTTCACTAAATGATTGCAAATTCATTCTCAAACAATAATTGTGAAAACCATTCATTAAGCTCACGTCATTTTATTCAGAAAGAGAGAAAACAAGAGGTGATTTTTAAAATAGACTAATATCTTTAATATTTGTAAACACTATTTTTAATATTTTTTAATAAAGAGACTAATATATTTAATGTATCATCCATGTGTTACAGTCTCATCAATGTACCACAATGTAGCAGTCTCTCATTGTGAGGTATCACCCGGAGTTCTTTGTCTCACAACCAAGAGAATTGAGGAGCATGGATACAAAGGATGAGGTTGGAACAAAAGTTTAATAAGTGAAAGAAGAAAGCTCTCTGCTGCAGAGAGGGGATCTGGAAAAGGGTTACCACTTTTACAGTTGAATGCAACGGCTTTTATAGGAAACTGATGAGGGCCAGGCATCTCTTTTGCATAAGGCACACATTTCTGGTAGCTCCACCACTTCCTACTAATGCACATGCAAGCCCTTAGACTCCACATTGCTTTGCTCCTCTTATTGCTCATGTGTCAGGGGACAGAATTTTCCATTGTAGGCACGTCTGGGCAAGTCACCTGTGTAGACTTTGTTATCTATGCAGCTGTCGGCATGTCTTAGGCAAGCCCCCCTGTGCAAGTTCCCTTATCTATGTCTACAGGCTGTTCTTTTGTTTGAAAGAACTCAACAGAAGACCCACCTTAACTGCCTGCCTGCCTGATGGGGTTTTTTTCTTTCTCCTCTCTCACATGGAACATAGTCATTATGGCAACTTGGTGGGAATTCCGGGCTCATGTTAAAAATTTCCTCCCATAGCTCCCAAGTCCAAAGTCACTGGTATCCATGAACAGTAAGTGGTCTTGTCAATTCTGAAAATATTCCCCCCTTTTGTGTGTGTTTTTTTTTTTAATTGGGATTAAGCTCACATAACATGAAATTAACAATTTAAAGTGTGCAATTAATTCCATGGCATTTAGTGCATTCACTGTTATGCAACCATCACCACTATCTACTTCCAGAACATTTTTGTCACCTGTAAAGGAAAACTCATACCACTAAATGGTCAATCCCCATTCTCCCAGTCCCTCACTCCCGAGGACCACCAATCTCCTTTCCATCTCTGTAGATTTGTCAATTATAGATATTTCATATAAATGAAATCATACAATATGTGGTCTTTTGTGTCTGGCTTCTTTTACAGAGCATGTTTTTAAATTTTTTTTTAAGGCAATGTTTCTGTCTTGTTTCCCAGGCTGGAGTGCAATGGCGCAGTCTTGGCTCATTGCAACCTCCCCTTCCTGGGCTCAAGTGATTCTCCTGCCTCAGCCTCCCAAGTGGCTGGGACTACAGCCATGCACCACCACACCCAGCTAATTTTTGTATTTTTAGTAGAGATGGGGTTTTGTCATGTTGCCCAAGCTGGTCTTGAATTCCTGGCCTCAAGTGATCTGCCCATCTCAGCCTACTAACGTGCTGGGATTATAGGTATGAGGAACCACACCTGGTCTTACAGAGCATGTTTTTGAGGTCCCTCCATGTTGTATCACATATCAGTACTTCCTTCCTTTTTATAACTGAACAATATTCCATCTCCTTTAGTTTTTAATCTTCTATAATGTGTATATCAAATAAAGACCACTCTACTTTCACATGCAGTTTTTCTTTTTTAACACTCTGACTCATAGACTACTTTTTATCCCAGAGCAATTGTGATGCATACACTCTTTAAAGAAATTAGGATTCCAACTTTCAAAACATTCAGAATCAGAAAAAAAGAAAAAAAATCTGCTAGAAATGTGGAGCTACTTACTACCAGTCATCTCAGGTTACAAAGATTGGTCTGTGTAATTTTGTCGAATTTCAAAATTGAAATCCACTTTTTCAATCCAGTGCTAAGCCCTTTCTAAATAGAGCTGACCCTTGAACATTGCAGAGGTTAGGAGCACCAACTCCCCGTTTAGTCAAAAATTCAAATATAACTTTTGGCTCCCCAAAAACTTAACTACTAACAGCTTACTGTTGACCAGAAGCCTTACTGATACTATAAATGGCCAATTAACATATATTTTATGTATTATATACTGTATTATTGCAATGAAATAATCTAGGGAAAATAAAATGTTATTAAGAACGTTATAAGAAAGAGAAACTATATTTACTATTCATTTGATGGAAGTGGATCATCATAAAGGTCTTCATCCTCCTTGTTCTCACGTTGAAGAGGCTGAAGAGGAGGAGGAAGAAAAGGGGTTAGTCTTGCTGTCAGAGGGGTGCAGAGGTGGAAGGAAGTTCACTGATAAGTGGATCCTCAAACTCCTTGTTCAATAAGGTTAAAGGTTAAAGAAAGTTAAAGAAGATAAATGTGCATTATCTATTTCAAGTTCAACTCTCTAGTTTGCAAAAGTAAAATTGACACCTTGGTATAATTTCATGAGACTTAGTTTTTTAAATGAGTTACAGTAGACTCTTGAACAATGAGTTTAAGCTGTGAGGATCCAAGTATCAGTGGACTTCCTTCCACCTCTGCACCCCTGTGACAGCAAGACTAACCCCTCCTCTTCCTCCTCCTCTTCAGCCTCCTCAAAGTGAGAATAAGGAGGATGAACACCTTTATGATGATCCACTTCCACTTAATGAATAGTAAATGTATTTTCTCTTCTTTATGACTTTCTTAATAACATTTTCTTTTCTCTAGCTTACTCATTGCAATAATGCGGTATATAGTACACATAATTTATAAATCCCATATTTTAATTGACCATTTATCTTATCAGTAAGGCTTCTGGTCAGCAGTGGGCTGTTAATAGTTTAAGTTTTTAAGGAGCCAAAAGTTATACTTGAATTTTTGACTACACAGGTGTTGATGTCCCTAACCTCTGCAATTTGCTGGGCTTCCCTCGATGCCCTCATAGAGCTGGTAGCCTTCCCTTCCCTGTCTTAGATGTTTATCCATGCTATGTCCTACAAGCCCCCAATCCCCATTAGATACTGAGTCTTTAGTTTGAATCCTCCGTCTATATTCAATTCAAACATCACTTTGAGTGGCCACAACACTTTTGACCAGCATTTTAAAAAATGTAGTCGGGGGAACAATTGTTTTGAAAGACACTGACAGATGCTAGGATTGGGGATAGTGGAGGAAGAATGGTGATGCAATGAGTCTAAAAATTCTGAATTAAAACAAGCTTCAACCAGTGTCTTACCGCCAAGGTTTCCTGATTTGCATATCTTGAGTATACTAGTGTTCTATGATAGGGGTAGACATTAGAACATTTCTTGGTTTTATTTAGTCTCAGGAACCTTGCTTCAACAACCCTCTCCCTGGGCTAAGGTTCCTCAGTGCAGGCCGTGGAAATGATTCTCTCAGTTCTTGCCAGATATTTATACCTTAGAATGAAAAATATATCTAGGAGCAAATGTGGCTAGCAGTTGGGGGGTGAGCTAAGGGGAACTGAGCTCAGAAGGGGACTTGCAGACATTAACCAGGCTTCTGGGAAGCCCTGTGGCTTTGAGATCGGAGGAACTGAAGATAAACTTGTCTACTTTCTAATATTGCTCTTACGTGCATGTGAACTCTGCAGGCATTACCAATGTTGGAGAGGTGCAATAGGAAAAGAAAGCTGCTCTGTTCAAAGAAGGGATGGAGGTAACTGGACCCTCAGGAAAGCAAAGATCACATGGTGACCACCAAGCAGGTGACCATCCAAAGACAAAAACTCCTTATCAGAGGGATTTAGAAGTAATTAGACTCACCTATTATCTGCAGTGAGCACCTGTTTCCAGGCTTCTTTTCAACTTACAATTTATAGGTGACTAGAATTTCTATACATTTCTGGAATGCATGCATGCCGAAATTCATTGTGCAACCCTTGCTCACATTAGGGCACCAAAATGCCTACAAATGCAATCATTTATCATGCAAATTACCTCTCAGTTCCCGCTTTAAGTTCCATAACTGCTAAGGAAAATGCACCTCGGCACACAGTCCTCTCTTGCCAAGGCACCCAGCTGCATGCTTTTGCTGAGTTTTCTTTCTAATAAAATTTTCCTTTTTCAAACCTACACTGTCGCAAAACACTTTCTGATGCTGGGGTTCTGACACCTTGCATGTCAGGCACCTCTCCACCTGTGATGACTCATTTTATGCGTCAACTTGACGGGCCCACAGGGTGCCCTAACAATTGATTAAATATTATTTTGTGAGGGTGTTTCAGGATGGGATTAACATTTGAATTGGGAGGCTGAGGAAAGCAGATCGCCCTCCCCAGTGTGGGTATCCTTCATCCAGTCCATTGATTTCCTACCTGATTTCTGCCACTTTGACTTAAGTAAGCCAATTAAGAAGACAGATGTTTTAGCATCCATACGTATATTCAAATTAAATTGAAATTTGTATATACCTTGTATTAAACTGTTTTAAAGTAACCATGGCTAGTTAGATGGTTCTGATCTGGCTGCTGTTATGAATTACAGATATACTAAACGAAAGAATGTCCATGTTCCATACCGATGTGTTTAGAACAAAACCAAGAGGTTAAAATCTGAGGAAATTTAGTGAACATTGATTTATTTGTTCAAAAAAAGCAAACAAAACAACAACACTCTACCAAGAGCATTTACCCTGGAGCATGGGAAATACTTTCAGGCAGAGAGAATGAAGAATAAAAGTGTTCTCCCAAAGGAACGTGAACCACAGAATAATCAGAATATAATGTGGCAAACTGGGGGAACCCCACGGAAGCCAATATTTGGAGGAGCACACAAGGGGTTGATAAAGCTGCACTCATAGAATTTCTTCTGAGTAGAGAGAGAAAACCGTGGAAATTGAGACATTTAAATGCACCTGTTAAATATGTTTCAAATTATGGGAATTTTTTAAAATTATTATGATGATTTTGAGACAGTTTCATTCTGTCACCCAGGCTGGAGTGCAGTGACACCATCAGAACTCATTGCAGCCTCAACCTCCTAGGCTCAAGCAATCCTCCCACCTCAGCCTCCCATGTAGCTCAGACTACAGGCACATGCCACCATACCTGTATAATATTTTTATTTTTTGTAGAGACAGGTTCTTGCTACGTTGTCCAGGCTGCTCTTGAACTCCTGGCCTCAAGCAGTCCTCCCACCTAGGCCTCCTAAAGTGCTGGGATTACACCTGTGAGCCACCCTCTGTGCCAGCAAATGGTGGGGATTTAAAAATGAGATGTAAATATGTCTCTTGGTCTTCTATGCCCTCCTACAGAACCTTGGCTGCCATATGTTGAACACTCACCCTGTGCCAGCCTTTATTACAGGTTATTAACTCATGTGAGACAGTAAATAATTTGCCTGGTCTTTGTCCTGGGTTCCCAGCACAGAACTTCTGAAACCTTTGGAATTTCCTGAGAGAATTGTGTCTTCCTTATGGTAATGAGGTGACTCAGGGTGCACTGAAGTTAATAGCGTCAGGATGGGGGCTGGTCACAAGAAAGACCAACTATGTGATTGGAGGGTTGGGGGGATTTTCATCTGCCTGACCTCTGGCGATGGGAGACAGCAGGAGATGAAAGTCAAGAACATGGCTAATACTTAATTGATCATGCTTACCAAACAAAACATGGATAAGAACTCTGGACACTGAAACTCAGTAGAGCTTCCTGGCTGGTGAACATCTTGATATGCTGGGAGAAGGATGTACCCTGATTCCATGGGGAGAGGGTACGGAAGCTCTGAATTCCCAATTCCCTCCCGGATCTTGCCCTATGTGCATCCTTTTTTTTTTCTTTCTTTTTTTTTTTTCTTTTTTTTTTTTGATACAGGGTCTCACTCTGTCATCCAGGCTGGAGTGCAGTGGCACAATGATGGCTCACCACAGCCTCGAATCTCTGGGCTCAAGCCATCCTCCCACCTCAGCCTCTCGAGTAGCTGGGACCACAGCACACACACCATGCCCCACTAACTTTTTAAAAATTTTTTGTAGAGATGGAGTCCCATTATGTTGTGAAGGCTGGTCTCAAACTCCTGGCCTCTCACCTTGGCTTTCCAAAGTGCTAGGATTACAGATGTGAGCCCCAGGACCCAGCCTATGTGTATCCTTTGTAATAAAACTATAACTGTTAAGTATAGTACTTCCTGATTTAGTAAGTTCTAGTGAATTACAGAACTTGAGGGATTCACAGGAACCCCTGAATTTATAGTAAGTTGGTACAAAGTGCAGGTGGCCTGGATACCAACAGTGTGGCTGGTGCCCATGGCATGGGAAGTCTTCTTGAGGATTAAATCCTTTAACTTGTGGGGTCTGAGCTAACTTTGGATGATTAGCACGAAAGCTGAATGGCAGTACACTCAGTTGGG
Source organism: Homo sapiens (assembly GCF_000001405.40). Classification (NCBI taxonomy): domain Eukaryota; kingdom Metazoa; phylum Chordata; class Mammalia; order Primates; family Hominidae; genus Homo; species Homo sapiens. The sequence continues at coordinate 6,858,890 of NC_000023.11, forward strand.
GTTGCAACAGAATAATACCTGATATGACTTGGCTGTGTTCCTACCCATATCTCATCATGAATTGTAGCTCACATAATTCCCACATGCCAGTGGGAGGTTATTGAATCATGGTGGCAGGTCTTTCTTGTGTTGTTCTCATGACAGTGAATACGTCTCAGGAGATCTGATGGTTTTATAAAGGAGAGTTCCCCTGCACACACTCTCTTGCCTGCTGCCATGTAAGACATGCCTTTTCTCCTTCCTCACCTTCTGCCATGATTGTGAGGCCTCCTCAGCCATGCAGAACTGTGAGTCAATTAAACCTTTCTCCTTTATAAATTACCCAGCCTTGGGTATGTCTTTATTAGCAGCATGAGAACAGACTAATACAACACCCCAGTTACACATACTCCCATTACCATTGGAGGTGAAACCACCTTTGCAAAATTATAACAGTGGGAGAAACCTGACATAGTTGACTCCATCTTGCTTCTGACCTCCAAGTTGCTTTGGTCATTCCTGGACATAAGTCAAGCTAACTTTAGGGGAAATTTAGGTTGTAGTTTGACATTAAAGCAAGAATGATTATAGGTCTTCCCCAAAACTAAACCAGTTTTGAAAGGCCACAAGAATAGGATTATGGGAAGGGCTTGTACTGTGCTAAGATTTAGGCATAGATTTTATAATTCCTTACTGCTCAGGGGTCATGTGGCCAGAGGTCACAAGAACTGTGACCTTTGCAATTGCTCCCATAAATAACATCACTATTGTAGAACCTTAAATTGTTTTTTTCTGAGTTGTTTTTCAGACTGACCACAGCAGGACTCATGACTCATGACTTAGCTGCTCCTATGGCCCCACCCAGAGGTGGACTCAATGTATGAGGACCATTTTCCACACCCCTGCTGATTGGCTGTGTGATTTTACCCACAGACAATCAGCAGCACCCATTCCCTAATCCCCTGCCCACCAAATTGTCCATAAAAATACTATCCTCCAAGGGACACTGACATGAATGATAACTCTGTTTCTCCTTTATGGGTTGGCCTCACATCAATTAAACTCTCTCTCTACTGCAATGCCGTATCTCAGTGAATTGATTTTGTCTGTGCAGTGGGCAGGAAGAACTCATCAAACAATTATAGAGGTAGATATTGTTATAAACCCTATTTTGCAGATGCAGAAACTGAGGCACAGAATAAATAATCAGCTCAAGGTCAGAGAGTGGTTGAGCCAGGCTTTGGACCCATGTAGCTCAGTTTCAAGCCCATGTTCTTTAATTATTATTACAATTATAGATACAGAGTCTTGCTATGTTGCCCAGGCTGATCTCAAACTCCTGAGCTCAAGCAATCCTCCCTCATCGGCCTCCCAAAATCTTGGGATAACAGGTGTGAGCCATTGTGCTTGACCCCTATTTTTTCTCTTTATTATTTTTATTTTAATTTTTTTTAAGATACAGGGTGTCACTATGTTTCCCAGGGTCATCTAAAACTTCTGGGCTCATGTGATCCTCCTGTCTTGGCCTCCCAAATTGCTAAGATTACAAGCGTGAGCCACTGTGCCTCCAAGCCCATGTTTTTCTGTGTGTGGTTTTTTGTTTTTTGTTTTTTGTTTTTTGAGACAGAGTCTCACTCTGTTGGCCAGGCTGGAGTGCAGTGGCATGATCTCGGCTCACTGCAACCTCCTGCCTCCCAGGCTCAAGCAATTCTCTTGCCTCAGCCTCCCGAGTAGGTGGGATTACAGGCGTGTGCCACCACACCCGGCTAATTTTTGTATTTTTAGTAGAGACGGGGTTTCAGCATGTGGGCCAAGATGGTCTTGAACTCCTGACCTCAGGTAATCCGCCCTCCTCGGCCTCCCAAAGTGCTGGGATTACAGGCGTGAGCCACTGCGCCCAGCCAGCCCATGTTCTTAACACTCTCATGTTCTGCCTCCTAATGAAAAGCTAATGTGTTATCCAAACTCAAGGAAGATATATTAATGACATATCATGATTTTAATCATAATAGAAGGGTTAAAAATGTTCAACCCTTGGAAGAGAAATAAGTAAACAAAAACGTACATGACACTATAATAAAAGAAATAATCACAACCACAGGTATATCTCTATTGCTGTAAATCTAAGTAATTTATCTGGTATTTTATAGAGGAAGAAATATAGCTGTGATGATCCCAGGAGTCATATTTGCATATGCAGACATTTTCCAACATGATAAAAGCTTTGGAAATCCCATCTATATTGACTTTAGAAGGATCTGATGAAAGTTTCATCAAGTAATACCCTCTACTTCTCTTCCAGCTCCTGCATAATTTACATCTCTGTGGAGGAGCCAGTCTTTTGATCTGCCCCCAGGAGGTTTAGGCATTGAAGTCCCCAAGGCTATCCGTGGGCTCAATGACTAGAGTCTCTGATATACTCCCATTCCATAAAAAGCAAGATGCATGCTCCAAAGTTTGAAACACTGCAAGATGAGGAGGCTTTCTAATACATATATTAAAGGGAGGTTTTTAACTGTGTATGGGACTCATGGTTTCTCCCCATCACCTTTCCCCTAATGCTTTCTAAAGAAATTCCATCACATGACACTGCAATGCTTAATATGTCATAATTCCATGTGTCGTTAATGTTATGCAATATTAAAAATGAAATTGTGATATTCAAAGTGCGCACATAGCACAATTTGAGAAAATGTGACAGTTTTGAAATTCTGCCAAGATCAGCTTGAAAATCTTGACGTAGATTGTTCTTACAGATATATTAGTCTGAATTCTCCCACGAGTCAACCCCGAGACAAGGAGGTGAGTGTAGTGGCCTTATTTATGCAGTGGCTTATGCAAGAGCTTATCCAAGAAGCTCACTGGGCAAGTGGGGAGTGAGAGAGAAGAAGTAAAGAGAATGTGTTAATAAGTAGGGGCTTAGTCACTCTCACCCCTGGGAAGGAAGGTATGGTCTTGGAAACACACCCCCACCCCAGGGAAGGAGGCATTTGACCTCCGACTCCCTTTTCCAGTGTCTGAGGGCTATCTTAGGGGTTTTGACCCACGTGCCGCTGAGTAAGTTTCCTAGGGACAGAGTCAGCCCTGAGCTGAGAAGAAGGAAGCCAGACATGCTTAGTGAGAGGCTGTCAGCTTGCTGTGAACCCTCTAGTGCACCTGCTAGCGAACTGAGAACGGTCAAGGGAATGAGGGTGGAGCATCCAGGCACCTTCCACAGATGGAGCTTAAGTGACTGTGCTGAAAGTAATCCTTGATATATTTATTTAGAGGTCTCCCTTTTAAGGATTCAGAATGCCAAACAAAATTCTGTCCTTTTTAAGGGCCCTCCTTAGCACCATCCAGACTGGAAAGACCACCGGTCTATGGCCCCAAGCTTCCCCTACTAAAAATAAGAAGGCTGTAAGGGACAGACATCAGGTCTTCTGTTCTGGCAATATGTCTCATACCAAGAAAGCACTCAATCCTTTTGTTAAATGAAGGCATGAGTTGATGAATACCACCATCTCCTACACATTCAGTTCAGACGAATAGCAGATCATTTGCTGAAATTCCTAAAGATGTTCATTTTACATTCAGAAGTCTGAAAGAAGAAACAAATGCTTTTTTTCCAACAACTTTTTTTTCATGTCATTTTAAAGCACATAAAATGAGTCATTAAAGTGAAAATTTTAAAAAGAACCACTAAAAGGGACGGGGTTTTTCCCACGGTGTCTTTATATCTTCTTAATTCCATTTGAATAACTCACTCTAAGTTCTCTATAGGAAGACAACCATGTAACAGAATTTCCCAAAGGTTAACTTGGAGAGTATATAGGCATGAAGCACAGCCATTACTATATTTTAGACACCATGGTATGATTTCCAGAAGGTCCTTTCCATGATTACATCTATAGTTTGAAATTTTAAAACTCTATGGCCAACATTGCCAATGTTGGCTGATTATTAATTTGCAAAGGATGGTGGATGGGGTGATGGTCGCTCACAATATTAATTAAAGACTAGCACCATCCAATAGAAACATAACACGAGCCACAAACAGGAGCCATGCACATGATTTTAAATTTTCCCGTAACCTCATTTTAAAAAGTAAAAAGAACAGGCGAAGCTAAATTCAATAACGTACTTTTATATAAGCCAATATACCCAAAATATGATCACTTCATTATGTAAATAATTTTATTATTATTTTAGAGAAGGAGTCTGCTATGTTGCCCTGGCCAGAGTGCAGTGGCATTCACAGGCATGATCATAGCATACTACAGTCTCAAACTCCTGGCCTCAAATGATTATCCTGCCTCAACCTCCCAAGTAGCTAGGACTACAGGCATGTGCAACAGTGCCTGGCTATATGTCTGTCAATAATGTTTTATAAATTACTGAGATATTTTACATTCTCTTTCTTCTACTAAATCATTGAAATCTGGTGTGTATTTTGCACATAGAACACATCTCAATTTGGACTATTGTCCAAAAGAAGACGAGGATGGCTAAATAGTAGAAAAGAGAGCTTTACTGGAGATATCAGATTGTAAATTGGGGAGGATAGTCTCCGGTGTGGACCAAAAGTGCTCTGTCTTCAAAGATGGAAGAGGCAGGTTAGGCTTTATGCCTCACAGGTTCTGTATTACACAGTGGAGTTACACATATTCAGCAGGTTTGGGGGGAAAGCTATACATATTTATAATCGGGGTGACTGCATGTGCAATGGGTAAACATACATGTAACTTATGTCTCATATTCACTTTGGGGCATGGTTTTCCCATTAAAATGAGTTAGAATTTGGCTCTTCACATGGAAAGGTGAACTATAAGACCCAAATCCAATTTGTGTATAGCTTCTATAGGCGAGCTGAAATTGGCATACGGTCTACGGTTGCTTTTCAGAAAAGAATGTTTGTAAGGGTGGTCCTCTGTCCAATCAGTTACACTAGTCTGGGTTGTAAACCAGAATTGGGAGAGGTCTGATAACTCCTCTTGTTAAGGACTTCAGCAAGGGTATGGTTCTGACAGCTGCAGGGATTTAGGAAGTTGTCATTCCAGCCTAGCCCTGAACCCTTGACCAGTAGGTCCTACTAACTTTTGTCTCCTTAACCTTGGGGTCCATCTTAGTTGATAGAGTGGGGTCTGTTTTGGTCTCTCAGATCCCAGGACTCACAATGTTCTAAGAGCCCATAGCCACATGTAGTGAGTGGCCACCATATTGGGTCATTCAAGACCAGCTTATCTTGTGGGGGATCTTGGTGGAGGGTAGAGTTGAAATCGGTGAATAGGATTCAAGATAGAGAAGAGAATATCTTCCATAGATGTTTCATCCACTGGAGATTCCTTTTGTTAATGTGCTACATCTCTCCTACTCGTAATGTAATAACAGAGTTCTCTGTTGGTGTCCATGTTTGTGGCTGACTGTCATGTGGCAGAAAAACTATGGTTTGGAACATTCTGAAAAAGTGAAATTAGATGAAGTTAAAAGGATAAGAAAGGAAGCTTTGAGTGTAGAAGGTACTTCAATTGTTGGGAGAATAAAGAGTTGGTCTAGGTCCAGCCCCACTTTTTGGAACCACACAATATAACACTTGCCAAGGAATGTCCCTATTTCCCACTCACTGTATCTTTGGTCTTTGTTCCCCTAATCAAAGTAGGGGGCCATACTGGTTTCCTTTGCCTACCTGCAATACATTATCACAAATTGAGTGCCACATTTCTCATCCCACAGTTCTGAAGGACAGAAGTCCTAAGTGAATCTCACTGGGCTAAAACCTGTGTCAGTAAAGACGTTCATTCTGGAGGCTCTGGGGGGAATGTATTTCCTGGGTTTTTCCAGTTTCTAGAGTCAGACTGATATTCCTTGCCTCCTGGCCTCCTTCCATCTTTGAAGCCAGCAAATGTTGGCCAAGTATTTCTCAAATCACATCATTTGATTCTTCTATTTCCCTTTTCCCCATTTAAAGAATCCCTGCAATTCCACTGAGTCCACCCAGATAATCCAGTTAATCTCCCCAGTTTAAGGTCAACTGATTAGCAACCTTAATTTCATCTCCACATGAATTACCTTTGTCATGTAAAGTAACATATTCAAAGGTCCTCGTAATTAAGATGTAGATGTTTGGGGATAGAGGTGTCATTATTTTGTCAATCTCAGTCGCATTCCATTGTAATTCTTTTTCATTGTCGATGCTGTTGTGTTTGCTGAAGCCCTATGTTCTGAAATGAAATGCCCAACTAAAGTAGTGTTTGCCTCTAGAGTATATGTATATTTTAATTTATTGACAACTATTCTTACTATTTATTTTTCACTCTTATTATAGTTTAGGGGTTAGGATCAGGGTTATTATAGTTAGGGCTAGGGTTAGGGTTAATCCAGCTCTTTCCTGGACTAAAGTGATTATTGTGTCTTAAATATTTTTTAGTTTTAAAATAAGTAGCTGATTTTCTGTAAAGGCAACTATCTACATAAAATCATCTCAACCTCCCCATCAAAAATACCTTCTAACATATCTTTCTAAATTCTCTCTCATTCAGAGACTTGCAACTGTTGCATCAGAGCACAGAAAGATTTTTCCCATAAGACATATGGAAGAAGTGAAGCCAAGAAATATTATAACACTTTTAGTCACTTGGTAAATGTGTCAATTTTGGGAACTGAACCACAAACTCAACAGTAGATGTTCTTACCATTAGCAACATCTCTAGAGCTTCCACATTCAGAAGAGCACATTCCTTCTTAAAATTATGTGAACAAGTCATTGAATTTTAAATGAGGGTAACTTTTTTTAGACAAAAGAAAATAACTAATTGCCATTTGATGGAGCATTCCCTCAGATGCCTATATCATGGCAGATATGCAAAAAAAGTGGAACAAATTTACACAAACCTCATAAGTCAAAATATAGACACATCTAAGCATGCTGAGCTGATTAAGCTAAAAAAAAAACAGATTTTATTTTTCTTGAGGGTTTAGAAATAAATTTATAGCTCACAGTAAAATAGGACATCATATCTGCTTTCAAAACAAGTACGCACAGCAATGGAAATGTAAGTTTGTTTTTCTATTTTTTAAGTTAAAAAAAATTTAAGAGACAGTTTCTCTCTGTTGCCCAGGCCGGAGTACAGTGGCACAGGCGTAGTTCACTGCAGCCTCAAACTCACAGTCTCAAGCAATCCTCCCATTTTAGCTTCCTGAGTAGCTGTGATTACAGGCACGTGCCACCATGCAGGACTATTTTTTCTTTTTATTTTTGTAGAGATAATGTCTTGCTATGTTGCCTAAGCTGGTCTTGAACTCCTGGCCTCAAGTGATCCCCTTGTCTCAGCTTCCCAAAGTCCTGGGATTACAGGCATGAGCCACCATACCCAGCTGAAAGTTTTTTTTTTTTTAATTTAAAATTTATGGTTTTTTTTTTTGTATTACTTACATTATACCACAGAATGCAAGATAGTATACGGTTGTTAAATTTTTAAAAATTCATAAATAGAAAAGTAAATTCAAATATTCCCAAAACTTGTTTTTTAATTCAATGTTTGCTACAAGGAGTGCACCCTTGCCACAGGAGCAAAAGTGTGTTTTTAAATATCAAATAAAGAGAATTCATTTCACCCATTGGTATTTATTTAGCTCCAGGGCTGTCTCAGGGAACTGGGGAAGCTGCGCCCTGTAACAAGTGAGCGCATGTTGGCCTGCCAGGGTGAGAGAGAGGGGCATCAATTTGAGATTTGCCTTAGGAAGATGGTGCCTCCTTGTGACTCCTAAGGGCTGCACTGCTGGTGCTGCCTCTACCTGCAGATCAAGTTTGCAGGCACAAAGATGAAGACCAGGGAAGATCCAGTCCTAGGGGAAGGGCATGTCACAGATTCAGTCAATTCTTTTGACGACTGTGTGTGAGAACATTCACTGTAGTGGTCATCACTTTGAGAACTGGGGTACAGCAGTTAACAAGATAGATGAGATTCCCAGCTCTATGGGACTCACATTATGGTGGAGAAAAATAAAATGTCACGGAAACTTACAGACAGCGGGACATCACCCAACTTGCTCTGGGAATGAAAACTTCAGCTGGAACTGGGGTGAGAAAAGAAGTCCATCAGGCCCCAGAGGGTAGGCGTAGGGTCAGGTTGAGAGGATGGGCATGGATTTCAATCATGATTTCAATCAGAGGAAGGCTCCATACTCATAATGTGTTCAGATTCTTTTCATTGCTCTCCAGAAGGCACTAGTAGTATTCCAAGATACCTGCCTATACTGAATGCTTCCACCAAGTTTTCCATTTTCCAATTGCTGAGAGCCCTAAGAAGCCTTCTGTAAATAAGATCTAGGTCATCTAAGTCACTCTACCAAATCTTCCCCTGAGAACACATTGCCCCCTACCTTTCAAAGTTATTGTCAAAGCTGCTGTATCCTTGTTGTTTTATGTTCAACAACAAATGCTTTTTATTAAATGTCTTCTTTGAGCTGGGTAGTGCTCCAGGCATGGCAGATTCAGCACTAAGCAAGGAATACAGCACCCTCACTTTCATGGGGGTCACAGTGAAGCCAGCATGATGGTGGTGGTAGTGGTGGTGGTGGTGATGGTAATGATGATGGCAGTGATAGTAGTGATAATAGTGGTGATGGTGGTGGTGGTAGTGATGATGGTGGTGATGTTGGTGATGGTTTGGTGTTGGTGATGGTGATGACGTTGATGATGGTTGGTGATAATGGTGGATGGTGATGATGGTAGTGGTAGTGGTGACGGTGTTGTTGGTGATGGTGATGTTGATGGCAATGGTGGTGTTGATGGATACTGATGATGTGGTGATAATAGTGGTCATAATGGTGGTGGTGGTGGTGCCGAAAGTGGAGGTGGTAGTGTTTATGGTAGTGACAATGGTGGTCTTAGTCCATTTTGTGTTGCTATTACAGAATACCACAGACTGGGTAATTTACAACAAACAGAAATGCATTTGGCTTATGGTTCTGGAGACTAGAAATTCCAACAGCATGACACCAGTATCTGGTGAGGAACTTCGTGCAGTATAATTCCATGATGGAGGGCAGAAGGGCAAGAAAGGGTGAGAGCAAGAGGATGAAGCTTGCTTTATAACAAAGCCACTCTCAGGATACCTAACCCAATCTCATTTATAAGGACAACATGACCTAATCACCTCTTCTTAGGCCCTACCTTCCAGCACTGGTTGCATTGGGATTTCAGTTTCCAACACATGACCTTTGGGGAACACATTCAAACCATAGCAACAGTGGTGTCAGTGAGGTTGGTAGTGTTGGTGGTAGAGGTGACAGTGCAGGTGGCAGTGGGGTTGTGGAGTTGGGCAACAAACAAGCACATTAGTGTACTAGAAAAATAACAGCTATATACACTAAAGACAAAGTGGAAAATATAAAACGTAATGAAGTGGACCTGGGCTGCTACTTCAAATGAATGGCCAAGAAAGACCTCTCAGACACAGTGACATTTAAGCCAAGATCTCAAAGCTGAGTGGCCTGACCCTGTGCTCCATATTCATGATTAAGATTGTATTGAACAGGTCTAAAGGTTCAAGAATATTAGCAATAGAGAATAAGCTCCTATAAAGCTTATGGTCAAAATATGAATGAGCTGGTTCTCCTATAATCTCATTTTCTCTATAAACATTTGAGAATTTTTCATAACAATATTTTCCATCACATCACATAAACTCTACACAGGGGAAAAGATTCAAATTAGCATTTAACATTTATTCTAAAGTCCACTTTGTGTCTCTCTATACAAATGTCTTTTCTTAAGCTTCTAGAAAGTCTTTCTGTTCCTATAAACTTGCTGTAAGTAGAAAGCCTACTTTATTTATTCTGGCATCTTTATATTCTTGAGAACATCTCTGCAAAATTTTATGTCATCTGCAGAAAATAGACTTTTTCTGGCAATTTCCTAACTATTGATTTAGCTGTTCTTGTGTGTCTTTAAATTAGGAGCCACCAGCCTGGTGTTAGGCCGTGAAATGGAAAAATTATGGGGTGAGCATCTCAGTCACTCTTCCCTGTCAGTCTTTGTCTTAATCCTCATTTACTTTTCTAATCTACTTTCAACTTGACAGTGCTAATTTCCTGGCAAAGTATTAATTCCAAACCCAGAGAAGAAGAATTACTAAAGGTTCTCTGTAGCAATGACTGTTGGTGCTCTGTTCAGGTTCATGCTGGCATTTTATCCCCCAGGATACCCATTGGCCAGTTGAGAAGAATACTGCCTGCTAGCAGCTCAGAGCTGCACCACCTGCTCTCAGCCAAATGAAAATATCTGGAGTTTACATTCCTCCCCAGAAGGTCCCAAAGCCCATGACTGACAGTGCTCCAGTGATCTACTGCTGCATACCAAACCACCCCAGACCTAGTGGAATAAAACAACTATCGTTTTCTTTGCTCATAAATTAGATGGTTTGGGAATTTGGACTGGGCACATTGGGCAGTTTGTCCTGCTCCATGATGTCTACGGCCTCAATGAGGAAGACTCCAATGAATGGGAGTGACCTGAAAAACTGGAAACTGGAATTACCTGGAGATTTCTCCCCTCACTTTCTTGCGCCTGGGCTGGCAAAACTAAAAATCTGGGCTCAGATGGGGCTGTTGAGAGCAACTGCAGATTGCTTTTTTGTGTAGCTTGAACTCCCTTACAGCATGGCAGCTTCTGGTTACTTGGGCTTATACTGTGGTGAATTGAAATTCCAGCAGTGACTGTGTCAGCAAACAAGGGAGAGCTCCTTTGGCCTTTTACAATCCAGCCTTAAAAGTCACATGGTATCCAGTGAGCACATGCAAAGATCCTCAATATCACTAATCACTAGGGAAATGCAAATCAAAACCACAAAGAGATATACTACACACCCATTAGCATGACTACTATTAAAAAAAAAATTACCCAGAAGGTAACAAAAGCTGCTGAGAAAGTGGAAAAATTGAAACCCTTGTACTATTTGGGGAGTGTAAAATGGTGCGGCTCTTATGAAAAACAATATTGAAATTCCTCTAAAAATTAAAAATAGGATTATGATATGCTCTAGCAATTCTACTTTTGGATATATACTCCAAAGAACTGAAATCAGGGTATCAAAAACATATTTGTACACTCATGTTCATAGCAGCACTACTTACAATGGCCAAAATGAGGAAGCAACCGAAGCGTTCATCAATGGATAAATGAATAAACAAAATTTGGTCTACCCATACAGTAGAATATTGTTCAGGCTTAAAAAAAAAAAGGAAATTCTGACACATGTTACAACCTGGATGAACCAGGAGGACATCATGCTTAGCGAAATAAGCTAGTCACGAAAGACAAGTTATTATTTAATGGATACAGAGTCTTAGTTTTACAAGGTGCAGAGAGTTCTGGAGATGGGAGGTGGTGGTCATTGTAAAACAACATAAACTTAACAGTACTGAACTGTTCATATGGTTTTGCTGTGTCCCCACCCAAATCTCATCTTGAATTTCCACATGTTGTGTGAGGGAACTGGTGGAAGGTAACTGAATCATGGGGGCAGGTCTTTCCCATGCTGTTCTTGTGATAGTGAATAAGTCTCATGAGATATGATGATTTTATAAGGGGGAGTTCCCCAGTACAAGCTCTCTTCTCTTTGCTTGCTGCCATCCATGTAAGATGTGACTTGCTCCTCCTTGCCTTCTGTCATGATTGTGAGGCCTCACCAGCCACATGGAACTGTAAGTCGATTAAATCTTTCTTTTGTAAATTTCCCAGACTCAGGTATGTCTTTATCAGCAGTGTGAAAATGGACTAATACAATTGAACACTTAAAAATGGTGACGATGGTAAATTTTATGTTATGTGTATTTTACAACAATTAAAAATTATTTTAAAATGTCACATCATGTCACTTTCACCATATTCTATTGTTGGAAGCAATCAGTCTTCTGCCAATATTCAAGGGCAGGGGATGCAAACCCTGTCTCTTGATGGGAAGTGTCATAAATTTGCTGCTATTTTCAGGTGGAGGTTTTTTTTATAGAGACCGAATCTTTCTGTTTCCCAGGCTGGAGTGCACTGGTGCAATCATAGCTGTCTGCAGCCTCAAATTCCTGGGCTCAAGCGATCTTCTTGCCTCAGGCTCCCAGGTAGCTGGGATTACAGGCAGGCACCACCACGTCTAGCTAATTTTTAAATTTTTATAGAGACCTGGTCTTGCTATGTTGCCCAAGCTGGTCTCAAACTTCTGGTCTCGTCCTCCAATCTCAGCCTCCCAAAGAAATTGCTGTGTTTTAAAGCCACCGCAGTGGACTAGAGACCAGTCCCTTTACCACAAGGCAGGGCAAATCTGTAGCACTATTTCTGCTCCACAACTCCTCATGGAATCAAGCTGAGGCTTCATCTGTAATCAGATCTCTGACTGCCTTCTCTCTCCACCCACTCCTGCTTCCCTCATTTCCTGAGGGGTTTCTCCTCTGAGCCCTCCATCAATAAATCACTGGCCCATGAGTCCTCATCTCAGACTGCTTCTAGAGAATCTGACCTAAAACAGACTGTGAGGCTGGGAATCTATTAAAAAATCAAAAGGGCAGTGGAATTTTAGATTTTTTCAGGGCTGTGGGGAATATATTTTGAAACAGGAAGCCTTTTCATCACTCCTTTTGAAGGATGTCAGCTATTCACAAGACCTATCCTAATCACTTAACCATATTTCCTTCAAAGATAATGACTGTCATTCTTCCTGTTGACCTGTTGTTCTTAAGAACCAAGGTACCAACTCAGGGAGACAGTGTGGTCAACACCCAAAGGCCAAAGGGAACATTATTGAATGTCCAGGTGCCAGCCAGGGTGACCAGTTGCCCTTGTTTGCTCCAGAATGAGAGGCTTCCTTGGATATGAGATTTTCAGTGTCAAAACCAGGAGATTCCCACACAAACCAGGATAAATTTGATCACCTGTGGGAAGTTTGCATTTGTCTCTGGGATTTTGTCACCCTCATGTTAAAATCACTCTCCAGGCATGTGTTAGATTCTTAGGGCTGCCACAACAAAAAACCATGAACTGATAGCTTTTTAAAAAAACCTTACATTTATTTATCATAGTTATGGGAGCTGAAAGTCCAAAATTAAGGCACCAGCAGATTCAGCAGCTGGTGAGGACCTGCTTCCTGGTTCATAGACAGTGCCTTCTGGCTGTGTCCTCACATGGTGGAAGGGGAAAGGGAGCTTTCTGGGGTCTCTTTCATAAGGGCACAGATCCCATTCATGAGGCTCCATCTTTATGACCTCATCACTTCCCCAAGGCCCATCTCTTAACATCATCACCTTGGGGGTTAGGTTTCAGTATCTGAATTTGCAGGGGGTGGACACAAACATTCAGTCCATACCTGCAGAGTTGGTTCCTTCTAAGGGCTGTGAGGCCTCTCTCCTTGGCTTGCACACAGCTGTCTTCTACCAGCAAGTTTTCATTGTGCCTTGCCTTTATGCATACCTTGGTATCCAAATCTTCCCTTTTTATAAGGACACCAGTGTTATTCGATTAGGATCCACCTTAATGACCTCATTTTAACGTGATTACCTTTGTAAAGACCCCATCTCTGGGGCCAGGCACAGTGGCTCACACTTGTAATTCCAGCACTTTGGGAGGCTGAGGAGGGTGGATCACTTGAGGTCAGGAGTTGGAAACCAGCCTGGGCAACACGGTGAAACCCTGTCTCTACTAAAAATACAAAAATTATCTGGGCATGGTGGTGGGTGCCTGTAATCCCAGCTACTTGGGAGGCTGAGGCAGGAGAGTCACTTGAATCCAGGAGGCGGAGGTTTCAGTGAGCTGAGATTGCACCACTGCACTGAGGCCTGAGCAAAGGAGCAAGATTCCATTAAAAAAAAAAAAAAAAAAAAAGACCACATCTCTAAATATAAGGTCACGTTCCCGTGGTACTAGGGATTAAGACTTCAACATATTATTTGGGATGGGGGAAGGTAAAATTCAATCCATAACCATACATAAAGGCTTTAACCAGGTAACTAAGTCAGGGAGCAGAAATTAGGGGGAAGATCTAGCGATACGAGGTATCCCCTGGAAGTTTGCAGATCCTGTGACACATGGCTACATTAAAAATCAAATCAACCCAATTAGTGAACTGAATTACTTCCAGAGGTGTCTGAATCAAGGCAGACACATAAAAACATCAGGTGGGAACAAACATTCTAAGTTCATAAGAAACAGAAAATCAAGAGCTCCCAAGCACGAGAGAAATCCCTCCATGTGCCTCAGGAAGACTCAAACGGCATAGCGCTTTGGTCATCAAACTTTTTGTTTTTGTACAGATGCTTTGAATTTTAACTTAGGGGCTCTTGGATCCATTCCTGGCTTTGGTATTTAATATTAACTAGCTTTGACTATGTGACCAATATCCTCAGAATCTAAGTTTTCCTCACTGGACAAATAAAGGAGTAGCAAGGAATTGCTATTTACTCTTTTAGTTCTAAGTTACTACGAATCAAAGACAAATGCCAATAACATATTTTCTAAAAGAAAATTATTTCTTCTGGTTTACTAGATTCACATTGAGTAAACATTTGCTTCAATAAATGGTAACATGCTCCTGGTCTAAAAACCATTCATTCATAATGAAACACTGAGTAGTTCGCCCTGAAACCACGAACAGGATTTCATTGACTAAATCTATGTTAAAATGGCTCATAGATTTTGTTTTTACAGAGTAAGCCTATGAAATTGATCAGTATTATGATAAAATAATGAATTGGCAATTATATAATGTCATATCCTATGTACTTTAAAAGTATGCTAGCTACAAAAACCTCAACTATATATTATACTCACCTGGTATTAGATTATCTGTCAAACCCCATCAGCAATAGGTAATTACCCACTTTTTACGAGCACTATAAAAACTAGTTGTCAATCAGATGGATGGAGCAACCAATTTATTCTTGTACATTGCCATTACATCAAATTGCATTATATGCTGACATAACCTAAGATCATATAGTTGTTTATCCATTAAGCAAAAACACTAATCAGAAAAATTAAGGTTTAAACACTTCTAGCAGAATTCAAGTAAATGCTCTGGTAAATAATTTTTCAGCCTGGGCAACAAGGCAAAACCTCATCTCTACAAAAAATTAAAACAAAAATTAGCCAGGTATGGTGGTGCATGCCTGTAATTGCAGCCACTCGGGAGGCTGAGTTGGGAGGATAGCTTAAGGCCAGGAGCTCAAGGCTACTGTGAGTGATGATCCTCAGATCACGACACTGCACTCCAGCCTGGGCACCAGAGAGAGACCCCATCTCTTAAAAAAAAAAGAAAGAAAGGATTTTTTTTTCCAACCTGAGCATGAATCACAAATGCTGACTGTACATTCTACCTTTTTGCCCCTTTTAGGGGGGGTCTCATTCTATTACAGATTACAAAAATATTTTATCCACTTTATATGAAAGCTGCTTTCATAACTAACCGCTTAATATCTACCAGTAGACATCCTTTCACAGAGAAAATAGAAGTCAAGAACCCCATCTGAGTATATTAATAGGGTTCATTTATTATTGTTTGTTAAATGTCTCATAAATTGTTTCAGACCAAGTAGAGAGGAAACAGACCACCAATAGAGATGTAAACATTTTGAAAAGATGAGCAGTTGTCTGCAGACAATTCTGTTATCAGTGTAGATGTCAGTCCAATTACTGCACTCTGTAGCATTCAGCTGCCCAGGAGAAAACTCAAACTGGGAAACTATAGGCTGTGTTTATACACGCCAAATGAAGTGTGAAGTTGTACCATGCTGGTGAAGTTGATCCATCTAGATGCCAATCAAATCTGTTAAGTGAAAACAAGAAGTGTATCCTCTCTTCTGACTAGGTGTGTTGCTAGCCATGTGGCTAAGTTTCCCACGGTGTTCTCTCCCTTGGATTAAATAAATATACTGTTACTATTGACTAATGTTTCTTTTGGGAAACTCAAGCAATGTTTCCCTCCAGAAGACATCTTTTCTCTGAGAAATGATGCTCATTTGGATATTAAAACCTAAATTTCAAAATCTGAAACTACCCTCCATTTTCAGTCCAATGATGACTCAAAGTCTTAGAGAAAGAAACAACCTGAGACAATAAGAAATGTATGTGGTTTTAAATGCATTTCTTACACTTTCCAGCAATTAATTTTCATTTACGTGAGTGCTTGTGCCCTGCAAAATCAAATGTTTTTTAAAATTTTATTTATCTTTAAATTTATTTTGTTTTATTTTGTAGAGACAGGGTTTTGCTCTGTCGTCCAGGCTGGAGTGAAGCAGCATAATCATGGCTCACTGCAGCCTTGAACTCCCAGCTTTAAGCTATCCTCCCATCTTAGCCTCTCAAGTAGCTGGGACTACAGGTATGCGCCAACAGGCCTGGCTAATTTTTATATTTTTTGTAAAGACAAAGTCTCGGTACGTTGCCCAGGCTGGTCTTGAACTCCCAGCCTCAGTCTCCCAAAGTGCTGGCATTAGAGGCATGAGCCACTGCACCCGGCCCAAAGGACTTTTAAAGAAAAATTAAATGGGGCAATGATTTTCATCAGTTATACCTCTCACCCCCATCTCCCACACATGAGCACACATTCATAAACTTTTGATTTTTCAGGCACCACCCCAGCTGTTTTCTGCAGAAAGGAATTAATGAAGAACATGATTAGGTCTCCAGGAAGGACTTCCAGACCAACGTTAACAAAAACAGCCCTCCAGGGTAATTGCGGGTTTTGCCACAGGTGGGAGACTAGGAGGCTGTCCCTACAACTTCATTCAGAGCCCTATTTCACCTTCCAGACCTTCCCTGGCATGACCACTTTTCTCTCCATCTGCCTCAACTACTAATGCAGGTAGGTGTTAAGACAATGCCTGATTGGTGGAGCTAAATCCCATCTGGAACCCTAGCTGCAAGGGAGTCCAGGAAACGGCATTGTTGGCCTTCCATCCTTTGCAGTACTGGACTACACACTTGAATGATGTGGAATACATGCCAAGTCAGTCAGTTAACCACAGCTTCCCACAAAACTACTCCACATGTAGGCTTATTCCCTGCCAACATGTTTGTTATTTGAAAAGCAATGGTATTTTATTATTACATAGTTCATTATTTTTTCTAGTATGTGGGATCATTTTAATCCATCTGCCTTTCAAATTGTATTATGTTTAAGCAGGCATAAAGTTAAGTCCTGACACAATTATACAGATGATCATTGACTTAACAATTGTTCAGCTTATGATATATTGACTTTATAATGATGTGAAAGCAATATGCATTCAGTAAAAACTATCTTTTGAGTGCCCATACAACCATTCTGTTTTTCACTTTTAATACAATATTCAATGAATTACATGAGATATATAACATGTTATTATAAATCTGACTGTGTTAGATGATTTTGCCCAATTGTAGGCTAATGTGAGTGTTCTGAACAAGTTTAAGGCAAGCTGGGCTAAGCTATGATGTTCAGCAGGTTAGGTGTATTAAATGCATTTCAATTTAGGATATTCTCCACCTACAATGGGTTTAGCAGGCTGTAATTCCATCATAAGTTGAGGAATATCTGTGTGTGTGCATGTGTGTGTGTATATGCATATATGTATACAGTCACACACATATATATGTATATACACACATATACATATAGACACATATACACATAAACATATAGACATATACATATATATACACACATATATGTATAAACACACACATACATATACCTATGTGTGACCTATGGTCACACCACTGCACTCCATCCTGGACCATAGAACAAGACCCTGCACCTAAAATGTTATGTGTGTGTGTGTGTGTGTGTGTGTGTGTGTGTTTGTGTACACACATATGTACATATATGTGTCTATACATATATGTCTATACATGTAGATGCACATGTGCATGTATGCATGTTTGTGTCTATACATATATGTGTACCTATAGACATATATACATATAGACACATGTGTATACACATATATGTGTGTACCTATAGACATATATACATATAGACATATGTGTATACACACACATATAAATATAGACACATATACATATAGACATATATATGTGTCTATCCATATAGACACATATATACATTCATATATGTGTACACACACACACACACACACACACACATAACACTTTAGATGCAGGGTCTTACTCTGTGGTCCAGGATGGAGTGCAGTGGTGTGATCATAGGTCACTGTAGCCTGGAACTCCTGGGTTCAAGTGATCCTCCCGAGTAGCTGGGACTATAGGCATGTGCCACCATGCCTGGCTAATTTTTTTAATTTTTTGAAGAGAGAGGGGTCTTTCTATGTTGATCAGGCTGGTCTTGAACTCCTGGCCTCCAGTGATTCTTTGGCCTCAGCCTCCCCAAGCATTGGGATTATAAGCATGAGCCACTATATACCCAGCCAAGCATCTGTATATTTAAACTCCTGTACTTTTGGGTCTTCTTTCAGAGGACAACACTATCAATTATTCATCCTAACATAAAAAAGAATATGGAGCAGTTTTTAAAGAAATAGAAAGGCTACAACACCAAAAATTCTCTCTGAACCTCATCTCTTAGACTTACGGGATCTGCAATATGGCAGAGAAGCATGCGGTGCCAGGGCAAAGGAGGACCATAACGTGAGAAGTTTTCCTATGGTGTTATCAAGGAAGGATTAGATTTCCCTACAAGCACTCTCAGCAGATCTGGGGTGGAGAGGGGATGGTGCTGAGAGTCAACGACGAAGTCCCAGCAGTCAGCCCATGAGTGTCATTGATTCAGCCAGTTCAATAAGCAATACCCACAGGCATCTATCAGAGAGCTCACAATGTCTCTGATAGGCAGGCACTTCCCAATGGCTGCAAAACTGTGACTAAGCTTGTTACGAGTAATTACTCAGCTGAGTATTTCATGTACAGCAAAATCTCTTGAGAAGCTTTTTAAAATAAAGGTCTCAAGCCTCAACTCTCAAGATCCTGGGCTTGGACTACAGAACCTGTCCCCACTCCCTCAAGTAATGCTGATAAAAGCTGGCTGAGTCGCTACTGTAGAGAAGCTGGACAATGCCATGGGGGAGGTGAAGGGACAAGAACGCGGGTTAGGCAAACCTCATGCAAAGCAAAGAACACAACCTTCTCCAGTTTATGATTTTTCTCTAGTTAGAAACTGGAGTTGCATTCTTGCAGGGAAAAAAGACATTTTCTAAAACTGGCTTGTACTTTTAGATTTCAAACTTAAAGCTATTGGCATGGTATATTGGAGAACCTCCTCCACACTCTTATAAAATGGAAGCACACACGATTTTCACATATTATTTTGGGCCACTATCCTTTCCCAGAAGGGTCTGCTTTGTTTAGCTCAAGTTTAAATCAAAGAGCAGTGTTAACTTTTGTTGTGTAAGTAGTAGAATAAATATTAGGTTTCTCTCTGAATCTGCTCATCTTCAGTTATCATGAATAACATGAAATTCCTGCCATTGAAGTACCATGTGAGCCATCCTATATTATAAAACATTACTTAGTTTTCCTGGCTTTTTTTTTTTTTTAGAATAAAGGTCTCAATCTGTCGCCCAGGCTGAGGTGTAGTGGCACAATCATAGCTCACTGCAATGGCCTCAAGCAATCCTCCTGCCTCAGCCTCTTGAGTAGCTGGGATTACAGGTGCACACCACTATGCCTGGCTAATTTTTGAAAATTTTTCATAGAGACAAGATCTCACTATGTTGCCCAGGCTGGTCTCAAACTCCTGGCCTGAAGTGATCCTCCCGCCTTGGCCTCCCAAAGTGCTGGGATTACAGGCGTGAGTCACCACACCTGGTCTTCATGACTTTTCTTGATAGCATATGTTACAAAGTTTTCAGCTGGATGAAATTTTGAGTTATTAGTTAAGATTTCATAAGATAATTTACATCCAGTAACAGATGGCAATGCAGACCTGTTTCCAACAGTGGCAACAGCTGGTTGGGTACAGACAACAGTGTTTATTCTACTTTCAGTGCAGTGTGCCTTGATGAGCTCCTTGCACTAAAGATCAAACAATACTTTGCATAGAAGCATGCCTGGCCATACACTAACCATCAGAGCTATTGCTTAGAAGGCCGATTCCTGGCTCAATCTCAGCCTCCTCTCTTGTCAGGACACCTCATGAAGCAGTAAAAAATGGTATGAGGACTTTGAAAAATAATTTTCCATGGTCAGTTTCATGGTGAAAAGTGTCTATTGAATAGCCTCCTAGATGGAAAAGAGCTTTTCTAAATAAAAACTTAAGAGCATGTAACATATACCCTCAATCACTGGAGAAGTCTAAATCCATTCCTCATGGCCCAGGACCATGTTACCCCATGGTTACTGTTCTACATGCAGTGAAGGAAAAAGGCAGAGGCCAAGGAGGATAATGCTCAAAAAGACTTCTGCACTGCAGTGTTTTGGGTGAAATGTCCGTGAGCCATATTACTGTGCTAAGATTGGATTATGCTTGCATTAAAGCGGGATCATATGTGTTGATTTTGCAGAATGGCCTTGAATTTTGTTGTTGTTGTTCCTCCCTCTGCCATTCAGCATGTGGTCTGGAAGTGAAGATGTAACAGACAGCACAATTACACACACACACACACACACACACACACACGTGTACATCACATGCATTGAGTCCAATGTAAGAGCAACATTCTAGGGTTCTTTGCTTAAATCCTACCACTCACTATGGCATCTTGGGCAAGTCATTCCATACCTCTGGGTCTCAGTTTTCTCATTTGTGAAGCAGGTTCACTGTGCACTGATGACCCACTTGTCTGCATCCAGTGAGACAGAACACTCATGCACAGAGTAAGTAAAGTGGGTTTGTTACTTTCAACTAGGCAGCAAGAAGCAATAGAAGCTGGGACTTCATAGCAAGCCACTCTTCCAAGGCTCAGAAAAGCTGCCCCGGGTAGATGGGGGTCTCTTCTGTGCATGCCCAAGTTGCACTGAAGCTAAGAGACCCCATAAATCAGCCTGCCCTGGGTTTCACACCTGGGGCCATGGGACCCGCTGGGCTAAAGCATTGAAGGACATCCTATTTCTATGAGGGGATTGGAACAGAGCCTGGACTGTTCTAGGTAACTCCCCCTTATCTCAAGATGTTGCATTCCCAGCACATTCTATAGTTATTCTTAAGAACTCCAAGAAAAAAAAGAGGGGAGAACCAAGACTACTCAAAGGACTGTCCTGCATCAGTGGAAACAGATGAATTACAATTCAGTTAGAATGACAGAGGAATCGTTAAGGTTTTTTTTTTTTTAATTTCAATAGATTTTTGGGGAACAGGTGGTGTTTGACTATATAAGTTCTTTAGCGGTGATTTCTGAGATTTTGGTGCACCCATCACCCGAGCAGTGTACACTGTATCCAATGTGTAGTCTTTTGTCCCTCATCCCCCTCCCAGCATTTCCCCTGAGCCCCCAAAGTCCATTGTATCATTCTTGTGACTTTGCGTCCTCATAGCTTAGCTCCCACTTATGAGTGAGAACATATGATGTTTGGTTTTCCATTCCTGAGTTACTTCACTTAGAATAATGGTCTCCAATTTCAACAGGTTGCTGTGAATGCCATTGTCCTATCATTGAAAATATTATCCAGCCCAGAATTTAAGATTGTCCAAATGTCTTCCCTTCAAATCTTATTGCCTTAGTTTACAAAAACAGAGGGACTATAAAATATATTTTGACACAATTAACTATTTCTTGTTTACTATTAATTTCCCAGGCAGCTTGGCACTAAATTACCAATCTTACTCTATGTCTGGTATGGAGCACTCTGCAAGTCTATAATTCTTTTTAATATGAGATTTCTGTATGAACATGAACATTTAAGAAGTAATTTTAAAGCCAATGCCTATTCCAAATAATGAGCCTTACAGAGAATTGGAAAATAACACAGGACTGTGTTATTTCTTACTGTCAGAAGACTAGAATTACAGTCCTGGCTCTGCCATCTACTATATCATTCATTCATTCATCTGTTTATTTATTCAATAATTTAACAAATATAGATTAACTACCTACCCTGTACCAGACACTGGTGAAGTTTTGTGCACATACCTGTGAAGAGCATGTACTCTTCTCTCATGAATCTTGTAGTTTGGCAGAGAAAAAGATAATAAGTAAACAAACCAGAATGTATTATTAGAGAATGAAACTTTACTTTTTGTTTGGATCTGAGTCTGCCAGGGCACAATTTGCAAAATGCAAACTTGAACTAGAAGTCTGGGCTTTTCTCAGTAGTCATAGAATCCACACACTATACAGAGTTATATGGTCAACGATCTCAGGGTCAGTGGGCTCATTTAGAGCTTATGTAAGCAAATTGAATTTCCTATTACAAACACACTCCATAACTTAAGACAGCAAGTGCAATTTTTATAATGAGCAGTTTTCAGGCATATGTCGTTAAACTACAAGGCTCACTTCAGGTCATCAGCAACCTAGGAAGAGCATCTTATAAGTAAAGACTGTAGTTTGCCAAGTTCAGACCTAACACCTTGCTCCCAACAGTCTCTCTGTTTATAATCTTTTACTGGAATTATAAATATTCTCTGTTCCAGTGGTTCTTAGAGTGGATGCACCAAGCTCAGGGTGTTTGCAGAGATATCCCTCGGTGAGTGGGAAGGAAATGTGAGGATTTCCACTTTGTATCTCATGAATAGTAAATAGTAATAGTTCAAGTCCAGATTAATGCTTCCTCCCTCATGCAAGATGTAAGATGTGATGGGGCTCCCCAGTAGGGATAGGAGTGCCTCACTTGTTTTTACTCATTTTTATTTTCAGCAGATTGCAACCTTTCATTAACAAGTGCCTGCTTAAGAGAATTTGCTGGTGATGCCACCTGGGTTTAAGTATATTAATCCTCACAAAATGGATGAGTGACTTAAAGCCCCTACAAAAAAACAAGAGTGAATTTGCTAAGAATCATGCAAGCACAAGGAGGCAACGCATCACCTAACCCTTGTCAGGGCATTTTCAAATGAAAGACAACAACTCTCCAATAAAATCTGATAAAATCTTAGCTCCCACTCCAAACAACAATCTGAATTTTCTGGAAGACTATGTAATGGGGTGATCTGCATCTGCTATCATGATAGAGGAATCTCTTTTTTTTTTTACTTTTTTTTTTTTTTTGAGACGGAGTCTTGCTCTGTCACCAGACTGGAGTCTAGTGGCACGATCTCGGCTCACTGCAACCTCTGCCTCCTGAGTTCAAGCGATTCTCCTGCCTCAGCCTCCCAAGCAGCTGGGACTACAGGCACACACCACCACACTCAGCTAATTTTTGTATTTTTAGTGGAGATGGGGAATCTCACCACTCCTGTATTGTGTATCACGTGAGACATTTGATAACAGTTGGATGTGTTTATAATTTACAAATAATATTAGGTCGGTGCTAAAGTAATTGCGGTTTTTGCCATTACTTTCAATGGTGAAAACTGCAATTACTTTCCACCAACCTAATAGCTAAGCACAGGAAAGTGTTATTGTTTTATCATGGGGATACGTGACCACAAAAATCTGGAGAATGATGTTCTAGCCACTCCCATTCTATTGATTAAGAAATGTAATGGTTAGCAGTCCCCTTTGAATGTCATGGCTGTCTGTGTTTGAGAAGAACCATATGAAAATGATGTTATGCAACCATTTTCGGGGGGGCTACAGAAAGGTAATTTCATGTGATTCAACCTATCAAATACAATTTGGCTTTTCTATTTTTATTAAGAAATTAAGCCTTGCAGGGTGGGATCATAACATCAGGAGTAGTCATGAGCGGTGGTTAAGGCAATAAAGAAAATCCAACTGGGTATCAGGAAAGACAACGACTATATCAGGGATCCCTGGGGTGGAGATGGGAACAAAGATGGAAATATGGAATGGATCTAGTTGTGCAATTATCCAGGGCGATGATGATGGAAGCAGAAGGAGCAGCCGGGGCAAGAGTCCTGCAGCGGCACTGAGGCTGGGTTGGGTCGCTATGTCTGAGGTGATGGGTCCAGGGAAGGAGGATCCATCAGGATTCTAGGCAAGAGAGGCCACCTAAGAAAAGCAGGCAAGCCAAGGAGGTTGGATTTCATCCTGTGGACAGAGGGTGTTGGGTAGGATAGGGCTGGCTCTGCCTAAGACTGTGGACACTGAATTCCCTTCTGGAAGCCTTGGTTTCTCTGATCACTGTGAGAATAATACCAATTTCACAGAATTACTGTGAGACACACACATTCTTAAAGGTACTGGTCCCCACATCTGGCCCCATGTGGGCACCCAGCAAACATCAATTCCCTCCCCTTCTTTGATGGACTGCATCAATCACTTTTTCCAATTTTTCCAATTTTCATAGGAGTGCCTATTTAAAGAAGGTGACTTTAAAATATTTTAAATAAGGCCGGGTACAGTGGCTCAAGCCTGTAATCCCAACACTTTGAGGGGCCAAGGCAGGTGGATCACTTGAGGTCAGGAGTTTGAGACCAGATTGGCCAACATGGCGAAACCCCATCTCCACTAAAAATACAAAAATTGGTTGGGCATGGTGGCGCTCGCCTGTAGTCCCTGATACTTATGAGGCTGAGACAAGAGAATCACTTGAAGCTGGGAGGCAGAGGTTGCAGTGAGCCAATATCGAGCCACTGCACTCCAGCCTGGGAGATGGAGTGAGACCTTGTCTCAAAAAAAAAAAAAAAAAAAAAATTTTAAACAATCTGCATAAATGCCAAGTAACAAATTCGTCTCATTGATCCTATTACACAAGAAGTAGGGAATGATTAGTGACTAAATATTCTACAAGCAGGGACTTTCAGAAATGTTTTTAAATTAATAAAGTAAAAATGAACAAGTGAAAAAATTATCTCATAATAATTATTATGTTTTGTATTCTATTTCCTTGTGCTCAGTTTTCCTTATTTTATTAATGCCTATGAGTAATAGAGGTAGTATTCATAGGTATTAGTAAATCAATTCTGTCCACATTTTTAATGTTCATTCTTTTTTTTGTTTGTTTTTTTTGAGACGGAGTCTCACTCTGTCACCCAGTCTGGAGTGCAGCGGCACGATCTCGGCTCGCTGCAAGCTCCGTCTCCCGGGTTCACACCATTCTCCTGCCTCAGCCTCCCAAGTAGCTGGGACTACAGGCGCCCGCCACCACGCCCAGCTAATTTTTTATATTTTTAGTAGAGACGGGGTTTCACCATGTTAGCCAGGGTGGTCTTGATCTCCTGACGTCGTGATCCGCCCGCCTCAGCCTCCCAAAGTGCTGGGATTACAGGCGTGAGCCACCGTGCCGGGCCTTAATGTTCATTCTTATTTCCATTTCACACTTTCCTTTTTACTCTTATTGTGAGGGCTTCTGTTGACGTTTTCAAACAATTTGAGTTTTGGGAAAGGCACTTGGCATGATTCCATCTTTCCTTTCTTTTAAGAAATATACCCAACCTAGTGTTTCAAAATGAGGACATCCTCCTCAGAGTAGTCACCTTTGGAAGGGAATCACTGTGCCCAAATGTTGATCTATTAGAATAGCCCATAGAGTGTTTCCAAGGTGCATACTGTCACCACTTTGGGGCAATGGGCTAGGATGTAAGCCTCATGAGAGAAAAGACCATGCTGCTCACATCTTTGTGCATTCTCACCAAAAGCCAGATTAATCTCTATTTTTATCACCAGAATTGGATGCAATTATTTGAGTGATACAAGAAAGCAAATTCATCCACCAAGAAGGACAATCGCCATGGAGAATGTTACAATGGACACAAAGTCAGCAACATGAGAGACCTGCCCTATTCAATACTATTGCCTGCAGCTCTCCAACCGAAAGCGCTAAGCCCAGAAACAGGTACAACGTGGGCATTCCAATGCTAAAAGTATTGGACATGTTCAAGCCCTGATATCAATTTCAACAAGGAAGTCACATGCAACTTCCTATCACTGCAGAAGTTTCTGGATTAAATATCCAATATTGGTTTCCGAAAGTGATCACTTTGAAAGGAATAAGGGTTTTATGAACATCTGTGCTGGGACGTGACTTGGACCAACCCAGTGAGTGTTTCTGTATAGTGCCATCTGCTGCTCCCAGATCAGACTGAGATGGCATTAAGTGAGCACAAAACCAAAAATCTAGGATGAAGGAGATGGAAAGTTTCCAGGTGGTCAGTTGGTGATAGCATGAAAATGAGATTCTAGCAATATGGAGAAGAAGCTGACATAGATAAATCAGTGCAGAACATCTGTGCCTTAGATGCCATAGAAATGCTCACAGAGAAGGGAGATAGGACAGTTACAGTTGTTTTCCTTTTTTAAAGCAGTGGAAAGAAACTTTGAGAACTTAGAGTCCAAGTCAATGAATATTTGAGTATCTTTAAACTCCAGTCCCTGTACTAGGTGCTGGGCAGCTGCTGTCTCTATGTCCATGGAGCCTGGAGTCTCCTTTGGAAGACACACAATCAAGGTTACTTTTTACAAATTGCAACCTGTGACAATGCATGAGACAGAAGAAGATTAAAACTTTCGCCTCTGGTGGTGGAGTTTTGGATCTACTGAAGAGCAGTTTGAAACAGGTCTAGACTTTGATGTACCCGTGAGAAGAGAGAGTTACAGGTTATTTCTAAAGGGTGTTATCAGAACAAGTCATGGCACTCAACAAGGTTCCTCTCCTCCTACCCAATACAAACCTTAAGGGGGATCATCCAATGGTCCCTGTTTATAACAGCACAGAAGCCAAAGCCAGCTCACCACCTGTTTTTGTTCATCAAGTTTTGCTGGAATCCAGCCTTACTCATTGGTTTGCACAGTGTCTGTGCTATTTCCACACTATATCGGCAGTGAGTAGTGAAGACAGCAGCTGTACAGCTGCTAAACCAACAATATTGACTATCTGGCCCTTTACAGAAAGAGTTGGCCAACTCTTACTTATATAATAGCAGCATACATTGCAGAAAAAAGAAACAAAGGCTCATAACTATACATCAGGTATAGCAGGTGTAAGGTGATATTGCAACACCAAACAAATGGAACTGAATACAGAGATACAGTTACACTTTCCTTTAAGTTTGCTATCAAGTTGCTTTCTAAGAATGTATGGAGTGGCTTTTTATAATGTATAATTGATCACTTAAAATTCCAATTGTTTTTCTGCTGTACAAACATTTCTATTGTGTCTTGGCCTTCTTGTGAAGTGGAGAAACAGAAACATCGTCTATGTTGTATTGCTATCACGGTTCCCTGGCCATCTGCATCTAACTGTAAAATAAACAGCTCTCCAGAAGCACCTATGCAAATATGAGCACATTCTTCTACTGATATAATTTGCATTAAGCTGAATCATTTCCCAGAATAAATTCCAAGGGTATATAATTTTAAACTCCAATTATGGCAGTTGTTCTAAAATGGGTTTATCCATAAAAGAGGCAGGTCCTTTACTAATTTACACAAAATTTTTCACAAGGCTGATAATTGAAGTTCTAAAGGCAATGAGTTTAATTATAATGCCACCTGTCTTGATATCAGATGAACTGTTTACTTTGGAAATAACAGTAAAGTAGGTTAATTTTTCTTTCAAGGAAATTTTCCAAAGCATCATGGAAGTGTGGATATAAAGTATTTCCCTCTGCATTTATAACAGGTACTCATGGTCCAAGAAATTCTTGTCATTGACAATTGACAGACTTCTCTAAGTAAAGTTTATCTCTTTATTTTTGGATGGACAGGATTTGGATTCTAGTTTTTTAACTCACCAAAAAGCACCCCTTTCTAGTGTGCTGAGTTAATACAAGGACAACAGAACTAATAAATCCAAGATATCTCTGTGGAGATAGAGAGAGCAGCTGCCCAGCACCTAGTACAGGGACTGGAGTTAACAGACACTCTTTATCTTCAACAAAGAGTTGAACAAGGACTACAAAATCCCTATGTCTCTTTTATAATTAAAAATTGAGTACTCAGAATCATATCATTTAGCTAAACTATTGTCTGATGGAGTGCACGTGTTTTAAGAAACAGCCTTGCATTCCAGAAAAATGAAGTTGATGATATTTCTTGAAATTAGAAACACATTTTCTGCATCATGGTTGTACCAGGAGGATCTTAGTTTCTTAAAAGTGGCAAAGGATAGTCAAAGAAACATGCAGCTCCAAATATATATATATGATATTGCATATAATATAGATTACATATATTATATATCTATATGATAAATTATATATGAATATATGATATATTATGTATTGTATATTTATATGATAAATTATATATAATATATAATATATTATATGATATATAAGTATATTTGATTTAATTTAATTATTTAATTTAATTTATTTATAATTAAATATATTTATTTATAATTAAATATATTTATTTACAAATAAATATATTATTGTATGCATTATATCTATTATATATTAATTATGATATATTATTTATATGTACATTTCCAAATGTGCTCTTAGCTCTTGTTAGTATAGGTTTTAAAGATTTTTTGGACTGATTCCTTGAAAGAAACCTCCTTGAATTTTTATTTTAATGGTAGAAATATCTTGATGACTTCATGGTAAATTAAGATGTAGAAAGAGAGCCGTATTAAGGCAGGACCCCTCAACACTGGCGAAACATAAGACTCTCCTGGAGAGGTTTTTAAATCCTGATGCCCAGCCCACAACCTGACCCAGGTGCACCTGAATGTCTATGGGTGGGTCTCGGGCGTGAGCTTTTTTTCACATTCCAACAGTCAAGTTAGAGTACCCTGGACAGAAGTAAATCACAGCCATCAAAATTAAAGGCCATGAATAGAATATATAGTAAGGGACAGATTCATTACAAAGGACCTCAGCAAATGAGCATCAGTCATTTAGTAACAATGCCTTGTTATAAATACAGCTTCAAAACCATTTGTTTGAAATCCACATCTTCACCTTCACTCCATGGCCAAGACTTCTAAGTACCTAGCAACATGCCAAAGTCAGTCATTTGTCAGCTTTCTGCCAAATTTGAGAACTGCAATATGGTAGTGTGGAAAGAGGGCTTGCCTTTTGGGAAACAGACCCTGGAATTTTATAGGAACAGCTTCTGAAAAGCCAAAAAGATGGGGTAAGAAGCTAAGCTCAGAGACAGGGCAGACAGTCTCGCCCAAACCACAGGAACGAAGTTAGGGATTGACACCCATCTATAGTCAGTCCTCTGGAAAACATACCTGTGGCCACATTAACCTGAAATGTGCTCTTTTTGAGAGCGAGAACAATGATTCCAAAATATTAATAATTGTTACTTGACTAAAGTTTGAACATCAAGACCGTGTATTAAAATTCATTGCTAGAGGCCGCCCTAAGAATAATTCCTGGAAGTTGCCACGCTGCTAATATGTGTGATTAGCAGCGTGGAATGCTGTGTGACAACAGCTGACTGCCTCCCTTCAGTTTCGTGGGGAAAGAACACAGCATTAAATCTCATTTAAGTGGCCCCAGAAAAGGTAATTGATCACATGTACGTGAACATTTTTTTATCAAGAGGAAATTTGGGCCAGGTGCAGTAGCTCACACCTGTAATCCCAGCACTCTGGAAGGCCAAGGTGGGTGGATCACCTGAGGTCAGGAGTTCAAGACCAGCCTGGCCAACATGGTGAAATCCCATCTCTACTAAAAAAAAAAATACAAAAAAATTAGCCAGGCATGGTGGTGCACGCCTGTAGTCCCAGCTACTCAGGAGGCTGAGGCAGGAAAATCACTTGAACCCGGAAGGTGGAGGTTGCAGTGAGCCGAGATTTCACCACTGCACTCCAGCCCGGGCAACAGAGTGAGACTCCATCTCAAAACAAAAACAAAAACAAAAACAAAAAAAGGAGGAAATTTGTTTCACAGGCATAGAATCCACGAGAAGAGGTATCATGGTTGACAGTGTCTGGCATCCTCATTAATGACTCCAGAGAGACGCCAGTGACTGAACATGGCAGAGGACAGAAACCTCATGTTGTGGCTATGCATAAAGCAGAAAGGTCCTTCCAGAAACAGTGCTTCCAAATTCCATTTTAAGAATGCCCCATCATTTCCCGGCCAGATCGCCCCTGACGAGATATTGCACTACCAACAGGAAGACACCGTTGAATGCATTCTGGACAAAAGACAGGTCTGAGAGTTCACATGGATTCTGGCAAGGGAAACGTATGATTTGGCCACTGGCTCAGAAAACAGAGTTTTGGAAATATAAGAAGAAATTAAACATGACGTACTGAGCTAATTACCCAGGACACACACTGTGAATCATTACACAAGATGCATTCTCCGTACAAGGCAGTGCTGGATGTAGACGTGACTCTAACTCATTATATTACTGTCTTCAGAGGCAAACATACTACTTGCTGGGTTTTTTTCCTCTCTGCATGAATGTGACAGGGAATATAAGTGTGCCCTTAGTTCTTGCATATTTGTGATGTTTTCTGATTCTCCCTCTCTCCCTCCACGTTGATTGACATTTTCCTTTATCTTGCTTTTTATTTTATTTTTATTTTTTGTACAGATGAGTTCTCGCCATGTTGTCCAGGCTGGTCTTGAACTCCTGGGCTCAAGCCATCCTCCCACCTCAGCCTCCCAAAGCGCTGAGATTACAGTCATGAGCCACTGAGCCCAGCAGACATTTTCCTTTATCTTTCTATTGAATTTGATAGGATTGATCATTATGCCTTTGAAATTCTCTTCTGGCTTGTCATGCGACATTTTGGTTTCATAGACTCTAACTCAGTACCTTGCATACTCCATAAATAGTTGTTGGATTGATGAATGAATAAAGTAATTCATTAATTATCCCTTTTTTTCCATATTCTTCTCCTTCCTTTCTGTCTTCTTTGTTTTACCTGTATTGGCTTAATTACCACTTCCTTTACATAATCTCTGGATGATCCTTAAGACTCATCACTCGGCTGTTTTCCCATCTTTGGATGCCTCATCCATTCTCATTTCATGACATTATGATCAGCAGAATGGGTGGGTGCAAAGATCTACTACAGGCAACAGAGAATAAGGGCAGGAGTCATCCTCACGGGCTGTGAGGAAACAGGTAGAACTGGGGAGTGTGGGCAGACAGGATTTGAGACATGATTTGCTGAGCTGGGAGGTCACTTCTAAGCAGTACAGGAGGTAGCTAGATACTACAGGTGAGCACAGTTATGAAAGGTAAGACAAGCACTAACTAGGGTAGCAAGCTAAGATGGGAGTTTGGTTAATCAGTGCTGGAAACCAGGAAGACAAGAGAAAATATGGCATGCATGTCAGAGGTATGGTTTCCACATGCCAGATTCCACAGGGCATATTCTGCCGGGCATTGACCAAGGACCCCACTGTGGCAGACCAAGTATGCATCGCCTTTGAAGGAATACACAAGGTAAAGATTCCATTATAATTTTCAGCCTTTAACTATTCACTGGTGGAACTATTGCTCTTCAAATACCCTGGACATTTAGAATTTAGCCTTCTCCCATCACCTTAAGTAACCTATAACTAAACTCACACACTACTGATTCTGATTGAGTCTTTGCAAACTTATTTAGTAAAACTTATTTGGAACCCCAAATCAATATCTACAGCAGTTTTGAGGTCATTTGCTGGCAAACGCAGAGCAGTAAAAAATTCTAGTCACCTGATGCATAGGTTCCCAGCTGAGGTTGAATAAGGAGACACTTTGCCTTCTTGTTTCAACCCTCAGACCTAAAACAAGTATCCTTTTTTATATCAATATAGTGGCACATTTTCCACATTTTTGTGCTCTTTGTTGGTGACTTTCCTTGTTTGAAACAGCTCCCAAGAGTAGACTGCTGCAGTGCTGTCTAGAGTTCCCATGTTCAAGAAGGCTGGGATGTGCTGTA
This sequence comes from Homo sapiens, assembly GCF_000001405.40. Classification (NCBI taxonomy): domain Eukaryota; kingdom Metazoa; phylum Chordata; class Mammalia; order Primates; family Hominidae; genus Homo; species Homo sapiens. The sequence continues at coordinate 6,890,697 of NC_000023.11, forward strand.
TAGCGAAAATACATGTTAGAGACGCTTTGTTCAGGATGAGTCATAGTGCTGTTGGCTGTGGAGTCCACGTGAATAAATCAACAATATACATGCCACAAGGTGTCTTTAAATGGAAATACAGTCCAGGCATGGTGGCTAATGCCTGTAATGCTAGTGCTTTGACAGGCTGAGGTGGGAGGATCACTTGAAGCCAGCAGATCAAGACCATCCTGGGGCACATGATGAGGCCTCATCTCTCCAAAAAAAAAAAAAAAAAAAAAAAAAAAAAAATAGCAGGGCATGGTGGCACACACCTGTAGTATCCTAGCTACTCAGGAGGTCAAGGTGGGAGGATCACTTGAGCTCAGGAGTTGGAAGCTGCAGTGAGCTGATTGCACCACTACACTCCAGCCTGGGGACACAGAGAGAACCTGTGTCAATAAATAAGTAAATAAATAAATCAACAGAAATACACATAAAACAATGTTATGTATTGATCAGTTGATGAAAATGTAACCAGAAGTTCCCAGGAACCTAACTCTGTATCTTCCCCTAGGAGCAATATTCAATATTTGCTAATTCAATGTTTAGGATGACATATAGAGTATCACTTCCATGAATAACAAGAATCAACTGTGCTCTATTTTCCCAGCATTTGTTTCCCAACCTCCTGCACTAAGGTGCAGCCTGTCTTTCATTGCTATGCCTTCTTTCACCTGCAAGCTAACATGTGGTTTCTACAATTCTCGATTCACAGGCTCTCTGCCTTCCCCTTTCTTTCCATTCTCAAAGCAATCCTCCCTTCCTGGAACCTATTTGATAGCTGAATCATTGCCATCTGATAGGAGCTGTTCTCCCCAGCTCCCAACTCCTTTCTCCTCTCTGTCAGCCTGGACAAGGCATTGCCCTCTGTTCTTGCACAAGCCATTGCCCTCTGCCTTGGACAAGTCATTGCTCTCTGTCCTTGCACAAGCCATTGCCCTCTGCCTTTCCACAAGCCACTGCCTTCTGCCTTGGACAAGTCATTGACTTCTGCTCTTAGTGTCCTCCACCTTCCCTTCCACCCAGTGAGATGTATCACCATCTGCAGAGTCCAGTGGAAGGGGCACCTCTTCCATGAAGACCTCTATGGTTCCTACCTTCCGCTTTCCCTTATCCCCATACTCTCAGAGGTCCTATGGTCCAAGGCACTAATGTAATAAACTAACCGAGTCAACTTTCTCAACCAAGTCAACTTCCTCATCAGTTTGGACAGATCCCATGGCCAAGCACTTTTTATGGGAAGAACCGGTAACCTCTTTGTGCTTCTTGGGATTGTCCACAGCACTCAGCACAGTTGCTGATTGAACTTTGCTCCTGTTTCCATCAAATTGAGACTTCCTGCAATTAGGGTTGCAGGACAAAATATAGGATACTCATTTACATTTCATTTTCAGATAAACAACAAATGCATTTTTTAGAATTAGTCTAACTCAAATATTGCTTGAGATATACTTGTACTTAAAAATGATTTGTTGTTCATATAAAAACTCAAATTAAATGTGGTGTTCCATATTATCATTTGCCAAGTCTGATAACCCTACTGCTATGGACTGAGTTGTGCTCTCCACAAAATTCTTAAGTTGGAACCTGTATTAGTCTGTTCTCATGCTGCTGATAAAATCATACCCGAGACTTGGTAATTTATAAAGAAAAAAGAGGTTTAATGGACTCACAGTTCCACGTGGCTGGGGAGGCCTCACAATCATGGTGGAAGGCAAAAGGCACACCTTACATGGCAGCAGACAGGAGAGGACTTGTGCAGGGAAACTCCCCTTTATAAAACCAACAGCTCTCATGATACTTATTCACTATCATGAGAACAACACAGGAAAGACCCGTCCCCATGATTCAGTTACCTCCCACCAGGTCCCTCCCACAACACATGCGAATTGTGGGAGTTACAACTCAAAATAAGATTTGAATGGGGACACAGGCAAACCATATCAGAGCCCTAACCTTCAGTGTGGCTGTATTTGGAGATAGGGCCTATGAGAAAGTGATAAAGGTTCAATGAAGTCATAAGGATGGGACTCTAATTCTATAGGACTAGTGCACTTACAAAAAGAGGAAGAGACAGCAGAACTCTCTCTTTCCACCATGTGAGAGGGCACAGCAAGAATGTAGCCCATCTGCAAGTCAGCAAGGGAGCCCTCACCAGAAACCAACTCTACTGATCCTTGGTCTTGGACTTCCAGCTTCCAGAACTGTGACAAAACAAGTATCTGTTATTTAAGCCACTCAGTCTGTGGTATTTTTTTATGGCAGGCTGTGCTGATTTATATACCTACTGACAAGTTTTTAATTTTTGCTATGTCATTGGGGAAAAAAAACTACTTTATAAGGAATACAAAAGTAGCAGATTTCTAGCTTCTTAACTGTGAAGTGGAAACATACACAATTAAAAGATTTAAACCTTAGTGAGGAAATTATTATCAAAGGTAAATGTATAGAAAGCAATCTGTAAATATCATGGCTGAGGAGACACAAAATGTGATCCAAGTCAGGTTAGATGAATTGATGCTGATGCCAAGGACGTGACCTTGAACCCGATTTTGGAGGAAGAGAGAACCAGATTTTTAGAGAAGTCAAGGAAAGGTAAACAAATGCCCTGGAGAAGCTAATGTAGAAATGATCACATGAATTCATTCATGTCTTGCTCTTCCACGTCACTGTCACTGATGTGTTATTGTTTGTTTTTACCATTTTCCCCCTAAAATATCAAGAAAAGTGTTCATGGATTGTGAATTACAAAGCCTGATACAATTAGTCACAAGGGACCATTATGAGTCCTTCTGCAAATGTCTGCAAGGGCCAGGGAAATAAAAAGTACTTACTTGTCTGAAAAAAGCAGGGAAGTAATTAATCACTATATGGTAGTATTTATGCATGCTATGAAGATGATTCCCTAGGATGAAAATTCCTATTGGTAACATTATTCTATGCAACCATTATTAACTTAGTTAGAAAGGCAAATTTAAAAAATTTAGAGCCCTACAGAAATACCATTTGACCCAGCAATCCCATTACTGAGTATATACTCAAAAGAATCTAAATCATTCTATTACAAAGATACATGCACATGTATGTTCATTGCAACACTATTCACAATAGCAAAGGCATGGAATCAACCCAAATGCCTGTCAGTGATAGACTGGATAAAGAAAATGTGGTACATATACACCATGGAATACTATTCAGCCAGAAAAAGGAACGAGATCATGTCCTTTGCAGCGACATGAATGAAGTTGGGAGCCATTATCTTTGGCAAACTAACACAGAAACAGTAAACCAAAGACTGCTTGTTCTCACTTACAAGTGGGAGCTGATGGATGAGAACACATGGACACGTGGAGGGGAACAACACACCCTGGGGCCTGTTGGAGTGGGGGATGGGAGAGGGAGAGCATCAGGAAAAATAGCTAAGGGATGCTGGGCTTAATACCTGGGTGATGGGATGATCTGTGCAGTACACCACCATGGCACATGCTTACCTATGTAACAAACCTGCACATCCTGCACATGTACCACGGAGCGTAAAATAAAAGTTGAAGGAAAAAAAAATTTAGAGCCTTAGGACCAATTAACTCTCAAAATCCCCAGTAAAGGGATGCAGGTATTGTCATACATTTGGAATGGTTGTTCTCTGCTGGCTTTACTCCTAACCACAACCACCTCCACAAATACAGCAAAGAAACTCATCTAATACAATCTTTCATAACAAGAGCTTCCAAAGATTTCAGCTCTCAATTCCTTCAGTGATGTTTCTGTAGCGGAGACGTGCAAAGTTTATCTGCCTCAGCTCTTGGAGTGAGATTTGTGAGACAATGCAAAGTCCTATTTTTGTATCACAAGTCTGACATCAGCTCCATTTTCTGAGAACAAACAGCCAAAAAAGACTCACTGGAGCAGTTTGCAATCATTTGTGTGAAGTGGATCTCCAGGCTAGTCCTCAGGTTGATAAAGGTATAGGAACAGGACAGCAGAGCCAAGGATGGTGTGGGGGGGTTGGTTTTGATCTCTCAAAAGGTTCCATCTGTTACAGAGGCTACTTGGAGGAACTCACATGTACCCCAAACCAGGGAATCAGTCGTTCGACCCTGAAAAGGATGCATGGGTTTCTTTCTTTGTTTCTAAATCTATTTATGTGGGAAGTCTTGAGATAGCATACAAAATTAAATGATGCTTTCCAAAGTGCACGTTTCAACAATTACTTCAAAAAAGAGGGTGTGTTTGGTCTCCAGTAGGTTGCTGTTACTACTCAACAGGCCAGATACAGTTTCTTGTCTAAATGCTGACCACCAGAAAAGCCGACTGCTATTTCTGATCATGGGTGCAAAGAGAGAAAGTGCAGGAATCTCAGAATAGGCTGACTGTCGGTCCTGAGGAGGTGGGCTGTTAGTTGGGAAAGTGATTAAAAATATTTTATATTTGCAAGAGAGAAGATAAAACAAGAGTGTAGAATATTTAATTTCCCACAACTACCACCAAATATTGTGTAGGCTGTATATAATATATATATATACTATATATTCTTCATATTTATTGTATGTAATTACTATATATTATATAATTAACAAATGTAATACATTTATTGGACATAATTATTATATATACTATTATATATTACTATAATATCTAATATTTTTAGTACTATTTATTTATTATACTATTACTATTTGTTATTTACTATTATTAGCAAATAATAGTAATTTACTCATTACTATTAGTAAAATATTAGTAATATAGTAATTATACATAATACTAATATGTTATTATATTTTTTCTCTAGAGAAGCCTGACAATTTAAAATTCATTTTTAAATTTCAAAATCACCTACCACCTTGATATATAAGCTAAAATAAAACTGCCTGCTATTGGTCCCCAAGGAATGAGTCAAATTGCCAAACTCTAAACTCATATAAACACTGTGAAGGGATAAATCTAAGCAGATAATAAGCAGATCAAAATAAAAAGTAGATCAAATAGTTTTCCTTAATAAGACTGCCTTAGTCCATTTGGGCTGCTATAATAAAATACCATAGACTAGGTAACTTAAAGAAAACGGACGTTTATTGCTCACAGCTCTGGAGGCTGGGAGTCCGAGATCTAGCCATGGCAGATTCAGTGTCTGGTGGGGACTCGCTTCCTAGTTCATAGACGGCGCCTTCTCACTATGTCCTCACGTGGGGGAAGGGGCGAGGGAGCTCTGTGGGGTCTCTTTTATAAGGGCACTCATACCGTCCATGAGGCTCCACTTTCATGATAGCATCACCTCCCCAAAGCCCTACCCTCTAATACCAAAACATTGTGGGTGAGGATTTCAATATAGGAACTTGGGGGAACACAGATGTTCAGATTATAGCAAGGACCTTTTCATTAGTGGATTTGTGAAATCGCTACAATCTACCTCAACAGGCAGGAGTTTAGAATCCTACTCCAGTTTATATTATAGGCTGAAACTTGATTTTTTTTCTTTAGCAGCAGATTATTGAATGGGTTGTTATGCATTGAGTTGTTGTCGTTGATCTGCACTTTCATTTCTTGCTCTTTAATGGGCAGTAATCACGTGGAGAAGACCCTTGAGCGCATCTTCAGTCTCAGATGAGTCCCTCTTGAGGCCGAGTGAATTTGAACATCTAATGTAGTAACAAAGTGCTAAGGTCCTTAACATTGTTTAAATGGAAAAGTAAATGTTTTCCTTTGCCTGAACATTAGATTGTTTTACCTGTGCATCTTAGCACTCACAGAAGGGCAGGTAATGCAATATGGAAGTGCCTATACATTGCACTTGAATGCTGGTGGATGTCCTAGCTCTATTTCAAGGACCAAGGGATGCTGGCCACTGTCTAAGGCGGATGTGCAATTTCACCCTTCAATGTGGTTAATTGGTTTGTCCCCATATGTGATGTAGCCAGGAGCTCCCTTCACCTTCCTCCTGCAGTATAACACAGGTGAGTTTTTTTTTATTTTTTATTTTCTGCTTCACAGAAGATGTCTTGAGAGTCCTGGACTTGGAGTTAAATTTTAATGTGACCCTGGTACATGGAGATGTAGACTTTTCTGTCTCCGGGCTGTTCCGGCCTTTGCTTCTACAGAGTTGTTAGGGATGATAGATGTGGCGGGACAGAAGACTGCTAACACATTCTGGGGTTTGTTTGTTTGTTTTTTTAAATTCTGAGTAGTATAATTATTGCAATTCCATTGTTTGGGAGTTTCTGCTAAGTATTTTATAAGCCTGTTTTTAAAGCCAGGCTTAAATAACATATATCACCAGGTCTATGTAGTTGGTGAATATAAGAGTTTGTGGTTTAGATGTGTTGGGGTTGTTGGCCATGTTCATAAGGTAGTAAAAACCCCGGGACAGACCCATTGCTTGCCCTAATCCTCAGATGGCTATGGTCTCCTTTCTTAGGATGTCAGGAGTAGAAGTCAGCAAGTCAGGAAGAGGGCAGACAGCACATCATAGGGAGAGAAAGCTACTCCACTGCTAGGTAATTTAAACATCATTTGTAGAAAACCAATATTTCTACATGACATAACTCAATAGTGTTTGATTTCTTTAGTGTATATATGATTCTTAAAATTATAATATACTTGTGTGTGTGTGTGCACTGCCAGATAGATATTGGAGTAGACTCCAAAATCTCTATATATTATTCAGCATTTAACAGAAGAAATCAAAATACTCCTTGCAGTAGCCCCTTGCAGCCATGGTCACAGGATTCACGATTCAACATTCATTTTTCTCTTGTAGGATGCAGTTTGTCTTGGTTCAACACAGAGTGTCTCAAGTCAGACTGTTGAATTTCAGTCCATCATGAACTAGTGTCTGTGACCTTGGGCAGGTCGTTTAACTGCCCCCTGCCTCAGTTTCCCCATCTTAGTCTATTCAGGCTGCTATAATGAAATACCATACACTAGGCAGTTTCTAAACAGCAGACATCATTTCTCATGGTTCTGGAGGCTGGAAGTCCAAGATCAAAGTGCCCGCAGATTCAATGTCTGGTGAGTCCCCACTTTCTGATTCATAGGCGGCAACTTCTCACCGTGTCTTCGCATGGTGGGAGGTGTAAGGGAGTCCTCATGACTTTATCACCTCCCAACGGCTCCACTTCCTGATACTATCACCTTAGGGGTGAGGATTTCAACATCAAAAACTTGCAGGGGACACCGACGCTCAGAGCACAGCATCTCCTCTGCAAAAAGGGATTATATTTGCACCTGGGGCATTGTAGGTTTCACATAGAAGATGAGATATGTAAACCCTGCATGGAGAGAAGTACTTCACGCATAGTAGGTGCTCACTCACTCTCTGGTAGCCAATATTATTATTCAGGGTATCATGCAGTGGCACTTTGAGAAGACCCTGTGTCTTCCTTCTGCTGTCACAGCCACCTGCAGTGAGATGTGAAGGTGAAAGGGCTGAGGAAGGGAGGCTAAGCCCATGGAGCCCAGGGAGCACATGAGTCCACAGGTCTTCCTGGTTGCTCCATGTTCTGAGCATCCTCAGCTCCCCATCATGGAAGTAGACACCTCTTGAAGGCAGCTGCATAAATGCAGAAATAACACCTGGCCATCTTTCAACTCAACTCTGTTTTTCTTTCGGCAAAAGACATGTCAAGATTCATCGAGTTCATGCATTTTTATTTTTTCAACATCAGAAGGTTTCAAACACAGAGAAGCCAAACACAATTGCTGATTTTCTGGTCTTGCCTTAAACAACCCCAGTTATTATTGGAAGGCCTAGATTTGATTAATGGGTATGATCATGGGTTCATCCTTCTGCTTATCCAACGAGGTGACTCTGGTTACTTTTTAAACAACTAAAGCAGGGGTCAGCAAATGTTTTCTGTCAAGGGCCAGATTGCAAAATTATTTTTGGCTCTGTCGGCCACAGGGTCTGTGTCAAAGTATTCCACTCTGCCAGCTTAGCAGCAAAACAGCCACAGGCGACACAGAAAGGGATGGGGCAGCTGAGGACCAATAAAGCTTTTTTTCTGGACACTGAAATTTTAATTTCACAGAATTTTTGTGTGTCAAGAAATATTCTTCTTTTGATTCTTTTTTGCCAATCATTTAAAAATCTAACAACCATTCTTAGCTTGTAGGCAAGAACACTGAAAGGAGGTGGTGGGCTGGATTTAGCTTTTGGGCCATAACTGTCCAAGTGATGGAATCCACGCTTCTCTTCAGTATAAGAGTCCAGGGTCTCTAAGATTTCTGTCTTACTATCCTACCCAAGAGAAGGTCTTTCTTACCCCTTCATTTGCACCTACTTAAATCCAGTCCTAAGAGGGCTGGTTGAAGATCCACTTGTTCTGTGTAGCCTGTCTAACTCCCTCCAGTCTCTTTAACCACATTTATAAACATCTGTCAATCGCTCAGTGTGACACAGGCTACTGTCATATTTATAAATTTCTGTCAATCACAGGGTGTGACACACTCATCATAAAGACAACTGCAATGGCTTTGAAGATGGGCCAAACAGGGTTTGATCTCCAGCTCTTACTGGCCACTTCAAGTCTTTGTTTTCCTGTCTATACAATCATCATCATAATACATACTTGGTAAGATTGTTATTGTGGGCCGGGTGCACTGGCTTACGCCTGTCATCCCAGCACTTTGGGAGGCCGAGGGAGAATTGCTTGAGCTCAGAAGTTAGAGACCAGCCTGGGCAACATGGCAAAACCCTGTGTCTACAAAATATACAAAAATTAGCATGACCCATGCCTGTAATCCCAGCTACTCGGGAGGCTGAGGCACAAGAACTGCTTGAACCCAGGAGGCAGAGGTTGCAGTGAGCCGAGATCACACCACTGCACTCGAGTCTGGGTGACAGAACAAGACTTTGTCCCAAAAAAATTTTTTTAAGATTGTTATTGTAAGGATTTAAACAAAGACAGTACATTTAAAACACCCTAAATGATTTTAGCTCGTAAAACAAATCTGTGATAGAGATGATGATGATGATGATGATGATGATGATGATGATGAAGATGAACTGTAACCATGTACGATAATTTTGGTTAATTGATGAACTTTGTAAATTTGAAATCTCTATCCCTCCATACTAACGCTGACTGTGGCTATATCAGATGGAAATGCCCCTTCTGGATGAAAAATGTTTAAAGTCCCCAAATATGAATCCCTCTCAAACTGCTACTTCAGGCCTAACTGGAAAAATTAAGATATTAAAATCTTAATATCTTAAGATATTAGGTGCAGTGGCTCACACCTGTAATCCCAGCACTTTGGGAGGCCAGTATAGGGGGATCACTTGAGGCCAGGAGTTCAAGACCAGCCTGGGCAACATAGTGAGACCGTGTCTTTACAACAAATAAAACAATATAGCCTAGCATGGTGGTGCATGCCTGAAGTCCCAGCTACTGAGGAGGCTGAGGTGGGAGGATCACTTGACCCCAGGAGTTTGAGGCTGTAGTGAGCTATGATTATGCCACTGCACTCCAGCCTGGGCAAGAGAGCAAGATTCTCTCTCTAAAAAAATAATAATAATCTGTTTCCTTACAGTAGTCATTTATAAATAGAGCTATTTTTTTCCCCTAAAAAACTGGAGGAAATGACTGATGACATTTTTGGTTGTCACCACTTGGGGGGGGGGGCGCTGCTACTGGCATCTGGTGGGTGGAGGCCACAGATGCTGTTGAACATCCTACAATGCACAGGATGCTCCCCGCCTCCAACTAAAACATGATGTGTCTCCAAATGGCAATGTAGTACCAAGGTTGAGAAATCTGTTTTACAAAAGAGCAAGAAAGTGAGGTAGTAAAAGAGAGAGGGAAGGAGAGAGAAAGAGAGAGGGAGACGGAGAGGGAGAGAGGGAGAGAAGGAGAGAGGGAGACGGAGAGGGAGAGAAAGAGAGAGAGAGAGAGAGAATGCTAACAGGCATTTCCTTCCCTTTAAGTAACTTTTTCAGGAAATTAAATCACTGCTTTTAAATCGCTATGGCGTAAAAGGACTCTGTACTTTCTTTTTTAGAGAGGGAGTCAACCACTGAGGACACGAGGGCATACCAGATGACCAATTTTTTTTGTTTTTTTGTTTTGTTTTGTTTTGTTTTTGAGACGGTGTCTAGCTCTGTTCCCAGGCTGGAGTGCAGTGGTGCGATCTCAGCTCACTGCAACTTCTGTCTTCCAGGTTCAAACAATTCTCCTGCCTCAGCCTCCTGAGTAGCTGGGACTACAGGCATGTGCCACCACACCCAGCTAATTTTTGTATTTTTAGTAGAGACAAGGTTTCACCATGTTGGCCAGGATGGTCTCCATCTCTTGACCTCGTGATCCGCCCGCCTCGGCCTCCAAAAGTGCTGAGACTACAGGCATGAGCCACTGCGCCCGGCCGACCAATTATTTTTAAATTGCTCCATGGGGACTAATACAGGACTTGACCCAAAATGAAAAGATAAGCTTTCTCATCAGCTGGACAACTTTTTGCTGGAGTTGGAACAGTCTGTCTGTGTCTCATAGACACTGAACAAATGGCTGCAGAGATGATGTAAGATCAGATCAAATATAAATCTGATCCTAGATATCATTGGGCCTAGGGAACTCTAACAAGATTTCTCTTAACATAATTGTAAAAACACTCAAGGAGATGCCTCCTATATTGGAAAGCCTAACAAAAGAGCAACGAAACATCTACAGCCAACGATCAAAGATAGGTTTCTTACAGGTAGGACGTCTACAGCTGAGTCAACAAACACTGATGCCAGGACACTCCTTACCTTGCTATCTTGTTTGTGTGGTTATTTAAAACCGTGTCTCTACCTGAAGGACAAACCCAGCCTTTCCACTTATTTACATGCTTGCTCCACGGGGCGCAGCCTGACCTGTCTCCTGGCTGAATCTGTTGAATAATGCAGTCGATAATAAGAATTCTCCACTCATCTGAAAAATAGCGATAACAATTTTCCAGATAGTCACACTATAATTAAAAGCCACTGGGTGCGATGCATCACTCTATCTAAATAACTATATCTAAATATAAGAGGAAACGGTATTGCCACAAAGACCCTGCATTGGGCAGGGAGACATGTGCAATATACAAATACTTGATTTTATAATTTTTTAAATTCCAGGAAAATGTAACTGGTTTCTTGCAAAGCTAGAGCTGGGCAGATCATGAGAAATACTCTTTTTTTGTTTGCTTGTTTTTTTCAGAGAGTGTCTTGCTCTGTCACCCAGGCTGGAGTGCAGTGGTGCGATCATAGCTCACCGCAGCCAAAAACTCCCAGGCACAAGCGATTCTTCCCCCTCAGCCTCCTGAGTAGCTGGGACGATAGGCACACACCATCATTCCTAGCTCATTTTAAAATTTTTTTGTAAAGATGGCGGGGGGCGGGGGTCTCACTGTATTGCCCAGGCTGGTCTCAAACTCCTGGCCTCAAGCAGTCCTCCTGCTTCAGCCTCCCAAAGTTCTGGGATTATAGGCAGGAGCCAGAAATACTCTTTTCCAACACTTGGGTTTCATAACTGGTAAACAGAAATCTCAAATGGTAAATTACATGCTAAAATCACATAGGTCTTGTGACCAGACAGTACTAGAAGCCAGTCTGTGTTCCCAATTCAATTCTGTTTCCCTCAACCAGGCTTGACCTTGGCACTATTAACACTTTGGGCTGGGCAATTCCTGGTGGAAGTGGCTGTCCTGTGTTATGTGGGATGGTTAGTGGCATCCTGGCTTCCACCTGTTAGACACTGTAACCAAATGCGTGTCCAATTGCTCACCAATTGCAGAGACCAGTTAGAAAGAGCATGTTCGGTATAAAGAAAGTGACTTTATTCCAGAACTTAGCTGAGGGGAAGAGGTAGAGGCTCCTGCCTTAAGGGTATTGCTTTGTATTTGGGGGCAGAGGGCAGGGGCTTTTAAAGAGGCACTGGGCGTAAATGGCATGCAAGGGAGAAGGCAAGGAGATGTGGGGTCTATGTGACTTGCTTGGGATGTCTTATCTATTTGGTGGTCTGGCTGGTGCCATCACTGGCAGAGCTAGCCTGTAAACTGACACAATCTCCTGGTGAGAGAGAGTTCCAGGGGGGCCTGGTTTGCTTCAGTGTTCGCTCTCTGGAACTTCTAAGTTAACACATAGTTACAAAAGCTTGCCATGTAGGGAGTGTCTGCTGGAGAGAAGGTAAAGGCTACAATTGCATTCCTAAAGAGCTAAGTAGGAGGAGGGGGAAAAAGGAAAAGAGGAAATTCATTTTTTTCTTTAAAAACAAGGTATTCGGTTACAATGTCAGTAATAGCTGTCCCCCTCCCCACCAAAATACATTTAAACATTAATAAATGTCCCCCAAGAAGAAAATCTCCCCACTTGAGAATCACTGCTCTAAATCTATCTTAACTTGACTATAATATTGAAAGTATGCTTCTAAACCCAATGATGCCACATGCAGCAATGTCACATTTCTGAAAACAAAGGTTCTATTGGCAAATGAGCATGAACTTCTTACAGCTAAATAATCCCATTTCAGCTTTTATTACAACCCATTCCTTAGGTATCCTCTTCAGGAATCCTATATAAGAAACTTTCAAATCACCTTTCACCTTCCAAAGAATTAATGATCTCCTTTGCTTTACTCTTTTTTCACTGAATCAGTCAGTGTCTCAGTGGCCCACAGACAGGGTAATGAGAGACAGATGTAGTCACAAAAGGTCTATTTATAAAAATGTGGGTGTACCTTTGACCCAGCAATCCCACTACTGGTTATCTACCCAAAGGAAAAGAAATCACTATATAAAAAAGACACCTGCACTTGTATGTTCATTGCAGCACTAGTCATAATAGCAAAGTCACAGAACCAACATAGTGTCCATCAATGGCTGACTAGATAAAGAAAATGTGGCATATATACACCATGGAATACTACGCAGCCAGAAAAAGGAATGAATTCACGTCCTTTACGGCAACATGGATGCAGCAGAAGGCCATCTATCTTAAGGGAATTAACTCTAAAATGGAAAATCAAATATTGCAGTTCTCACTTATACGTAGAAGCTAAACAGTGGGTCCACATGGATATAAAAATGGAAATAATAGACACTGGGGACTCAAAAAGAGGGAAGGGTAGGAGGGAGGTAAGAGCTGAAAAATTACCTATTGTGTACTATGCTCACTACCTGAGTAACAAGGTCATTTGTACCCCAAACCTCAGCACTATGGAATATACTCATGTAACAAACATGCACATGTACCCCCAAGTTTAAAAAATATATATATATTTATTTTTTTTTTTTTGAGATGGAGTCTCACTCCATCGCCCAGGCTGGAGTGCAGTGGCTCAATCTTGGCTCACTGCAACCTCTGCCTCCTGGGTTCAAATGATTCTCCTGCCTCAGCCTCCCGAGTAGCTGGAATTACAGGCACCCGCCACCGTGCCCAGCTAATTGCTGTATTTTTAGTAGACACGGGGTTTTGCCATGTTGACCAGGCTAGTCTCAAACTCCTGGCCTCAGGTGATCCATCCGCCTCAGCCTCCCAAAGTGCTGGGATTACAAGCATGAGCCACCACGGCTGGCCCTAAAATAATTTTTTTAATGTGGGTGTAGAACAGCTGTTCTCAACAGGAAGCGAGTTGTCAGTGTCAGGAGACATTTGGGTTTGTCACTGCTGTGGAGGGAGGTGATAGCAGCATCTGGTGAGTAGAGACCAGGGATGCTCCGAAACAGCCTACAATGCACACAGCACAGCCCTCCACACACAAACAAGAGTTATCCATCCCTAAACGTCAACAGGTGCCAAGGTTGAGCAACTGTGGTTTATAGGAACAAGGGGGAGCTGGCAATAACCCAAGGCCAGTAGCTACCAAACTGTCTCCACCACCAGGCTCAGAAGGATGAGGGAAGGAAGTCCAACTGGTACTGGAAATGGGGAGAGGTTTGTACTCTCAGCCATTCTGAGAGGAGCTGCGGCATTTGGTTGAGAGGCTCAGCCAAGCTCAACGTGCCCTGGAAGGGAGCAGCCAAGGGAAGAGATATATAATTCAATTCTTTCTTCTCCCCTGCTCACTGTCCAACTGGGGCTCCCCATTGGCCAAACTCTCCAGGACACCAGCAGTACAGAAGCCCTGTGGATGGTGTCCATGCGAGGCAGCCCAGGAGGGAGAGAAAGCAGGGCAAGAATGACAGACACACACACAAGCCCTCTAAGCACACTGAATTTTCTAGCATTGCACTGACTTATCTGATGCCTGAGGCTATTTCACTTCGGATTCCTGGATGCCAACACTCACTGTCCACTGCTCTGAGATCCTCATGGTCAATGCCTGTCCATCCCTGACTGCTTGAATAAATCCAACCACGGCTCTCTTCTTTACTTCATCTCCTTGGTAGTGCACTTTCTCACAGCTGCTTACATTCTTCTGAAGGTTGTATTGACATAGAAGAAAAAAGTCTAATCATCTTAACAGTGATAACTTGGATATTGAATCCTACAACTCTGTTTCTTAGAAAAATGTTGGATCTGAAGTCAGAGGTTTTGGATATGAGGCAGTGCTCTGACATTCACTGGACTCTGAGGCTCATATGTGTCCCAGTTGAGTAATCACAGGTTCCTTAACCCTGAGGTGCACTCAATGGCAACATCAGGATCATAGTAGCAAGTACAAAGGAAGATGACGAAGATTATACAAAGGTGTATTAATCCATCTTCACAGCACCATAAAGACATACCTGAGACTGGATAATCTATAAAGGGAAGAAGGTTAATTAACTTACAATCATGGCGCAAGGCAAAGAGAAAGCAAGGCAAGTCTTCACAAGGTGGCAGGAGAGAGAGAGAGAAGAGGGAAGTGCCAGATACTTATGAAACAACCAGATCTTGTGAGAGCTCACTCACTGTCCCAAGAACAGCATAGGGGAAATCCTCCCCCATGATCCAGTCACCTTCCACTAGGTCCCTCCCTCAACACATGAGGATTACAATTGGATTACAATTCAGGATGAGATTTGGGTGGGGACACAGCCAAATCATATCAAATGGCACACATATAGCGATCAGCCCAGAGACTTCGGTGTACAAAATAGCAAAGAGTAAGTATTATTTTCATGAAGAAAACCTCATGATTTCCATGAGGGAATCACATATAAGAGGTATCTTAAATGCAAAATAAAAACATTGCAATGATATTTATTATTTTTAATGCACTTACGCCCTAAGCCAAAGGTAAGATAGAATAATTTGAAACAATTTTCACCAATAACATTGGAAATTTTCCCTCTGGCTATGTTGAATTGTTTTCTCCTCTCCATTCCTCAGGAAGTAATCTTCATGTTCTCAAACTTGACGCATTCTATGCCTAAAACCTTTTCATCAAAACCTTTTCATTATCTTCCATGCGGCCCTATGCCCAAGGACATTATTCAAAGAGCTCAATGTGAGATGTTCCCATGCCATGGCTCTGGGGGGCAAGGTGTTGCATCTGGAGATAAGCCAGTTTGGAAACATCTGTTGTTTACTGCTGCTATTGGATATCCAAAAAGCACCTGCATGTTGACTCTCCTCCTGGTGGCCCTCTCAGCTTCATACCATAAGACACGAAATAATTGACGACAACAGGCACAAGTTTCCAATAACTTAGGGAAAAATTTAAAACACGACTCTAGGGACAGTGAGTTGCAAAAGACAGAAACTATATGAAGCCAAGAAGAGGAGATAAAGAAATGATTATGTATTCTCTCTGACCTCGCCCCCCAACCGTGTTTGCACTGAAAATTGCATTGAGTGTAGAGAAATGGTGAGATTTTAATTATGTGCTCTGTGCAGAGGCCTCGAACGCAGGCGCTTCTTGTCGAGAATCATCTACTGGCAGAGCGAAGATGCTATTGGACACTCCTGGAAACAGACATGCTGGGCATGAAGAAGCTAAACTGAGGCAGGAATGAGAGCTGTAAATTATCTGAAATTGCTGGGGAAGAGGCCCCAAAGCACAGAGAGGCATCAGCAACATCAAAGAGGGTATGACAACCCCAGTCCAATTTCAGCTGGGGGGAAAAGTAAAACAAAACAAAACAGACAGCCTGTTTCCAGACTGAGAGAACCACATGCCTAGCACATGTGGGAACATCAGACTGTAGCTGAGACACCTGTGGCAGCTTCCAGCACACTGAAAATGCAAACCCTATTGTGGAAGACATGGCTGGAAATGGTCCAGCTCCTTCCTGCTTCTTGGCTTCCCCTGAGGCACTAGGATTTTCTTTGCACTTTCTTGAATGTGCTAAGCAGTCGGTTTTGTTGCTGCTAAAACTTTCTCCTTTGAGTCTTAGGCACACTCCCTCAGTTTACTGGTCTCTACTTGATATGGTTTGGCTGTGTCCTCACCCAAATCTCATCTTGAACCATAATTCCCATAATCCCACATGTAATGGGAGGGAGACGGTGGGAGGTAATTGAATCATGGGGGCGGTTACCCCCATGCTGCTATTCTCATAACAGTGAGTGAGTTCTCACAAGATCTGATGGTTTTATAAGGCGCTTTCCCTGTGTTCACTCTGCACTTCTCCTTGCTGCCACCATGTGAAGAAGGATGTGTTTGCTTCCCCTTCCAACATGATTGTAAGTTTCCTAAGGACTCCACAGCCCTGTGGAAATGTGAGTCAATTAAACCTCTTTCCTTTACAAATTACCGAATCTCAGGTGTGTCCTTATAGCACCGTAAGAACGGACTAATACACTACTCAAACATTGTTTCCTTCATGAGCCGCTCTCCATGTCTGTCCCCACATGTGTCCATCATTCTCTATCCCTTACCCTGTTTTATCTTCTCCACAGCACTTAGTATGTCCAGGCATGCTACATACACATTTAATGTCAGTTTCCATGGAAGCTCCAGAGGAGAAAGCCCTGTTTTGTCTTCAGCTACAACCCAGTAGGGAGGAGCACCTCCCACAAAGTAAGAGCTCAATAAAGTCACTGTAGGAATGAATTAGACCTAAAGCAAGGTCTACTCTGGGGTTTTTCATTAAAGAAAGCAGATAACTCAATGGAAATACAAGTCTAGACCTGGCACATTGAGCTGGCTGATGTCAGGCAGGAAAACCTCTCTCCAGCTTCACTGGAGAGACCAGGATGGGCAAGAGGGTGAAGGGTACCCGCTTCCTAAGAGAAAAAGGCAAAGGGGGCAACATAAACAGAAAAGTAAGAAAAGGATGGAATGTTTCATGAGCTGCCAATATCTCACTTCCAAACTCCATGGGAGCAGGAACCCTGACTAATTTGTTCATTGTTATCTCCCCAGAGACTGCTTGGTCTTCACCTTCATCAGATGCTGGACAACATACTGGATGAATGAATGGATGTCATTGCAGACTCTAGCGACCTGCGAGGTCCAGCTTTGGGGCAAACAGCCACTAAATCAGGGCCACCCAGTACAATACAACCATAGCATGCCCGCATGGGCTTCTTTGGGGATTCCAGAGAAGGTGAAATTCTGAAAGTGAGAGAGAGCTGACACACTGCAAATAGCTAGACTAGCCTTTCCAGGAGACAGGGATTGATAAAACCCGAGCACTCCTACATATCACGTACTATTCTGTTTTAGTCTTTACAGTCCTGAATTTGTTTTTTAAATGAAGCACTGGAGGAAACAGTCGACAAGGCTGCCCCTCTTTTCTGATGCCAATTGCAAGCTCAAAGGTCCCTAAGAGCACCCTTAAGTTTGATGATTTGCTAGAAAGATGCACAAAGCTCACTGAAAGTTGTAATACTCATGCTTATGGTTTATTACAGGGAAGGGGTGAGAATTAAAAAGCAGTCAATGGACAAACAGCATAGGGCAGAATTCAGGAGAGTTCCAAATGTGGAACTTCCAGTGGTCCTGAACTTGTGGAGTCTTGAACAGTGTTACTTTTTGGACATAGATGTGTGAAAATAGTCATGGAATATGACAATAAGGGAAGCTCGCCTGAACCTTGGTGTCGAGTCTTCCTCAGAGCTCTATCATATAAAATTGGTTGGACACCTGTAACAGTAAAGAGAGGCTTAGCATGACTAAGCCTTAGCAGAACTGTAATATATTTGTTGTTTATAAGCCACTTAGTTGATAGTATTTTGTTATAGCAGCCTAAAAGAACTAATACAGACCTGTGGTTTTCCAAATCCATCATCTCATCAGATTATCTAGGGAGATTCCTTGTTCCCACTCATGACCTACAAAATCAAGCCTCCATGGCTAGACACCAGAAGCCGATAGCTGTAAGAACACCTCCAAGAGATTCTTGTGCCTGGACCAGGCCCTAATCCATAGATGAGAGCTTGGGAGTCTCTACTAAGTAGCTAGATATGAGATCAACTTGTATCAGTATCTCTGATCCAAAGATACCTGGATCTATGCTTTTCACTGAAAGAGACCCACATGCTTTAGACTGAAGGCATACAGATATCTAAATATCTTCTTATAAAAATCAGTATTTAATGAAAGCAATGTCTTAGTAAGTTCAAATATATATATTTTATCTGCCTTTTTTCTTTTTTGGAACTTTAAAAATCATATAATTAAAAGAATAGTTTGAAGCTTGTAATATGGTATTAAAAAAAAGAACAAAGCTGAAACATAATTTGAAATTCAAAGATTTCTTCCTGTCTGCTTTGACTATGGTAGTATGGTAGTACTTTGAGTATGGTAGCATTCATATGGCATCTTCAGTTCTTCAAACAGCCATCGCCCAAGATCACTAGGGTCCTTGGGAGTTTAAGCAAGGTTGTCCAAATCCATTTCACCTTCTTTTTTCTTCATTAGTCTAAAGCAGGGGTTGGCAAACTTTGGCTTGCAGGTTGAAGCTGTCTGCCTGTCTTTGTAAATACAGCTTTTTTGGCACATAGCCATGCCCATTCCTTCACATCTGATCTGTGGCTGCTTTCAGGCTACAGATGCAAGGTTGAGTCATTGAAACAAAGACCACCCAGACCACAGAGCCCGAAGTATGTCTCTCTACAGGAAAAGTTAGCTACACCTTGGTCTAAAGGCTTGGTTATCCTCTGCCTTTGCATAGGAGTCAGCGTGGATTTTGAGAAGTGGAAAACTGTCTTCCAGAAATCCTGCACTCAAGGGCATGTCCCCCTCCCCGTAAGAGTATTCAAGCTGATTGATGGATTTTAGTTATAGGAAAATGTGTCAAGTCCTATTCAGTATTATTTGATTCTGATTTAAGACTCTGTGGGGGAGATTTCCAGTTGCCCACTAAAGCCTTTTCTCACTCCTCTTCTGTGGAAACAGAGTAGGTGTTGTCTTCAAGGAGAGACTTAGCCAAAGGCTACATTTCCAAGCTGTCTTTGCAGCTGAATTTGGCCATGTGGACTCAGTCATCACTATGGGGAAGAGAGTGGAGATGATGGAAACAGCTTCTGCTATGCTAGGCCATGCACATGCTATGGTTGTACTCACCTTCCCTTCCTGCAGCACGGAAGATGGAAGTGCCCTGAGCTTATCAGACAGAAGATGAACAGCCTAGTGGATGAAGTTTCCCCGTAGCCCCAGGGAGCAGAACCTTAACTGTGATAAGAATGCTCAGCCTGGGATTAATGCACTGCAGAGAGAAAACATGTGTTTTAACCCATGTATGATAGCATCTTTTTCATTCAGCAGATTAAACTTGGCCCTGTTCATCAGACACTATTCCAACCTCCTTCATGCAGTAGTGAGTCATGAACAGCAGCTTTTGAAAAAGTTGAGTACAACCAACCTGAAAGCAGACCTAGATAGTGTGTGGGAGTGAGATGTACCAGACAAAGGGCACATATTCAGGTTTTACAAGTCCAGGCTCTCTCAGAATAGGATACAGAACACAGACCCATCCTGCAAGGAGCTAGGACTTGATGTCAGAGAAAGAAAGTGTCTCCAAGTTTGAGGAGTCCTGGAATAGAGATGAACAGTATTGTACTGTTGGTCATGCAGCTGAAGGCTCCCTGGAGGAGGAAGGAGACAGGACTAAAAAAAGGAAGTGTTTCTGGAGGATAAAACTGTGTGAGCAAAGAAAAGGCACAGTGGTTTAACCAGGCGTTGCTTGGGGTGCACACCTGCAAAAATCACAGAGCACAGGGTTCAAGGACCCACCATTCCTATGCATAAATTTATTGCTCACAATTCTGGAGACTGGAAAGTTCAAGATCAAGATGTGGCAAATACAATGACTGGTGAGGCCCTGCTCCCTGGTTCATAGATGGTGACTTCTTGGTGTATCCTCACATGGTGGAAGGGGCAAGGGAGCTCTCTGGAGCCTCTTTTATAATCTCATTCATAAGAGCTGGCTGCAAAGCAAGGAAATATCCATTCAGTTCGCTTAACAGAGTAAGGATGGATAAATGTATGCATGTGGAACATTCCACCTCACACACCTGCCCAGTGCATAGATACTTCTGCCCTTTGCTTTGGGTAGAGTTTTCTCTCCCTAAATTTTGTTAGAATAAAAGATAATAAACTTTCATTTTTTTAATATATATTTACTTTCTGATTTTTTCTTTGATTTTCTTTTTCTTTTTTTTTTTTTGAGACAGAGCCTCACTCTATTGCCTAGGCTGGAGTGCAATGGTATGATCTCAGCTCACTGCAAACTCTGCCTCAGGGTTCAAGGGATTCTCCTACCTCAGCCTCCCAGTAGCTGGGATTACAGGCACATACCACCACACCTGGCTAATTTTTGTATTTTTAGGAGAGACAGGGTTTCACCATGTTGTCCAGTCTGGTCTCGAACTCTTGACCTCAAATGATCCGCCCACGTCAGCCTTCCAAAGTGCTGGGATTACAGGCGTGAGCCACCGTGCCTGGCCTCTTTGGTTTTATTCTACTAAGCTTTTCTTTGCATCTTTAATTGTATTACTTTACTGGCCTTTCTTTTTTTAAATAAATGTGTTTCAGGCCATGTTTTAAAATTCTACATTACTTACCATGCCTCATGTTGAATGTATACTACATAATTTGTCATTAAGGTTTTAATGTTTGAATTGCCTTTTTAATTTTTTTATTAACTGAAAATTTATTTTAGAAGTGTGTTCTTATTTGTCAAGTATTTATTTGCTTTGTCTTTTTATTTTTAGTTTCTAATTCAATTTCCATGTGGTCAAAGTGGCCTAATATGTCAATACTTTGAAATTATTTGATATTTTGTAAGCCACCAATGTGCAATTTTTATAAATGTTTTGTGTGTCCTTGAAAACAACGTGAATTCTCTTTGTTTGTCCGGATAAAACTATCTTATCATTCACATTTCCTATAACCTTAGTATTTTTTGTTCTGCTTGATCAATCATTTTCTGAGAGTATTATATTAAAAGTACAACCTACAATTTTAAAAGTTTCCCTTAATTCTGTTACTTTTTCACTTTTTTTCTTTTTGAAGTTATGGGTCAAATGGACAAAGCTTCTTAATTGTTTTAGATTTTCCTAGACGGTTCCTTTTATGTTAAGTAATGGTCTGTCTTTGTTTTTAAATACTGCTGTATTTGTATTGATTTTCTCTTATGCCTTTTTCTGGTTTTTATTTTTCTGCTTTCCTGATTTCTGTTGGGTTGATTGCTTTCTACAGTAGGTTTAAGATTTCCTTTGTTGATTCAGAAGCTACAGATTTAATACACCTGTTCTTTTTTTGCTATTAGCATCTTTCTTGCATATAAGAAAAATGCCTTGGTGTGATTTTATCATACCAGTGTGCATGCTACCCAATCTCTCTCAATAATGTTAACTAGAATTGAATCACACCTTTTCATTCAGTGTTTTCTTTCTTCCTTAACTGCTAGTTAATTAAATTTGCCAAGAGGCTTATATTTTCCCTCTTCCTGGCTGTTTAAGGCATCCCACATTTTCTCCTTGAGTCTACATTTCTCCTTCAGAATCACCATCTCTAGCATGTTAGCAAAGCCAACTTGAGTTGCTCACACTTCCTGGTCAGCCAGGACAATGATCCTGTGTGTGAGGTAGTTTTGTCCTGTTCATTTTCTCTTTCTGATTTCATGTTACTATTCCCATGTGTTTTGATCTAAGGAAGAGCCTAAAGGAAAAGCGAACTATTTTGACTGGAAGCTTCTTACTAAAATATCACACATTTTCATTTTAGAGAAATTAGAATATAAAAATAAACCAAAAGAAAACAAACCTAACATGCTCTTAATACCCTCACCCAGAAATAATTACTGTCCACAGTTTTATATACATCATTCCAAATCATTTTCTCTGCCTACGTTTGCAAATACACCTTACAAAATATGTTTCAAATACTGCTTTTCCCTCTGAATATCATAAACACTTTTCCAAGTCAATATATCATTTCTATATCATAATTTATTACATGAATATAGCAGAATCAATTTTGTCAATCCACTATGGTTGGGCATATAAATTGTTTCTCATCCTTCATTTTTATAAGTGATACTTATATCGCTTACAAATCCTAGGGCCTATATTTTTTAGACAAACCATGAAAAATTCCTTAAAGTGGAATTTCTACAAATGGAATTACTGAGTCAAAGAGATCAATATATTTATGTCTTACTTAGATTATTAGTGACTCTCTCCTTTTACCCTTGGAATAACTATGTGCTGCTCTGTAAATGATTTGGATTGAAGAAATTAGCATCTGCATTAGATAACATGCATTTAATATATATTATATTTTGGATCTACAAAACTTACTAATTTGTGGAAAGACTCTGTGGAAAACCCTAGAAATATTCATAAAGAAAACATTGTTTAAAATGTTTTAAATGTTGAAGAACCTTTTTTGGGGAGATACTCCAAGTCCTAATTTCACCATAATCTAGGCATGGTAATAGTAATCTTTTTGCAAGCATAACAAAAGATTAGTGAGATAGTTATCCTTAAAATCTCTTGTACAAAAGATGGATTTTTCTTTCAAAAGAGCATTGTTTTTCATCTTACCCACTCCAGTCTTCCATCAAAAACTTTTTTGGAAATATTTTGTCTAAAAAATACATAAAATACCTCTATTCATCTACTCTATCACAAAGTTATTTCAAGTTTTAGATTCCCAATGTGCAGCACGTCACTCTAACTTCAAAGAAAAAATACTTCAAAAAGCAATGGGCACCCCTTCTTCCAAATTCTCTCACTTGGGAGACTGAAAACATTCCTAGTGTTGTTAGTTTTACTTTGTCCCCCTGTCTCCAATTTGTATAGAAATATTATACAAATGAAGAGTTTTAAAATGTTTCTCAAGATCTGTGCCCCCCCAACTGCCACTGGCATATAGCTTTAAATATAAAATCACAGTTACGGTCAGGAGGTAGAGACCATCCTGGCTAACACAGTGAAACCCCGTCTCTACTAAAAATACAAAAAATTAGCCGGGCGTGGTGGCGGGCACCTGTAGTCCCAGCTACTCGGGAGGCTGAGGCAGGAGAATGGCGTGAATCTGGGAGGCGGAGCTTGCAGTGAGCCGAGATTGTGCCACTGCACTCCAGCCTGGGTGACAGAGAGAGACCCCGTCTCAAAAAAAAAAAAAAAAAAAAATCACAGTTACATAGACACAGTTATATAGAGAAGAAAAATCACAGTTACATAGACACAGAACATAGAAAAGAAAGGGCCAACAAGCTAAAGTGAGTTAAACAGGAAGATGGACACACTGTTTTCTTGTTTTCTTGCATCTGCTTTGGTGATTAATTTCCCTTGTCCACATACAGAATCATGGACCTAGACCCTTTGACAAGGATGAAATAGATTCGCCCTGGGAAGTGCTTCATTTCCTTTTCGCGACGCAGTCTGTGAAGAACTTGGTATTTTGACAAGGACTCTCCATGGTGTCTCTAAAGAGCCTTGTAGAACATCATGCACATCTTATTTTTAGTGTGTTTAAAAGTCAGTCAGTTCGGGTGAATCCTCGAATTTATTCAAATTGCATGCAATGGCCCTGCAGGAACAATGGTGGCCGTCTAGAAATAGGCACGCTGGACCTGGAGCACCGCTCAGAAAAGCTTCTAGGCAAAATTGTCTGTTTATGTGTCTCCTACAATATTTCCCTTCCACCTCCTTGGCAGTGACTGATTTTTGTAAGACTAAACACAAGCACATCTCATGCTCACATTATTATGGTACCGAAAGAATCAACAGTGATAAGGTACTAAATGAAATAGAGCCCAATTCTTTACTTTGTGCTCTCACGTCGATATAAAGTGAACCACCCTCTACAATTTGTTAACAATCTAGAAGGAATCTTTTTTTTTCTTGTTCTAATCTGAAAGTAATGGTATATTCAAAAATTGTTAACATACTACTAAGCACATGGAACATGATTCCATAAAGCATGTTGGTGTTCAATTTCCATGTATAGCAACATAAGCTCCCAGTATCACATTTTTAAAAAATGTCATTCAAACAAACCCCTTTAACTATATTGAGACTCTGTTTTCAGCGAATGTAGAGAATTAGCCTTTGTATCTCTGCATTGCCATTTCTAAATAGTTCTTTTTGAAGGGCTGCTTTGAATAGCTACTCATTTTCCCATAGACGTTTTTCTAAAAACTGCCTTTATGTGTTTCACTCACAAATACATGGTTTGTTTTCAGTCATTATATAAACAGAGTAATTATATATTTTCATTGCTATTTTGCCTCCAGTTTTCCCATATTTTCAAAAAAAGTGTATGGATTTCTCCTTAGACACAATATATTTTGAACGAATTTATGAATTCACAAATGTCCATCCCCTTGTCCTCACACATACTCCTGCTTAGAGGGATGCCTCAGTATCTCTGGTCTCACTTATACAACCTTGGAGAAAGGAGAGAAGGAGAAACAAAGAGAGGGGAGAGAAGGAGAAAGACTGAAAGGAAGGCAAAAAGAAAGTGCCTCTGTCTACTTACAAGCAAATACAGTTATGTGGACCTTGTATATAGACCTGTGATTATATGCCATGTCCCACCCACTTCTCCATGTGTCAGTCTTGCCTACTAAATAGATTTCAAGGTCTTGAAAACAGAGTACATTTCTTATATGTTTTGTTTACCCTACCTAAAAACTAAAAAAGATACTAAAGTGTTTGAGTATTTCAACTTATCCATTTAAATATAAAGTATCTAAAATCTTCTAATATGGATAATTCAAATTCTGATACTTTGTCCACAATAGCATCTGTTCAATAATGACTGCCCTAGGTGTTATAATATGTGATCTCACTTAATGGTATAAACTAATATTAGAATATTAATATCAGAACAGAAGGAGTCTCTGGGGCAGCAAATATGATTGTCATTGTATAGAGAAGGAAACCGTAGCACAGAAAGTTTAAGTAACTCAGCCAAAGTCATCCAGCAAGTGGCTGTTAGGGTAGGATTTTAATCCATTTTAACTTGAAACCAAAGCACTGTTTTGCTCTATTCCCAGTGTCTATCCTTCCTTCAAGTCACCAAACTGGTTATTGTTTTTAACAGGCTTCCCCGCACACATACACATGTACTGTTATCTCCTTCATGTCAATGCATTTCTACCCAGTCACCCACCAACTCATGCTTTTTCTACACACACACACACACACACACACACACACACACACACACACACACACACACACACACCCTGGGGAACTGGTAAATTTGGGGACTCAAGTCTTGCCTATCAAACAGTCCATGTCATGATTGTGTAAGTTGTGCTGAGCCTGATTATGCTACACACTGTGTCGTGCCTCCCCAAACCATTCATTCTACCTTTTTCCTTCCTTTCTTTTCTTGCATCCCCAGTTTTTTTTTTTTTTGCAATTATGAGTAGTCATCAGAACCAATCTATCCAATAAGATGTAATAAATGAGTAAATAAAAATTAATGGGTTGATTCTCTAGCTTATTAAGTTTACTAAGAGAATCAGACTCAGCATGTTTCCCTCGTCTTTACTCCTTTGCCCTTTTCTTCTTCCTTTGAATACGGATGTGATGCCTGGAAGTGCAGCAGCTATCATGGGACCGTAAGGTCAATAGCCACATGGTAAAGGTGGCAGAGCAGGAAGATAAGGTGAAGCTTGTGTTGTTGATGCCATTCTGGGGTGACTAAACTAACCCTGAAAATCCATAAACCTTTTCACTAATTCAGCTAGTATTTTGACTTGATTTTGATGTCTTTCCTTCCTAGAAGCTTGTCTACATTGAAATAACTGTAACATGTGGGTTCCATTTAATGGTCAGCATTAATGTTATCTATTGTTCTCTTCCAATGTGAACTGAAAAGCATTTAGTAAAACAAGGTTTCAATTAATAAAATTATCGTTTCTATATCTATGCAGATGTTCCTGTATTTGATGTGTGTATCTATGCAGGGAAAAAAAAGAAACAATATCCAGGGTACATCAGAAAGGAAATGTGACATTTCATTGTTTTTATGTTTATGGAAGACCTGCCTTAAAAATACCTTAAAAGTTCCACTAGGCACAGTGGTTCATGCTTATAATCCTAGCACTTTGGGAGGCCAAGGCAGGAGGATGGCTTAAGGCCAGGAGTTTGAGACCAGCCTGGGCAACATAGTGAAACTCCATCCCTATGAAAATTTTAAAAAAATTAGCCAGGCATTGTGGTGCGTATCTGCAGTCCCAGCTACTTGGGAGGCTGAGGCAGGAGGATTGCTTGAACCCAGGAGGTCGAAAGTACAGTGAGCCATGATCGCACAACTGCACTCCAGCCTAGGCAATAGAGGAAAACCCTAACTCAAAATTAAAAAAAAAAAAAACTTAAATACTTTAAAAGTTTGTTTGCAGGAGGCAAACAAAACTAAAATTTTTCTTCTTGCATTCTGACTTTGATTTTAAATGTAAAACTTCATACATCTTGTGGTTAAACATGCTAGTTGAAGACGTCAAGTCAGAAAACAAGAGAAATTGTTGAAAAAATTATCTAAATATAAAATAGGGCCGACACATGATGAAACAAGCTTTGTGGATTTATGAGTTATAATTCTTATTTATTCAAAGCTAATGCATTGTTACTTCAGATGTAATGCATAATGCCTTTGTAATTATCATTTAAATGAGTGGCTAAATGTGAATTATTACAAAATAGAACTTAATGACCTTCCTCTTAAAGAACTCTTGAATAGGGTTACTTTGCAATTATAAAAAGTCACTTGAGCCACTTGCTGTTTGACCACTCTAACGCATTGCTGAAATTGCACCAAAGAAAGGCCAAATCACATCAAACAAAGAAAGGTCCGTGAGAACATAAAGAGATAATGTGGCGATGGGTAATTTGGACGTCATGGGGCAAACAAAGAAACGCCAAACCAGAGTCCTTCCTCCTTTGAGCCAGTACATGCGTTCATAATGAATGATTGCTAAAGGAAAAGTCACAGCTCTTCAGCAAAGACATGTGCCATCTCACCTCTAGCCAACATCAAATCTAAACCTTGCCTCCATAACATTTCCTGCTTTTTAATAAGCCTAAAAGGGACATATTAATTATGTATGATGCCTGAGATACCAGATCTTATTAATCTGCTCTTGACTCTTCTTTGATTTCCCACGCTTCCACACACAGCTCTTTGGATATAGGCAGTCAACAAATGCATATTCAGTGGGAAATTTCAACATCTAAAATAAGAGTATTAGAAATATTGTGATCCTTTATTGTTCAAAGGAAGTCATTAAGCCTCGAATGACATCAGCATTTGTAAACCAGTCTCAGAGAAACGAAATTCAATGTCCCCCAGTTCCATGGGCATTCACTGAACCCCTACTATGTGTAAGCTGATCCTCATTGCAGTATGCAAGTGAAAATCATCTATCATGAGCTTTTCTTTGAAATACAAAAAAAAAAACATAATTTATACCATCACGGCCTTCACAAATCTCCTGCCTCTACAGGCTTAACCTGCTAATGTCTGTTCTGGCTGCTATAAAAAGAAACCACAGACAGGGTGACTGGGTACCCATCACAGAACTTTATTGCTTACAGTTCTGGAGGCTAGGAAGTCCAAGATCAAAGTGCTGGCAGATTCAGTGTCTAGTGAGGTCTGTTTCCTGGTTCACAGACAGCCATCTTTTCACTGTAACCTCACGTAGTGGAAGTGGGATCTCTTTGAGATCTCTTTCATAAAGGTGAAAATGTCCATTCATGAGGGCTCTGCCCTCATGACTCAATCACCTGCCAAAGGCCCCACCTCGTAGTATCATCACTTTGGGGATCAGGATTTCAATATGTAAATTTGGGGAGCAGAAATATTCAGTCAATCCTACAATGTAAATCTTTACACAAGGATACATTTATCATTCAAATTCAGAAACAAAATGATACTTCTACTTAATTCTGTTGGTTTGCCACCTGTTTGATCTACGTTCATGTCTCCATTAATTCTGCAACACAGAATTAGGAGAGAACAACTTTCGACCCCTAGTGAAAATCTACAAGAGGAGGCTCATAAAAATAGAGGCTCCTCTTTTTTGCTTTAGATATGTTTAATACAAAGAGGGATAAAGAGAGTCTGAAAAGTTTTGTGGAATTCAGACCTTCTCCCAAATACAGTCTTCAAAGAGTTTGAAATATTTATCATATACATTGTACTCTTTTCTTTTTTCAAATGCAAATATACGGCCAGGCTTAAATAGGGTGGACTGACCACCAACATCCATTTTTTCATCTTCTCAAAATTGAACTAGAATGACAATGAATTAAGAAAAACATAAATAAATTTACCAAGAAAAACCCACAGTGAATATTTCAACAGGTATTCAAAAGATGAAAAGCCCTGGAGGGCTGTTATTTGGCATCATAGTTCCAAACTCTAAGCGCTTGCCAAGTGGAGCACTGAAGGGAAAGAAGTCAATTTATCCTGTCAACCCTGAAAAGCCTCTGGACTTTGAGGTTCAAAGCTGTAAAAGGCTGAGAATGAGACACAGGTTGAAAACAGGAGAACGACTTGAGAATCCATAAAAAAGCACAAAGACCCGTAGGTTTCTGATCCAACCCTAACTTCAGAAAGTAGGTGGCCAAAACTGTGATTGTACTGAGGGGATGCTGAATATTTGAAAGAATGTCTGGACCAGCTGGGCCAACAGGGTGAAACCCCATCTCTACTAAAAATACAAAAGTTAGCCGGGCGTGGGAGGCTGAGGCAGGAGAATCGCTTGAACCCAGGAGGCAGAGGTTGCAGTGAGCCAAGATTGAGCCATTGCACTCCAGCCTGGGTGACAGAGCAAGACTCCATCTCAAAAAAAAAAAAAAAAAAAAAAAAAAAAAAAAAAAAAAAGAATGTCTGGAAACCAATGGATCGTGCTTGCATTGAATAAAACAGGAAACAGGATAGTCATGTGATTTAGATGTATTAAGATGAATCCCAGAGAGAGCTGAGTATAACCTCCCTCTGCAGAACACCATGGCCATGGCTCAGGAGGCTGCTTGGGGCAAGGTTTACCTCTCCTAGAATCAATGGGGCAAGGGGCTTTAGAAGTTACCATCTCCTGGAAAGAAAAGACTCCACCCCCTTGCTATCAATAATCGCATCCTTTCAAGCAGTCTTCCCCTTGGAACCTTCAGCTCTAATATTACCATATCCCTCATCTCTGCTTCTGTGAGTCACTCTGAAAAGTCCAGAGCCCTTGGTCATTGGTCATCACCTAGGTTCTTGGTCATTGGTCATCACCTAGGTTCTAGTCCCATTGTACACTGCATTTTCTGATCCTCATCTCTCACTCTTCATCTCTTGATATCCTTGGTCTGAGCTTTCTGAAATTTTAGGTCCATCTCATGCAAAATACCTTTCATCCTCAACTCTTCTGTGCATTCTGTGGAAGGAAAATTATCTTGGGCCCCCAAAATCTCTAAGCTAAAGGAAAATTCAAGCTAGGAACTGCTCAGGGCAAATTTCCCTCCCAGTCTGTTCAAAGTCATCCCTCTGCTCACTGAGGTAGATGCATATTTTGATTGCCTCCTTTGGAAAGGCTTATCAGAAACATAAAAGAATGCAACCTTTTGTCTCTCACCTACCTGTGACTTGGAAGCCCCCCTCTCTGCTTCAAGTTGTCCCCACCTTTCTGGACAAAACCAGTGTACTTCTTACATAAATTGATTGATGTCTCATGTCTCCTTAAAATGTATAAAACCAAACTGTGCCCCGACCACCTTGGGCACACGTCGTCAGGACTTCCTGAGGCTGTGTCATGGACTCACATCTTCAACCTTGACAAAATAAACTTTCTAAATTAACTAAGACCTGTCTCAAATTTTGGGGTTCACAATTCCTCTAACATTCCTCCTCTGTTTAAAACCAGCTCTATCCTTAGGACACAGCTTCCCCTGCAGCCCCCTAAGTAGTGATCACTCTCTTATATACCCCATGGACCACTGGGCCTGAGAGTGGGGTGAGTGTCCTCCTTGTTCCTCAGTAGCATATCTCTCCCACCTCCTGAATAAGTCCTTGGCTTGAGTCACGGGTCATCAGAATATACCATTCATGGCCAGGCACTGTGGCTCACACCTGTAATCTCAGCACTTTGGGAGGCGAGGTGGGAGGATCACTTGAGCTCAGGAGTTCAGGACCGGCCTGGACAACATGTGAGACCCTATTTCTACAAAAAATCAAGAAATTACCCAGGCATGGTGGCACAAACCCCTGGCCCCAGCTACTCAGGAGGCTGAGGCAGGAGGGTCACTTGAGACCTTGGAGGTTGAGGCTGCAGGGAGCCACGATCATGCCACTGCACTCCAGCCTAGGCAACAGAGCAGGACCCTGTCTCAAAAAACAAAAAAAAGAAAAAAAATACCACTCACAACTCTCATTGTTGTTGGTGTCTTTTGACACTCAACAACTCCCTGTTATTCTAATTCACTCACTCCTTAAAAACTATGGCATTCTTAACTCTCATGCATGTATAATTAGATGACTTGTTAATGACTGATGATGTCTCAGTTCTGTGACCTCTGTACCTCAATGGTCTTGTCCTACACACATCTTGGCCACTCTCTCCCATGGCCATACCCTAGACCTCACAATTATCAATTTCTTCTCTTCTTCATAAAGTCAGTTTCAAATATCCCATCCTAGATAACTCCCTCCTAATTTTTCTACCCTCTCTGCCGACTACTCCAAAGTTAACAATCATTTACCCAAAGAGAACCCTCCCTCCATTGGCCCTATCACCTTTCACTGTTTCCCATGGCTCCCATGAACTATTTTTCTTCCTTCTCTTCCTTCAATTGTGTGTTTCCTGACCTATGCCCTCAATTCTCTTTCCTCTTCCCTACTTCCCCGGGCTCATCTGTCAAACCAAACACTTAAATTGTACTGTTCACCTACTCCATGTTTGAAGTGGCTCAGATGAATATGGTTGGAAAAAAACAAATAAGCCAGGCACAGAAAGACAAACATCACATATTCTCACTTATTTGTGGGATCTAAAAGTCAAAACAATTGAACTCATGGACACAGAGAGTAGAAGGATGGATACCAGAAGCTGGGAAGAGTAGGGGGATGCTGGGGGGCAAGTGGGGATGGTTAATAGCTACAAAAAAATAGAAAAAATGAATAAGACCTACTATGTGATAACACAGTAGAATAACTATAATGAATAATAACTGGACTATACATTTTAAAATAACTTAAAGAGTGTAATTGGATTGTTTGTAACTCAGAGGATAAATGCTTGAGCAGATGGACACCCCATTCTCCATGATGTGCTTATTTCACATTTCATGCCTGTATAAAAACATCTCATGTACAACATATATGCATCCACTATATACCCACAAAAATTTTTTAAATTAAAAAATAAATAGATATTTAAAAAACAAACAAACATGCAAACAAGCAAACAAATAGGCAAACAAGATCATGCCGAATGGCTTCATTTTAAATTTGGATCACTACTCCCAAGTAAGTTTTTAATGCCGGCCAGTAAGCATATTAAATTTATCTAGACCTTATGTTTTCCCGCTTTTCTTAATGACTCTTTCTTACTCCTTAATTTTCAGCATCTCCATTCCCATCCTCACTCTCAGCTTACAATGTTGACTTCTGCTCTGACTTCACAGAAAGAAATGGAAAGGTTTAGAAGAGAATGTCCAAAGAATCTCACCACCTCTCTCCATCCACTTGGTTTCATGCTCTGGCAATGTCATCTCTGCCTCTGGAAATACCAGCTTCTCTCTCCTTCTCTACTGGATCCATTCCAAACAGCAAACAACGATGCTATTATTTCTTTCATCTTAAACAAAATAAATACAGAACCCTCTCTTGAGCCCTCTTCATCCTCCAGCTACATCACATGCTTCTGTTCTTGCCACAAAACTCCTTGAAATAATTATCTAAAATCGTGTTGCCACTTTCTTTTCTACCATTTGTCCTGAATCAACCCCCAATCACTTCCCCACCACCATAGTTCTCAAAGTCCTCAGTGACCTCCACATTGGTAAATCCAATGGTTATTTCTCACTCCTCACCTAACTTGATCTCTCAAGAGCATTTGATACAGTGGACTGCTTTCCCTCCTTGATGTCTTTTCTTTTATCTCTCCTGATTTGCCTCCTGCATTTCTGGATGGCCTTTCTCTGTGTGCTTCCTCCTATCCCTCTTAACAGGATGTCATGTGCTCAGTTCTCATGCCTCTTCTCTCTCTACCTACACTTACTTACTAAGTGTCTCATTCAGCCTCACGGTTTTAAATACTACCTATATTCTGATGACTCCAGACAGACACCTCCCCTGAATTTCAAAAATATACAACCAATTCCTATGTGACCTCTGCACATGGATATCTGATTGTCAAGTTGAAGACATATCCAAAACCAAGGTCTTCGTCTCATTCCCAAACCAGCAACTCCTGCAGTCTTCTGTTAGTGCTTTTCCATTTGTTTCTTCCAGTTGTCCAGGCAGAAATCTGCTTGTGATCCTTGGGTCAGTGCTTTCTCCTATAGTCCTCATCTAGTCTCTTGGGAAATCCATCAAGATGTATCCAGAAATCAAGTGACTTCTCAGGAACCCCCAGGACATCGCCCTGGTCTTGGCCAGCACCATGGCTTCCTTGAATTATTGCAAGTGTCTCCTGAGTGGTCTCTGTTTCTACTCTTGCCATCAACTGCCTCTTCTCATCTCTTCACCCCGCTAAAATGTTAAAGACACATCGTGAACCATCTCAGCTCACACCTTCTAGTGGCTCCACGTCTCCTCAAGGTAAAAGCCAAAGGCTTGACTGTGACTCTCAAGGTCATGCACCATCTGGTCCCTCATGAATCCGGGGACACACACTTTGCTACCCACACACTCCCCTTTGCAGTTCAGCCACCCTTTCTCCCTTGCCAGCCCCAAACTCATACCATGTCCATGGAGCCTTCCCACCTTCTCTTGCTGCTGGCTGAGATGTTATCCTGATAACATCCACCTGACTCACACCTTCCATTCCTTCGTCCTCCTGCAAAGTCACCATCTAAGGGAGCCCTTCCCAGACACGTTGTGCAAAATGTCAACCCCAGCCCTGACACTCCATACTCCCTTCTTTGTTGATACGTCCTTCTTAGTACCCATCCCTATCTAACATGCTGTATCTTCTATGTATTTATTACATCTGTTACCTACCTCCCACCTGAGACAGTGAGCCCCAGAATGACATGCATTTTTACTTGTTTTGTTCACTATTGTATCTCTTATGACAAGGAGTTGCTTTATAACTATCTGTTAAGTACCAAAGGAAATAGCTGGGAGAATTGAGGGTAGTTGCTAATGAGAAATAGAACGGGGGTTGAAAGAGGACTGTTTGCATTATTGGCTTTTTAGAGCTACAGGTCGAGTATCCTTTACCTGAAATGCTTGGGACCAGAAGTGTTTCAGATTACGGATTTTGTAATATTTGCATACACATAATGAGATATCTTGGGGATGAGGCCTTGAGTGTAAACATAAAATTCATTTATGTTTCATAGACACCTTATATGCAGAGCCTGAAGTTAATTTCATTTTTCCCTTGCGGGACTCTGGATACACCACATGTTGAGTGGCTGTATTTTGACTGTGACTCCTCCCAGGAGGTCAGATGTGGAGTTTTATAATTGTGATGTCATTTTGTCCTTCAAAAAGCTTTGGAACATTTCAAATTTTGGATTTGAGGATTAGGGATATTCAACCTATATTTGCATTTCTTAAAAAAACAATGCGTTATTTAAATATGAACTAGAGCTATGCAATGTGCCTGAATATCCTTGTTGTTCTTTGTAAGCATTTGGGCATTATACTCATTTGGCCCAATTATTGGGATTTGGCTATGCGCATCTCAGATGCCAGAATGCTCGTGGGAAGACGAGCTGCTGTTATGTGTGAGCATGAGACCAGCTGGTAAACATGATGCCCAAGGAGAACTAAGGTGCACATCTTGCCTTAAAATAAATACAATTTAAGGCCGGGCATGGTGGCTCACGCCTGTAACCCCAGCACTTTGGGAGGCCAAGGCAGGCAGATCACTTGAAATCAGGAGTTCAAGAACAGCCAGGCCAACATAGCAAAACCTTGTCTCTACTAAAAATACAAAAATTAGCTGGGTGTGGTGGTGCACGCCTGTGGTCCCAGCTATTCAGGAGGCTGAGGCAGGAGAATCGCCTGAACCTGGGAGGTGGAGGTTGCAGTGAGGATTCTTCTCTTTCTCTCATATTTTGATCTGCCATAAGCCAGGGATAACATTTCTTCATTTGTGTCTTCCCTCTTCAAAGCCTGTTTAAGCAACAGGTCTCTCCCTGTGCCCCATTCAGTCAGATGTCTCATGATTAGGCAGATGCTGAGAACTGTATCTGCAGTGACAGGGTTTGGTTTTTGAGCAAAAGGAATGGGCAGCAGGAACATCAGTGGATCCTCATGCTTCAAGGTCCCTGGTGTTAATGGAAAAACCAACTCTGAAAAATATTTTAAAGAAGCCTACTCTGAGCCAATAGCAGTGACCACAGCCCAGGAAAAACACAAACCCACGAAGCCTTCAGCAAGTGGTCCCGAGGCAGTCGGATTATAATTTGGTTTTACACATTTTAAGAAGACAGAAGTTACAGGCAAAGACATAAATCAATACATGGGAGGAGGTGTACATTGGTTTAGTCCATAAAGGTGGGATATCTTGAAATGGGAGCTTATAGGTTTATAGGTGAATTCAGAGATGCTTTAATTTGCAGCTGGGTAAAGCAGTAAGGCTCTGTCTAAAACCTGGAGTGAGCAGAAAGGGATGTTTTCTGTTAAGATAAGGATGCTGTGTAGCAAGATTGATGATGGCCTGTAGGGGTGACTTAACTCTTGCCCAGCACAGCCTTAGGTCCTGTTGATAATTTGGTATCTTATTGCCACAAAGAGTCTGTTTTGTCAGTCTTATGATCTGTATTTTAACATGAATGCTGGTCACTTGTGCCTAAGCCCCAAAAGGGAGAGGATATAAGGTGTGTCTGATCCCCCATCACATCATGGCCGGGAACTCAGTTTTTCAGGTTTCTCTGGGATCCCCTTGGCCAAGACAGGGTCCATTCAGTTGGTGGGGGACTTAGGATTCTATTTTTAGTTGACACTGGGTAGGGTCCTGCATAGGACACCATGCTCTTTTCCAAGATGGTACTGTGCGTTAAGACAAAGAAAGTGCTCTTGAGAAAGCCCTGCCAGAGGAAGCCCTCACGAATTCCGCACCCGTAGCTGCCTCTCAGCCTTCTGCTGACAGTCAGACAGGAGTGTACTGTGGAATTAGAGCACCTAAAAATACAGCTGAATAAACACACAATGCAAAACACAAAGGAGGCACGAATTGTGGATACACTTAAATGGGAACAGCAAAACTTAAATTAGAGGTCTGAAAAGCGTGCTCTTTTCTTGGAAGGCGCTGTTCTCCTTTTTCTAATGATGCTAATTCCATGAACACTGAATGTAACCCTTTAAAAGAGAAAAATGAGGCAGCTCCGCACTAATTCAGTTTAATTAATGCCATCCTGTTCTTTAGTCTACAAACAGTTATTGAAATTGCAAGATAGCTATATCTGTCCTTCCTTAACTGCTCTCTGTTCTTTTACAAAACCATTTTATTGTGCATTCAGAGCTACCAAAAATAAAACTAGGATTGTTCCAATAGCATTTCCATGCTTCCTATAGAATGAGCTCACATTACCACTTACTCTTGAGGAGTCTACCAGTGAGCTTGATTTGCTTTGGATAAATGAATCCTCCATCATTTTTTTAAGTGACTGGCACCCTGGTTTTTTTGTTTGTTTGTCTTTTCCACAAATGTTCTTAGCCATGACCTCTAATGGACACAAGGAGACAATTCCTTTTTTTTTTTTTTTTTTTTTTTGAGACTGTGTCTCACTCTGTCCCCCAGGCTGGAGTGCAGTGGCACAATCACGGGTCACTACAGCCTCAAACTCCTAGGCTCAAGCAATCCTCCTGCGTCAGCCTCCTGAGTAGCTGGAACTATGGGTGTGTGCCACCACACCTGGCTAATTTTTTTTTTTGAATTTTTATTAGAGATGATGTCCTAATATGTTACCCAGGCTGGTCTCGAATTCCTGAGCTCAAGCGATCCTCCCACCTTGGCCTCCCAAAGTGCTGGGATTATAGGCATGAGCCATGGTGCCTGGCCAAGAAGACAATTCTTTATAGTGCCTCCAGCTCTAAAAAGTTAAAATTACTATGCTATAGGCATAGAATGAGACATCTACAAAAAGCTACCCCGTGTTTTTAATTAGGTGTTTAGTGAATCACTTTGAAAATTCTGGGAAGTAATTTCCTCTCCTTTAAAGAAAAGAACATTCTTATATTCCTTATCAGATAACGATGCTGTTGAAAGTGGATACACTTATAGCTGGGATCCTCAGTTGTCCCAGTGCTAAGATGCCTATGCAGACATCAACTCAGTTCACATCAGCTCTAACTGCATCTCACTTTGTGGGCACCTGCAGACCAGTTCTTCTCAGGTGCTGTGCCCATAGCACAGAGAGCTTCTTGGGATGTGTAGGGAGCCTTAGCCCCTAAAGGTTCACTGAAAAATCACCGACATGAGGCAGACTGATTAAGAGGAGAAAAGGCATACAGATTAATTTAACGCATATACACAGGAGCCTTCAGAATGAAGGCCCAACTCCCCAATCAGGTCTAGAAGCTTATATACCATCTGAGGTTACAGAAAGAATGGCGACTTGGATCCTGGTGAAACAGGTGGTGGGCTGGGGGAGAAGAGAATTCTATGGAGGGGATTACTAGAGGGAAGGAATGGATCAGGAACAGAGATTAACTTGTAAAGAGTTCTCTTTGGAAGTTAAATGATCCTTAGAGACACTCATCATTCTTGGAAAAGGCAGGTGTGGTCTTCTCTTTTTTTTTTTTTTTTGAGACAGACTGTCATCCAGGCTGGAGTGCAGTGGCATGATTTCGGCTCACTTCAAGTGATTCTCCTGCCTCAGCCTCCCAAGTGGCTGGGATTACAGGTGCACACCACTAGGCGAGCTTATTTTGTGTTTTTAGTAGAGATGGGGTTTTACCATGTTGATCAGGGTGATCTTGAACTCCTGGCCTCAAGTGATCCACCACCCCGGCCTCCCAAAGTGCTGGGATTACAGGTGTGAATCACCGCACCTGGCCACATCTTGGTCTTCTTTTCTGTTATAGACAATGAGATAATTTGGAGGGAAAGAAAAAAACCACTGTTCTCCTTGGTGGGTCTGGATTTTAGGCAGATAAAGGAACTTCAGTTTCAATGGGAGAGACAGGGGTTTGGGGAGGACATCAGAGAGACCTTGAGGCTTCTTCAGCTCAGCGTGTCCAAACGCCAGATTTTGGGCTTTTGGTTTCTGAGCTCTAACAGTAGGAATAGCTTGTGAAATCTCCTTGAGATCTTATGTTTCATTTTTGAAAATTCAAATATTTGTCATTCCACTTTATAATCACATCCCAATATTGGGTATAATATAAAATTAAAATTATAAATTACAATCAAGTGGACACCTTCAAAATGATGTACTATAAATGACTTAGCACTTCCTAATATTGACACTTCAAAAAACAGAGGCCGAGGAGGGTGAATTGCTTGAGCTCAGGAGTTCGAGACCAGCCTGGGTAACATGGTGAGACCCGGTCTCTACCAATAAAACAAAAAAAATTAGCCGGGTGTGGTGTTGCATGCCTCTGGTCCCAGCTACTAGTGAGGCTGAGGTAGGAGGATCTCTTGAGCCGGGGAGGCGGAGGTTGCAGTAAGCCCAGATCGTGCCACCACTGCACTCCAGCCTGGGTGAAAGAGCAAGACCCTGTCTCAAGAAACAAACAAACAAAACCCAGAGCCATAGTTATCCTATCACTTTGTGTGCTCTGGAACACTCTGACGTATGTTAGGGACCTCAGTTTGCAAAGCATGGTCCTAGAAAAACATGATCAGATGTACATAGTTATTCCTGTTCATTGGTATCAATCATGTACAGCACACGCCAGAAACGAGAAGGCAATACCACATTACACAGGAGCTACTTTCTACTAGATTTCCAGATTCAGCAAATAAAAATATGAGATACGCAGTTAAATTTGAATGTCAGATAAACAACTGTCAATGAAAAGAGTCAAACTCTGTAAAATATTTGAAAAGATTTATTCTGAGCTAAATGTGAGTGACCAATGGCTGTGACACAGCCCTCAGTAGATCCTGAGAACAAGGCCCAAGGTGGCCTGGCTACAATTAGGTTTTATACATTTAGGGAAACATAAGGCATCAGTCAATACAAGATGAACATTGGCTCGGTCCAAAAAGATGGGACAACCGGAAGCAAGGGCTTCCAGGTCACAGGTGGTTTTAAAGATTTTCTGGTTAGCAACTGGTTGAAAGAGTTATTGTCTAAAGACCTGGAATCAATAGTAAGGAATGCCTGGGTTATGACAAGGGGTTGTGGAGACCAAGGTTTTCTCATTCAGAGAGAATAGATTGTAAATGTTTCTTATCAGACATAAGGAGCCAATTCTATTGGTAATTCCAAAAGGGAGGAGGGAATCTTGATGCACATCCAGCTCCCCTTTTCTGTCAGGGCCGGAACTAGTTTTTCAGGTTAACTTCGGAATGCCCTTGGTCAAGAGAAGGGGTCCATTCAGATGGCTGAGGGGGCTTAGAATTTTATTTTTGGCTTACACAACAAATAATATTTTATTATACACATGCCCCATATTTACGTGATATTCAAATTTAACTGGGTGCCCTGTGTTTTGTCTAGAAACTCTATGACTCTTAGGGCTTTTCCTGCCCCCAGTCCTGTCTCAATCCTCTTTCCTTTGATGTGATGGGGCTTATCCTTTCATATGATAGGGCTGTGTTACTGAGAATTCACTGCATTACTAAACATCTCCTTCTGCACCAGGCCATGGTTAAGAAGAGAATTTTGTGGTACCCCAAGAGTATAGAGGAGGTGGTGGAAGCAGCACAGGTGCAGGTGGTTGAAAAATAGGATAGGACTTTCCAGGGTCTTCCAGGATGAAGGTGATCCTAGGCTACCTGAGAGAAGACAAAGACAAGGTGGGGGGGTGTTGCTTTGTCAGTGGTGTTTGAACCAGAGTGACTCCACCTTGAACAAGGGCTGGGTAAAATGAGGTTGAGACCTGCTGGGCTGCACTCCCAGGAGGTTAGGCATTCTTAGCCAAAGGATGAGACAGGAGGTCAGCAGGACTGGTGTCACCAGAGACAGATCATAAAGACCCTACTGATAAGACAGGATGCAGTAAAGAAGCTGGTCAAATCCACCAAAACCAAGATAGTGACAAAAGTGACCTCTGGCTGTCCTCGCTGCTCATTATATGCTAATTCAAATGCATTAGTTGCTAAAAGACACTCCCACCAGCACCATGACAATTTACAAATGCCTTGGCAACGTCCTGCAGTTACCCCATATGGTCTAAAAGCGGGAGGAACTCTCAGTTCTGGGAAAACCCCACCCCCTTCCCAGAAAACTCATGAATAATCCACCCCTCATTCAGCAATGATCAAGAAATAACCATAAAAATAGCCAACCAGCAGCCCATGGGGCTGCTCTGCCTATGGAGTAGCCATTCTTTTGTTCCTTTCTTTCTTAATAAACTTGCTTTCACTCTACTCTGCAGACTCACCCCCAGTTCTTTCTCGTGTGAGATTTAAGAACCTTCTCTTGGGGTCTGAATTGGGAGCCCTCTCCAGTGACAATTCCTTTAGATCAAGGTCTGAGCTCTAAATCTCCTGACCTTGCTTTCTTGTTTGTTTCTCCTGGAACTTCTGGTCACTCCTGCCTCAAGTTTCTTAACAAAATAGAGGGCACCCAGTTAAATTTGAATGTCAAAAAAAGTGTTGCATCCTTATACAAAAAAAAAAAAAAAGTTTGTTGTTGTTTACCTGACATTCAAATTTAACTGTGTACCCTATATTTTTATTCGGGTGTGTGATGCTTGGCCGCTGCAGTTATCCTGTGACCTGAAGGATAGAAGTCATGTTCCAAACTCAATAGTAGTCCCAAGAAAGAGAAAGGTTCTGGTTCCATTCCTCAAATGTCTTGTGCCTCTCACACACGTTCCATCTCTGCATTGATTGGAATTATTATTAGCGCCAGGACCTGGGTGTCATTGTTTATTGATTTGGAAGATTCTTGTGTTCCTGGTTTATATAACTGAATGGATGGTGGTCTTGGTCACAGCAACAGAGAATGCTCAAAAAAGAGCCAGACTTGGAATGTCATCAATTTCATTAAATATTTTTTAACTTTTTTATAGAGACGAGGTCTCGCTATGTTGCCCAGGCTGGTCTCAAACTCCTGGCCTCAAGCAGTCCTTCTGCCTTGCCCTTCTAAAGCACTGGGATTATAGGAACAAGCCACCGTGACCAGCTTTGCATTATATTTAAAAGCAAAAGCGTCTAACACGAAGGAAATAATTAGGTAGATTTGTTCTACTCCATAGGAGGGAAGTGTATGTAGCCAATAAAATAATTGCATTTGCTATTTCTGTGTCCGTTCCTAATTGCTGCAGAGCCAGCCAGTCAGTATAAATCAGAAAATTTAAGGAGCAGCGCTCCTGTGTGGGAATCTTGAAACTCAAAGAAGCTCAGCTGAAAGGGAAGGATTCCATGAACCCTTGCACCTGTGGACAGGACCCAGACGACATCCAGACTGCAGTACCGGGAGGACGCAATCCCAAGATAAAAAAGATCAGTCATGTCCCTTTTCGGTTCTTCCCTACTCTATCTATAGTCTTAGCTGCAGAGAGTAGGTTAAAAAAACAAACAAACAACAACAACAAAAGACTTCACTATTTAAAAAACCTCTCTAATGAGGTTTTGAAATGCTAACTTAAAGATGTTTAACTCTTTTGCTGCTTCACACCCAAATGCTTTTAAATCAGTAAAAATTAATTCATCCCTTATCTCAGGAAATATCTTATGCAAGTAGCTTCTTTAATTAAATACTTATAAATAAACGCACAAATATGTGTGTGTGTTTATGTGTGCACCATACATAAGTTAAGTTCGTAAGGCAAACTTACAAAACCCTGCCTGTCTTTGGTATTGGGCTTGGCAACTGCTTTTTAACACAGTTAAAAAGCCGAGCGTTCCTGGCAGGCAGATGACTTGATATGGAGCAGACAGAGGTGGGCTT
Organism: Homo sapiens; assembly: GCF_000001405.40. Classification (NCBI taxonomy): domain Eukaryota; kingdom Metazoa; phylum Chordata; class Mammalia; order Primates; family Hominidae; genus Homo; species Homo sapiens. Next base: position 6,932,242 of record NC_000023.11, read on the forward strand.
ACCTGTGCTCCGTCATCTGTTACAATCAAGCGTCTGTCGGATGATGGATTGTTCTTGCCGGGAGGGCTTCTCCTCCCATGATTAAACGTGTGAGGCGCGTGTTTCAGCAGTTCCTAATCGTACAGGTGGAAGCACACAGATTTTCCCTTTTCTGGCCCCTTTTTGAAAGTGCATAGCTCATCCATTGTGCTTGGTAACCCCCATGTCTTCATCCTTAAAGAATCCAGTAGCCATAGAGGTGGTGGAGGAGCCATGATGGCCGAACAGGAACAGCTCCGGTCTACAGCTCCCAGCGTGAGCGACGCAGAAGACGGTGATTTCTGCATTTCCATCTGAGGTACCGGGTTCATCTCACTAGGGAGCGCCAGACAGTGGGCGCAGGTCAGTGGGTGCGCGCACCGTGCGCGAGCCGAAGCAGGGCGAGGCATTGCCTCACTTGGGAAGCGCAAGGGGTCAGGGAGTTCCCTTTCCAGGTCAAAGAAAGGGGTGACGGACGCACCTGGAAAATCGGGTCACTCCCACCCGAATACTGCGCTTTTCAGACGGGCTTAAAAAACGGCGCACCACGAGATTATATCCCACACCTGGCTCGGAGGGTCCTACGCCCACGGAGTCTCGCTGATTGCTGGCACAGCAGTCTGAGATCAAACTGCAAGGCGGCAACGAGGCTGGGGGAGGGGCGCCCGCCATTGCCCAGGCTTGCTTAGGTAAACAAAGCAGCCGGGAAGCTCGAACTGGGTGGAGCCCACCACAGCTCAAGGAGGCCTGCCTGCCTCTGTAGGCTCCACCTCTGGGGGCAGGGCACAGACAAACAAAAAGACAGCAGTAACCTCTGCAGACTTAAATGTCCCTGTCTGGCAGCTTTGAAGAGAGCAGTGGTTCTCCCAGCACGCAGCTGGAGATCTGAGAACACGCAGACTGCCTCCTCAAGTGGGTCCCTGACCCCTGACCCCTGACCCCTGACCCCTGAGCAGCCTAACTGGGAGGCACCCCCCAGTAGGGGCAGACTGACACTTCACATGGCCGGGTACTCCTCTGAGACAAAACTTCCAGAGGAATGATCAGACAGCAGCATTCGCGGCTCACGAAAAACCGCTGTTCTGCAAACACCGCTGCGGATACCCAGGCAAACAGGTCTGGAGTGGACCTCTAGCAAACTCCAACAGACCTGCAGCTGAGGGTCCTGTCTGTTAGAAGGAAAACTAACAAACAGAAAGGACATCCACACCAAAAACCCATCTGTACATCACCATCATCAAAGACCAAAAGTAGATAAAACCACAAAGATGGGGAAAAAACAGAACACAAAAACTGGAAACTCTAAAAAGCAGAGCGCCTCTCCTCCAAAGGAACGCAGTTCCTCACCAGCAATGGAACAAAGCTGGATGGAGAATGACTTTGACGAGCTGAGAGAAGAAGGCTTCAGACAATCAAATTACTCTGAGCTACGGGAGGACATTCAAACCAAAGGCAAAGAAGTTGAAAATTTTGAAAAAAATTTAGAAGAATGCATAACTAGAATAACCAATACAGAGAAGTGCTTAAAGGAGCTGATGGAGCTGAAAACCAAGGCTCGAGAACTAGGTGAAGAATGCAGAAGCCCCAGGAGCCGATGCGATCAACTGCAAGAAAGGGTATCAGTGATGGAAGATGAAATGAATGAAATGAAGCGAGAAGGGAAGTTTAGAGAAAAAACAATAAAAAGAAATGAGCAAAGCCTCCAAGAAATATGGGACTATGTGAAAAGACCAAATCTACGTCTGATTGGTGTACCTGAAAGTGACGGGGAGAATGGAACCAAGTTGGAAAACACTCTGCAGGGTATTATCCAGGAGAACTTCCCCAATCTAGCAAGGCAGGCCAACGTTCAGATTCAGGAAATACAGAGAACGCCACAAAGATACTCCTCAAGAAGAGCAAATCCAAGACACATAATTGTCAGATTCACCAAAGTTGAAATGAAGGAAAAAATGTTAAGGGCAGCCAGAGAGAAAGGTTGGGTTACCCACAAAGGGAAGCCCATCAGACTAACAGCGGATCTCTCAGCAGAAACCCTACAAGCCAGAAGAGAGTGGGGGCCAATATTCAACATTCTTAAAGAAAAGAATTTTCAACCCAGAATTTCATATCCAGCCAAACTAAGCTTCATAAGCGAAGGAGAAATAAAATACTTTACAGAAAAGCAAATGCTGAGAGATTTTGTCACCACCAGGCCTGCCCTAAAAGAGCTCCTGAAGGAAGTGCTAAACATGGAAAGGAACAACCGGTACCAGCCGCTGCAAAATCATGCCAAAATGTAAAGACCATCGAGACTAGGAAGAAATTGCATCGACTAACGAGCAAAATAACCAGCTAACATCATAATGACAGGATCAAATTCACACATAACACTATTAACTTTAAATGTAAATGGACTAAATGCTCCAATTAAAAGACACAGACTGGCAAATTGGATAAAGAGTCAAGACCCATCAGTGTGCTGTATTCAGGAAACCCATCTCACGTGCAGAGACACACATAGGCTCAAAATAAAAGGATGGAGGAAGATCTACCAAGCAAATGGAAAACAAAAAAAGGCAGGGGTTGCAATCCTAGTCTCTGATGAAACAGACTTTAAACCAACAAAGATCAAAAGAGACAAAGAAGGCCATTACATAATGGTAAAGGGATCAATTCAACAAGAAGAGCTAACTATCCTAAATATATATGCACCCAATACAGGAGCACCAAGATTCATAAAGCAAGTCCTGAGTGACCTACAAAGAGACTTAGACTCCCACACATTAATAATGGGAGACTTTAACACCCCACTGTCAACATTAGACAAATCAACGAGACAGAAAGTCAACAAGGATACCCAGGAATTGAACTCAGCTCTGCACCAAGCGGACCTAATAGACATCTACAGAACTCTCCACCCCAAATCAACAGAATATACATTTTTTTAAGCACCACACCACACCTATTCCAAAATTGACCACATAGCTGGAAGTAAAGCTCTCCTCAGCAAATGTAAAAGAACAGAAATTATAACAAACTATCTCTCAGACCACAGTGCAATCAAACTAGAACTCAGGATTAAGAATCTCACTCAAAGCCGCTCAACTACATGGAAACTGAACAACCTGCTCCTGAATGACTACTGGGTACATAACGAAATGAAGGCAGAAATAAAGATGTTCTTTGAAACCAACGAGAACAAAGACACAACATACCAGAATCTCTGGGACGCATTCAAAGCAGTGTGTAGAGGGAAATTTATAGCACTAAATGCCCACAAGAGAAAGCAGGAAAGATCCAAAATTGACACCCTAACATCACAATTAAAAGAACTAGAAAAGCAAGAGCAAACACATTCAAAAGCTAGCAGAAGGCAAGAAATAACTAAAATCAGAGCAGAACTGAAGGAAATAGAGACACAAAAAACCCTTCAAAAAATTAATGAATCCAGGAGCTGGTTTTTTGAAAGGATCAACAAAATTGATAGACCGCTAGCAAGACTAATAAAGAAAAAAAGAGAGAAGAATCAAATAGATGCAATAAAAAATGATAAAGGGGATATCACCACCGATCCCACAGAAATACAAACTACCATCAGAGAATACTACAAACACCTCTACGCAAATAAACTAGAAAATCTAGAAGAAATGGATAAATTCCTCGACACATACACTCTCCCAAGACTAAACCAGGAAGAAGTTGAATCTCTGAATAGACCAATAACAGGATCTGAAATTGTGGCAATAATCAATAGATTACCAACCAAAAAGAGTCCAGGACCAGGTGGATTCACAGCCGAATTCTACCAGAGGTACAAGGAGGAACTGATACCATTCCTTCTGAAACTATTCCAATCAATAGAAAAAGAGGGAATCCTCCCTAACTCTTTTTATGAGGCCAGCATCATTCTGATACCAAAGCCAGGCAGAGACACAACAAAAAAAGAGAATTTTAGACCAATATCCTTGATGAACATTGATGCAAAAATCCTCAATAAAATACTGGCAAAACGAATCCAGCAGCACATCAAAAAGCTTATTCACCATGATCAAGTGGGCTTCATCCCTGGGATGCAAGGCTGGTTCAATATACGCAAATCAATAAATGTAATCCAGCATATAAACAGAGCCAAAGACAAAAACCACACGATTATCTCAATAGATGCAGAAAAAGCCTTTGACAAAATTCAACAACCCTTCATGCTAAAAACTCTCAATAAATTAGGTATTGATGGGATGTATTTCAAAATAATAAGAGCTATCTATGACAAACCCACAGCCAATATCATACTGAATGGGCAAAAACTGGAAGCATTCCCTTTGAAAACTGGCACAAGACAGGGATGCCCTCTCTCACCACTCCTATTCAACATAGTGTTGGAAGTTCTGGCCAGGGCAATTAGGCAGGAGAAGGAAATAAAGGGTATTCAATTAGGAAAAGAGGAAGTCAAATTGTCCCTGTTTGCAGACGACATGATTGTATATCTAGAAAACCCCATTGTCTCAGCCCAAAATCTCCTTAAGCTGATAAGCAACTTCAGCAAAGTCTCAGGATACAAAATCAATGTACAAAAATCACAAGCATTCTTATACTCCAACAACAGACAGAGAGCCAAATCATGAGTGAACTCCCATTCACAATTGCTTCAAAGAGAATAAAATACCTAGGAATCCAACTTACAAGGGATGTGAAGGACCTCTTCAAGGAGAACTACAAACCACTGCTCAAGGAAATAAAAGAGGATACAAACAAATGGAAGAACATTCCATGCTCATGAGTAGGAAGAATCAATATCGTGAAAATGGCCATACTGCCCAAGGTAATCTACAGATTCAATGCCATCCCCATCAAGCTACCAATGACTTTCTTCACAGAATTGGAAAAAACTACTTTAAAGTTCATATGGAACCAAAAAAGAGCCCGCATCGCCAAGTCAATCCTAAGCCAAAAGAACAAAGCTGGAGGCATCACACTACCTGACTTCAAACTATACTACAAGGCTACAGTAACCAAAACAGCATGGTACTGGTACCAAAACAGAGATATAGATCAATGGAACAGAACAGAGCCCTCAGAAATAACGCCGCATATCTACAACTATCTGATCTTTGACAAAACTGAGAAAAACAAGCAATGGGGAAAGGATTCCCTATTTAGTAAATGGTGCTGGGAAAACTGGCTAGCCATATGTAGAAAGCTGAAACTGGATCCCTTCCTTACACCTTATACAAAAATCAATTCAAGATGGATTAAAGACTTAAACATTAGACCTAAAACCATAAAAACCCTAGAAGAAAACCTAGGCATTACCATCCAGGACATAGGCATGGGCAAGGACTTCATGTCTAAAACACCAAAAGCAATGGCAACAAAAGACAAAATTGACAAATGGGATCTAATTAAACTAAAGAGCTTCTGCACAGCAAAAGAAACTACCATCAGAGTGAACAGGCAACCTACAAAATGGGAGAAAATTTTTGCAACCTACTCATCTGACAAAGGGCTAATATCCAGAATCTACAATGAACTCAAACAAATTTACAAGAAAAAAACAAACAACCCCATCAAAAAGTGGGCAAAGGACATGAACAGACACTTCTCAAAAGAAGACATTTATGCAGCCAAAAAACACATGAAAAAATGCTCATCATCACTGGCCATCAAAGAAATGCAAATCAAAACCACAATGAGATACCATCTCACACCAGTTAGAATGGCAATCATTAAAAAGTCAGGAAACAACAGGTGCTGGAGAGGATGTGGAGAAATAGGAACACTTTTACACTGTTGGTGGGACTGTAAACTAGTTCAACCATTGTGGAAGTCAGTGTGGCGATTCCTCAGGGATCCAGAACTGGAAATACCATTTGACCCAGCCATCCCATTACTGGGTATATACCCAAAGGACTATAAATCATGCTGCTATAAAGACACATGCACACGTATGTTTATTGCGGCATTATTCACAATAGCAAAGACTTGGAACCAACCCAAATGTCCAACAATGATAGACTGGATTAAGAAAATGTGGCACATATACACCATGGAATACTATGCAGCCATAAAAAATGATGAGTTCATGTCCTTTGTAGGGACATGGATGAAATTGGAAATCATCATTCTCAGTAAACTATCGCAAGAACAAAAAACCAAACACCGCATATTCTCACTCATAGGTGGGAATTGAACAATGAGATCACATGGACACAGGAAGGGGAATATCACACTCTGGGGACTGTTGTGGGGTCGGGGGAGGGGGGAGGGATAGCATCGGGAGATATACCTAATGCTAGATGACGAGTTAGTGGGTGCAGCACACCAGCATGGCACATGTATACATATGTAACTAACCTGCACAATGTGCACATGTACCCTAGAACTTAAATTAAAAAAAAAAAAATCCAGTAGCTGGGAGGATTAAAGTGAGGACTAAATCTCACGAAAGAGAACAAACTGCCTATTTTTGGTCAGGAGTCGCATGAATTATGCCAATTTAAGAACCACCTGCCTAAAGCACATTTTTTTCTTTTTCTTTTCTTTCTTTCTTTTTTTTTTTTTTTTTTGCAATACTAGCCTGGCAGAAGCTAAGAGGTATGAAGGCGAACATGACACCTTTATGCAAATGTCACATTTTACTTTCAAATTCCTAAGCACAATTATCCATTATGTCCCAGATAATTGGTAATAACTTAAAAAAGCAGATAATGGATAAGTATTCTGGTGGACTAATTATAATGTATGCCAAAAATTATCTTTTTACAAACTCATTCTCAACTCTTTGGTTCTTTTGATTTATGCAAACCACGGCTTTTTATCTCTAGGTTTCATTCCTCATTTTAAGAGATCTGGTGAAAACTTTTACCTTTAAGGAAGTGGAGGAAATCCAATTGCTTTTCCAGCTAGACAAGATAGATTTTTATCTTTATCAACAGTCTTGAAAAAGTGTGGAAGGAAAATATGTTACTATCTGTGAGAATCCTTAAAGGAGTCAGAAAAACCATAAAACCATAGCATTAGATAAAGTAATATATTATTTTAGATTTATTATTTATTAGATTTATTATTCATCTATTTAATAATTATTTAATATCTATATTAATATTGTAAATATAATATTTAATGCTATATTAATATTATTAATATATATTATTAATATTATTAATCTATTTAATCTATAATAGATACATTATTTTGTGATTCCTTAAAGTCATCACAAAAACCATGGCATTAGATGAAATAATCTATTATTTTAATAGACATTTCCCAGTGCTTATAAAAAAGACATATTTATTATTACAACTCGGAAATCTTATTCCATGAAAAAAACTCAAGAATTCTGAGGCCAGGTGCAGTGGCTCATGCTTGTAATTCCAGCACTTTGGTAGGCCAAAGCTGGAGGATCACTTGAGCCCAGGAGTTTGAGACCAGCCTGGGGCAACATGGTGAAACCCTGTCTCTACAAAAAATACAAAAAATTAGGTGGGCATGGTGGTCTGCACCTGTAGTTCCAGCTATGAGGGAGGATCATAGCTCATATGATCGCTCAAGCCCAGGAGGGTCAAGGCCTGCACTCCAGCCTGGGTGACAGAGCAAGACTCTGTCTCAAAAAAAAAAAAGAAAAGAAAAGAAAAAGAAGAGAAAAGAAAAAAGAATTCTGGATATTCTGGATAGCTGTTAAAGAAGGAATCCCATAAATATCTTTTCAAAATGAAAAGGCTTGCATATGATCATTTGTGTTTGGTATCATTATTTCTGTTGGCATCATTCCTTCTATACAGTTGTGTTAACTGAAATCAAGAAGTGAAAGACATTCTGAGACAGATATAAGGGTACTGTCCTGGAATACTGAGACTATAACCTTTAGCCTCTCCTCTGTAAAATAAGAATCTTCAAAACTCTTTTTAGGGGTCAGCTTCATTCATAGCTTATACTAGGGGATAGCCAACTATGGCCCATTGGCCAAGCCTGGCCCTCTGCCTGTCTTTGCAAATAAAGTTTTATTGGAACACAGCCACAGACATTGCTTACATATTGCACATGGCTTTTTTCACACTACAATGACGGAATTGAGAAGTGGCGACAAGGACCATATGGCTCACAAAGAGAAAATTATTTAATTTCTGGACACTTAGAGAAAACACTGCCTGACCCCTAGTTTGAGGCAATTACAGGTGTTGATGGGAATCAGCAACATCAGGCCAGAGTGAATGAAGTTGTTCTGCTTCATCACTAGGCAAAATTACAGCCAGCAATTAGAAGCACTCACTCCAGCTTACCAAAATTCAGAGTGATTTTCATGTTGCAGCTGTTCTTGAAGATAGCGAAGTTGGAGGCCTGACTAGAACTCCAGACTTTGGCCCTGTAATTCATCACTCTTTTACTCCTCACCCACTGATTAAGAACTATGATGGAGTACCTGCTGGGAGCCATCTTCCTTGCAGGATTAGGAAACAGAGACACGAGAGTAACAAGTCCCTGCCCTCCTAAGGACCATTGTTTACAAACTATCTGGGTGCTCTTGTTTACAAACTTCCACTCCCATGTCCCTGCACACCACTGTTGACTCCTAAGTGCAGTGGAGCCCCAAGTACAAAGTGTGTCTTTTAGAAACATGAAAATCTGCAAAAAACAGATATTTAGATATGTATTTCAATTTTCACTGAGTGATAAGATCAATTTCAGAGTTGGCAAAAACTGACAAAAACCTTATATATTATTTTAAAGCAATTTTATGACAAGGCCAAGCCCAAGTGAAGCAAACAATATCTTGTTGCAATGGCCCTCCCTCTTTCCCATTTTCTTCCCAAACTTACAAACATTGGGTGGTGACATAGCATAGATGTTATAATGCTACAATAGAGTGTAGTACAGTATTCCTTCTGCAATCCACTTAATCAATGGATAAATGTTGATTGTGTATCTACTATGTACCTAATGTGACATGGTCAGTGGAGATTTTTATTGTAAGAGTTGACCTCTTAAGGGAAGGAAATTCCAATCTCCTCACCCCATGCTGACTCAACCTCTAAAAAAATAAAGACTAGTCAAGTTCAAGGATGATAATTTATTTCCAGTTTCTTTTTTCTTTTTCTTTTCTGTCTTTTTTTTTTTTTTTTTTTGACAAGGTCTTGCTCTGTCACCCAGGCTGGAGTGCAGTGACACAATTATAGCTCACTGCAGCCTCTACCTCTTGGGCTCAAGCTATCCTCCTGCCTCAGTTGGGACCACAGGTGCACACTACCATGCCCGGCTAATTTTTTAACTTTTTGTAGAGACAAGGTCTCATTTTGTTTCCCAGGCTGGTCTTGAACTCTTCAGGTCAAGCAATCCTCCCACCTTGGCCTCCCAAAGTGCTGGGATTATAGGTGTGAGCCACCATGCCTGGCCTGGTTTCTATTTTCTAAGGTTGAGTCATCTTGTGGAAAATAAGAACAAAACTTGGGATTTTTTTTTCCAGCTTTATTGAGGCATAAATAACAAAGTAAAAATGCTGTATTTATTTAAGGTATACATGTGATGTTTGATATATGTATACATTGTGAAATAATTACCACGATCAAGCTAATTAATATATCCATCAATTCATGTACTTACTGCTTTTCTGTGTGTATGAGAAAAATTAAGATCTACTCTCTAGAAAGAAATAATCTTTTTTCAGCAACATGGATGGAAATGCAGGTCATTATCTTACGTGAAACAACTCAGAAACAGAAAGTCAAATACTGCATGTTCTCCCTTATATAAGTGGGAACTAAACAAGGGCTACACATGGGCACAGAATGTGGAATAATAGACACTGGAGACTCCAAAAGGCAGGAGGAGGGAGGCGAGGGGAGGGTTAAAAAATTACCTATTGGGTACCATGTTTACTATTCTGGCAATAGATACACTAAAAGCCCAGAATTCACCACTACACAATATACGCATGTAAGAAATCTGCACTTTTACCCACTATATCTATAAAAATGTTAAAAATTAATATTAAAAATAAAACAAAGTTCTACTCTCTTAGCAAATTTCAAATATATTGTCCAATGTTGTAATACTGAATTATTCTAATACTGAATTATATATTTGAAAACTTTAATATTTAAAAGTAACAATTTGCTACATTTACAAGAAATGAAACTAGGGACCACCACAGGCCCTAGTTTCCTACAATCTTAAGATGACAGACTTCCTTTACGTAATCTGAGACCTATCAGAGAACTGGCTGTCCAGATAGGGAAGGATAAGTTGCTCTTTCTGCATTTGCTGCTTCTTAATTGCCTTCAGGTCAAAATAATTCTTAGGGCCAAATGGTGTATTTTGGGGTGGTGTATTCTAATACCTTTTAGGTACCCTAAGGATGAATAGTGTCCCCTAAAAAGTGATATCCACTTGGAATCTCAGAAAGTGAACTTATTTGAAAGCAGGCTTTTTGCAGATCTCATGAGTCAAGGATCTCAAGATGCAATCATCCTGGAGTTAGAGTCAGCCCTAAATCCAGTAAGTGGTGTCTTCATAAGAAGTGGGGAAGACACAGAGAAACACACACAGGGAAGACAGCCACATGAAGATGGGGGCAGATATTGGCGTGGTGTAGCCCCAAGCCAAGGAGCCAAGGATGGGGCCACCTTGGCCACAGCTGGAAGAGGCAAGGTAACACTCCTTCTTAGAGCCTTTAGAGGGACCGTGGTCCTGCTGACAAGAGTGACTTTTGGACACATGGCCTTCTAAACTGTGAGAGAATAAATTTCCATTGTTGTAAGCCACCTAGTTTGCAGTACTTTGCTTCAGCAGCCAAATGAAACCGATGCACCCAAAGAAACATCTCATCAACCCCCTTTAGTAATCACCTGCCACATTTATCTCTGTGCATGGTGAAAGTCCTTACCCAGTGCCTCAGAACTATGATGTACAATGTAGGAATTCTGGAGGCCTTAACATAAGCAGGACACCATGAGGGGCCTTCTATGGCACGTACAATTCAAGACTTTCACGTATATTTCCAAGTTATGCTACCAACTACACATCCCCAGAGAGCCCTCATCACTAGTACTTCTAAAATATTTAATAGAATAATAGAACATTTCTTCCTTTGCCAATTAACATTTCAGCAGTTACTTTAATATCTAAAATATTTTAAAGGTTTCTTTCATCTCGGTAGAAATTCTTTGCAGCCAGGGAGCTGTGACTCAAAGATGTATTTTAGCTCAGAAGCAAAGCCATTCCATTTATTATCCCAGATTTTTCGTTAATTTGAATTTTTGTTATTATGGTTCAGAAATTTGGAATTGAATGGAAATTTTGCTCCCACACTTGATCCAGTGTGAGATGTTGAAAAAGTAGGCAATATTTACCCTAAATACAAGACATTTAGGCAGATATATTGGGAATAAAACCCTGACATTCTAGAAAATGATGTTTTTATTAATACCAGAAATATTCCGGTAGGTGTTATCTGTACTCACAATATCTAATACTCAAGAGTATGATGTTGGCATTTCACCAGTAAAGAAAAGCTGCTTTTCTGCTTTCCTCCTAAATGGTGCTGCATTTCCAACACTTCACAAAGCATTGAACACACTGCCACTGGAGGCAGCCATGAATATTTTATTCCCTCTCAATAAAACAGTTAAACACATCCATTCTCTGCCGTTCAAGGATTTGTAACCTAAGGCCATGGCTGCACAATTTTAAATGAACAGAGTTAGAAAAAAAAATTAAAAAGAAAGAAGTCCAAATTTCATTCCTTCCATTTGGTCATTTTTGTGGAGCCAACTATCTAAGATCTACGCACAAAAGAATACGTGGAATTACATGGTTTGGCTGAGTCCCCACCCAAATCTCCTCTTGAACTGTAGTCCCCATGTGTTGTGGGAGGGACCTGGTGGGAGGTGATTGGATCATGGGGGTGGTTTCCCCCATGCTGTTCTCATGATAGTGAGTGAGTTCTCACGAGATCTGATGATTTTATAAATGGCACTTTCCCCTGGGGTTCTCTCTCTCTCCTGCCACCTTGTGAAGAAGTTGCTTGCTTCCTCTTTGCCTTCTGCCATGATTGTAAGTTTTCTGAGGCCTCCCCAGCCATGCAGAACTGTGAGTCAATTACACCTCTTTCCTTTATAAATTGCCCAGTCTCGGGCAGTATCTTTACAGCAGTGTGAAAATGAACTAATACATGGAATGATTCCACATTATTTGAAAAACATGCTATATATATTGAGAGTGAGATACATCAGGGACCCCTCTTAGGGGCCCACCCCCCACCCATCCCCTGTTCCCAAGCATGGAAATAAGGCAAAATCTAGAGTTCCTTCAAGGGAAATTCCAGGCACCTAGCTGGCCCTGAGAAGTAACAGAGCAACTTGATAAGCCAGAAGGGAATAGTAGCCTAAAACAATAGCCAAGGAAGCTCATAGCCAAGAGTTGTTTGGGTCCCTATAGAAACAAAAGATAATATCTTAGCATATGTTCCTGAGTTGTTTTTCAGAAGCCTGGATCCCTGAAAAAATGGATCCACTGGCATGTAGACCTCAGACAAGGGGCAACTGAGGACTGAGCTCCGACTGCAACTCTTTGTTCTAAATTTCTTCCTGAGGGGCCTAGAGGAAGTCATGCCCATGGACCAGAGCTCAGCATTCCTTTCTGCTGATCCCAAATTTTTAGACAAAACTTTCCCTCCTTATCCGATCACAAATCAGAGAAACTTTGAATCCACCTATGACCTGTAGGCCACTCCCCTGAAATCGAGATGTCTCACCTTTTTTAGGTAAAACCGACGTATGGCCTCCATGTATTAACTTATGGCTTTGCCTGTAACCTCTGCCTCCCTGCCTTTTAAAACCTCCACCTGCAAGCCATCAGGGAGGTCAGGTCTTAAGCCTGAGCTGCTTGATTCTCCTTGCTTGCTGCCCTCAATAAATACTTCACTTCCTCTTACTGCAATCCTGATGTCAGTGTTTGGCTTTGGGGTACCGGGTGAGTGGACCCTAGTTCGGTTTGATGTCAACAGTGTGTTGTATGTGGAAGGATCCAGAAGCTCCTAGACCCAACTTGGTTACATCAGCAAGCCACAAAGTTGAAGGAGAGACTTAGAAGAAGCCTGGGAATCAGGAGGCAGTGATTTCCAATGTGCACAAACATACCTGTGTTTTTTCCCCTTTTTTGTCATTAAAAACAAATATTTAGATGTTTTTCTGTATATGCTTTAAAATCTAATATGTTTGTATTTTGTCTGTCTTTAAACTATAGCTACTTGGAAATATTAATGAAAAAGTGGCCAAGGAAGGTAAGGCAACCATTGATGAATAAAATCTAAATGGTCAATATACACAAAGAAATCAAAGAAATGTTTATTAAAAAGATGAAATTACTCCTTTTCAATTTATGAAAATTGCAAGAATGTTTTTAAGAGGGTTCCCAAGAGTTTTCAGGAAAGCACCAGTATGGGGACTTCTACACCTTGCAGAAAAATGCATAAATTGAAAAAAAAGAAACACAGAAAAAAAAGCAAATCATAAAGTTGTGCACACACTTGGACTCGGAAACTCAAACTTTGGGAATTCAGCCTGAAGAGATAAACATGAATATCGTAAACTAAAAATAAAATTCTAAGCCCCACAACTGACTTAATGAAACATCTCTTAGCCAAAGGGACCCCAGAATAACCTTGAAAACTGAAGGCCACGACGAGACGGGGTGTCAGACACACCTCGTTATACCCCATCCCTCGCTAACCACCATTAGACTTGCTTCCCTAAGGGTTAAATAGAAACCAGCCCTTTCCAAAGACTCCACTGCTGATATCAACCAACCGCCCGATGCTGCCCCTACCCTTTGTGATTTCAGCACAGCAACCAACCAGTATTTCTTCCTGATAAGAGACCCTGACCATGGAGTGGTTCTGGCTCGTCTATGGAGAATGTGCAATGAGGGTGTTAGTGTCTTCTGCTTCACCTTCTGACATCAGAAGGCTGAGAACTCAATCCTGGGATCATGCTAACATCACCATTCCTTGTACATGGGACACATGAAGGGGCATGAAGCTCCACTGCAAATACACACGTTTCTTCTTTCATGAATATCTGTGATGCCTCTTATAGCTTATTGAATACGTATATTCAACCACCCTGCTCAGCATAAATTCCTGTTCCCTTTGCCCCTCCCTCGAAGTGTCTGTTTCTGTCTTCTGGCCACAGGCTACATTTCCCAGTCTGTCAGAACAGCCACCCTACAGGCTACAACCCTTTATAAGAAATAAAGCTCTTCTTTCCAAATTTATGTACCTTGTTTTCTTCAGTTGACAATATAAGGAATGATTTAGCTACAAGGTTGTTTTAGCAGAACTGACAACAACTTTATTGCCCAATACTGGGACAGGGGAGGCAAAATGTGGAAAGCTCTCAAATGGAGTAATGTGTACCCAAAACCAATGATCTCAAAGAATTATGTGTATTATACAGAAAGACGTGAATCATATCTGAAATGTAAAAAAAAATCACAAAGCAGCGATTACATAATGATCCTGTCTTATGGAAAAACATTAAAAGTTTTGCTACACTGAATAAAGTATGGAAGGTCACACAAACATATATGAAACATGAATCATTCCAGTGGTGGGTTTGTTGTTAGTCTTCACAGTGTTCTTTATGCTTATAGGTATTTTCTAGGTGTAAAGTAAACATGGATTAATTTGATGCTTTGAAAAAGAAAAGCTGTTTTAAAAGTTGAATTCTATATTGTCTGTTTTTTTTTGTTTGTTTTTCTGTTTGTTTGTTTTTTTTTTTTTAATTGAGACAGGGTCTCACTCTATTGCCCAGGCTGGAGTGCAGTGGTGCCATCTTGGCTCACTGCAACCTCCGCCTCCTGGGTTCGAGTGATTCGCCTGCCTCAGCATCCCGAGTAGTTAAGACTACAGGCACGCACCACCACGCCCTGCTGATTTTTTTGTATTTTTGTAGAGATGCGGTTTCACCATGTTGGCCAGGCTAGTCTTGAACTCCTGACCTCAAGTGGAACTCAGGTGATCCATCCACCTCGGCCCCCCAAAGTGCTGGGATTACAGGCATGAGTCACTGCACCCGGCTGAAAGTTGCATTATATATTGTCTTGGTCTCAACAAATACACAAAAATGGCATAGTTGAGGAGGGTGCAACTACAAATGGCAGTTGGGAATGAACAGATTCATAGATTGCTTACATTTTATCACTAAGGTGGACCCAAAAGTTATTAATTGAAGTAGTAACCACATCAAATGTGCTTTAAAAAATATTAAGCTGTATGAGGCTGGGTGTAGTGGCTTACGCCTGTAATCCCAACGCTTTGAGAGGCCAAGGCAGGAGGATTCCTTGAGGCTAGGAATTCAAGACCAGCTGGGCAACATAGTGAGAACCCATCTCTACAACAAATTTAAAAATTAGCCAGGTATGGTGGCACATTCCTGTGGTCCCAGCTACATGCAAGGCTGAAGTGGGAGGATCAGTTGAGCTCAGGAGTTCAAGGTTACAGTGCACTGTGATCACACCAGACGTAGTGAGACCCTGTCTCAAAAATAAATAAATAAATAAATAAATAAATAAATAAATAAATAAAAATAAAGCTGTTTGAATTGCACATAAATCCCATGAAAATTATATACCATATCATTCATAATTTGACAGTGGTTAAAGTTATAGACAGATGCTAAAATTTGAGCAATTCCATTTGTCCTTTAAACAGAACAAGCATCTAACCACAATATTGTCCTTTGGGCTTTCAAATGATACTATCTTTCACAGCCAGCCTCTTAAAAGGAAAAACAAAAAGGAGGAATATTAGACATCTAACATGATTCCCTGCCCTTCCTGCCTCCATGACTTGTGGCTGCAGATAAAACAAACGAAGAAGTTTTAGATAGAGTGAGGCCCATTCTCCTAGTACACAAAAGCACTATTTTTATATTGACTCAGGAGAGAACTCACCTAAAATTATTCTTTGGTTCTGACAGCTATTTGCAGGCTTTAGAAAAGGGGAGGAAAGGAGTGCCTTTCTCAATCACTCTTTAAATAAGTGCCCTTGGGTGAAACCGACACCTTGTCTTCTACGTTACTCCTTTGAGACTCTCAGAGCATGCAGAGGCTGAGAGATTGAGACACTGCCCTTCCAGCCCCTCAGTCAGACTCCTAAATACCAACTCTGGTCTCTTTTGCTCGCTTCCCATTTTATCAGTGGGGGCAACTGATATTTCATGTTTCTTATTTGAGAACAGAGCTTTTTAAACATTAATGTGCACACATATCCACTGGGGAGTTTTGTTAAAATTGTAGATTCTAATTCAGCAGAGCTGGGGTGGGGTCCAATGGTCCACATTTCCAACAAGCTCCCAGGTGAAGCCCACGCTATTGGTCCCAGACTGTGCCTGAATATTAAGGTTTTAGATGATGCTAAAGAAAACAAGAATATTTTCTTGTACATGATCATTTTCCATAGTTTGCATATCGTGTGTTCAGCTCAAGGCAGTGTTGTGGATCATTTTCCATCCCAGAATGTGGATTGGGTCATTCCAACACAATGAATGTCTCTGAAATGGATAAAACAGTAAAGACATGGATGTTCCAGGGTTTTTCAATCTAGCGTCTGTGGAGCATAAGGGAACTGTCCACTTCCATGGAAATTTAAACAACTAGGCTGGTATCATGCTCAGCGAGGAGGCAGAACTGGAATATAATTTAAGGACAGTGGTGATGAGCTGTGTTCGCAATGGGGGCACATGATGTTGGTGTTTCCTAAGCCAATCCTTTGCCATTGCACAGAAGTCAGAGATGGTGACACATTAGGTCAACCCATGGCACCATGATATATCAGAACAGAAACATAAATCATATTACTGAAATCATATATCTGGAGTTGGGTGGTCCTTGACATATACATACACTATATCAACAACCCAGAAAGAAGGCGGTCTCTTCATCCGAGTGGCCTGAGACAAATGGCATGCAGAATTTGTTGTCCTTGCTTTCCATGAGAAGTCCACTCCCACTAAGTACTTTGAGATTTGTTATGAAAACTTTATTAAATGTATCACAAGTGAGATGGAGGGGTTTGACTCAGTCCTCCAGATCTTTATCACCTTGTGTGCTTTTCACTATCTTCTTGCTCCTATTCTCCCTCCTCCTTATCCTTTTCCTCCTTGGATGATCTGTATCTTTCCAGTGAAGCACAGCCCTTAAACCCATATACACCACTAAACTCCATGCTCCATAAAACCAAAGGGTCTGCTTTTCTTTAAGAGACTATTCAGCAACCATGTATTGTTCCTCTTGTACATCAGTTAAGGCTCATCTCTCACCCCCAACTGCTAATTGCTTAATCTTTCTGCAGATAACTCTATTAAATAAAATGTTCTTTCTTTTTCTGTTTATAAATATTGCTTTTCATTACCCTTATGTTAAATGTTAATGTCAAAACTCCCTGTATTAATTGTCTACTGCTGAAAAACAAATTACATCCAAATTTTATCTTTTTAACACAACACACATGTATTATGGTTTCTCTGGGTCAGGAATCCGGGCACAGCTTAGCCCACTAAGTATCTTCTTCTGGATCATTCATGAAGCAGTGATCATGGTGCCAGCCAGGGCTGGGATCTCATATCATCCATCTGAAGGCTCCATTGGGGAAGAATCTGCTTCCAAGCTAACTCACATGGCTCTTGGGAGGATGTGATTCCTTGTAGGCTATTGGCTTGAAGCTACCCTCAATTCCTGGCCATGTGGAAATGGGACCTTGCCCTGTCTCCAGTATGGCTGCTCGCTTCCAATAGAAAGAGTCTGGTAAAAATGATGGAGTCAGGCTGGGTGTGGCAGCTCACACCTGTAATCTCAGCACTTTGGGAGGTTGAGGCAGGCAGATCACTTGAGGTCAGGAATTTAAGACCAGCCTGGCCAACGTGGTGAAACCCTGTCTCTACTAAAAATACAAAAATTAGCCAGGAGTGGTGGTGCATGCCTGTAGTTCCAGCTACTCAGGAGGCTGAGGCAGGAGAACCACTTGAACCAGGGAGGTGGAGGCTGCAATGAGCCTTGATCATGCCACTGCACTCCAGCCTAGGTGACAGAGCAAAGCTCTGTCTCAAAAAAAAAAAAAAAAAGATGGAGTCATAGTTTTATAACTTAACTTATTTCTCATCAGTTAGTCATTTCTTTTTTTTTTTTTTTTTTTTTTGAGACAGAGTCTTGCTCTGTTGCCCAGGCTGGAATGCAGTGGTGTGATCTCGGCTCACTGCAAGCTCCACCTCCCGGGTTCACGCCATTCTCCTGCCTCAGCCTCCAGAGTAGCTGGGACTACAGGCACCCACCACCACTCCCGGCTAATTTTTTGTATTTTTAGTGTAGACAGGGTTTCACCATGTTAGCCAGGATGGTCTTGATCTCCTGACCTCGTGATCCACCCACCTCGGCCTCCCATAGTGCTGGGATTACAGGCGTGAGCCACTGCGTCTGGCCATCAGTTAGTCATTTCTATTGGTTAGAAGTCATGTTTTTAAAAATGAGATTAACATTTAAATAGGTTTGGATGGCAGTGTCCCGTAAATAGGTAGGCTTAGGAAAGCAGATGGCCCACTCTACTGTGGGTGGACTTCGTCCAATCAGGTGAAGGCCCGAGTAGAGCAAAAAGACTGACCTTTCCTTCAGTAAGAGAGAACTCCTTCTGCCTAACTAGCTTTGAGCTGAGACCTTGGTTGTGTGTTTTTTTTTTTTCCTGCCTTCAGCCTCAAACTGAAACACTGGCTCTTCCTGGGTCTCAAGCCTGCAGGACTTTGGAATGAAACAACATCATCAGTGCTCCTGGATCCCCAGCTTCCAAACTCACCCTGCAGATCTTAGAACTGGTCAGCCTCCACAACTGCATGAACCCATTTCTTATAATGAATCTCTATCTAAATATAGATATAAGTATCATGTATTTAAAATCTATCTCATTTATCTACATTTATCTACCTATCTACCCATCATCCATCCATCCATCCATCCATCCATCATATCTATCTATCTATCTATCTATCTATCTAATCTATCTATCCATCCATCCATCCATCCATCCATTATATCTACCCATCCATCATATCTATCTATCGAGCCATCCAACAAAATGCTGGATATTTTGTTCTGTATTCTTCCAATAACTGATAAATCCTTATTCTACTCAACTCTTTACTCTAGGGATCCTATGGCTCTAGTTCCATGACATCTCAAGAGGACTCCAGCACCATATTTTGCTCTTCATGAAAATATCTACCAAAGGAATGGGAACTGGAGCTTCTATTTATGCTATGGTCACATTCCCCATGGCCTCTACCAGTGGAGGGATAATGACACCTGAAACCATTTAGAAGATGCCTGCATGAAGACAACCTCCCCAGCTCAGCCAGGCATAAATGCAATGGTGGTTGATGCTCTTGAGTGGAAATGGCCCATTTCTACAACTTGCTGCAAACCGCTACTGTGCACAGTGCCTGGCTTACAACTGCAGCTGATGTGTTATAGTGCTGCAGTCGGCATGCCTTCCTTGGTTGCAGAACACTCTGAATTGGCTGGAACTTTTTCAGAATATCTATTCATTAGATCCTAAATGTTTATAATAAAATGTCAATGCCAGGGATAGCTAACAATGACAACAAATGCTTGTTGCCCTTAGTTTCTTAGAGGAGAAGAAAGAGTTTGCAGCACCAATAACTTCATGGGAATTTGGGCCCTGTGGGAGAAGACACATATTAAAACTAAAACCTGGGTAGTTAATTTCACTCTTGATAACTGTTAAATACAGGAGCTACAACTGAAGTCATCCCAGAATATTCCTGGATCACTATTTTATTTAGGGACTCAATAAGCTCATCTCCAATCCTGCTATATGGAAACACCCATTATTGAGAAAATGGAATATCACAGAAAGTAAGTGTTCAATGGGCATTACATATATTTGTACAGTCCACAGTGGATTAGGAACAATTTTCTTTTCCTTGACTCTTTTCTCCTTTGGTAGTAATTTTTTTAGAGTAAAATTTCTATTTTGAAATAATTTTAAATGTACAGAAAAGTTATGAAGATAGTACAGAGATTCCCCATATATCTTAGCTTCCCCTAATGTTAACATCTTACACAACCAAAGCACATTCGTCAAAACTATGAAACCATCATTGTTACAGAACTACTAACTGCATTACAGGCTGTATTAGGATTTCCACAGTTTTTCCAATAATGATCTTTTCTATTCTAGGATTCAATCCAGGACACTGTTACAATTAGTCACCATTAGTTTCCTCTATACTGTAAGAGTTTCTCAGAATTCCTTGTTTTGTGTGACCTTGATATTGCTGTGGTCTGAATATGTTCTCCCAACATTCACATGTTGAAACATAGTTGCCAGTGTGGTGGTATTAGGAGGTGAGATATTTGGGAGGTGATTAGATCATGAGGGTGGAGCCCTCATGAATGGGATTAATGATCTTATAAAAGAGGTGGTAAGGAGCTGTTCCCCCCTTTTGCCCTTCCACCATGTGAGGACACAGCAAGAAGGCACCATTTATGAACCAGGAGGTGAGCCTTCACCAGACACAGACTCTGTCATGTCTTGATCTTGGACTTCCCAGCCTCCAGAACTGTGAACAACAAATGTCGGTTGTTTATAAATTACACAGTCTAAGGTATTTTGTTATAGCAGCACACATGGACTAAGACATATTTTGTCTTAGTCCCTCTATCTTGGTTTGTCTGATATTTTCTGATGATTAAACTAGAGTTATAGGTTTTGGGGAAGAAGATCTTAGCAGTGAGGAGCACTTTTCATCATATCATATTAGGGGTTCACATGATTTATCATTATGATGTTAGCCATGATCACCTGGTAAAGACAGTGTCTGTGAAGTTTTCCCACTGTTAGTTACTCCTTGTTTAGTTTTGACCATGAAATTTAAAAGAAATGTTAATTTAAAAATATCTGGTGTTATATTTATATCTTACTTCAATTGAGTTTATTTTTTCTGTTTTCAATTTATTTCTAATTCAATTCCATCTTTGTTCTTTTCTTTCGTCTAGAAAAAAAATTAAACATCACATTTTTCATAGAACTCTCCTGCTTAAACCTGGAGGCTGTTCATGGTTGGGATAAAAGAAAACCCATATTTTGAGCATCTCAAAAGGTATGAGGGAGTCTAATAAATATTTTATATACATTTCCTACTTACATTTCATAAGAAATGTAAGTTAAATATTAATACACCACTTTTTTTTTCAAATGAAGAAACCAATTTCCTGAGGCCATAGGGAAAGAGAGGAAGTCATAAAATAGGTAGGATAGAACCCAGATTGTTTAGCCAGAGGTTCAAGATCAACCATAAACTTTTCAAATTTGATTCCTGGAGTTCTACTGCACGGACACACTCCTACAGAAATGCCAGGGTCTGTGCCCTGCAGCAAGAACATTCCCTAAGCAGCAGTGCATTGAACATTCACCCCTATAGCCCCCATTCTCCAAGTTGCTTCTCCAAATGTCACTTATCCTCCAAGCCTGGCTGAAGCCCACCTCCTCCAGAAAGCTCTTGTTGATCACTATGCCCTTGATATGGTTTTGCTGTGTCCCCACCCAGATCTCATCTTGAATTGTAGTTCCCATAATCCCCACTTGTCATGGGAGGGACCTGGTGGGAGGTAATTGAATCATGAGGGTGGTTATCTCCATGCTTTTCTCAATGATAGTGAGTGAGTCCTCACGAGATCCGATGGTTTTATACCCACTTCCCTTTCCCACTTCCCACTTCCCTTTGCTCTGCGCTTCTCCTTGCTGCTGCCATGTGAAGGATGTGTTTTCTTCCCCTTCTACCATGAGTGTAAGTTTCCTGAGGCATCCCCAGCCCTGTGCAACTGTGAGTCAATGAAACCTTTTTCCTATATAAATTACCCAGTCTCGGTATGTCTTTATTAGTAGGGTGAGAATGGACTAATACAGCCCTCAACAACTGTTCCTTTTACACTGAACACATTGTTTCTTACATTCTTTGGCACTTGATAATATTCTGGGCTCCTTTGTTTCCCAGTTTGTTAAACAGGGTCAGTCCATGCATGTGCCATACTGTAGAGGGGATGAACTTTCCAGTCCTGATTGACAGTGCTGTGCTAGAAACCCCCAGGAGAGCTCTCCAGCATCCTGGCTGGAACCATGCACTGCATCCTTCTCACCACATACTGGCTCCTCTCGGCTTTTACCCCTCTTGTGGTCACTCTCATATAGATGGCTCCGTGTCAGTCCGTGTCAGCCAACTGCAAGGTTAGAGGGGCAGTCCTCCAGGCTGGCTTGCTTCTCACAATCACTCCAATTTCAAGTAGGTTCACAAAACTACCCTGTTTTAATAATTTGCTAAAAGGACTCACAGGAGTCACTGAAAGGTGTTATGCATATGGTTATGGTTCATTACAGCTAAAGGAGACAGATTTAAGTCAGCCCAGGTAAAAGGCATACAGAAAAGAGTCTGGAAAAGTTGCAAATATTGAGCTTCCAGATGTCCTGTCCCTGTGGAGTCATGGGCAGTGTTGCTTTCCCTGCATTGCTATGTGACAGTATGCATGGAGTATGTCCAACCTGGAAAGGCCACCTGAGAATTGAGTCCAGAGATTTCACTGGGGCTCTATCACACGGGTATTGATGATTGCCCATGGGGCAGATCTCCATCTCCAGCCCCTCAGGAGGTCAAGCTGATGCTGCATGGGTCAAAGACCCTGCCCCCCTACATTCCACTGATAAGACTCTGGCATGACCAGCCTCCTACCTGACATCACATTACTAAACTATGCAGTGACCCAAGGCTATCAGGCAGTCAATCCTACCAGGCTTGACATTCCAAGGGCTTTGGGATCACCTCCCTGGGCAGATTTCTTGCTGAACAAGATTAAATTCTTTACTACATAGTGAGGTACTTCTGTCTATCTTGGAGACCTTTGTCCTCTTTTAACTTTTAGTTCCTTTTTTTTTTTTCCTTTTAGAGACATAGTCTTCCTCTGTTGCCCAGGCTAGAGTGCAGTGGCATGATCGTTGCTCACTGCATCCTCCAACTCCTAGGATCAAATGATCCTTCTACATTAGCCTCCCATGCAGCTGGGACTACAGGTGCATGCCACCATGCCCAGGTATTCTTTTTGTTTTTTGTAGAGATGGGTCTTGCTATGTTGCTTAGGCTGGTCGACTTTTAGTTCTTTATATGCCTTCTTAACATAACCAGATTATGTTTGTGTATGCAGACACCAAGACATTGACCGTGATGTTTCTCTCAGTGCTAGGATCACAGACAATTTTTTAGTTCTCATTATGCTTTTCTACTATATCCATATTTTCAACAGAAATTGTCGCTTTTATAATTAGGATGGGAAAACAGATTTTAATGAGGCTTTTTTCCCTAAAACATATTGCTTAACCAGTTTTGCTCACAATGAGCACCAGAATTTGTCCACTCAGTAAGTCACTTATATAACATAATATTTAGAGGATCCTATGCTTTTATTTCTGAGTTATGTAAAAAATGACAGAAAAATATGTTAAGAATAATTTAAACTCCATTCATTAATTAAACTACACATAGTTTAAACTATAGGGCTTGTATATTACCCCTGAACAATATAAACATATACACGACACATATATGCAAACAATAATTAGCTACTTGTGTAGATATATGGACATTTTGTGCATTGTGTTACTCAGGAACATATAAGACTCTGTAGCCAGTGTGATAATGAAGATAAATCTCCTTTCTATCTGGTCTAAATTCCTTTTCTGCCCATTCAATGCTACTATTTCTTGTTTGTTTGTTTTTGGAGATGAAATCTCGCTCTGTCGCCCAGGCTGGAGTGCAGTGGTGCGATCTCAGCTCACTGCAACCTCCACCTCCCAGGTTCAAGTGATTCTCCTGCCTCAGCCTCCCAAGTAGCTGGGACTACAGGCGCATGCCACCACGCCCAGCTAACTTTTTTGTATTTTAGTAGAGACGGGGTTTCACTGTGTTGTCAGTCAATCTGCCAGCCTCAGCCTCCCAAAGTGCTAGGATTACAGCATGAGCCACCACGCCCGGCCACTACTATTTCTTGTTAAGTATGCATCTTCAGTGGGGGCAAACATTGCTCCTTAGGGAACAAAATAGATTTTTAGGGCAAAAAAAAAAAAATCAAACTATCTTTATCAGTAAAGTATAGAAATGCATGCAGTACATAAACAGATATGTAATATATCTGTATTAAACTTTTGTGGGGAGGGGAAAATGCCCAAAACACAGGAAAGATGTTGAAAAACATCAGTCTGAACTATCTGGGCTGGAGGTGGTGACCCTGTTTGCAGAATGTTCTTAGCTTCTGTCTCTGCAACTGTAAAGTGTTCATTTTCAGCAAATTCTTTATAAATACATTTTTAGAAAGAGAAGGATGCTTTGCTGTTACGGTGTACAAAATGCCTAACATTAAGTACTTCTTGACCAAGACTGAATTTTATCCCTCTGACTATGGCCCAACCTAGCTAGGCACAACTCTGTTTGTCATGGACTTTGCAACCAAAAGCCACCATAGAAGGGTCCTGATTCCATTCTTAATGGCAGGAGTCACTTCCTGGTGAGTTATGTGTTTTGTACTCTGTTGGGTCTGCTTTGAAAAGCCCCCTCCTTTCCACTGCCTGGCATCTTCTACACAGCATCACCTATGTGAGCCTAAGGGCACACATCTCTCAGATGAGATGAGAATGAGAATGGATTCACCTCATCATGTCCAATGAAGCCATGACTAAACAATGAAAGGCAGATGAAAAATTTAAAGAAAACCACTTCCATAATGGGAAATTCTCATCTATCCTTTTACTAGAAGTATCAGTGTTGTGCCTTATCCCAAATAACTGCTGATGCATGCAGCCTGAGCCCAGGGGAGGAGTTGAAGATAAGGTTAAAGAGAGCTAGATAGTGTTCCATCAGTCAAGGTCGGCTATGGTTTGAATGTGTCCCTGGAAGTTCAGGCATTGGAAAGTTAATCCCTGATGCAACAGGTTTAAGAGGAGGGACCTTTAAGAGGTGATTAGGCCATGAAGGCTCTGCCCTTATGAATGGATTAATGCCCTTATCATGGGAATGAGTTTATCTCAGGAGTGGGTTTCTTATTAAAAAAAAAAAAAATAGTTCAGCTCTCTTTTCCACTCTCTCTCACCTTCTCTTTGCTCTTCTGCCTTTTGCCATGTGATAACACAGTACAAAGTCTCTCACCAGATGCCAGCCTCTCAGTCTTGAACTTCCCAGCCTCCAGAATTGTGAGCCAATAAATTCCTCTTCATTATAAATTATCCAGGCTGTGGTATTCTGTTATAACAGCACAGAAAAGACTAAGACAGAAAACTGGTACTTAGAAGTGGGGTTGCTTCTTTAACAAATACCTGAGAATTTGGCAGTGGCTCGGGAACTAGGTAATAAGTAGAGGCGGAAAGAATTTGGAAGAGCAGGCTAGAAAAAGTATACATTGCCATAAATGTAATGTTAAGGGCAATTCTGATGAAGGCTCAGAAAAGGAGAGTTGTAAAGGAAGTCTGGAACTTGTTAGAGATTACTTAAGTGGTGGTGATCACAATGCTGGTAGAAAAGAGTAAAGAGGCTGGGCGTGGTGGCTCATGCCTGTAACCCCAGCACTTTGGAAGACCAAGGTGGGTGGTCAGGAGTTCCAGACCAGCTTGACCAACATGGTTGTTTGAAATGCTTGTTCCCCAGTGCCATAAGGAAATAGCACTTGAACATAAATTTAATTTACTCAGCAAGGCCATTTTTACTTCCTACAGAAAGGGTACACGCTCCAGCAGTTTTGTCAGAGTATACCGAACAAAGGAGATAGGGTCATTTATAACCTTACGCGTCCACCCTACTGCTGTGTCCGGTTTCCATTGGCTGGAATGGGACCTCATATTCTGTATTTGTTCCAACTGGCTAGCAACTTATAACTTTTTAAAAGAGGCAAAGGTAGAGGAGAACAAAGGAAGGCGGAAGTAACTTGTGGAATGCTGAGAAAGGTAAAAACACCTTCAAAGAAGGAAGAGGAGCAGGCTATGACCTAATGCTTGCTTGGACCAGTATAAGTATGCCAGGTCAAATATTTAGGCTAAATTGTGGGAGCTAAGAACATAAAGTACACTAATTTCCTTATCATGGCTAGCCGGTATTTAAGAATGTTAGCACAGGCCTTTGAATAAATTTTGCTTCTAAGAGAAGTTACTATTTATTCCTAATTAAATGGGGAGGAAAGTCTTTGAAGAGGAACCTCTACTTTACTTTTTACAATGGTGAAACCCAGTCTCTACTAAAAATACAAAAAATTAGCCAGGCATGGTGGTGGGCACCTGTAATCACAGCTACTCTGGAGGCTGAGGCAGAAAAATCGCTTGAACCTGGGAAGCGGAGGTTGCAGTGAGCTGAGATCACGCCATTGCACTCCAGCCAACATTGCACTCTTGGGCAACAAAAGTGAAATGCCATCTCAAAAAAAAAAAAAAAAAAAAAGAGAAAAGGTCCTTCTGATGAGGTCTCAGATGGAAATGAGGAACAACTTATTGGACACTGAAGGAAAGGCCATCCTTTTTACCAAGTGGCAAAGAATTTGGCTGAATTGTGTCCATGTCCTAAGACTTTATATAAGGCAGAACTTAAGACTGATGAGCAAGAAATTCAGCAAAGCATTCAGGATGCTGTGTGGTTTCTCTTAATTGCATATAATACAATGTGAGAAGAAAGAAATGATTTAAATGCAGACTTTATAATTAAAAGGGAAACAGAACTTGGAGATTTGAAGGATTCTCAGCCTGGCTAGGAGGTCAAGAATGAAAGAGCATTTTCAAGAGAGGAAAACAGGGGTGTGGCCAAGAGATAAGGAAATTAACATGATAAAACAAGCCAGAGGCCATTCAGCAGAACAATGGGAGAATGATCCTGAAGGTATTTCAGAGATTAGCAATTCTGCCCCTCCCATCACAGGCCCAGAGTGCCAAGGTCTGGGGAAAGGAAATATGTCAAAAGAGAGGCCCATGGTGCCCATGGGACCACAGTACTCACTGCCCTGCACCACCTGAAGTGTCTGCTTCCCACATTCCAGTGCAGTGCTCCTCAGGTGCCCCAGCTGTGGCTCAAGTGAGCCTAGGTTCAGCTTGACTCCCCACTGCAGAAGGCACAAGTCATGAACCTTGGTGGTGTCCACGTGGTGCTAATTCTGCAGGCATACTGAATGCAAGCGCTGTGCAGGCATGGCTTCCGCCACCCAAATTTTAAAGGATGTCAATGACAACCTGGGGACCCAGAAACAGGCCTGTGACAGAGGAGGAGCTGCTGCAGACAGTCTCCACCAGGGCAATGCCTAGTGGAGCTTTGGGAGAAGAGTAACCCCCTAATCCTGAGACCCCAGAACTACAGAGCTACCAGCATTTAATGCCAGCCCAGTAAGCCACAGGCGCCTGACCCCAACTCATCAGAGAAACTGTGTGCTCTTCAGTAAAATGGTGGGGATTGGGCCCCTAGGGCCTTCAAGGCCCAACTTCCACCCCAGGGTATCTACAAGGTGGAATATAGAGTCAAGAAATACTATTCTGGAGCCTTAAGATTTGATGTTGTTCACCCTGTTGAGTTTTGGACCTACATTTCTGTAAGTCCAATAAATTTCTGTTCTTTACAAATACCTATTTCTTCCTTTTGAGAGAATGTGTCTCCTATGCCTGTCCCACCATTGTATTTGGAAAGTAGATATCTTGTTTGATTTCAGAGGCTCACAACTGAGAGAAATTTGCCTCAGAAGAAATCAAGCTTCAAATCTTACCTGTATCTGATTTAGATGAGACTTTGGACTTTTGACTTGGTGCTGGAAGGAGTTAAGACTTTGGGGCTATTGGGATGTAATAAAAGTATTCTGCATGTAAGAAGAACAGAAATTCAGGAGGCCCTGGGCAGAATTCTGTGGTTTGAATGTATCCCCAAAGTTCAGGTGTTGGAAATCTAATTCTCAATGTATTACAATAGTGTTAATAGGCGGGACCTTTAAGAGGTGATTAGGCCATTGAGGGCTCTGCCCTCATGAATGGATTAATGTCATTATCACAGGAGTGAGTTCCTTATATAAGGCCAAGTTCCGCCTCCTCGTTCTCTCTCTCTTTGAGGCAGGGTCTTGCTCTGTAACTTACTGCTCTTGCTCTCTCTCACCCTCTTTGCCCTTTCACTTTTTGCCATGAGATGACACAGCACGAAGGCCCTCACCAGATGCTGGACCCCCAATCTTGGACTTCCCGGCATCCAGAATTGCGAGCCAATACATTTCTGTTCTTTATAAATTATTGAGACTCCAGTATTCTGTTATAGCAGCACAAATCAGTCTATGACAGGGTCCAACCAGAAAACCAGGAATCACACTAGGTATTTCCACAGAGGACATTGAATGTAGGGAATTGATTACACAGGTGTTGACAGCTACAAAAGCAAAAATGAAACATCAGGTCATGCAGAGACAGTAGCTTTAGAAATCAGCTGCCACCAACAGAGTATAGAACACAGGTTGGCCAGCTTTTTTTTGTGTATGTGATGGGTCAGACAGTAAATATTTTAGGCGTTTTGCACCATATGATCCATGGAACAGCTGCTCATACCTTGCCACTATGGTGGGAGAGCAACCATACACAATATGGAAATAAATGGGCATGGGTTTGTTGCAATGAAGCTTTTTTTTACAAAAACAAGATGTGGGCTGGATCTGGATTCCACACATACAAAACTCATTTTAATTACACTCTCCTTATTTTTTTCTAATAACTATTTCCTATACCAAAATGCCACCTGGCAAACTCCTATTCATCCTTCAAGACTCACCAAAAGTAGGCCAGGTGTGGTGCCTCATACCTGTAATCCCAGCACTTTGGGAGGACGAGGTAGGTGGATTGCTTGAGCCCAGTAGTTCAAGCCCAGCCTGGGCAACATGGTGAAACCCCATCTCTACAAAAAACACAAAAATTAGCCATGCCTGTAGTCCCAGCTGCTTGGGAGACTGAGGTGAGAGTATCACCTGAGCCTGGGATGTGAAGACTGCAGTGAGCCATGATAATGACACTGCACTCCAGCCTAGGCAACAGAGTGAGACCCTGTCTAAAAAAAAATAAAAAATAAAAAAGACTACCCATGTGTTGGTGTCTCCTCTCAAGCATGAAATCCACCAAAGCATGCTTGCATTCATCCCTGTATTTGCAAGAAACTAGCATAGTCTCTAGCACACAGGAGTGCTAAACAACTGTTTCATGAAAAGATGAACAAACCAGGTAATAAGCAAATATTAACCAAAAAATTACCCACATGTGTTAAGCATTTACAAGGAGTAAAGAACTGTTTAATGACTCTCCTTAACCTTCCCAGAAACTCTAGGAAGGAGACTGTGATTACCATTTATATTTTATGAATGAGGCAAATGAGGCACAGAGACTTCAAGCTACATCCCTAAGTTTATATAGATGGTCAGTGCATGACCCAAGAACAGAACTTGGGAGTCTGAGTCCAGAGCCTCATTCTTGCACTGCTCTGGAATTCCATATCCGTGCATGGTCTTTACCCGTGATAGCAACACAGCACATGCAAGAAGTCTTCTTTATGCTAAGAAAGAATAAACATACCCTTCATAAATAATGCAAAAAACAAGTTAACTGCTTCTGAAGAGTGGAAACCTGCTTTCAAGGAGTCTGAAGTATGGTAGGAATTAATAAAACATTTTAAGGGTACTCTACAATTCAAATATGAAAAGGAAAATCAATTAGTGATCTGAAAGAACTAACAAGTAAAACAATCATTTTAATTTTCCATGTATGGAGAATCCACAACATTCTTGAGAGTGTTGAGCATACAAAATTCATTCCCTGTGCTATGTAAGTATAATTTTAACCAGTGGTAGAAATGCCAGTCACTGTGGTTGGATCACTGTTTTAATTTAGCATGGTCTGCCTCTGAGGTTAAAAAAAAAGCCAAATAAAATAGCACACACTTTCTCATTAAGCTGCATAATTTCATCGAATTTGTTTGATTGAAATACTACACCCCGGTGTTTGAGTCTACAAACACATTTACACACAATAAATTTAACAAGCTCACAATTGTAGGTATTAATCCCTTATATTCTGTCTAGTTTTCAATCTTCCTTATAAAATAGAAGACAATTCCAGAAAGTCCCTTGTTTGGATTTGATTCTATTATTTCTACAGCATGAACTCATTTTCTATATAACACAGTCACTTTGGAAAGGTCTTATTTTGTTAAAGGGGTCCCGGAGCATATGTCTAAGTAATTACAGTCTCTTCAAAATGCAAACTTTTATGCCATAAAATTCAGTTAGTAGAAAAGTTTCCTTTATGTGCAAAGAAACATTTTGATTTTACTTTTTGTTTTTTGAGTTCCATACAATGTTAAAGTTTAGATGGTTTAAAATTGGTTTTATATGGCTGTTGATTTCTTTGTAAATTCTCTAAAAACTACATTTCTAACACCATTCTGTGTGAATAAATCTAGAGTTTCAAATATATCTGATAAGAAATTATTTCTCACATCTCTCTTAATTCTAACAATAGGTGTTGGTATAACAAATTAACACTAGAAAGCATTTTACATGCATTATTTAATTTATTTTTGGTGGAACAGATGTTGGTGCCATCATCTTCTCTAATCGGCAGATGAAGCTCTGAGACTATTTTACCAGAGCTAGTGTCTTAGCACAGGCTAAGTTGCAGCATCAAATAGATGCAATCAATTCTGGCTCAGACATAGTCAGTCTCATAAACAATGTGATCATGTACTGCAGGGCACTGGGAAACTCAGATCCACACAGTCATTCAGGTATCCAACTTGTCATGCTTCTACGATCTTTAACTCATGTCTTCAAGGGTCCCTGTGAGCATCACCATCACAGTCAGCTGGAAGAAAGAGTAGCAGGGGAATCTGTGGGGTACTTTTATAAGGAGGTTCTGGCTTCATTTCTGCTTGGCTTCTTCCTGGGAGGATGTGGTCACATGG
Organism: Homo sapiens; assembly: GCF_000001405.40. NCBI lineage: Eukaryota > Metazoa > Chordata > Mammalia > Primates > Hominidae > Homo > Homo sapiens. The sequence continues at coordinate 6,963,288 of NC_000023.11, forward strand.
GCACAGCTAACAGAAAGGGAGGCTGGAAATGGGAATGCCTGAGGAGCATTTATTACCTCCTTCAGGTAAGAAAAAGCCTGGCTCTGACATGACTGAGCCAAGTCCTCAGCCCTCTGTCTATACTGTCTGAATGCCCTGTGGGATTGAGCCCTTAACCTGCAGGGTCCCACTCTAACTCCAGGCAGACAGTGTCAGGATGGAACTGAATTATAGGACACCTAGTGGGTATTCATTGGAGAATTGCTTGGTTTATGGGGGAAAAACCCACATACATCTGGCATCAGAAGTGAGTAGGGGCTGACATAAGAGAAAAATGACCTTCTTGTTTTTCACATAAACAAATATGCAGGCTGTAACTGAGAGATCCGCAGGGGTGTGTTTGTGAAACCTCTAAAGGTGAGACCAGGTGGTCTGAGAGCAAACAATGGGGACCTTGATGCTAGCCACCAAATGCTGTGCTCAAAGTGAGACGTCAGAAGTGATTTTCCACCATGCCAATCCTTCGGATCATATGCACAATATTTGGGCTATTGGTTTTAATCCCTCATGCCCAACATTTTGCAGTTGTTCTAAAGAAACATACAGGTTCTAAAGCCAGCACTATAAAAAACTGACTCTATATTCGTGGGAGGAATTGACTCTTCGGTGAGTGTTTGCCAGGTTTTTCATTCGTCACATTTTCTAACAAGAAGAATGCGATTGTTCAAATCACTCAGGGATAAGTGGCTTGCATTAGCACGCCTATTCAGGGACTTTTTCTAGAAGCATTCTAGGAAGTAAAATGTGGGTTGATATCTTTATTATAGGCAACACGGGGCTTTATTTACAAACAAAGTGCTTTAGACAAGGTCTTTTGCATAATACAAATAGCAAGTTATTTTCAAATGGCCATAATACTTGTAGTCAAAACCTCTTTCAATTGAAATAGCATCAGCATATGTCTTATTTTCTGGAAAATGTACAGGAAATGGTGAGAAATGCACATTCTATATACTTTCAGGAGAACTAAGCCATTGAAGCAAAAGGAAAACCAAGTAGCAATTAAAAGATTCGATTCCCTACTTTGGGAAGATACACCAATTTGATTCAAGAAATGGGTATTGAGATGGGCACAGTGGCTCATGCCTATAATCCCAGTACTTTGTTAGGCTGAGGAAGACAGTCTGCTTGAGCCTGGGAGGTTGAGACCAGCTTGCGCAACATAGTGAGACTCTGTCTCTACAAAAAATTTTAAAAATTAGCTGGGCGTGGTGGCACACAACTATGGTCCTAACTACTTGGGAGGCTGAGGTGGGAGGATTGCTTGAGCCCTAGAGGTTGAGGCTGCAGTGAGCAGTGATTATGCCACTGCACTCCAGCCTGGGCGACAAAGCAAGACTATGTCTCAAAAAATAAATAAATAAGTAAAAAAGTCAATAAATGAATAAATAAATAAATAAAAAGTGTTGAGCTCCTTTGAGGTGATGTTCATGCCGCCATGGATTAAAGGTCAAATAAGATACGATCCTTTCCCCCAAGAAATTTATAATCTAGCTTTACAATAATTCATTTAGGTATTCTCAACTGCTATGTCAGATAATAACACCTTTCCTAAGTTTTTTCCCCCTCCTAGTACCATCTCAATTCGTAAGAACCAAGGAAACAGTGATATCTACTTAAGCCCAGGCAATCATCCAAAGAATTAAAAGCTAGGTAACATTGTCCTCTGTGTGATATTTGCTTGATTATTTTAACAAACAGAAGTCAGTAACTGTTTTTGCATGAAATAGTCATAGGCCAAGGCTCTCTTCTTTGATTTAAGGCTCTTTGGGGTCACTGAAGTGTCATTTGGAAAATGACTTCCCAATGCATAATGATCCCCTAAAGCCTGTCGTAAGTGCTCTTCCATGAGAGCAGCGATTTATTTTCTTCCAAGTATTGTTTTAAAACAGTAAGCAGCCGAAGGTCAGAGAGGCTCTGGCTCATGAAAACAGGCTTAACGCAACTCTAAGATATTTTTTAAACACTGGAGAGGAGAAAAATTTTTCATAAATACACATTTAGAGAAATGGTTCAACAGACATGGAAAAGATACGTTTCTCTTACCCCCAAGCACATGGTTATAACCCATGAAACAATATACATAAAAGAAAAGAATAGATGGCTTTAGAATATCACAGAGACCTGGATTCAAATTCCAGCCTTTCCTTGCATTGATTATGCCCATTTTGTTTGCAAATCAAAGTTTTTGAGCTCAGTCGCCTCATATAATACAAAACTACCTGCCTCAAAGATTGTGACAATTAAACACGATACTGTATACAAATGCTAAAGAGCAAAGCCAGCTGCATAGTATACACTCAATAAACTGCAGTGATGAGTGCTAAGATTATTGTTAAACAGGAGTTATACACAAAATAATTAGGCATACAGTATATAAAACCCAATCCTCTCTTCATTTGTGGGATTATGTCAATCGGATATCTAATGCTATGTTACTTGTGAAATAATCATTTTCATAAGCAGGAAAAATAAAAACCTATGCAGCTATAAAAATCAACTGTATTAAAGACTTTATTTAACTCTTGAGTTAGGAAACTGGTTGTAAGATGTTGCAACCAGTTCAAAGTCGACTCCAAACAGACACATTTATAGATCAGGAATATTGAAACCTCAGAACATAAAACTACCTTCTTCCACCGTTCGGGAAGGAAATAATTGAAACTGTACCAGACAGGACATAATTTGCATATGAATAGACAGGAATGATTTTGCACTCAGTTATCTACAACTTATGAGGATGTAAGTTTGGTCCCACAGAATCAGAATCTGATAATCCTAGAGGCTGTACTCTTCCAGGAAATGCATCATTGTCCTTTAAAGCACATTTTTCTACAATTATCACATATATATATTTTATATATAATATAGGAAATAAAAATATCTATTTTGTGTAGATATGTTTGCATGTAAGTGTTGTTCAATTTTGCTTGCTGTTTTGTATACCACATCATACATATTGTCTTTCACATACACACCCACCTGTAAAAGTTAAAATTACTAAAATTGAGTGAATCTTGGTTCTATGCCTGTTATATAGAAACTAAGTAAATGATGGAGTGCATCAAAGAATTGTACAATTTGAGCAAAAAGATTATCTCACTCTGCCATTTCTCTTAATCATTCCACCAACACTTTATGAACTTCTTGAGTTATAAGCAATAAAATTCCAAATATTGAAAGTTGTGTTTGAGTCCTTTAGACTGGATCGCCTTCATATTTTTTTTTTTTTTTTTTTAGAGACAGGGTCTCAGTCTATCACATAAGCTGGAGTGCAGTGGTGCAATTGTAGCTTGCTGCAACCTTGAACTCCTGGGCTCAAGAGATCCTCCCACTTCAGCCTCCTGAGTCGTTGGGACTACAGGTGTGCACCATCACAGCTGGCTAATTTTTTGTATTTTCTGTGAAGATAGGGTCTTGCTATATTGCCCTGGTTGGTCTTGAACTCCTGGCCTCAAGTGACCCTCCTGCCTCAGCCTCCCAAAGTGCTGGGATTACAGGTGTGAGCCACTGCACCCACCCAGCCACCTTCAGGCATGTTAAGGATGGTGAGGAACAGGGATGCTGGTTTTAACAAGGTTCCCTGATGGTGGCCTCATGTGTGCTGCTCCCACAGCGTGGCTGAGGGTGGAAGCTGATTCCCGGTTGGAGGAAGGTAAGGGAAGTGCACCACTGCCTTCTCTCTGGACTGGAAAGAGACGGGCTGTGTCTAGGGAGGGTATGTAGGGGGCCGTGTTTCAGGGGTTGAGGGTCATTGGTAATTGGTCACGTTCCTCCTTTCAGGAAGCAGGAGTTGGTCCTGTAGGACTCCTTTCCCAGAGAGCGGCTGCCACAGGAGGACAGAGGCATCTGCAGCCGCCCTGGCCTTCTATCTGGTGCAGACCCACGCGGTTCCTCCCCCATGCTGCTAGACCTGGCTGTCTCCTGACTCTGGCTTCCTGCCTGGCCCTTTCCTTTCCATCCTGGCCCTCACCCCTTAGCTGGTGTCCCCAGCATGTTTTTCTTGCCTGAAGACATCAGAACTCTGCTTCTTCTTTCTGTTCTCCTTCCTCTTAGGCAGGCTGCAGCCTCGTCCCTGTGACCCTCTGGAGCTCTGAGAGGATCCAAGAGAATACAGCTCTGCCATCCAGGTCTGCGTGGCAGCAGATGCTCTCCCTCACCCAGAAGTCCATTTGAGTGGCCGCTTTGCACCTATGCCGTGAAAATGTCCCCACCTTCATTAAAAAAGAACCAGAGCAATCACTAACTCCTCACTACCCCATGTTGGGGCTCAGAAAACAATGCCCCAAAATGCAGGTCTCAGCAGTGGCCTTGGAAGCGAACTTCTCTCTGTGACCTTCTCCTGCCCTCCTGTCTCTCAGTCCCATCCTTCCCAGAGGCCTCAGAGAAACTAGAAGCCCTCCTTCCCTTGGCTGGTCCTAGAAACCAGAACCCTTCTCTCCAAAGCCAGCCATAAAACCTAAAAATAGGACTTTAACTTTCCCTCTGCCTTTCTGTGTAAAAACTAGCCATAAAGAAATTCCCTGACCTACCTTATTTGACTGTAGATCCTAAAACCCCCATTCCAGAGAGGGTCCCACCTCACACCCAGAAGGAAAGAGCGCTGCTCAGAGAGGCCAAGAAGAATCTAGACAGACAGGCTGGCTGGGTTTCCACACTCAGTCCATTAGCTTTAGATCAGGCCCTTTTTGTCCAACCCTGTTTCTACATGCTGTCCATGCTTTGTTGAACCTAAGTATAAAAATGGATAGTTTCCCCTGTATCCTTGGGCCTTCATTCTGAAGTCTCCTATTTGTACACATTAATTTGTGTGCCTTTTCTCCTGTTAATCTGCCTTTTGTAAGTTTATTTTCCAGTGAAACTTCAGGGGACCCCTTGGCCCCTACACCCCACACACTTGCACACAGGCACATACTCACCACCATCCGTGTAGTACACAGTGGATAGAAATAAGGTGGGATGCAGAGACGCAAATGCAAAATTCTATTTCTATCTGATGGATCAGTGGAAGGGAAGGTTTGTGTTTAACAAGGATGTGTCCGTGCCTTTCCCAGTTTCAGGAGCAAGTGAACCATCTGGGAATCTCATGAATGTGAAAACTTTGGCCCTGTGGGTCTGGGGCAGGGGGGTGTGAGTCACTGTCTTCACTGTGGCTCAGAGTCTGTGATCTGGAGAGCTGATGGTGGGGCCGATCGTCTCTCTGCGGGAGAGTTTGGTGTCACCATCATCTCTTAAAGCTGCAGTGTGCTGGCTGAGCAGGGGTCTGTGTTTTAGGGGGTTGGAGTAATTAGTTTCCACCTTCTTCATCTTTCTCTCCTTTTTTTTTTCTTTTTCCTAGGTTGGAGTACAGTGGCACAGTCTCGGCTCACTGCAACCTCCACCTCCCCAGTTCAAGGAATTCTCCTGCCTCAGCCTCCCCAGTAGCTGGGACTACAGGCACGTGCCACCATACCCAGCTAATTTTTGTATTTTTAGTAGAGACAGGGTTTCACTACGTTGGCCAGGCTGGTCTCAAACTCCTGGCCTCAAATGATCTGCCCGCCTCGGCCTCCCAAAGTGCTGGGTTTACAGGCGTGAGCCACCGCACCTGGCCCTTCTTCATCTCTTATGTTTCCAAGGGCCTAGGCTTCATTGTTGCCAGTATCTTCTCATAGATCTAGTGTTGGTCAACGTTGTTCAGTCACTTCTAGGATTTACTGAGACCAGCAGCTCCCCCTGTGCACTAACTGCCTTCCTTATGGCCATGACATGGCCCCACAGACAGGGGGCCAAGCCTCTCTAAACCATCTGTGAAAAGAAGGCAACAGAGTGTATGTGAGCACGGTGGGTGTGAATGACTCCCAAACCACCCTAAGGCTGAGATGTCCTATGACAAACCTTGCTACCCACATGAACTCCGCTAAAAACATCTATCTGCTCTTAAAATAGTCATGGGCCGGCATTTCATTGTCCATAGACTGCTTGACAGCCTGGAGCTCCACCTCCACCCAAGCCATAGGTGTCCTCGTCTCTTGGCTGCCACACCAAGGCAGACTGTGTCTCAGGGAGCAACCCAAGGGGTGAGGTGTGAAGAAATGTTCCCACATCAGGCCCTGCTGTAGGAATAAAGGTAGATCTCTTATGTTTTTCAGAACAGATCTCTTTGCAAAAGCTAATCATCCCTTAAACACTAATAACAACTGCAGGACACAACCTATTGTGTCTGAAAACTGTGAAGGGTTAATCACATTTTCTAAACACAAAGTACTTTCCCCTAAGCACATCTGGGCCCACAGGGCAGTGGCTCATGCTTATAATCTCAGCACTTTGGGAGGCTGAGGCAGGAGGATCACTTGAGGCTGGGATTTCGAAACCAGCCTGAGCAACATAGAAAGATCCAGTGTTGACAAGAAATTTTCTTTTGAAATTAGCCAGGCATGGAGGTGCACACCTGTAGTCCCAGCTACTAGGGAAGCTGAGGTGGGAGGACTCTTTGAGCCCAGGAGTTCAAGGCCGCAGTGAGCTATGATTGCACCACTGCACTGCAGCTTGCATAGAGCAAGACCCAGTCTCTTTGTAAAATTTTTTGGAAGGTCTGCTATTATTTCAAGCTAAAAGTTTATACAGTAATTGCTTTGTGTTGTGTAACATTCTAGAATATGACATACATACAAAAGGGTGTTTTAAATAAATTATTCCTTTTGGGCATAAAACGTGTGGGGTTTAGGGGCCACGGGGTCCCCTGAAGTTTCACTGAAAAATAAACTTACAAAAGGCAGATAAATAGGAGAAAAGACACACAAATCAATGTGTATACACGGGAGGCTTCAGAATGAAGATCCAAAGAAATATAGCAATAATAAAATAAATAAGTCTGAGTTTGAATTAACACAATTTAGCAACTGAGTCATTCTTTGTCAATCATTTAGCCATTTTGAAAATCGCTTTGTAAAATTTTTTGGAAGGTATGCTATTATTTCAAGCTAAATGTTTATACAATAATTATTTTGTGTTGTGTAACATTTTAGAATGCAATGACTATCTGCAAAGGGCCTTTTAAATAAATTATTCCTTTTGGGCATAAAAAATAATTTTGTGGTGCTTTATGGGTAGGGAGGTGAGCAGTAGGGGGTTGCCGGATGGATGATGGATTTGAGCGAACCCAAGATTAGGAGGATCTATCTGGGGTAGGACCTGGCGGTACGCAGAATAGACTGGACTCCTATTTGGCCATAAGCATTGAGCCCCTTTGCATTCATATTTTGAAACAAAATTGCCCTAGAGAATAATTATTCATCTTTTCAAAGACTAGAGTAATGATTGCTCTCCAGGTGGCTCCAAACACAGACTTTCGGGATCTCATTTAGATGTATTAATATTAACTTAGCCAGCCAAGCTTTTTATCCATAAAGTTATACAAGAGGAGGAAAAGAGAGGACTGCCTGTATGATGGATAAGGTCAATAGATGTCAGAACAGCTGGGTGCAGTGGCTCACACCTGTAATTCCAGCACTTTGGGAGGCTGAGGTGGGTGGGAGTTTAGGAGTTCAAGACCAGCCTGATAGTGAAACCCCGTCTCTACTAAAACTACAAAAATTCACTGGGCGTGGTAGCAGGTGCCTGTAATCCCAGCTACTCAGGAGGCTGAGGTAGGAGAATCGCTTGAACCTGGGAGGTGGAGGTTGCAGTGAGCTAAGGTCACACCACTGCACTCCAGCCTGGGTGATAGAGCAAGACTCCATCTCAAAAACAAAAAACAAAAAAACAAAAAAAAACAGATGTCAGAATAGCTTCAGCCCCTGTCTTATACCTGCTACAGGTAAAGGTCCCGCTATGGACAAGAGGATGCTGCATGTTCATGCGCCACCTGACAGATCCATTTATACAGACCTGACTTTTTTTCTGAGGCCTCTGTTCTGTTCCATTGGTCTATATATCTGTTTGATACCAGTACCATGCTGTTTTGGTTACTGTAGCCTTGTAGTATAGTTTGAAGTCAGGTAGCGTGATGCCTCCAGCTTTGTTCTTTTTGCTTAGGATTATCTTGGCTATATGGGCTCTTTTTTGGTTCCATATGAAATTTAAAGTAGTTTTTTCTTTTCTCTTTTTTCTTTTCTTTTTTTTTTTTTGAGACAGAGTCTCACTCTGTCACCCAGGCTGGAGTGCAGTGGCGCAATCTCGGCTCACTGCAAGCTCCGCCTCACTGGTTCATGCCATTCTCCTGCCTCAGCCTCCCAAGTAGCTGGGACTACAGGCGCCCACCACCACGCCCGGCTAATTTTTTTTTTTTTTGTATTTTCAGTAGAGACGGGGTTTCACCTTGTTAGCCCGGATAGTCTTGATCTCCTGACTTCGTGATCTGCCCGCCTCGGCCTCCCAAAGTGCTGGGATTACAGGCGTGAGCCACTGCGCCTGGCCTAAAGTAGTTTTTTCTAATTCTGTGAAGAAAGTCAGTGGTAGCTTGATGGGGATAGCATTGAATCTATAAATTACTTTTGGCAGTATGGCCGTTTTCACGATACTGATTCTTCCTATCCATGAGCATGGAATGTTTTTCCATTTGTTTGTGTCCTCTTGTTTCCTTGAGCAATGGTTTGTAGTTCTCCTTGAAGAGGTCCTTCACATCCCTTGTAAGTTGTATTCCTAGGTATTTTATTCTCTTTGTAGCAATTGTGAATGGGAGTTCACTCATGATTTGGCTCTCCGTTTGTCTATTATTGGTGTATAGGAATGCTTGTGATTTTTGCACGTTGATTTTGTATCCTGAGACTTTGCTGAAGTTGCTTATCAGCTTAAGGAGATTTTGAGCTGAGATGATGGGGTTTTCTAAATATACAATCATGTCATCTGCAAACAGACAATTGACCTCTCTTCCTATTTGAACATCCTTTATTTCTTTCTCTTGCCTGATTGCCCTGGCCAGAACTTCCAATATGATGTTGAATAGGAGTGGTGAGAGAGGGCATCCTTGTCTTGTGCTGGTTTTCAAAGGGAATGCTTCCAGCTTTTGCCCATTCAGTATGATATTGGCTGTGGGTTTGTCATAGATAGCTCTTATTATTTTGACATACGTTCCATCAATACCTAGTTTATTGAGAGTTTTAACATGAAGAGGTGTTGAATTTTATTGAAGGCCTTTTCTGCATCTGCTGAGATAATCATGTGGTTTTTGTCATTGGTTCTGTTTATGTGATGGATTATGTTTATTGATTTGTGTATGTTGCACCAGCCTTGTATCCCAGGAATGAAGCCGACTTGATAATGGTGGATGAGCTTTTTGATGTGCTGCTGGATTCAGTTTGCCAGTATTTTATTGAGGATTTTCACATCGATGTTCATCAGGGGTATTGGCCTGAAATTTTCTTTTTTAGTTGTGTCTCTGCCAGGTTTTGGTATCAGGATGATGCTGGCCTCATAAAATGAGTTAGGGAGGAGTCCCTCTTTTTCTATTGTTTGGAATAGTTTCAGAAGGAATGGTACCAGCTCCTCTTTGTACCTCTGGTAGAATTCAGCTCTGAATCTATCTGGTCCTGGGCTGTTTTTGGTTGGTAAGCTATTAATTACTGCCTCATTTTCAGAACTTGTTATTGGCCTATTCGGGGATTCGACTTCTTCCTGGTTTAGTCTTGGGAGGGTGTATGTGTCCAGGAATTTATCCATTTCTTCTAGATTTTCTAGATTATTTGCATAGAGGTATTTATAGTATTCTCTGATGGTAGTTTGTATTTCTGTGGGATCAGTGGTGATATCCTCTTTGTAATTTTTTATTGTGTCTATTTGATTCTTCTCTCTTTTCTTCTTTATTAGTCTGGCTAGCAGTCTATCTATTTTGTTTATCTTTTCAAAAAACAAGCTCCTGGATTCATTGATTTTTTGAAGAGTTTTTCATGTCTCTATCTCCTTCAGTTCTGCTTTGATCTTAGTTATTTCTTGTCTTCTGCTAGCTTTGGAATTTGTTTGCTCTTGCTTCTCTAGTTCTTTTCATTGTGATGTTAGGGTGTCAATTTTGGATCTTTCCCACTTTCTCCTGTGGGCATTTAGTGCTATAAATTTCCCTCGAAACACTGCTTTAGCTGTGTCCTATAGATTTTTGTATGTTGTGTCTTTGTTCTCATTGGTTTTAAAGAACTTATTTATTTCTGCCTTAATTTCATTATTTACCCAGTAGTCATTTACAAGCAGGTTGTTTAGTTTCCATGTAGTTGTGCAGTTTTGAGTGAGTTTCTTAATCCTGAGTTGTAATTTGATTGCACTGTGGTCTGAGAGACTGTTTGTTATGATTTCCACTCTTTTGCATTTGCGAAGTGTTTTACTTCCAATTATGTGGTCAATTTTAGAATATGTGCGATGTGGTGTTGAGAAGAATGTATATTCTGTTGATTTGGGGTGGAGAGTTTTGTAGATGTCTATCAGGTCTGCTTGGTCCAGGGCTGAGTTCAAGTCCTGAATATCCTTGTTTATATTCTGTCTTGTTGATCTGTCTAATATTGACAGTGGGGTGTTAAAGTCTCCCACTATTATTGTGTGGGAGTCTAAGTCTTTGTAGGTCTCTAAGAACTTGCTTTATGAATCTGGGTGCTCCTGTATTGGGTGCATATATATTTAGGATAGTTAGCTCTTCTTGTTGAATTGATCCCTTTATCATTATGTAATGCCCTTCTTTGTCCTTTTTGAGCTTTGTTGGTTCAAAGTCTGTTTTATCAGAGACTAGGATTGCAACCCCTGCTGTTTTCTGCTTTCCATTTGCTTGGTAAATATTCCTCCATCTCTTTATTTTGAGCCTATGTGTGTCTTTGCATGTGAGATGGGTATGTTGAATACAGCACACTGATGGGTCTTGACTCTTTATCCAATTTGCCAGTCTGTGTCTTTTTATTGGGACATTTAGCCCATTTACATATAAGGTTAATATTGTTATGTGTGAATTTGATCCTGTCATTGTGATGCCAGGTGGTTATTTTGCCAGTTAGTTGATGTAGTTGATGCAGTTTCTTCATAGTGTCAATGGTCTTTACAATTTGCTGTTTTTGCAGTGGCTGGTACTGGTTTTTCCTTTCCATATTTAGTGCTTCCTTCAAGAGCTCTTGTAAGGCAGGCCTGGTGGTGACAAAATCTCTCAGCAATTGCTTGTCTGTAAAGGATTTTGTTTCTTCTTCACTTATGAAGCATAGTTTGACTGGATATGAAATTCTGGGTTGAAAATTCTTTTCTTTAAGAATGTTGAATATTGGTCCCCACTCTCTTCTGGCTTGTAGTGTTTCTGCAGAGAGATCCACTGTTAGTCTGATGGGCTTCCCTTTGTGGGTAACCCGACCTTTCTCTCTGGCTGCCCTTAACATTTTCTCCTTCATTTCAACCTTGGTGAATCTGACGATTATGTGTCTTGGGGTTGCTCTTCTCAAGGAGTATCTTTGTGGTGTTCTCTGTATTTCCTGAATTTTAATGTTGGCCTCTCTTGCTAGGTTGGGGAATTTCTCCTGGATAATAACTTGAAGAGTGTTTTCCAACTTGGTTCCATTTTCCCCGTCATTTTCAGGAACACCCATCAAATGTAAGTTAGGTCTTTTCACATAGTCCCATATTTCTTGGAGGCTTGTTCATTCCTTTTCATTCTTTTTTCTCTAATCTTGTCTTCACACTTTATTTCATTAAGTTGATCTTCAATCTCTGATATCCTTTCTTCTGCTTGATCGATTCGGCTATTGATATTTGTTTATGCTTCATGAAGTTCTCGTGCTGTGTTTTTCAGCTCCATCAGGTCATTTATGTTCTTCTCTAAACTGATTATTCTAGTTAGCAATTCCTTTAACCTTTTTTCAAGGTTCTTAGCTTCCTTCCATTGGGTTAGATCATGTTCCTTTAGCTCAGAGGAGTTTGTTATTACCCACTTTCTGAAGCCTATTTCTGTCAATTCATCAAACTCATTCTCCGTCCAGTTTGGTTCCCTTGGTGGCGAGGAGTTGTGATCCTTTGGAGAAGAGGCATTCTGGTTTTTGGAATTTTCAGCCTTTTTATACTGGTTTTTCCTCATCTTTGTGGAATTATCTACCTTTGGTCTTTGATGTTGATGACCTTCAGATGGGGTTTTTGTGTGGACATCCTTTTTGTTGATGTTGATGCTATTCCTTTCTGCTTGTTAGTTTTTCTTCTAACAGTCAGGCCCCTCTGCTGCAGGTCTCCTGGAGTTTGCTGGAGGTCCACTCCAGACCCTATTTGCCTGGGTATCACCAGTGGAGGCTGCAGAACAGCAAAGATTGCTGCCTGTTCCTTCCTCTGGAAGCTTCATCCCAGAGGGGCACCCGCCAGATGCCAGCCAGAGCTCTCCTGTATGAGGTGTCTGTTGACCCCTACTGGGAGGTGTCTCCCAGTCAGGAGGCACGGGGGTCAAGGACCCACTTGAGGAGGCTGTCTGACCCTTAACAGAGCTTGAGCACTGTGCTGGGAGATCCACTGTTCTCTTCAGAGCCAGCAGGCAGGAATGCTGAAGCTGCGCCCACAGCCGCCCCTTCCCCCAGGTGCTCTGTCTCAGGGAGATGGGAGTTTCATATATAGGCCCCTGACTTGGGCTGCTGCCTTTCTTTCAGAGATGCCCTGCCCAGAGAAGAGGAATCTTGTGAGGCAGTCTGGCTGCAGCAGCTTTGCAGCCAGTGAGCTCTGCCCCATCTGAACTTCCCAGCAGCTTTGTTTACGCTGTGAGGGGAAAACCGCCTACTCAAGCCTAAGTAATGGTGGATGCCCCTCTCCCAACCAAGTTTGAGTGTCCTAGGTTGACCTCAGACTGCTGTGCCAGCAGTGAGAATTTCAAGCCAGTGGATCTTAACTAGCTGGGCTCCATGGGGGTGGTATCCACTGATCTAGGCCACTTGGCTCCCTGGCTTCAGCCCTCTTTCCAGTGGAGTGAACAGTTCTGTCTTGCTGGCATTCCAGGAGCCACTGGGGTATGAAAAAAAATCTCCTGCAGCTAGCTTGGTGTCTACCCAAACGGCTGCCCAGTTTTGTGCTTGAAACCCAGGGCCCTGGTGGTATAGATACCGGAGGGAATCTCCTGGTCTGCGGGTTGCAAAGACCATGGGAAAAGCATAGAATCTGGGCCAGAATGCACCATTCCTCATGGCACAGTCCCTCACAGCTTCCCTTGGCTAGAGGATGGAGTTCCCCAACCTCTCGCACTTCCTGGGTGAGGCAACGCCCCACCCTGTTTCTGCTCACCCTCCATGGGCTGCACCCACTGTCTAACCAGTCCCAATGAGATGAGCTGGGTACCTCAATTGGAAATGCAGAAATCATCTGCCTTTTGCGTTGATCTCACTGGGAGCTGCAGACTGGAGCTGTTCCTATTCAGTCATCTCGCCAGCCACCCAAGAGGATCTTTTCTGAGCCAAAGTTTAGCACCTCTGTCCCAGCTCCTTCCTTAGAGAATTCTGAATGTGGGTTCCACTTAAAGAACAACACAGCATCAAGGGGCATCTGACCTCTGGTCATTTGGAGACTTCAACCCCCTATTACTTTCTATGGATGAAAATCAAAGCTTCTGCTGTACTGTTCTCAGAGCCAAAGCCTGAGGTGAAACTCCTCTCCTCTGATTTTTTGAGCATGGAATATAAACAAAATAATTAGCCACTCAAGAGGCATTGCAAACATTAACTAACATGTAACCTTGCAAAACAGGGAAGGTTCTTATTTGTAAATGCCAATCACTACACAGAAAAACTCTAAGGATTTATATCCTAGGCAACAGAAAATTGCTCTGTAAAAGAACTCTTCCCACATGTTTTACTAAATTTGCAATATTTGAGCTTGCATTTAAATAAATACAGAGTTTCCTACCTCTCTCTCAAGTGTCTCTTCTGCAAATCCATGCTCTTTTCTCCATGCCACTCCAGGAACAGGCAGGAAGAACCCAATCTCACAACGGGGACCAGAGACTGCCGCCTTACCTTAGAGGAGCAGAAAATGTAGTATCAAGGACACCTTCAGGATGTAGACAGTAAGGTGACTGCTGGAATCATCTAAGAGGAGGGAGTTTTAAGCAAAACTTTGCTGCCCTGCAAGTCTGAAAATGACATTGTTGACCTAGAATCAATAGTATACACCTTCAAGGAATTTGTTCTCCATAATAAAGACCATTTCTGTGTTGACATGTACCTCTTCTAGTTTAAAGAATAATCAATGGAATAAATTTGAGACATCAGACTGTATTTTTGCACCCATGGAACAAATTATTATTTTCTTCCATTGGGGTTTGAATTTGTGACTTTGGACACCTTGACTATTAAAGGCAAGTGATATAAAGCTGAAATCAACATTACTAAAGTGAGAGCATCCCAGGAGTCCCACCTGGGACCTCTGCTTAGGTCTCCATGTGTTGTTGCTACTCAGATACTTGGACAGTGACTTGGCAAACCAAAAGCCAGGAAAAAGAGGCTCTACCAGCTGAGGCTAAAATGCTGATACCTTTATCTGGCCTGGCCATAGGAAGCTCCGCCATGGCAGAGAAAGTCAGCACTTGCATAGACAATGCATGAGCTAGCTCCACAGTCTGAATCTGAGCCTGTGCTCTGCCATTTTGTAATATGGACTTGCCAGGAAGATGTTCAAGAACATCATGAAACCTCTTTGGGTTCCAGGTCTTGGCTACCTCCTGTCCTTGCAAAACAAGTCCTTCACATGGTCCAGCCCTGCTAGCCTGGACACTGGAGTCTGGGGCCAGAGTCCCAGGTTATCATAAAGTGGTACATGGCACTGATGATTCCTCACACAGAAGATGCCAATTAAACAATGCCTTAAACAGTGTGTGTAGGATTTGAACAAATTCCATGGCTATGGGTTCAAGGGCAGTCTAGTAACACAGAACCTTACCATAAACTCTGTTTGCCTTCTTTAGTTTTTCAACCCAATTCTGCAGGGCACTCTGTGGTCCTTTGTAGATCATGTATCCTTGGAGACGTTTTGAGACATTAATGATCTCTTTGATGGAATCCATGATGGTTTTTGTGCTAAGTCCCATCTTCAGTAGGAAATGCCATGTAATGTTCTTTCTAAAAAAAGAGAGAGAGAGAGAGAGAACAACTTGGATTTACAATGTAAACACTATTTGTATTCATTTTTCCCTGTGCTGTTAACATTTTTGGAAAAAAGTAGCTATTTGTTTAATTTTAGTTTAATTTGTTTTTAATACATGTGTATCGTTGTCCAGATTGTACTCACCATTAAGGAATGAGAAAAGAGCAATAGTTGACTCTATTAGGTCAAAGGTTGTTAAAAATGTTTATAATAACAGACAGATGACGTAACAAAAAATGAACAACAGTCATCTCAGACTTAAACAAAAAAGACATAATAAAATAAAAGAATAACTAAAAAATCTTTCAAGAATCAATTCTGGGCCATCTTAGCCAATGAATATTTTTACAGATAGGTATGGTCAGTGATCGTGGTACTGAGAAGTTGCCAAAAGCAAATGGGAAGACTGTTGGTGCAGCAGAAAGTGTGAATTGTATTCTACAATCTTGCTTTCTTGTCTCTTGATAAAACTGCTCCATTTTCCATTCCCAAGTCCATTCACCAGCCTCAGGACATCCAGATGTGGACCTCAAAGCAACTGCTAACACTAATAGAATCCTTGCTTCTTAAAAAACCCAAGCAACTTAAAGCAGACACCATATACGCAGAAATCAAGGAGCATGTGCAGAGGATAAAACATTTTTGGGCAAGAAACAAAGACTGGTGGCTGAGGGTTGTTTCTCGATTAAAATTATTTTAATTAATACCTAATGTTATATAATGCTATAACACAATGTTATCATGCATAAAATGTCATAATTTGTTATGTCGCGTAATAGTATGGTACCCTCCAAAGTGTGTCTCCTTACAGCTAAATTAGCATGCATTCAACAGCACACATTAACATACCATGATTAAAGTATTTCAAAATAAATACCATGCAGGATCTTTGTTTATTTTGTTTAGCTCCTCGAATTATAGGTGGTCACTCTCTGTCCCCCACCACCTCCTCCACACACATCTGAAGGACACTTAGAAAGATACTCTCCATGAACATACTGGTGAAAAAAAGCAAGTGAAATTGCCGATTATAGTGTTCTAGATCCTGAGCAAGTTTGTTCCACAAAATCCTTGTAGATAAAAAATAAAATGAATAAGCTGCTCCCACTTTGGAAATAAAGACAATAGCATAAAATGGTAATGAATGGTTGGTCTATAGGCACAAAAGGCATATTTAAGGAATGGGATATGAGGGGGAAGATATGTATAATAGAATCATTTTATTGGAAAATGAAACAGGGCACCTAGTTCCTGCTAAGCCTTTTCCAGAGACGGATAATTGATGCTAGGTCCCTGCAGAAAGCCAATAGGGCATTGCTGATAGGCGAGGACTAAGCAAAGCTTGGCTTCCAGTGCTTTTTTTTAATTAATTAAATAAATATGTTTATTATATTTAAATAAAATTTTAAAGCTTGAAAATATCAAAAAGGAGAAAGAATTGATAAAAATTGTCAAAGCAATTCTTTAAAAAGAGGCAAATAGTAGCTCTAGAATTAAAATTATAATAATCAGTATGAAATTTTTTTTCTATAGTTGAACTTTGGCTTCTGCTTTTAAAAACCATATTTTTTCTTTATTTTCTGACTTATTTTAGATTGAGGGGTTACATGTGCAGGTTTGTTACTTGGGTAGATTGCAAACCCAGATCATGAGCATAGTACCCGATAGGTAGTTTTTCTTCTTTTCTTTTCTTTTCTTTTCTCATTTCTCTTCTCTTCTCTTCTTCTTCTTTCCTTCCTTCCTTCCTTCCTTTCCTTTCTTTCCTCTCCTCTCCTCTCCTCCCTTCCTCTCCCCTCCCCTCCCTCCCTCCCTTCTTCCTTCCTTCTTCTCTTCTCTTCTCTTTTCTTTTCTTTTCTCTGAGACAGGGTCTTGTTCTGTTATCCAGGCTAGAGTGCAGTGGTAAAATCATGGCTCACTGCAGCCTTAACCTCCTAGGCTAAAGTGATCCTTCTACCTTAGCCTCTGCAGGAGCTGAGACTGCAGGCATGTGCCACCATACCTGGCTAATGTTTTAAATATTTTGTAGAGAAGGGGTCTTGCTCTGTTGCCGAGGGTGGTCTTGAACTCCTGGGCTCAAGAGATGCTCTCGCCTTAGCCTCCCAAATTGCTGAGATTACAGGCATGAGCCAAAGTGCCTGGCCTCCTTTTACAATATTAACTTCCTCCTTTGTTGTTGACCATTAGCACCTCCAATGGTAGCTCTGTTATCAGTTTTGCAGCACTCAAGGTGCATTACAGCCGGCCCTCTGTATCCATGGGTTTCGCATCTGAGGATTCAACCAACTATGGATGAAAATTAAAAAAAAAAAAACAACAAGAATGATTATGTCTGTACTGAACACGTATGTCCTTTTATTCTTGTCATTATTCTGTAAACAAGAGAGTATAGCAACTATTTACATACTATTTACATTGTATGAAGTATTCTAAGTAATATAAAGATGATTTAAAGTATATGGGAGGATTGTGTAGTTTATATGCACGTACCACGACATTTTATAACAGGGACTTGGACATCTGTGGATTTTGGTATCCACAGGGTTCCTGGAGCCAATCCCCCACAGATACCAAGGGAAAACTGCACTCTCTCCTTTGCATGGTGCTTTATTTCCCACTAGAGAAAGCATGAAAAACAGATGCTGTGTGATACTCATCTCCACATCACCCACACAACCCAGCATGAGACCGACAAAAGCTCAAGGCTCCATAAATTGATGTTGAATTGGATTGAAGCTGAGCTTCAGCATCAACTAAATTCAAATCTTCACCCAAATCCTATGTGGCGCAGAAATATTGATGGATAAGATGATGTGATGTCTGGGAATTACTTCAAAATGAGCCAGTTGGTGGGGGGTAATTGAAACAAGATTGGTCAGCAGTTGAGAACTGTTGAAGCTGAGTTACATCATGTTCATTGCCATTATTTTCTCTATGTTGTACATGTTTCTGTTTTTTGATTTAAAAAGGTTAGGAAGAAACCCCAATGTTTTAAAACTGGCAGGTGTTTAATAAAACTTTCTCTATATACTTATTGCTATGGCTTATCTACTAATGAGTGCTTCTTACCGTGGTTATTCCCATATTCTTGAAACAGCCGATATAGCATTTTTAGTGCCATTGTTAGTATAAAAAAAAATTAAAAGTTTCATCAGAGAGTCTCGCTTGAAAAATGCCTTCTGTTCCAAGAACTGGAAATAATTACAAAGCCATTTTTTAACCTATAAATCCCAACCCCGATTTAAAAGTTATTTTTTCATTTTCCCTATGTTTTAAGGGAAAAGTAACCTCAGCCCCATCATTTCATATATTTTACTTCTTGGGCCATTTTAGAAATCATCTATTCCAGTCCAAAATTTTAGAGATGTGAAAATTGAGGTCAAGAAACATTTTTGCCTTTCCCCAAATCGTAGAGTCAATCGGAAAAAAGGCAAGGATTGGACACAGACCTTCAGATTAGGATTTTAAAATTCGTATATTCATTTTACAAGAGTTTGGTGCACATCTGCTGGATGCCGGGCAGAATAAACAATGCAGCCAAAGTCCAGGCCTTCATGGTGACTGGCAATTCTGTTCCTAGGATTACACCCAAAAGAAATGAGGACTTACAGACACACACACACACACACACCCCCAAGAGAAATGAGAACTTATGGATACACACACACACACACACACACACACACATACACACACGCACATACCCAAGAGAAATGATAACTTATGGAGACACACACATACACACACACACACAAATACACACACACAAGCATATACCCAAGAGAAATTAGAACTTACGGAGCCACACACACACACACAGACACAATGTGTACACAGGTGTTCATAGTGTAACTGCCTAATGTGTTCCTCCTGCCAACTGCAAATATAAAATAAACTCACCCAGACATGGCACTGCAGTAAAGAAAGAGCTTAATTGGCGTGAGGTCAGCCATTCCAGAATTATTACTCAAATCAATATCCCCGAAGGCTTGGAGGTTGGAGGTTTTTCCAAGATAGTTTGGTGGGCAGGGACTAGTGTAGGGGGCATGCTATTGGTTGGGGATGCCATCATAGGGGTGTGGTAAGTGGTCCTCATGCACTGAGTCCACTTCTGGGTGGAGGCTACAAGACTGGTTGAGTCACGGGTCCAGGTGGAGCCATCTGATTGTCAGAAATGCAAAAACCTGAAAAGACATCTCAAAAGGCCAATCTTAGGTTCTGCCATAGTGATGTTATCTGCAGGAGTAATTGGGGAAGTTGCAAATCTTGCAACCTCCAGAATGATGCCTGGTAATTATTTGGAATTCAAGCCCCTCTCATCCTTCTAACTTGGTGGCTTTTCATCAGTTTTCCAAAAACAGTTTAGTTTGGGGGAAGGGCTATTATCTTTTAAACTATAAGCCAAATTTGTCCCAAAGTTAGCTTGGCCCATGCCCAGGAATGAGCAAAAATGGCCAACCTGTGAGGCTACAAGCGGGACAGAGTCAGCCATGTCAGATTTCTCTCACTGTCATACTTTTGCAAAGGCAGTATTATTCATAATAGCCAAGAGGTGGAAACAACACAAATGTCCATTGCCCGGCGAAAGGATAAACAAAATGTGGTCCATCCATACAATGGAATATGATCCAGCCACAAAAAAGAATGATGTTCTGATACATTGGCAACATGGTGGAACCTTGAAAACACGAGGTTCAGTGAAAGAAGCCAGGCACAAAAGGTCATGTAACTGCCCAAGGGGTTCGCCTTGCCCGCTGCCTAGACATAGGCGATTTATCAAGACAGAGGAATTACCATAGAGAAAGAGTAATTCACACAAAGATGGCTGTGCGGGAGAACGGAGTTTTATTATTACTCGAATCAGTGTCCCCAAGAACTTGGGGATCAGAGTTTTTAAGGATAATTTGGTGGGTAGGGGGACAGTGAATCGGGAGTGTTGATTGGTTGGCTTGGGGATGAAATCATAGGGAGCAAAGCCGTTCTCTTCTGCTGAGTCAGTTCCCGGGTGGGGACCACAGAACTGGTTGGCAGGTCCAGATGGGGCCATCCGGTTGTTAGAAATGCAAAAACATGAAAAAAAATCTCAAAATATTGGTCTTAGGCTCACAATAGTGATGTTACCTTCAAGAGTAATTGGGGAAGTTGCAAATTTTATGATCTCTGGAATAATGGCTGGTAATATTTAGAACTCCAGCCCCTTTCATCTTGACTTGTTGGCTGGTGGTCTTTCATTTGTTTTACAAGAACAGTTTAGCCTTTCGGGAAGGGCTATTATTTAAACTATATATTAAATTCCTTCCCAAAGCCAGTTCAGCCTACGCCCAGTAATGAATAAGGACAGTTTAGAGGTTATGAGGTAAGAAAATAGAATCTGGAGGCAAGAAACAGAAGGCCGATTCACACTTCAGCTATGACAGGAAATATCCTCTCCATAGGGCATAGGCCAAGTAAATAACTTTGTAACTTTACTTCATCCTCTTCATTTACATAGGGCGTACCCCAAGTAACCAATGGAATTGTCTAGAGGGTATTTAAATTCCCAAAAATTATGTAACAGGACCGTTGATCCCCTATGCTCGGGCCCACTCCCACACTGTGGAGTGTACTTTCGTTTTCAATAAATCCCTTTATTCCTTCCTTGCTTTGTGTGTGCATTTTGTCCAATTTTTTATTCAAGACGTCAAGAACCTGGACACCCTCCACTGGTGACAGTTAGAAATAAGATGATGTCAGCTAGGTCTGATGTCTTTCACTGTCGTAATTTTCTCAGTTATGATTTTTGCAAAGGTGGTTTCAGTCACAGGTTGTATGATTCCATTTATTTGAAGTGTTCAGAATAGGCAAATCCATCAAGACAGAAAGACAGACTATTGGCTGCCAGAGACTGGAGAGGGGAAGGAAAAGAAGGAGCTAATGAGTATGGGGTTTATTTTGGGCAGTGATGAAAGTGATCTAAAATACACTGTGCTGATGTTTGCCCAAACCTGTGAATATACTAAGAGGCATTCAATTGTACACATGAAATGGGCGAATTGGGTGGTATGTGAATGATATCTCAATATAGCTGTTCTATTTTTTAAGGAAAAATATAGAGTGCCATAAGTGCTATACAAAAAAATTAAATGGGGAGGAGATCAGGGAGTGGAGGTGGGTTAAGTTTTAGTTCAATGTCTTCCCAAAATTCCCTAAATTCCTATAAATTAGTAAATCATAAAAGATTCCTTGAATCAGGAGTCAAGTAATGCCACACCCAGAGCCAGCCACCACCCTCCTGGTACATTAATTAGATTGTACTACATCAGTACAGATTTAAAAACCATTCAAATGCTTTGTGACTCCAGGAAATTCAGGGTGTAAGCAGGAGAATACTGCCTCCGAATCCATGGAAAATCCTGCCTTCAGAACAGGAATTTTATCTAAGGATTCACGCAATTTGGGTTTCACACTATTTGTACACTCAGGGGCTGTGCTTTGCAAATATAATGCCAGAAACACCAGAACCAAAATTAGGTGATTCAATACCAACTGGCCCACTGAAAGCATAGAGTCAAGAAATCAGTGCCTGAGCCATTATGGGGCTGGTACTTTTAAAAATGAATGGACTTGATATTTTTGCAAGTTTTATTATGGAAAAGTGCTTTTGGGTTGGTCAAAAGCCTTCAGAAATCGTTCTACAGCCCGGCTGTTCCCACACCAAACTAAGGGTCAGGCTGCTTATTCTAGAGGACCAATGAATGAGATGCAGATGAACTGGGAAAGAAGGGACTTTTTACTTCTGCAGCCAGTTACAGGGAGAAGGCCTAGAAATTATCACCAGACCAACTCAAAATTACAAAGTTTTCCAGAGCTTCTATACCTTCTAAGCTATACATCTATGTGTAAAGTGTGCATTCATCTAAAGATATAAGCAATTAACTTCATTTAATCTATAACTAAGATTTGAGTCCTGAAGACCTTCCTCTGGAGCCTCAGTAAGTTTACTTAATCTAGGTGGGTCCAAGTGCTGGGGTGATTGCCCTTATTTTGTCTCCTGCTAACTCATGGAGGTTTGGGGAGTTCCTTTAGTCCCCAATAAAGCTTGTTTGTGGAAACTTAGGGAGTTTCTTCAGACCCCTAATAAAGCTGTTTAATCCTAAATAGGTCCTGCTAAGAATTACTTTGTTAAAATCTTCATGCTTTAAGGCCCAGGAAAGGCCTGGGCAGAACTCTTGGTGGGCTTTTGTTACATTCCGGCCTTTGTATGAGGGCACCGGCTCTATCAGCTTTTAATATTTAACTTCACCACTCGGTCAGTGCTGAAACAGTTGTTGTGGAAGCCTGTGTTAGTGAGACCTGGCCTTCCACACGGCCCATCTGGAGGCAGCCTCTTGCCCCGTAATAATTCTCAGTGCCCACCTTCCTGGAGGGGTGACTCAGTGGTTCTGTCAGAGGCATGTGAACCAGAGCAACTCCATCTTGAATAGGATCTGGGTAAAATAAGGCTGAAACCTACTGGGCTGCATTCCCTGACGGTTAAGGCATTCTAAGTCACAGGGTGAGATAGGAGGTCGGCACAATATACAGGTCACAAAGACCTTGCTGATGCAACAGGTTGCAGTAAAGAAGCCAGCCAAATCCCACCAAAACCAAGATGGTGAAGAGAGTGACCTCTGGTCGTCTTCACTGCTACACTCCCACCAGCGCCATGACAGTTTATAAATGCCATGGCAACGTTAGGAAGTTATGCTATACGGTCTAAAAAGGGGAGGCATGAATAATCCACCCCTTGTTTAGCATATCATCAAGAAATAACCATAAAAATGGGCAACCAGCAGCCCTCGGGGCTGACCTGTCGATGATCAGAGTAGCCATTCTTTTATTCCTCTCCTTTCTTAATAAACTCACTTTCAATTTACTCTGCAGATTTGCTCTGAATTATTTCTTATGCGAGATCCAAGAGCCCTCTTTTGGGGTCTGGATCCGGACCCCTTTCCTGTAACAGCCCTACAAACCGCCCTCAGCGGGACCTTTCACGTTCACTGAGAACTGCATTTGGAGTGCACCTACCACCTCCAACCCCACACAGCCCAGGGGCTCGGCGCAGGCTCTTCCCAGTTATGCTTTCATTACAGTGAAAAACCACAGCAGATGACAATCGCCCCCTCCGGCCACAGAAGTCTGAAAGAGGCACCCCTGTATTTTAATAGAAATGTAATAAATTGTACCCCGAAGAGGAGACACCTTTGAAAGCATTCTAAAGGCTTAACTTGACTGCAAAGTGGAAAACTCAAGAAGTTGCCCAGGGCTCGGGTCTGACATGAACCTTTGATTTTTGCTATTTCTGTCATTGTGTTTGACTCTGAATTTAGTGTCTGCTCTCTCCCCGGCTTCCAGGGAAACTTGCATCCTGGAGGGCCATCAGCCCCAGGCATCCATGCAATCCACTGCTCAGAGGTGATAAAAAGGAGCAAGTATGAAATATAGTTTTAGAGGTGTCAGAAGAAAATAAATTGGGTTCACGTTGCGTTTTCTTCTGCATCCGAATATCCCCAAAGCAGAATTTCATTGCCAATCTCAGACCTGTTAAGTTGCTTCATGCAAATTAAAAACGTTTGCATGCAACCCTCCCTCCAGCTGCCTGCCAAGACCCACCCCATTTCATCCACCATCCAGCCGAAATAAAAGTAAAGGCTAAGAAGCCTGCTCCAGAGCAGTCACCTCTGATGTGGGAAACCTGAAAAACTGGAAATCACCAGCCAAGAAGAATTATACGTGTGAGCTTCACGTAGGTGGGATGTGATGGATGTGGACAGAGCAGCAGAGAGAAAGCCCAGGGAGCATATGCTAAAAAACCTGGGAAGAAAAATGCAAAATCCAGCAGCCTTAGAGGTGGCCTGAGGAAAGAGTTTAGGTTAGAAATATCTGTGCCCTAAGAATAATGGGCATCTATGTTCCTCCAAGAACATCAGGATAACCAAGGAGCATTAAACACCAAGTTAAGAAGGAAACACGATAAGGAAACCAGCTTAAGCTCAAGGAAATTAGAGACTCGGGGGTTCATTTTGCAGTAACTGCTGAGTGTGTGAATGGAAATGAATTTCTTAACATCACTGAGCTTTCGTTGTAAAGGAGAGGCAGTAATACCTACCTTGCAGGGTTACTGGATTGTTATATATGTGACAGCAACTAAGACAGACTGCTTAATAGCATACATTGTATATCGTGACCCACAGAAAATGTTCTAAATGGGGGTCGGCAAACTATGCTCATGGGCCAAATGTGGCCCACTGCTCATGTTTATAAATACAGTTTTATTAAAACACAGTCACGCCCATTCATGACATACTGTCCACGGCTGTTTTCCTGCTGCAGCTGCAGAATTGAGCCATTGAGACAGATACCATATGGCCCAAAAAGTGGAATATATTTACTACCTGGCTTTTACAGAAAATGTTTGTTGATCCCTGGTCTAGAACATCAGTTAATCACCAATCACTTGGGAATAGCAATAAGCTTCCATCTGTTGACCATCTGTTATGTCTGGTCATATGTGATTTCATTTAATCTTATAGGTATTACGATCTCCATTCTAATTTTGAGAAAACTGAGGTTCTCAGGTGTTATTTTCCCAAAGTCATACCATTGAAAACACCAACATTCTGATTTCAAAGTCAATTCTACACTGATTCTCAGTGGCATTTTTATGAAAAAGTAAGGATACAATGCAGGAAGAGGGGAAAAATGTCCTAGGGCAACCTCGTGGGTCTGCATAGTGTTCTTTCTTTTTCATCTGCCATCTGCAGTGGAACCACCACGAAAAGGCAGATTTTCAAAGACAAAACTGTGAACCTGATTTCTCGAAACCCAGCGAGGTCAGGCTCCTCCAACCTCATCTCTTTTGGTGCTCCCACTCTTCCCTCAGCTGGCTGGCTTTGGCTCTCTCCTATATCCCCAGCCCCTAAACATGCATATTCCTGGACCAAACCAATGGTCAGGCTGCTTATTCTCGTGGCCCAATAATGAGATGGAGATGAACTGGGAGAGAAGAGAGTTTTCATTTCTGTAACCGGGTGCAGGGAGAAGACCTAGAAATTATCACTAGACCAACTCAAAATTACAAACTTTTCCAGAGCTTATATGCCTTCTAAGCTATATGTCTACGCATAAGTGTGTATTCATCTAAAGCTTTAAGTGATTAACTTCTTCTAATCCATAACTAAGGTCTGAGTCCTGGAGGCCTTCCTCTGGAGCCTCAGTAAATTGACTTAATCTAAATGGGTCCAGGTGCTGGGGTAATTACCCTTATCTTATCTCCTGCTAAAGAATGGAGGTTTGGGGAGTTTCTTCAGACCCCCAATAAACTTGTTTGTGGAGGCCTGGTGAGTTTCTTCAGACCCCCAATAAAACTGTTTAATCCTAAAAGGGTCCTGTTAAGATTTCCTTCATTATCTTGTCATGCTTCAAGGCCCAGGAGAGGCCTGGGCAAAACTCTTGGTGGACTTTTGTTACATTCCAGCCTTTGTATAAGGACACTGGCTCTATCAGCTTTTAATATTTAACTTCACCACTCAGTCAGTGCTGAAACAGTTGTTACGGAGGCCTGCCTGTTCAGCTGTTAGTGAGACCTAGCCTGCCACATGCATACCCAAGTATTCCCTAGTTAACTCTTAGTTAACACTTTCAAAATATCAACTGGAATGTCGCTTCTTCAAATGAACCATCTCTCCCCCAAGACTGAGTCAAATCCCCTTATAAGATACATATACATGCATATATATTTGCATGTATAAATGTATACATATTCATGTATCTGTATCCTTCACTGCACTTAGAAGAGTTGTAAATTCACATTTATTTGTGTAATTATTTAACTAACCACTGAGATAAGAACCCATCTAGTTTTGATGGTCCTTGTATTCCTAGCAAATGTTACAGCACCTGCCTCAGAGTGGGAATGTAATAAATATTTTTTGGATTTTTAAAAATGCAGATCTTTGTAAAAATGGAGAAGACCATCATTCTCAACATTGAACCATTGGATACAATAGAAAATGTAAAGGCCAAGACCCAGGATAAGGAAGGAATTTCTCCTGACCAGCAAAGACTGATCTTCGCTGTCAAGCAACTGGAAGATGGACGTACTTTGTCTGACTACAACATTCAAGAGGAGTCCACTCTTCATCATGTGTTGAGATTTCATGGTGGTGCTAAGAAAATGAAGAAGTCTTATGCCATTGCCAAAAAGAATATGCATTACAGAAAGAAGATTAAGCTGGCTGTCCTGAAAAACTCCAAGGTGCATGACAATGGCAAAATTGGTTGCCTTCATGGGAAGTGCCTTTTAGATGAATGTGGTGCAGGAGGTTTTATGGCCAGCCACTTTGACAGGCATTATTGTGGCAAATGTTGTCTTATTGCTTCAACAAACCAGACAAGTAATCGTGTATGAGTTAATAAGAGACATGAACTAAGAAAATAAAAGTCATAAGTTGAAATAGAGATTGTTCAGCCAGTTGACATAAGGTAGAGCACTGACAAAGAGAAGCTGCTCACCTTTAGTGGTGGTTATGTTCGGAGCTAGCAGAAAAGCCTCCTGACTTCCTCCAGGACTCAGGGAAGGCAGGGGAAGGAGGACTTTGGTGTCTTAGTCCCTTCTCACCTCTTTGGCATTACTTCCTTCCCTCCCAACGTCGCACCTTATAATCTACTAACTCCAAACCAACAGGAACTCTCCTCCCACGCCCTACATTCAAACACCCTAGGTTTACATGTGCAGGCGCGCATGCACACACACACACACACACACAAAGGCTGTTATCTCCCAACTTCCTGAGAAATGCTTATGCAGGATTCTAAATCCTGAGCCCCTTCCAGGGGTTGCCTTGAGCCTTTGCTTCTTCAAGAGCCCCTCCCTAACCCGAATGCCTCGATACTGAGCTCTGGGCTGTCTGTGTGTACTGCTGTTTGCCATGTAAAATCCCTCCATTGAACACATCTGTCTACTTGCCCATCTATCCCAAAGGTCTAGGGGTACATCAATATCAAGGGCCATGTCTTTTCTTGGGATTCCCAGGGTAGCCTCTAATTAAGAAAAATTCACTTATTTGAACCAACTTCCCCAAATAGAAAGTTCTAAAAAACGAGGAATCAACAGAAAATTAAGTTCCAGTTTCCTCCTTCACCTCTCCTGCCCCAAAAGTACTCTTTTTGGCTGGACTCTTCTTCCATTTTCCCCTTCTAACTGCCTCCAATGTCTCCAGCAGAATGAGAGAGAAGCTGTCCAGGCTGCAGAGAGGAGTGGTAGCAACTGGATCTCGCCTCAGAAGGTGGGGACAGGGTAGGCAGAGGGAGAATGCATCTCGCTGGAAATGCCAATGCCGCATGGGCCGGGAACTGCAGAGAGAGCTTCCCTTATTGAAGGAACGAAGTCAGAAAACTGGGAATTGGTACCTTCCAAGAGAGGGAGAGCCAGCAGGTTGGAGAGAGGGTGTGTGAGGTGGTGTCAGGCTAGTGGACACTGCATATAAAGAATGTCAGAATATAAATGTTTATTTGTTACAGAGTCCTGGTTTCGGGTGACTCCAGATGGAAAGTGCCTACTGGCGGGTGTTTTGCCTCTCTGCACGGGCACAAGAGTGCTGATAGTTGCTTCTGTCACTTGTTTCATTCCCACGGGAGCATGCTTGCACTTCCCAGGTTAGGCTTTTGGTCAGGTTTGGGCTTGTGGAATTGTTTCAAATTTTTGACATTATGGTTTTGCAATACCTAGCTTGCCAGGACGCTTGCCCCCAAGCAAGTTCTTCTCTATCTGCCCCACACAGATGAGGTTGTGTGCATTTTTACCATTACTCTCCAGCGGACCATTCAAATACAAACATACTATATTTGTATCTCAATCACTTGCACTTGAGTCTCTTTTAAGATTTTTTTTTCTTGCCCACTCAGCAAGTAAATGCCTTGTTTGTGATCACCAAAGTCAAGTGTTTAGACAACCTGCTCAGGCCCATTATTTTCCCCATTTATTTGATGTCTTTAAAAAAATTTTTTTTAAATATTGGGTATAGTGGCTCACACCTGAAATCCAGCACTTTGGGAGACTGAGACAAGATGATTGCTTGAGCCCAGGAGTTCAAAACCAGCCTGGGCAACAGAGTGAGACCCTGTCTCTATAAAAAATTTAAAAATTAGCTGGGCATGGTGGCATGTGCCTATAGTTCCAGCTTCTTGGGAGGCTGAGGCAGGAGGATCACTTGAGTCCAGGAGGTTGAGGCTACTGTGAGCTATGATTGCACCACTGAACTCCAGCTGAGTGAGAGAGTAAGACCTTGTCTCAAAAAAAAAAAAAATAAAATAAAATTTTAAAAAATAACCACTTAAGATAACCTGCTAAGTCCCATTATTTTCCCCATTTGTTTGATAACTTAAAGAGAATCATTTAGAATAGAAAAAAGTAAGTGACAAAAAAAGAAAAATAAATAAAAAGGAAAAAAGAAAGAAAAATTTTTAAAGAAAAACAGGAAAAAAAAGAAAATTTAAAAAGTGAGTGACAAAGTGAAAATATTTGGCTTATCTTCTGAGAGGGGAGGAATTTGAGACTGTAACAAACATAAAGAAAGGACATCTATGCGTAAGAAAAAATTATATAATTAATTACCCAGATGCATGAGGTCTAAATGTTCCTGAGTTTGCCTAAATGTCATAGTTATGCTAATGACATGTATTCTATTTTATTTTTACTTAGAGACAGAACTGAAGTTTGGGTGGCTGCCAACAAGTTGTTGAGCTTGAAAGCGATGCTATAAATTTCCAAGGACATGATTGCAGTTGCATCGGATGTACTTGTCTACTCAGCTGATGTTCAAGTTCAAAATAGAGCTACATTCTGAACATGGGCAATGTTCTTAAAGGAGAATTTTCAGGGTGTCTTTTTTTTTTTTTTTTTTTTTGAGACGGAGTCTCGCTCTGTCGCCCAGGCTGGAGTGCAGTGGCGCAATCTCGGCTCACTGCAAGCTCCGCTTCCCGGGTTCACGCCATTCTCCTGCCTCAGCCTCCCGAGTAGCTGGGACTACAGGCGCCCGCCACCGTGCCCGGCTAATTTTTTGTATTTTTAGTAGAGACGGGGTTTCACCTTGTTAGCCAGGATGGTCTCCATCTCCTGACCTCATGATCCACCCGCCTCGGCCTCCCAAAGTGCTGGGATTACAGGCGTGAACCACCGCGCCCGGCCCAGGGTGTCTTAATATTGTTTGACCTCAGGCAGAATGAGCCAAAGGCAGTGGGGTGTAGGAAGAACGTGAGACTTGATCTCTGGGAAATGAGCTCCACCACTCAACAGCGTAAGAACTTGTTGTGATGGTTAATATTGAGTGTCAACTTGATTGAATTGAAGGATGCAAAGTACTGTTCCTGGGTGTGTCTGTGAGGGTGTTGCCAAGGAGATTAACATTTGAGTCAGTGAACTGGGAGAGGCAGACCTACTACCCTTAATCTGGGTAGGCACCATTCAATCAGCTGCCAATGCAGCTAGGATAAAAGCAGGTAGAGGAACATGGAAAAACTAGACTGGATGAGTCTTCTGGCCTCCATCTTTCTCCCATGCTGAATGCTTCCTGCCCTTGAACATCAGACTCCAAGTTCTTCAGTTTTTGAACTCTTGGACCTATACCAGTGGTTTGTCAGGGGCTCTGGGGCATTTGGCCACAGACTGAAGGCTGCACTATCACCAGCTTCCCTACTTTTGAGGTTTTGGGACTCAGACTGGCTTCCTTCCTCCTTGGCTTGTAGACAGCCTATTGTGGGACCTCACCTTGTGATCATGTGAGTCAATACTCCTTAATAAACTCCCCTTTATATATACCTCTATCCTATTAGTCCTGTCCCTCTACAGAACCCTGAGTAATACAC
This sequence comes from Homo sapiens, assembly GCF_000001405.40. Lineage (NCBI taxonomy): Eukaryota > Metazoa > Chordata > Mammalia > Primates > Hominidae > Homo > Homo sapiens. The sequence continues at coordinate 6,993,249 of NC_000023.11, forward strand.
CTGGGCATGTCCCTTAGCACCTTGGATGAATCCTTAGGTCTGTGAAATAAGGGAGCTGGAGTTGATGGTCTCTAGAATGATTTCTTTTCCCAAAGTTCCCTGGTATTATTACTTACAGAAAGATAACAAAATGTAACGAAATGTAACAAAAATAGGAAGCAAATTATAACCAAGGCTGAGCCTGTTCATTTCCACTGAGGTATCTCTGGGGTTTGTGAAAATATAGGAGAGGGTATTAAAGAAAGAGTGCCATGAAAACTGAAACAGAGGAAGTCCAGAGTCCTCTCAGACTCTGGGAAAGCCACACACATTATGTGACACACACTTCTTTATATTCAGATAGAGGCAATCTGACATGCACTTCATACATGGATTTGATAACAGGCCATTTTGAAAATGGGGAAAAATAGCCACATAGAATTATATACAATGATGTTAACTGTACTAATATTGTTAATCTTATAATATTGTTAAAAATAAATATGTTCAAATTTATGTTGCTGCTTCCACTCCAAGGACTACCACATTTTTGTATCAAAGGAGCAGAGCATAACACCATTTCTCTTACTGAGTCAATTGGACTGAGCTCACCCCACATGTGCTAGAGGAATCAATCTTCATGGAGTGGGATGTCCAGTAGGGCACGTGGATCTAAGGGAGAATATTGAAAGCCAATACAAAATCCATATGAAATTGTATGACAATTAAGACAGAACAAATTGGAATATTAGATTTCTTTTACATTTCAGAATTTTAACTGCTATTGAGTCCATCAGAAATAAACCTACAAAAATAATGTCTTCATATTGATGAGCTTTGTTACAGATATCTCCTGTTTCCAGACCAAAGCAATGGAAAACAATGAAGAAAAGGAAAAAATTAGGCCAGGCACAGTGGCCCATGTCAATAAACTCAGCGCTTTGGGAGGCTGAGGTGGGAGGACCACTTGAGGCCAGGTGCTTGACACCAGCCTGGGCAACACTGTGAGACCCTGTCTCCTCATAAAACAGAAAAAATAGCTGGGCATAGTGGCATGCATCTGTAGTCGCAGCTACTTGGGAGGCTGAGGTGGGAGGATTGCTTAAACCCAGGTGTTGGAGGCTATATGATTGCACTACTGCATTCCAGCCTGGGTGACAAAGCAAGATCCTGTTCCAAAATAAAATAAAATAAAAGTCTGTCTTTGATGAGGTGAAGAACCATAGAAATACTAAAGCACAATCTATGAAGAAAGACTGTCAAGCCAAATAAAAGTTGAACAGTGTGAAGGGGAGGTACTAAGACAGGGAGAACACCTCTGATATGTTCTCCAGAATTGGTGGCAAAACCCCTAAGGCAAAACTTTGCTTGAAAAGACAAAGTGGGGATTCAAAGTAAGAATGCAGAAAAGAATGAGGGAAAGCAGGAATGATCATGGAAACTTTCAGACATAGTGAGATGTAGGCTACAAACATGGTGTGACAGAAGAGATATGACAAACGGCAGCTGCTTGGCAAGGCTGGTTTACTGAGCAGAAAAGAGTTAATTTTTTCACCCTATCGAAAAAACATAATGGAGTTTCTTTTGAGGCAGAGAAACTCCTTCCTAACTGTGAGCTATGTCATGTCATAACAGAGAACTGATGGGGGGAAAAGTGCTAAGAGATGACAAAATAATGGCATAGGGGATCCAAGGTATGTATAATTGGTACTCTCATAAAAAGAAGGGAAAGTACTATAGGAAAAAAGTCAAAATATGGAAAAAAAGAAGATGTGACAAGAAATGACAGGAAGGGCACAAAACTGTGAAGGAATCTGAAATCTTTGCATAGACTTATGAGAATATTATGAGGAATCTCAGTTTCAAAGAGGCATGGCTTTCTTTTTTTTTTAAAGCTCAAAATAATAAAGAAGTCATTTATTTACATGTGGAACAAGAACAGAGAATGGACATGCAATTCTCAAAACTGAAAACTAGACAGTACAATGGCAAATCATCCTAATGAATACAAGAAGGCTGACATTTCAACAGAAATTATCATGACCACAAAAAAACCCTGTAAATGAACCTAGGTATGACAAGTACATGCACCAAATAGGAAAGGTAGAGTGCACAGTCAACCAAAATATCGAAAGCCTTTGCAGAAAAGTGTAGAAAAAGTATCAGGAAGTCTTAATCCCAGAATGAGGTAAGGGATCTAAAAATATGAAAGGAGGCTGGGCATGGTGGCTCACACCTGTAATTTCAGCACTTTCAGAGACCAAGACATGAAGATTGCTTGAGTCCAGGAGTTCGAGACCAGCCTGGGCAACATGGCAAAACCCCGTCTCTAAAAATTATACAAAAATTAGCCAGTTGTGGTGGTGCATGCCTGTAGTTCCAGCTACCTGGGAGGCTGAGGTGGGAGAATCACTTGAGTCTGGGAGGTGGAGGTTGCAGTGAGCTGAGATCATGCCAGTGCACTCCAGCCTGGGTGACAGAACAAGACTGTGTCACAAAAACAATAAAAAATAAAAATAAAAATATGAAAGGCATCAAAAGGGGCTTTGAGTTAATATTATAGCTAGAAGAACAAGGAGAAAAACCTCATCTTGGGTCTTATAGCATCAGCCAAATATGAGAGGCGCTCACAGGTCCTTCTCTGAAGATTATTCTCAAGCCCTTTCTTCCTCAGGGCCAGAGAGTTAACAGTTCTTATTGGTTCTTTCTAGCTACCACTGTCTTTTCCATCTTTTGATGTTCTCTTTTTTTCTTTCCCACAAAGCCAAGCTACTAACAGTCATTCCTGATTCCCAATACAATACTCCTGTGTAAAGGTATACACTGCTGCTTAGTTATTTGAGGGCTTAGGTGCTAATCCATATGGGCAAATACATACACTGTAATGAACTTGGGATATAAAACATTTTCCCCGTCCAAAGGCATCTAACTACCTCTCCTCTGCCCTGGGGCACTTCACAGCTCCCCTTTTGCACACATTTGTGTTTCTTTAGGTAAAGCTGACACTGTTTTTAGTTATTTTGTGCAATATGGAGAGAGGAGCATGAGAAACAAATAGTGGATTTCACTGAGTTTTTCCTCCCAAAAGGCCATTAATCAAAGGGTAGAACAATAGGTGGGAACTACTGTGCTCAGGTAACTGCTTGTCTGAGAATTTGGGCATGTGTGGGAATCATTCCAACTTCCAACACATAGCTTGTCAGGTCCCCTGTGCACTACCAAGATCTCTTTGGGTCCTTGCTTCTAAAATTATGGAATGGCTGTGGTCTTTTCACAACCTACCCAAATTCATTGGAATAAAAAAATAGTTTCAATTTCCATTTTTTCCTCATATATATATACACATATATATGTATATATATACATTTTTATACATACATATGTATATATATATATGTGTGTGTATATATATATGTGTGTGTGTATATATATATACATTTTTTTTTTTTTTGAGATGCAGTTTCACTCTTGCTGCCCAGGCTGGAGTGGAGTGCCATGGGGTGATCTCGGCTCACTGCAACCTCAAACCTCCTGGGTTCAAGTGATTCTCCTGCCTCAGCCTCCCAAGTAGGTGGGATTACAGGTACTCACCACCACACCCAGCTAATTTTTTGTATTTTTAGTAGAGACAGGGTTTCACCTTGTTGGCCAGGCTGGTCTTGAACTCTTGACCTCAAGTGATCCACCCGCCTTAACCTCCTAAACTGCTGGGATTACAGGCATGAGCCACCGCACAAGGCCCCTCCCATAATTCTTTTACTTAATGGTTTGACATCCTCTGCCTTTGCTGGTTTGGAAGTACTAACTGAAAAAAAATAAATAAATAAACAAAATGCAACAATTATTAGCAGAAAATCCCACAATGGGATAAGTTTAACAACTTGTTTTGAGGGCAGGGCTGGGTTGTGTATTTGTTTGTAACTATAATTCTATATATTCTATAGAATACTTGTCATATATGCTAGCTTTGGCTAGCCATATTAATCATAAAATGAAAATAGCTATCAATAATCATAGTCCTTCAGAATATCAAGGTGTCCTATAGGGAGTACTGCAAATTCTAGGTGTTCCATCACCTACATAATGGTAAAAACCATTTACTAGTTCTTCTACAGCAAGACAGAATATCTCCTGGACTTTTATTTTCCTGCTTCTTCTCTTTCAGAATAGCCTGCAGAGAGGTGATTGTGAAGTTAAAATATAGAAGAACATTAAAATCCTAAAACTATGAGGAAGTTACAAGAGAATCAAGTTGTGAAAGAAATATTTTCCAGCCTGAATAAGCTGCTTCTTAAATTTGTGAAAAGCTTACAATTTTTCTGGACTTATCATTGATAATGTTGAGAAATCATTTATAAAATAGTGCAGATTTCCATCTAGAAAACTGAAAATTAAAATGAACAAATGTTCTGATTTTTCAAAGATTAGAAGAACATGAATTGCACAAATGTGAGAGCAAGAAGATGGGGTGTTGGGCAGTGTCAAATGCGTGCCACAGAGAAGTCAGGCAGAGGGAGTTGAGAGAGGACGCTGAGTTTGGGGATTAGAAGTTACGTGAGATTGCTGAGAAAGCAATTTAGCTTTGAGAAAACATGAGCTTAATGTCATCCCTGAGGATACTTTGAAAATGGATTATTTTAAGGATCATTGGTGAGTACTTAAGTCAGAAAGTGGAGGTCATGTTGAGTCAGAATGGGCTCATTTTGAGTAAGTCATGCCAGACTAAACTCATTTCACTGGACTGATAAGTACAAGAAATGTAGTAGACTAGAAGGATTGTATCTCCTTTGGAGCTAAAATAATTGACAAGCTTTTTCATCATAGTCTTGTGGACCTGGTGAGGATACAATTAAGATCAGCTTACAAGTATTGACACTGAGGATTAAGAGATGGATGTCCACCTGGAGGGGTGTTTCTCAGGGTCCCTCTCTGGCTGTCTCCTGTTGGCCATTTTAGCTAATGATTTGGATGAGTAAAAGGATGGTGTGGGAATCAGAGCTGCCAATTTGGGGAAGCTGGGATGACGAGATAATAATGCCTTGTATGACACAATTGAGACCAAAAGAAACCAGGAATGGAAAAGAGAAATGAAGAAACAAGCTTCAAAGGAGACTTGCTGGACTAGATCAATGGACTGAAGCTAACAAGATGAAGACTGATAGCAGCAAAGTACTACTCTTGTTCAAATATACCAGCTACACAAGTACCGAGTAGGGGAGACAGGGATGAGGGGCTACACAAGAAAAATAATCAGGGCAATTGACTGTCAGGGCAATATGAGACTTTAGTCTTTCTCCAGCCGAAAAAAAAAACCTCACAAAAAACAACCTCATATAACTTCCAACAATTGCAGTATAAATGTAGTGTTGAGCATAATGAAAGTAACCTCAATTTGTACCTCACTTTGAGTGATGGTTTTCATTAGAATAATCGAGAGCACATGCTAATTACTAAAAAGTATCTTTGATATTTATGCAAATTCACAATTAAGAATAAAATTTGATTAACCATGTAACTTTGGGGTTGGAAAAATGAATTTATTCAGTGTGAGTGGTATTATAGTCTCTGATGAACAGATCACCCACAGAGCTGTGGAGTTTTGTCCTGAGTGCCCAACAATATGTTTTCAGAGAAAGATGACTACTACGGCAAAGAACCAAAATGCAGACAGATGAATAAGTAGGAGAAAGGGAGAGGAGGGAAAAGAGGCTGGGAACTGGTGGGGAAAGGGTGGGGAATGAGGATCAAAGACTAAGCACGGTAGAGGGACACGCTCTGTATTTGAACTTTTTTTGATGATCCATATAGCTGGGTGACTTTTCTCTATGTCTGTGTCCAGACTTCTGGGTACAGGGAGTGATAAGCGCCATGCAATCGCCATAGTACCTGATCTCAGGTAACCTCCCTCATCATACACTGTGCTTTGTAACATTTCACACAGCAATAACTAGACCACCATGTGAGTACTTCTCTTTCCCCTCTAAACACTAAGATAAGTCCATGGGAGCAGGGCGACTGTGTTGGTCACTTTCATCACTATGTCTTTAACGCCACCTATATAGCCATACGTAAGCACATATGAAACACTCTATAAAAAAAGTTTGAATTTTTGAACATTGCTCAGCGATTTAATAGATTCCCTACATGGTGGAAATTTAAAAATAGGAAATATAAGAAGAAGAAACACCTCAAGTTAGTATCACAACATTGCAGCCTGAGAAGAAAAAATACATTCTTTCAATACAATGAGGTACATAAAATAGTAATGAAAATTGACCACTTATTAGTTCATAAAGCAGGTTTTCAATAAATTTCATCAGGTTGGTGTATAGACGTCACATTTTTTCCCATATGCACTAGGTTAGAAATCAAGAAAGCAGAGATGACTATTTTAAGTGAAATTTTAAAACACACATTTTAAAAACTCAAGGGGCTGCACTTCAAATAGGGTGCAGTATATACTGCTGGGGTGATGGGTACACCAAAATCTCACAAAGCACCACTAAGGAGCTTACTTGTGTAACCAAACACCACCTGTTCTCCAATAGCCTATGAAAATAAAAAATAATAATAATAATTTAAAAATTAAAAAAAAAACCCTCAACGGTCAAAAAAGAAACTGTAATGGAAACTGAAAATATGTGTAAACAATAATAGTATTAAATATTTTTTAAAAAAGAGAATACCATTAGGGCAGTACCTAGTGGGAAATTTAAAGCCTTGAATGTAGAGATTCGAGGTGAAAATAGGGCAGGAATCAAGACATTGTGTATCCACCAAAGGGAGCTAGGGAAGGAACAACGGATTAAACCTCTGTAAAGTAGAAAGAACAAAGTACTAAGACTGAAAAACGTCTAGCAAGACTGAATAGAAGCGAGATAAAAAGAGAGCGAGAGCAAGAGAGAGAGGAAAAGAGAGAGAGAGAGAGAGAAACAAACACACACTACTGGAATTTGTAAAACCCACAAATGTAAATACTATAGAGATAAAAATGATAGCCTTGACAGCTCTACACCAACAAACTTAAACTTAAATGTTCAAAATCCTAGAAAAATATAACTGACTCAAGAAGAAACAGATAAACTAAAAAAACAAACGAACAAACAAACATAAACTGAGTCAGTGGTTTAAAAATCTTTCCACCAAAGAAAAATCTAGGCCCAGTTGGTTTAATATGTTAATTCTCACAAACAATCCACAAATAATACCAAACCAATGTAACTCCTCCAAGGAGTGAAAAAATAAGAAATTTACCCCAATTCATTTTATGAGACTAGTTAACTTTAGTAATCAAATTATCCAAGGAAAGACATTTTTATTAAATATAGGAACAAATATGAATAGAAACAAATACATTTATAAAATATAAATAAAAAATATATAAATAGAAACAAATATAAATAAAATAGAAAAAAAATTACAAAGACCAACTCATTAATCACCACAGAAAAACCTATAATGATCATTTTAACAGATGAAGAAAAAGCATTTGATAAGGTCACTATTTATTCCTGATTTTTTTTACAGATTCTTAGCAATTAGGAATAGAAAGTAACTCCCTTACTCTGATAAATAATACCTAGTTTAAGAAACATAATTGAAACATCATATTTAATTGTGAAAAGGTAAAAGTTTTCCTATTTAACATTGTTAGTGAGATTATATTATATTACATATAATATAATATTAAATAATTGTATCAAGCTTCATCTTGGGGGAAAATTCTAGCTCAATAAAATAAGAAAACAATAAAGTATATAAATATTACAAAGAAAAAAGCTGTTATCATTGCTTGCTTATTCATTGTCTACCTAAAAAAACCCTCAAACCTCAAAGAATATTTAGATACATTATTAGAATTAATGAGGGTTTTTGATGATTGCTGGATACAACATAAATATTCATATCACTTGTATATCTTAATACTGGCAAAAATTAGAACATATATTTTTTAGAAAATAGCTTTCATGAAAGCCACAAAATATAAAGAATTAGTACTGAATAGAATAAAATTTGTTCAAAAACACTTTATTGAAAAATTATAGAAATACTGAAAAATAACAAAGTAAAAATAAGTGACAAGTTATAGCATAATCTTGAATAGGAAGACACAACATTTTCAAGAAGTCACTACTCCTCTATTCAATCTGTAGATAGATTTAATTTCAGTCAAATGCCAAGAAGATTTTTAGGGAAAATTTGATTCTAAAATATATATGAAAGAACAAAGAGCCATAAATAACCAAGATACTTCTGAGAAAAAGAAGAAGATGGAAAAACTTATTCTATTCAGAATTAATATAAAATTTTGGTGGTTAAACCCATGTAGAATTAGGACTGGAACAGACATACTAGACAATTCAAAAGATAAAGAGCCATTTGGGTCATGAACAGACGCATTGACCAGTGAAAAGAATCGAGATCAGAGAAACAGACTTAAGTCCCTTGAATTTTCATGTATAACGGAAAGAGATTTTCTGATGTGTGGGAAAATACAAAATAAATGGTACTAGGACAAGGGGTTATTTATACATACGGAAAAAAGGAGAGCTCAAACTACATCTCACACTCTACACAAAAATAAAATCCAGATGATTGAAAAATTTAAATGCCAAAGTCAAATGCTTAACACTTCACAAGACAATTTAGGGGACAATCTCATGTCCTATGGATAGGAAAGCACTTCTTAAATCAAATAAAATAATAATCAATAGCCATAAATAAAAAGAGACACAAACTTGACTATATTCAACAAACTTCAGTTTGTCAAAAAATGCCATAAAGAGAAAAAATTAAGCCATAAATAAAAGATGATATTTGCAACACGTAAGTCACCATGGCTCAGTCTCTAGACTACATTTAAAACGTCTAGAAATCAATATAAAAAAGATAAACCACCCAACAGAAAAAAATAAAGAAAATACCTGAATGAAGACTTTGTAAAAGAGGAAACACAAAATCATATGGAAAGATGTTCAATCTCATTAATAATCAGGAAAATGAGACATAGATATTGTTTTATACTCATCAGATTGGCAGAAACTTAAAAATCTAGAAATATCAGCTGAGGTGCCCATATCAGCTACCAAGGTAAATGTGGAGGCAAAATTGCATATGGTGGGTTTTCAATGGGAAATGCTGACAATGTACTGGAGGACTCTAAAACTTGCTTCAAGACTGGCAAATGTTTTCACCGACTTTGAGAATATTAAAACTAGATCAAATGTGATACTGGTGAGGAGATTTCTTTGGAGAAATCTGTTGCCATGCTGTGAGTAACCCAACCTTTTGGAGGGGAGAGTGGGTTATTACTGGTCCCTTGCCTAATGGGTGAGCTTCAAGGAGATCCTCACAATGCTTTGAAATGATCCTTGCAGTTGGAAGACATGGAGAAGGGGTGTCTGACCTATTTCTGGGAAAGTTAAATTGGATTGTGGACTAGGTTCTGACTCACCTGGGGAGTGTAGTGTGCAGAAGAGAGGCAGCGCCAGGAGGGGCTGCATAATGGGATCAATCCACATTTCCTAAATTAGATGGAACTCATCAGAGGGAAGCCGGAGTGGAATTCCTTTGAGTTCCCGGACATTCTGGGAACAGGACAGAACTATACGCACCCAGTGGAATACAGACACTCTCCCTCATCCCCTGTGAAGGGGCTCAGCTGAAACCCACCAAGGAGCCCCGGAAAGCACCGAGAAAAAGGAGGCAACCTCTGCCCTCTGCAAGCTACCTAGGGACACAGAGGGACCTCTCTGTCCACATATTCAGGTAGGGAGGACTGAACTGAAACTGAAAATACGTAGAAGACGTAATGTCAAGCCAGTTTTGAAGTATTGGCTATTATGTGGGACTGGATATTCCAATTCCTGAGACGAAACAGTTTTATGACCAAAAGTGGCTGGAGGATAGTTTAGTTTTTTGAGTGTGACGATCTCTCCAAGTGTTTGAAATGGGTGGTCGGAGAGGATAATAAAGTTGTATGCTTGGTCAACATTCTGACTCTATATTGTTTTCATAGAGGGTAAAACTATAAAGAAAAGCCAGAGAATGATACCAAAAAAATTGGGGAGATCATTTATGGTGGGCAGTAGAGTGAGTAGGATGGAATTCAGGAGGCGGCACACCGGGGCTGTAGATGTGCTGATGACATTCTGTGACTCAAGGTGTTGGGTGCGGTGGCCAATGTATTGTGAGTCCTGATTCCCTGATCATTTTTGCAAGTATTCAATAGTTAGTATAAAACAACACTTAAAGGGAAACCATAAAAAGCTAGAAGACAATATATGTGCCTATTTGATCAAAAAATCCTTTTAATTTTTCCACCCTATTTTCATGTCCCTTGATCTAAAATATACTTTTTATGCCATTAGCAGTCCAGGTTCCTGCTGCTTTTAGACTTTTGAAAAAGAAAAGGAAGGAATTTTTTTCTCTTCATGCCATTCTTTTGTACATCTCTGCCCCAGGCAATGAGCACATACCTGCTGAGTTTTTTGAAAGGGGGACAGCGTTGTGGTTGGGAAAGAGAGTATTTATGGGGAGGCTGAAAACTTCAGTAAAATTTCAAAAATATCCACAATTTTGATAGTGATGACCTCCAGATGGGCAAATTACTGGTGACATTTTTTTAATGATGTCCTATTGGTTCCATGGTTTTATTTTTATTTTTTGAGATAGGGTCTCACTCTGTTGCCTAGGCTGGAGTGCAGTGGCACAATCTCAGCTCATTGCAACCTGTGCCTCCAGGCTCAAGCAGTCCTCTCACCTTGCTCTCCTGAGTAGCTGGGACTACAGGCACACACCACCACGCACGCTTAATTTTTGTATTTTTTGTAGAGATGGGGTTTTACCATGTTGTTGAGGCTGGTTTTGAACTCCTGGACTCAAGTGATCCACCCGCCTTGGCTTCCCAAAGTGCAGGGATTACAGGTGTGAGCCACTGCTCCTGCCGGTTTCATGCTTTTTATAATAAGAATGAACATCTTATGTAATAATAAATAAATAAACAGAAATTATTTGCTTTGGATGTAGCAAATGTAGATTTAGATTGTCCAGAGTCAGGAGCTAAGCCTCATTTTTTTTTGTTTTAGCTCAGTGTAGAGTGCATTGAAGGTGTCCTAAAAATAATTCCATATAGTAAGCCAACTTTAAACCCTGCTCACAGCCAGATCTGCCAAGTATGAGCCAGGTAAAATTACCAAAAAGGGTGGTTCTGACTGACTTCTTAACAATAACGTGGCTTACAAAGACTGATATGAAATAGTTGATCCAACCCAAACACTTTGCTCATTTCCCGAAATTTTCCATACAAACATATACAATGTACCACAACATAAAGATCATAATGAAAGGTTTGCCTTTTATTCCTTTAAATGACCATATGTTTAGATCTGATGTACTGACAGCGATAATTCTCCATTAAGCAGAAACCTAATAAAATTTGAAAAATAGTGATTTTATATTTAGATGATACTCAGATCTTCTGCTACATATGTGGAAAATGGAATTATTGCTAGAAACACTGTTTAAAGATTAGGGTATGAAAGGAGTATTAGGAAGTCAGGAGGTTCTTTCTTTAGGAAGCAGCTTATCTGGATTCATTCAAAGAGCTTTAGGCCAGTTTGAGGTCTTTCTGCAAAATGTAAATTGCTATATGAGAAACCATATATAGTCCAATGATGAAAGAATGCAAAGCCTTAGAAGCACAGGAGACAATTCCAGTATCTTCCCTAAAGTTCTGACAAAAAGGAAAATAACTATCAAATTATTCGACTCGAATGCTTATTATGTACGTATAAGTCAGTCGGCAGATGAAGAGAGGAGGGAAATATGACTTCTACCCCTAGGGAACTCACAGTCTTGTGGGGGCCACTAGGGGTGGTGGTGTGACCTGCCTGGAGCAGCGCTAAGTATAGACTTGTGAGTCAAGGGCTATCAAAACCTAAGTAAACTGATGGCCATTCAGAGAAGGTAGAGTTCCATTCCACAGTTTCCAAGAAGGGCTGTTTCATGGAGGAGGTCATATTGAACTAGACCTTTAAAAGTTGGTATAATTTAAAAGCAAGGATATGGAAGCAGGAAGAATGAAAGTGAGCAGAGGTACAGGAGTGAGGCAAGGGTGAGCAGTTTTAACTTTTTAATGGTGGTATTATAAAATACACATCAAAATTTGCCATATTATTATTATTATTATTATTATTTTGGAGACAGGGTCTGGCTCTGTTGCCCAGGCTGGAGTGCAGTAGCTCAATCATGGCTCACTGTAGCCTCCACCTCCTGGGCTCAAGCAATCCTCGTACCTCAGCCTCCTGAGTAGCTGGGACCACAAGCATGAACCACCACGCCCAACTAATTTTTATATTTTTGGGAGTGACGAGATCTTCCTATGTTGCCCAGGCTGGTCTCGAACTCCTGAACTCAAATGATCTTCCTGCCTTAGCCCCAAAGTGCTGGGACTACAGGTATGAGCCACTGCACCTGACCGCATCTTAAAAATTTTTAAGTGCACAGTTCAGAAATACATTTGCATTGTACAACCATCAGCGCCACCCATCTTCAGAGTATTTTTCATCTTGCAACAGGGAAAATTCATATCCATGAACACTAACTCCTCATTCTTCCTCCTCCCCACCCCGGGTAACCACTATTTCAGTGTCTCTATGATTTTGACTGCTCTAGGGACTTATATAAATGAGATCATACACTGTGTATCTTTTTGTGACTGGCTTATTTCACTTAGCATAATGTCCTCAAGGTTCATCCATATTGTAACATATGTGAAAATTTTTTTCCTTTTGAAGGCTGAATAATATTTCATTGTATGGATAGACCACATTTTGTTTATCCATTAATCTATCCATGGACACTTGGGTTGCCTTCACTTTTTGGCTATTGTAAATAGTGCTGCCATAAACGTTGAGGTACCAATATCTGTTTGGGTCTCTGCTTTCAATTATTTTGGGTTTATACACAGGAGTGGAATGGCCAAGTCATACAGTACCTCTAGTTTTAGTTTTCTGAGGAACCACCATAATGTTTTTCATAGTGGCTGCACCATTTTAATTCTTATGAATAGTGCAAAAGGGTTCCAATTTTTCCACAGTCTCATTAACACATTATTTTCCGGGGTTTTTGCTTTGTGTTTGATAGTAGCCATTTAAATTGGCATAAGGTATAATTTCATTGTGGTTTACATTTTCATTTCCTTAATGATTAGTGATATTGATCAATATTTTATATGCTTGCTGGCTACTTGTAAATCTTCTTTGGAGAAATGTTTATTCAGGTCCTCTGCCTATTTTTTTAAATTGGGTTGATTTTTTTTTGCTGCTGTTTAGGTAGAGAAGGCAATCTTTGAATACCAGTGATGTTTCACTAATGCTGGGCCATTGATTTCACGAGAAGTTGTATGAGGTATTAGAATGTGAGTTTGGTTTCAATCATGGCTGAGGTTGAGTGCCTTTTCCAAAATTCAATGTGAATTTCATCAGAAGCCACAAAGGGTCCAGGAGCAAGAACATGGTGTGACTGCTCTCTGCTAAAGAATTTCAGCCTGATGACAGCAGGCTATACATGAGACTGACACAAGAACAGGTGGAAAGGGAGACTTTCCACTGGAAAAAGGTGATTCTAACATGCAGAATCACTTTCAAGGAGCAAGTAAGCAGAAAAATAGATAATGGCACAGTGGCCAGGCAAGAAGACACTAGGTCCAGAATCTGAGGTTCAAATCCTGGCTCTGTGAGATAACAACATGCCTTGGTTTCCCCATGCTACTGAAATGCCAGTGGTTGGGTCTAGGTCCCACTGCTCACTGCACAGAAAGCCAACCACTGAGACAATGAGCATTGCCAGGGAAGAATGCTTTATTTGGGTGCTGCAGCCAAGGAGGTGGGAGATCAGTCTTAAATTCATCTCTCCAGCTGACTAAAATTGGAGGGTTTATATAGCTGGGAAGGGAGGTAGCTACCTGCAGGGAAAACAGCAATTAAGGAGGGGTAAGGAAGCAATCATGATAAATGAGGAGTCTGGTGTCTCATTGTCTGATGGTGATGTGGTGAGTTTCAGTCTCTTGCCTGAAGGTCCGTTTCCTAACTCAGATGACTGACAAATGTTAAGTTTCAAGTTTTAAGACCAGATGGGTCAATTTCTATGTTTATTCAAAAACCCTGTAAATATCAGTTCTATGTGGAACTTGAGCTGGTTTCCCCCAGTTATCACAGTTAGGGTTAAATGATGCAATATAAGTAAAACACCAGCAGTGTCTGACACACACACAGAGTGCATGACACAAGTGGTGTGTTGGGACAATATAGCTCAGTGAACTCCCTTTGTCTACTCAGTTATATTGAGCAATGAGGCATCTCTGAAGATGCCACTTTGCTACCTCTCCCCTGATAATTTCACCAGATCCAGCCATATGAGCACTGCAAGTGGGGGCTTAGCTTAAATCATTCCTCATATTTCCCTTGCAGGCAAATCATTTGGCACCAAAACAGGCACAGAAGTCCAAGTCCTGCTGCCAGCTCCACGACTGATGGCACAGACAGACTTCAGGATTAGTCCTTTAATCTCTGTCCTCTATTAAATGAAGGTCATCATGCTGCTGCCTAATGTAAAAGGATTGTGGGGATTTTCATCATTCATTAACGATTATCTTATTCTTTGAAACCCCAAGAAAACTATATAAATTCCAAAGTCTAATAGGTACACAAGGGCTTTATTATGGATAATAATAAAATTTTTTTTTTCTTTTTTGAGATGGAGTCTTGCTCTGTTGCCCAGGCTGGAGTGCAGTGGCGTGATCTTGGCTCACTGCAAGCTCCACTTCCTGGGTTCACACCATTCTCCTGTCTCAGCCTCTGGAGTAGCTGGGACTACAGGCACCCACCACCACGCGCAGCTAATTTTTTTGTATTTTTAGTAGAGACGGGGTTTCACCATGTTAGCCAGGATGGTCTCAATCTCCTGACCTCGTGATCCGCCCTCCTCGGCCTCCCAAAGTGCTGAGATTACAGGCATGAACCACTGCACCTGGCCAAAAAAATTTTTTTTAATGCGCTCTCTTTTCCATATAATCCCAAGGTCGGTGAATCACCTCTAAGCCAGGTGTTTATTTTAGCTGATACTGCCTTAGTGTTGGCACAACTTAAATTTAGTTCAACTAATATTTGCATGATCTTTGCACAACACATAAACGCCCAGGAACAGGTGGTGCTCTTCGGTGGTCAACACCAGGGTGGGTGGCTATGGCAGGGCACATTCTTTCTCTATAGCCCAGGTCACTGGCATTCAAAGAAATATTTTTCAATCTCTGATTTTTCTCTGGAAGTAGGAAAATGCTTCCCTAACTGCTTTACTTATAAGGGTGTTTCTTGCTAATTCTGTGCCCAGAGTAACTAATGGGGACATAGACATAGACATCATTCAAATGGCATTTTCTCTTTACCATAACCCATGCTTTAAAATGAAATAAACCAAACCCATGCCTTAAGACAACAATCAAGAAATACATTCTGCCTAAGGAAAAGTCCTGCGTTTGAAGGTTTTTGTCCAAATAATCTGACATTGTGGTCATGAAACATTGAAAATAGCATTTGGAGCAGTAAGTTTAAAAAATTTAGAAGGACTAAAACTACTTGAATGCTTGTTGGGAGGTTTACAATGTAGTCAAACACCAGTTAAGCAAAAATAAAATTTACTACTTAACTATTTACATTTTCTAATGTGTGGTTTCATGGAATTGTTGAGATAGAAGTAGACACTGAAATAGGAGTACTTAAAGTAATAAAACAAAGATTTTTATAAAGTCATTTCTGACCTAATTAAGAAAAATATAATCTCTATCACATATGAAATAAACATCTTTAGAAAAATGCAATGTCAAAGAAAACACTTGGAATGGCCAACAAATATCTACTACAGATAGAAATGAAAATATTTATGTTATGTAAATGTTGGGCATCAAATTGTCTCCGAAGTTGCCTTCTAGAGAACTTTCTTTAGTTGGTATATTCTTCCTATGAATCAAAGGAATACAGTGTTATGATCATAAGTAATGAGGGACATGAGACAATTTTAAGGATTTTAGGAAAGTAGGGAAGCAGTGAAGTGAAGGGTAGGCAGATACTTCGGAGGGTAAAAAGTGTTTTTGATTCAAAAGAAAAGCTAAGGTAGTTTGAAGAAAACATGCATCATCTACTAGTTAATCTGAGGTACAACGAAGGTGGTGTTATTTTAACAGTGTTCAAAAAAGACCAATTAATTCTTCGGCCATACAGAAAGAATGGAAAGATTGCATAAAACAGATTCTGAGGAATACAAATCAATCTAGCAAGGAACTTTATGATGAAGGACCAATGTAAGCATAGAATGCACTGGGTTTTTTTTTAATTATTATTATTAGCAGCATCATTGGTATGGTGATGTTACCTACTTTTGGAGTGGAGCTAGATATGAGAGAGCTGCATGTCCTTTGAAATTTATTTGGGGTAAATAGTGAACACAGTATCTATGACGAGTTAATGGGTGCAGCACACCAACATGGCACATGTATACATATGTAACAAACCTGCATGTTGTGCACATGTACCCTAGAACTTAAAGTATAACAAAAAAACGAAAGAAAACTATATCTAAATAAAAAAGAAAACATTCTAGAGGTGCAGAATTCAAGCTAGAAGAATTGTGTCCTTGGATGTCCCAAGGTCAAATTTTAATATGTCATTGAATGAAGGTTCCAATGTTTGGAATAATGAAAAAAGTCATATTGAATTTTGTCTTTGCTTTCCTCCCTCCCCAGTGTCTACCAAAAAGGCTGGGTAAACATTCATGCAAGTCAATACACTGTCACAGCCACAATTCGTCCCAGCAATCTTTCCTGGAATAGTCACTTAATACATATCTGGTGAGGACCCATTGGCACTTTTAGAGCAATCAGAAAACACCTCAAATTGCTCACATCTAGTGTAGGAGAAGGCTAATCCATCCCTGTTTCATGAAGCATCACTTCAATGTCCTGGAACAGTCATTCTACCCAAATCTTCTGTCCCTAGAGCCCAACACTCTCTGCATCTTCATCCATTCTTCACAGGGCTTGATTTCCAAGACTCTCTACCATCTTGGCCACACACCATGTTACACATTCACTATGGACACTGCACCACTGTGGATGCTGCACCACTGCGGATGCTGTACCAAGAGTTCTGAATCCAAGGGCAGATTGTTATGAACAGCCCCTTTAAAAGTCTTAAACTTGATACACTGGTCTGTCAGCAGATGTGCAGAGCCTCTTATGGGAGACACAATTTTTGACTCATGTGATTCAATGTCCATAAATCTTCATCCAAAAGATGCCCATAGAGACAAAGAGCAGAGTAAAGTCCTTGCAGCAGTGTTTCTCAAACTTAGCCACCCACCAGAACTGCCTGGGGAACTATAAAAGATACCCATGCTGAATCCCACCCACCACGATTCTGGTGTAATGCTATGGGGTGAGATCTGGACATCAGGATGTTTGGAATCTCCCCAGGCTCATTGAACATGCAACCAAGACTGAAGCCCACTGTCCTCAGTAATGTGCCCAGCCCGGCCTTCCTGGCATCCCCTCATGGGTACAGGATGACAGTTTCTCACTCTGACCCTTTCCTTTATTCAATACAGCACAGCACAATCCAAGAGGGTGAGCACTGTTATGACAGAGAACCTGGAGTCGGACCTGATTAAATGTCTTCAACAAAACCAGTGCCAAGCCTTGGCCATTCAACTATCAATTACTACTTTCAACCCAGGTTCTAAAGGCTCTTCATTAGAAACATCTCGGGTTGGTAATGATTGGGGCAAATGTGCCCTTTGGATTTGATTGCTACCATGATTATTAATTAACCAAATTGTAGAGATATTGAGTACATTTCTCCCTCTTGTTTGTAAGAACCCATGAGAGACAAGGCCAATTGCAGACAATGGGGACGTCCTCATGATAGTGAGATGAACTGCCTAGCTATCTTCCAATATCGTTACTTCCCTCCAGTTTTGTTGCTTGCAAAACAACAGAATCTTCTCTCCATGAAATCATGGGTATCAGTTAGGAAGTAGCCCACTTGGTTCTGGATTTCGTTTAGAGATTTAAGATAGTAACAGAGGGTGCAGGATGACGAACAGCATTTGTACACTGTGTCTGGTAGTGGAAAATACCCAACAGTGTACTGTATGCTGACTCTGTCATTTCCTGCCTTCTCTCCTCCTTTCTTCCCTCCCTCGCTCCCTCCCTCTCTCCCTCCCTCCTTCCTTCCCTCATGAAAGCATAGCTCCTTTGCCATTCTTTCCTCCAGTCACAAGCCATCTACTTATGCACATCACCATGCTCATGCCATTACCAGGGGACTTTCTATCAGCATGAAGACATGAAAATGCCTGGGGAAGAAAAGGTGTGGGGAGCAGGCAGCACCCCTGCAACTGCCCGGTAGCATTTATACATTGCTCTTCCACCTTGGTTTCTATCCATGGCTTTCCTCGTCAGAGCATGTTCACTTTAACCTCCTCTAGAGCAATTTCTTGGATCCTTCAAGGGCTTGAGAACTAAACACAATTTCAAAAGAAACTGAGTAGGCACCTACCTTCTGGAAACAACATCCATAGAAAAGACTTGATTGCTATGGTCTGATTTATGAACCTGTGGCTCATATCAAGATTAGCATTTGCACTAGCATTAAGGTATTTTCATTGAGATCATTTATGTTTTGAAATAAATACTACAACATCAAGGAACTGTATCAGTTGGAGAATAGAAGTGTGTATGATTTGTGTATATAAACATGCACATCAAAGCATTTATTTATTTCAGAGAGTTGTATAACACCGTTAGAGTAAAAATTGAGTGATTCTCTTCTATTTCTGACCCTACTTCTAATGTCTTCTCTGTCCCTCTGTGCAAAACCATTTAAACCTTTTATCTTGGTTTCCTTTGTGAGAAAATGGGGATAATAGATACCCCTGAGCCATTCTGGAGACGTGTTTTGATGCCAGCCCAGTTATGTGATTATAGGAGAAAAAAGCTTTGAGCTTTTGGCACTTAGGTGCTACATAAATATTATTAGCAAGCTGCTGAGATTTTATCTTTGGAAACTAACAAGCATTTCTCTTCTAAAGCCTCATATCTTTAGCCCCTGGACACATGTTCCTGATAGCTCTCTCTTTACAGAGATCCCCTTGGCTCCACAAGGATAGAGAGTTCTTTGCTGAGAGAGTCACTGCCGCACGCTCAGATGAAAGGTATTCATTCTGCTTGGCAGAGTCATCGGTAGAGTAGCTGCTGATCCCAGCAAGGCAGGGTGGGTGATGGGAAGGGATTAGATTAGGAAGAAAAGGGATCCTCTTGTTCTCTCACTGAGGGGACTTTAAACCTGCAGAAGCACATCAGTGAGCGGACTATGGGTAAGTGCCAATGTGCAAAGTCGATGGTGCACACGTTACAGGTTGGTGAGAGATGATGCCACTCAGACCTGAGTGCACCGTGGAACTCTCTTGACTTCTCTCTGCAAATGGGTTGCTCCTGGATGTATAGAGTTATTCTACAGGAGTCCTGCTCCTAACTCATCAGAAACGTAATGTCCTCTGTTGATCTCAAAGGCATTTTCTTCTGTTAAAAGTATTATCCATTCAGCAATATGGAGAAAGGTCATTTGTGAAAATAAAATAGAAATGTCTGATGGTAGTGGGGGTGGGGGGTGTAATTTCCTCCCTATGTGAGTAGCATTAAGTTCACTCTTAATTTTTTTCTTCATTTCTGTAATTGGAGACTGATTTATCAAGAGGATATAGAATTCAATGACTAATTCCATTAAATGCTTAAAGAATAAAATAAAGGTAGAACTCAAAAGGCTTATTCCTGATTAGTTTTCAAGATGTGTCTAGGCACAGGAAGTTAAAAATAATACCACAGTGAATGCTCTGACCCAGTGCTAACAAAAGCTTCTTTTTTTCGGTGAGACTTGGCATAGAAAAGCACACATGTCATTCAGCAGTCCTGAAAAATGATGACTGAGATTTGGACTGGTTTTCCAGGGAATAAAATTGAGTGACTTTTTAAAAAGTTCTACTCCTAGAATCCGGGATCTAATCAATCCAATATCAACTTCAAGGGAATAGGCCAACAACCAGAGATGAAATTAGAAGAAAAATAATTAGAATAGCAAGCATAGGTTGGTTTTCCATGCTATGATTCTGCAGCAAAGGTGGTAATTTGGGAATACTGATTTGGGGAATCTCTTGTCATGGGAATAAGTTGTCAGCTTTGCTGAGTGTCTCCGGTGAGCTAAAACTGATTAAAACAGAGTGCTGGCCCTGGTATGTAAGCTCTAATCTATACTCCATATCTACCACTAGCCATTTTGAAGGAGGAGAGTTCCCTGATCCACCTCACAGGAAGTGCAACAGGCGTGTGGCTCGCCCGCTTGGTCGCTCAAACCCCTGATGGGAGATGGAGCACACAGATGGGCAGGTGCGGGGGCTGGAGTGAGTGCTTTGGGCTCCAGCCCCGCAGTAGTGTCTGGGGAGGGGGGGTGCCTGCAGCCTAAGGTTTACAATGCTCTTTTAGTCTTGCTGTCTGCAAATGGCTTAAGTGTTAACCAGCTCAATAGACCCTCTGCCTTTTCACAAGGGCAGAGGGCCAGTGTGACAGCTTTCTGTATTCCCAGCTTTTGCCCAGTGTCCCAGAAGAATTGGGTCACACACACAGGCTTGAAGGATGAATGTGGGGTTTTACTGAATGGTGGAGGTGGCTCTCAGCAGGATGGATGGGGAGCTGGAAGGGGGAATGGAGTGAGAAGATGATCTTCCCCTGGAGTTTGGTCATCCAGCAGCCAAAATTCCCTCTGACCACCCCCAGTTTAACTCCTGGCATTCACACGTTCCTTCCCTTCTCTCTTTCTCTGCCGTGTCATCTGCCATTTGTCTGCTTGTCTCCTCATCTCCTCATCTGCTTCTGGAGCCTGGGGTTTGGGGTTTATATGGGTACAGGATAGGGGGACATGGCAGGCAAAAAGGCAACTTTTCCCACTTAGGGCCGCGGGTCTCCAGGCTTGAGGGTGGGGACTTTGCTGGGGAACTGCCTTCTTTACCCAGTATTTCCCTGTCTCCTGTCCATATCAATTTCATGAATGTGTGGTCACAACATGAACCCAGAATTTGGAGGTTGGAAAGTAGGAGTGAATGCACTCAATCTACTAGGGTGCCAATTCGTAGCATCTAATTTGGTAATGATGAATTAGCAATAGAATCTTTTGGTAGGGGCAGACTTGGCGAATCTTCAAATGTAGCAGGATTTTAAAACGAATCGAATACTATCTCTCAGTCAATACAATTACCTCCACCACTCCCCAGTTCCTAATTCAAGGGTTATATTTTCAGTAACTTTATGTATTCAAAACTGTATTAGATGCTAGAAATACAAAGATGAGTAAGACATTATTAATCTCTGTCCCTAAAAAGATGAAAACTAGTGTGGAAGACAGCCAAAAAATTAGAGATTAATCTTATCTAGAAAATTCTAGAAACAGAATGAAGCACAACAGAGGAGTATTTTAGGCAACCTCAAGGCATTTAACCCAACCTGGAGCCTTTAGTTAGGTTAGAATATGGCCAGGAACAGGAAGTCAAGATTCAACAAATTGCAACACTGCAATAATAACTAACATCACTTTTTAATAGTGTTTTCTAATATGAAATCAAAATCTGCCTTTGGATAACTTTTACTCACTCCCTGGTCTTGTTTCTGTTCTCTGGGATGACACAGAATATATCGAATTCACTCCTACTCCGCTTAGTACTGAGAAGGCAAAAATTAAATAAGGCATTCCAAATTCTTGTCTGTATAGGGGCCAAGGGAAAGCTTCCCCTTCACGCTCTGAAGGTTTGCTGATAACCAACTAACAAAAGGAAGATTCACAGGAGAAAAAGCTTAAATATTTATTTGATCACAGTTGTATATGACATGAGAGCCTTTAGAATGAAGGCCCAAAGATACAGGGGAAACCGTCCATTTTTATGCCTAGGTTCAACAAAGTATGGACAGCCATGTAGAAATAGGGTTGGACAAAAAGGGCCTGATCTAAAGCTAATGGACTGAGTGTGGAAACCCAGCCAGGCCTGTCTGTCTAGATTCTTCTTGGCCTGTCTGAGCAGTGCTTCTTCCTTCTGGATGTGGGAAAAATTCACCATATTCCTTAGGTCCCCTCAAAGGCCCCTCTATTCATTCTATTTCAGGAAGGGCGAGAGGACCAATGAATAACCAACTTTCTGGAACGGAGGTCTTAGGACCTACAGTCAAACAAAGTAGGTCAGATCATTTCTTCTTTTGTTTTCTCTTTTCAAGAGGCAGGGTCTGATTCTGTCACCCAGGGTAAAGTGCAGTGGCCTGATCCATGGTTCACCACAGCCTCAAATTCCTGGACTCAAGCAATCTGCCAGTCTCAGCCTCTCAAGTAGGTAGGACTACAGGTGCATGCCAACATACCAGACTAATTTTTTAAAATGTTTGCAGAGATGGAGTCTTGCAATGTTACCCAGGCTGGTCTTAAACTCCTGGGCTCAAGCAATCCTCCTGCCTTGGCCTCCCAAAGTGTTGAAATTACAGATTTGAGCCACCACACCCAATCCAGATAATTTCTGTATGGCCAGTTTTTACACAGGAAGGTAGAGGGAAAATTAGAGTCCGATTTTTAGGTTTTATGGCTGGCTTTGGGGAAAAGGGGTTCTGGTTTCTAGGACCCGTCATGGGGAAGAGGGATTCTAGTTTCTAAGGTGCCTCCAGGGAGAATGGGACTCAGAAACAGGAGGGCAGAAGAAGCTCTGAGAGAAAGTTTTGCTTCTGAGGCTCTTTCAGAAGGATTGCTTGAGCTCAGGAGTTCAAGACCAGCCCGGGTAACATTGCAAGACTCCATCTCTGCAAAAAATTAAAAAAAAAATAGCCTGGTATGTGGCATGTACCTGCAGTCCTAGCTACTTGAGAGGCTGAGGCGGGAGGACTGCTTGAAGCCAGGAGTTTAAGGTGTGGTGAACTTTCTGAGGCTTTGATTTTGGGGTACTGCTTTCTGAGCCTTAGACCTAGAATCAGTATTCAGGTCATGGGGGAAGTTCATATGAGAATCTCTATTTTTTAACTATCAAACTGTGACTCCCACATGGGCCACTTGGAGATGCTCTCACTGATAGGCCTGTCATACACCTTTGGTGGGTAGGGACAGGAAAAGAGATTGGGTAGCATAAGATAAAGTCCTCCCCACCCCACCCATTTCAATAATGGGGTACACATTTATCATATGCCAATCTGAGACCCTTCCTGAACTTCACAATTCATATAGTGTTAGAGAGTGGTCTATACCTTTCTCTATGACCTCCAGCCCACACGAGGTTCAGTGACCCTAATGCCACGGAGGCCAGGATGCTGTGATTGAGATGATAGCAGGGGTAAGGAGGGTCTTTTCTCTGCTCATGGAGCACTGGAAGGAAGTATCTTTTTGGGTGCTGGACAGTGGGGAGGTCAAGGCTGTGGGCAGAGGAACACTGGAGCCAATGTTGGGAATAATTCTCATGCAAGCAAAGACGTGGTGTTTGGCTGGCCACAACCCCAGACCTTGAGACTCCAGTTCCACATGGGTCCAGGATATTGTTTCCATGTACAATATCCATCTGCGAGAATCCAGCACTTTCCACCACCTGCCGTGGTATGGCTGTGGTCCCATGCACCATCACCTTGGGCTTCAACTTCTGCAATGACCCCCTAATTGATAACCTGGCTCTTGAGTTGACCTTACAGCAAACATTCTTTTTGAAGAAAAGTCATAGGGCTTCACCCCACTGCCCGAAACCCTCCACTATTAGCTGCCACTGCACACAGAGTTGAAGCCTAAGGCATTGCACTTACACATTTTCATGTTATATTATTGCATACATGTTATTAGTTTCTGAGTAGCCAGGAGAGCATTTTTTCTGAAATTAAACATATCGAATGCACCACATTCTTTAGGTCCCCTCAAAGGCCCTTCTATTCACTCTATTTTGGGAAGGGTGAGGGAACCAGTGAATAAACAAAGGTCCTTGCTTTAAAGGCTGTTATGACCATAAAGTCTGTGTATTTCACAGCCCATGAGAGCAGCATCCTGAGATATTATTTATTGTCAAACTTCTCTTCTCAGGCCACACATCCCACTGCAATGGGGAATGGGACTGAGCAAATTGCAAGTTCTTGGTTCTATGTTCCAGTTGCAATCTTGCTTTCAGTTTTCCTGCTGTTAAAACAGCCTTTGCTGGTAGGACTGTGGGAAGTGAGAATAGATTTCATTTTACCTGCTGTGCATCAGCAGAAAAAACAAGTCTTTCTTTTCTCCTGGCAGCTGAGATTTCTCAGAGTTCTTCCTAGAATTGGATGTTATATATGATCTACTTTACTCATGCCCACCTGCATACACACCAAAGCCTGATGAGCGGTGCAAACCCACCCAATGTTTTCCCAAAACAGAAGTAACATGAGCACATGTGGAACTGTCAGAGGTGTTTGAACCAGAGCAACTGCATCTTGAATAGGAGCAGGGTAAAATGAGGCTGAGACCTACTGGGCTGCATTCTCAGATGGTTAAGGCATTCTATGTCACAGGATGAGATAGGAGGTTGGCACAAGATACAGGTCATAAAGACCTTGCTGATAAAACAGGTTGCAGTAAAGAAGCTGGCTAAAACCCACCAAAACCAAGATGGCCACAAGAGTGACCTCTGGTGGTCCTCATTGGTACACTCCCACCAGCGCCATGACAGTTTACAAATGCCAAGGCAACGTCAGAAAGTTACCCTATATGGTCTAGAAAGGGGAGGCATGAATAATCCACCCCTTGTTTATCATATTGCCAAGAAATAACCATAAAATGGGCAAGCAGCAGCCCTTGGGGCTGCTCTGTCTATGGAGTAGCCATTCTTTTATTCCTTTACTTTCTTAATAAACTTGCTTTCACTTTATGGACTCGACCTGAATTCTTTCTTGGCGAGATCCAAGAACCCTCTCTTGGGGTCTGGATCTGGACCCCTTTCCAGTAAAAGAACTATTCATTTTATCTTTTGGTCATCACCAAGCAAACACAACTATAAATAAGGAAAATAATATATGATTGTAATTTTACTCATAATCCCAAATGTCTTTCATGACCAGCACACCTTTGGTGTATTGGGTCTAAATCAAAGAAAAATTTGAGGAGTTGAATGAATGAGGTTTTGATATCTTAATGCACTTTGGAGAAAACCAACGGTTGCAAAAAGCTAAAGAAAACGAAAATTCATTGTTTACAGATCAGGCCATGTGTTTTTCATTTCTGCAATGGCGATGTGGTTGATTCCCATGGAACACAATGAGAGTGTGGTCTTCTCCTTTGAGATTGTATTTATTGATAAATGCAAAAATGCTAATGAATGCTAACTTGCTGGTTCTCCATGGCCTTCCTTCCTCCCTCCCTTTCCAAGAAGGGTGTTGTATCTGTCAGAGGCATTTGAACCAGAGTGGCTCCATCTTGAGTGAGGGCTAGGAAAATGAGGCTTGAACTTGCTGGTCGGCATTCCCAGAAAGTTAGGTGTTCCTAGCCTCTAGATGTTTACAGTTAAGGGAATAGATTGATAACGTTCACTAAACAGACCCAGAATTGGGAGTGTCCTGATATCCCGATATCTTGAGAACAGAAGCATTCCTAATTTTGCTTTAAGATAATAATGTTGATTCTTGAAAAATATAGTAATTAAGAAAATTAATCCTTTATCACAAACCCTTGTAGCAGAGCACATCTCCCCATGACCTTTTTTAATTCTCTATATAAACAAGCACTGTACCTAGGGGTGGGTGTGTTCCTTCTCTTACTTTCTGGAATGCCCTACTCTGTCTATGGAGTCGCTGTACTTTCACCACTTTACTCTTTTAATAAACTTGCTTTCACTTTGCACTGTGGACTTACCCTGAATTTTCTTGCCCAAGACCTAAGAACCCTCTCTTGGGGTCTGGATCGGGACCCCTTTCCTGTAACATATCCACCTGGTCAATTTAGAAGGCAGCTGTTATGTTTATCAGGATGAAGAAAATAAAACTCTTTTACTTCAAAATGTATTTCTATGATACAGTTTGAGACGGCTGTTCAGAAAGCCAGCAAACAGGAGGAGCCCTGCAAAGCTGTCTTGTATGGGGCGATTTGCGTCTGCAGATAAATTCTGCATGGAGGCAGCCAGGCTTTCTCGGAGACCATCCTCCCTCGTCTTACTGTAGGAAAGATGGACAGAGAGTCTGACATCTTTAAAGGTCTGAAAGAAACATTTGCCATCTATTCTCTCTGACGCCTGCTACCCAGGAGGTTTCATCTATATGACAAGACCACCTCTGCTAGCTTGGCCTCTTCTTCTCTTCCTCCCATAGCCTGTGTTGTCACAATGCAAGCCTCCATTCTTCAACCTCAAGATGGTGTGAAAGCTTCTGCACTCCATCCGGGGCATGGGGTTGGGTAATCACCCTATTAGTCACCCTACGATGCTCCCTGTGTGCAGGATAGTATATTTGTTTGATTTTTCTCCAACTAATTTTGCCTTTCATGAGTTGATTTTCCAGCAAAACTTCAGAGCAAAAATGAATGTTTTCCCTTGGCCTCTGCAAGGATAATGAATTCAGATGTAACATGAAAAATTTAGGAAAGATTGGGAGAATTTTTTTTTAAAGATCCAGGAATTTATCTTAGGGGAAAAAAAAGGAATAGTATTGGAAGGAGGATGCAGGAAGAATGAGAGAGAGAGAGAGAAAGGGAGATTGGGGAAAGTGAGGTGGAAGGAGGGTTTGTGGACGTCTGACATGCTGGAGAGATAGTGGGAATATGAGCTTAAGAGGTTCTAGTGTGTGCCTATTCGAGACACTGGTGAAACAATGGAATTATTTTTTAGAGCTTCTCTGGATATAGAAGATGGTTTCCATTTGAATGGGATGCCACCATGTTGAGCCAGGAAATAAGGCTTTCTTTAAAGGGGCCTCATAGTTCGCCAGCCTTTTGAAAAACTTGCCACTCAGGTGACCATGCTGGGTCTCCACTCAACTATTCAGGTTGGCTGTAGTAATTACTTGTCTTAACCTAACCTTCAGCTCTTTCTCTCCCAAACTGCAATTATTTGTCCATGAGTTAGAGCTGTCCTCAGCACCTCACCTTCATCCCCTGACTCCCATCTCAGGCAGTTTGGCTGCTCAAACTTATTATCACTGATGCCAAAAGGTGAAGACTTCTCATGTCTTCAGCACCCAGGGTAGCAAACTGCAGGACCAGTTTAAATGTTAATAGCATGTCTGTAATACACGCACAACCACATATACCACCATCTTTATGAAGGCTTAAGATGATGTATTCATTTTCCCTGTCATTTCCATAGGAAGCTGCTCTTTGTCACTCGGGGAAGGCCCCAGTTCCCTATCCAAAGTGGCATGAAGGAGATGCTCTAACAAAAAATGAAATGCAATTAGGGAACTGCTGTTCCTGTTTGAATGCTTAACATCAGCCTCATGGCTGGCACTATCCATCCCAAATACTGGCCAATGTAGCAAAGTGTGTGGGTGATCCCAGTGTCTGAACCCAGCCCAGAGTTGGCTAGCTCATGCCCCCTGTCTATTAGCAATTGGATGTGGGATTACTTCACCACCGTGGACTGGCCACTGAGAGGTGGCCCAGAGCCATTGTGAGAGGCAGCCTGTTGGGTTTTGAGAATGGCTCAGCCAATTCATGCACATGTCTGCTGGAATCGCCAGGGCAGGGGCTTTCTGGCTCTTCTCCTGACCTTCAGCATATATAGAGAGGTCATGAAGACAGAGGAATGCTTGATGAAGCTCTCAGGGTCTTTTTATTGAACCATGGCCAGTATCTTATCTTTTCTAGCTGCAAATGGTATTCCTGCTCAAACACGTGTCCTTTTATTATATAAAAAAGTAATGTGTTGTCTTTTTATTGAAATGGCAAGTGAATGGGAAAGTTATTTTTGCTTTGGAACAAACTGATAGGGAAGAAAAATCATCCCAATGGGCCGCCTCAACTGGTGTCTAACTCCTTTGCGACCTGAAAGTAATTGGAAGAAAGGGCTTTTGCTATAGACTAGAGACCCTCAGAGACCAAAATGCATATAGTGTTCACCCCACAAATGCCTTTAATGCACCCCCCCTTAGTTTCTATCACATTGCCATCCCAATTACTCAACACTGCCAGAGAAGATGTGCTCTGTAGAATTGTCATGAACTGTTGGTTAAACCGTGATGCTTTGAAGTGTCAATGGCAAAAGTTTGTTGTTGCAAATTTGCTCAAAACTATGCACATGAAACTTTTGTGGGTGGGCTCTCAGGTTTATCATTAATCATGTCTTAGTGATTTATTATTATGGATATGAGTATGTCATATCCATATGCGTATGTCAAAACTATAGCTATAAATGCAGATGTGCACATTGGTGTTGAGGATGGAACCAGCAATGGCTGGGTATGATTTCTGAGGACATTCGCTGGAATGTTGCATTCACAAAATGCCTGTAATCCTACCTCGATTTCTGAGACTTGCTGTAAACTCATAAAAGCAAGTGAAGGATAGACTACCACCTAATTTTCAGAACAATATAGTATGGCTGATTTTATGCAAAATTAATTACAGCATTACAGACTGAATTGTTCTTTGCCCAAGTGGTTTTCTCATCCACCTGCAAAGTCATTTCATCCCTTGCCATTGTCAGCATCCTTGGGCTTTATCAGTATCATTCAAACCACTTCATCCTCATCATTAACAAACTGGACTGTGGGCACCATCTCGGCCAGGTCGGTACTTTCCTCTGCCTTCCTTCTGCTGGTACTGAGATAAAGGAGGAACTCTGTCTTCTACCTTAAGAATCCATACTGAAGGAAGGGCATGGTCCGAAGTCCACAGCTGTTTTAACCATGCCAAGAGAAGTCCTGAGGGCAAAGGTGATGCAGCACATGATGATCTCAGAGCCCTTCTGTATGTGTTTGAGATGTCCGAGCTTACCAATATTGCATGAAGTACATCCTGTTTCTCAGGCTCTGGATTCATGAAATAGAGCTGGGAAAATGGAGCTCTGGAAATGACTAAGACTTGATTTAAAGGTTAAATTAAAACTAGGAGTACAGCAAGGGTAAGATTTCCCATGGTAGCTACATGATGGGCTAAATGTATCCTCAAGTTTCCTCTGTAGAGGTTGGTCTCATTTTTAATCACAAAGCGATTCACAGGTCCAGTCAATAAGGCGATGGGAGCAGTCAAGACCAAAGCATATTAGGATGTGAGAATCACTATGGAGCACATGCGTATGATTCTGGCCTCCACTGCCAGAATCCCTGGGTTCAAAATTTGACACTGCCAGGAACTGCTCATGTGAAGAATTACAGCAATGCCCTGGGCTTCTATTGCTTTCTCTCTGAAATGAGGGTATTTAGAGCATGCTATTGTTTCTGGAACATTACATATAAGTAAAGGAGGGATTTCCTCTTCTGGCCAAGAAGGAATAACATAGACTGGCTTAACTCTCGTACCTGAAACAACCAGAAAAACAAACAAAATATATGAAAGAGTGGTTTCATGACTCTGGAAATAAGGCAGTGAAGGACAGTGCTCCCTGAGAGCCAGGAAACTAACAAGGTGAACACCATGTTTGACACAGCTGACTGCCTTGACAGGGCTGTAGGGCACACAAACCACTCTGGGGAAAGAACCATCTGAAATAGAGAAAATAGTGCATGGTGCTCACACAGGGCTGGAAAGAGTGCCTGTTTCCACCAGCCAGACTGAAAAAAACCTTGTAATTCATGAGCCATTTGGCTAGACTACTCAGAAAGGTCTTGTGTGAATAGTGGGGAATATTTAGCTCCAGGCTGAGTCCTGCTCTGAATCTCCCTAATGATTCACAATAGCAAGGCTCCAATGTTGCCAATTGTCTCCAGGTAACTTAACCCAAACTGAGCAGATCGCTCAAAAATATTTGCAGGAATATAAAAATATCTGGCGTCTTAAAAAGAAGATTCACAGTGTTTGGCATCCAATCAAAAATGTCTAGGCATGCAAAGAAGCAGGAAAAAATGATACATAATATAAAAAACTCATCAACAGACACTGACTCGGAATGGATGCATATGTGAGATCATATTTTTGGTCTCAAGATTTTGCTGTTTGTTTGCTTCTCGAAGTCTCGTGGTTTTAGGTTTTACATACAGGTCTATGATCTATCTTGAGTAACATTAGGATGCATGTATGTTTATTTGTATGTATTATTTGTAGGCATAAACCAAAGTTCATTTTTTTTGCATATGAATATCCAGTTGTTCCAGCACCATTTGCTGAAAAGACTATCCTTTTTTCACTGAATTGTTTTGTACCTTTGCCAAAATCAGTTGTGCATATATATGTGAGTCTATGCTGTTCCATTGATCTACTTGTCTATCTTTATGCCAATACCACACTCTCTTGATTACTGCAGCTTTCTAACACAGCTTGAAATCAAATAGCATTTGTCTTTCAACTTTGTTCTATTTTTCAAAGTTAAACATCTTAACATTATTAAGTCTTCCAACGTACGCCCAATGTATATCTCCCCATTTATTTATGTCTCCTTTTATTTCTCTCAAGAATTTTTTGTAGTTCTCAGAGTACAGGTCTTATACATATCTTCTCAAATTTATTTCGAAATATTTCATATTTCTGAAGCTACTGAAAATAGTATTGATTCTTCATTGCTAGTATATAAAATAGTACATGATTTTTGTATATTGAGCTTGTGTCCTGTCACTTTGCTAAACTCAATTAATAATAGTTCTAGTAGCTTTTTTGTATATTCAATTGGATTTTTGATTATGTTGTCTAGGCATAAAGATGGCTTTACCACCTCTTTTCTAATCTGAGTGCCTTCTGTTTATTTTTATTTTATTACTGCACTGGTTCTGATCTCTTGTAAAACGTTGAATAGAATGGTGAGAGTTGGCATTTCTATTTTGTTCTTAAACTTAAAGAAAAGTATTAAGTTTTTACCATTAACAAGAATTTTAGATTTTTAGTAGATGCCCTTTATCAGGTTGGTTGAAGGAGTTCCTTTCAATTCTTAGTCTGCTGTAGGGTTTTAATAAGGGCTGGAGTTTGGGTTTTTTAAAAATGCTTTTTCTACATCTACTAAGATGATCACATTGTTTTTTTGTTTTTGTTTTTTCGTCTTTTTTAGTTTGACAATATTCAATATTGTGGGTAACACTGATTGGTCTTCAAATGTTTTGAAACAATATTATGTTTCAAATTACTTTTTACTTCTGTGACATAACCTAGCCTTCTCTCTTTTTTTTTTTTTGAGACAGAGTCTTGCTCTGTCGCCCAGGCTGGAGTGCAGTGGTGCGATCTCAGCTCACTGCAAGGTCCGCCTTCCGGGTTCACGCCATTCTCCTACCTCAGCCTCCCAAGTAACTGGGACTACAGGCGCTCGCCACCTCGCCCGGCTAACTTTTTTTTTTTTTTTTTTAGTAGAGACGGGGTTTCACCGTGTTAGCCAGGATGGTCTCGATCTCCTGACCTCGTGATCTGCCCACCTTGGCTTCCCAAAGTGCTGGGATTACAGGCGTGAGCCACTGCACCTGGCCGACATAACCTAGCCTTCTTTGTCTGAGTGTGTGTGCATGATTAAATAGATCACAGTATCACATTCTGCCAGGACCCACATGGCTGCAATGTATTCTTTTACTAGCAGAGTAGCACCTGAATCTTAGCAACGCCTCAGAGGTGATGGAACTGAACAGGAGTGAATCTGCCCAGGCATGAACGGCTCCCTTACAAAACAGTGTGATTGCAGTTTGTGTTCTCGGGTGTAATTACCTAGGAGGATTTCTTCAGTCTTCCATAAGAGAACTGTTGTAGGTGTTCTTCCTGCTTTTTTAAAAACTGAGAGCTGTGGCCAGCCTGTCAGAGCACGTCCTCTTCTTTCGGGCATATTCAGGATGTGCTTACTGGTCTGTTCACCCTGATAGAAGTTACTCTTCTCTGTCTGCTATATAGATTAACACCACTCACTGGAACTTCCATTTCCCAAAATTCCAATTCTGTCTTAAAGTCTTTTCTAAGCATGGCTTCTCTCTACATATTTGGTGCACCCTTCAGTGATTACAAAGATACTCCAAGGTCCTGCCATGATACTGAACAAAATTCAGATGTAGCAAAAGTGATCAAGGTAGGCAGCAAAGGGTTATCATTGTGGGGATGTAGTACAACCTCCCAACTGTGAAGCCTTGCACACATCACTGCATATATCTGTGCTTGACTTTTCTGAACCTGAATTACTCGGTGAACAGGGTACCTTGCAGTTTGAATGACCCTCAAGCTCTCAGAACTTCTCCAACTTTAAAGCGCCCTATTCTAAGAGAGAACTGTATTTGTTAACCCCAAGGGAGACAAGCTTGTCATTTCAGCCTTCCTTATTTAAAAAAGGTAATTTGTGCTGATTCTCCAGTACAAAGCACTTAAGTCAATTCATCATAGAAAGACCATTAGGTGTAAAGTGATAAATATACTATGTCAACTTTGAACATTTATTTAGCACTTTTCACTGTAAAAACTTCAGATTTCACAGGTCAGCAAAGAGAGGGTTTTGTTTAATTGTTTTGCATCATCAGATATCAATCTGCAGGGTAGGGGACATATCATTTAGGGAAACATGAAAGGGAAGGTAGGCACACCTCACTTTACAGAAATTTCTGCTGAAGCCCTAAATTAGTGTGTTGGTCTCCCCCATAAGCCTTCTGGCTTTTAGAGAACAGAGACTGCTTATTCTTATATTAAACTGGAGAAGGTGTTCTATAATGCATAACCTCTTAGAACTATAAATGTGTATTGTTTCTCTTTATCTCGACCTTCCAAGGGCCCCAGCAGCCTGCCCAAGGCTTCACTATCCTTGCAACAATCATGGCACGGTAGTGATGGGAAGAAAAGCTGCAGGCTCAGTGCTCCTTACCTACAGGGAATAGTGCTGATTCCTGTTGCAAAGCAGACCCATTATCAGAGGCCCATCAAGTCACACCATTCCCTTCCCTGCTGTCTCTTGGGCCTGCAATGACAAAGACATGGCAGAAACGCCACTATCCCTGCTCCTCTGCTTTGGCCAGATGCCACTGATGGATTGTTCAATTCTTCCCTGCAGAATCGTGCCCTCAGATCCTTCTGACAGTGTGCCAGATATCCAGCATCACCTTTGCAGTTTGGGAAGTGGCACCCAGCATCCACCCAGCGTGCCTTTCTTGATCTTGTCCATGGTGCTGAGATTCTGTGTGGCCCCCATGCGGTTGGTCTCGCTCCATGGGTCTCCATCCAGGGTGATGCCCACCCTCCTACCACCTGTGAACATTTGGTAATATCTAGAGACATTGCTGGTTTCCACCATTGGGAGTGGGTGCAACTGGCATCTAGTGGGAAGAGGCCAGGGATGATGCTGCACATCCCATGTTGCATAGACCCCCCTCCCACAGCAAAGAATGATCTTGTTAAATGTCAGTAGTGCTGATGGTACACAGACGATGTCCCACAGCAAAGAATAATCTTTTTAAATGTCAGTAGCATCAAGGTTGGGGAACTCTCGTGTGTCTGACAAGGAAACCTGCGATTCTCTCTCCTCTAGGATTGGACTCTGTCCCATGGTGCTGTCCACAATGACTGAGATTTTGACACCTAGATCTTCCCTTAGGAAGAAATCTTTCCTCAGGAAACTTAATTATCCCGCCAATGCTCACCAGCTGGAGTTTGACTTCATATTTTTATTGGTTTCCTGGAAACCTCTCATTGCATTCCCTCAGGTATCCACGATACCCAAACCATGCACACGTGTGACACACTGTGTTTAGCTTGCACAGCGTCTCATGCCAGAACCATCCCCAGCAGATTCAGCTCATTCTCCCATCGCAGCCCTGCTCCCCTATGCCCAGTTACCAGCAGGTCTCCCAGCTGAGCCTGCTGCATCAGGATAAAACCGTGGCCACGAGCCAACACTGAAAACTTCCACCTGCAGAAGTTG
Organism: Homo sapiens; assembly: GCF_000001405.40. Taxonomy (NCBI): domain Eukaryota; kingdom Metazoa; phylum Chordata; class Mammalia; order Primates; family Hominidae; genus Homo; species Homo sapiens. Next base: position 7,027,308 of record NC_000023.11, read on the forward strand.
GCTCAAGTGCTGCCTGCTAACAACCGAATAAGTAAACCTTTGCTGCAGGACCTACCATGTACGCAGGTGTCTTCTAATATTTCTCTGATTTTTCTGAGCTTATCCTAAGATAACTTTTTCACACTTCACTTGCAAAGCAGGAATACATATATATGTGTGTGTGTGTGTGTGAGTGTATGTATATACACATATATGAGAATATAGAGAGAATATATATATATTCACACATATATGTGTGAATATATATATGAGAATATATATGAGATATATAGAGAGAATATAGAGAGAATTATATATATATGAGAATATAGAGAATATATGTAAAGGAGAATACATATAAAGAGAATATATAATATATATAGAATATATCCTATATATTTAGAATATATAGAATATAGTTATTCTATTTATATAGACTACATTATAGTCTATATATAGACTATATATATAGAATATATTATTTTCTATATATAGACTATATATATAGAATATATTATTTTCTATATATAGACTATAGAATATACTATATTCTATATATAGACTATATATAGACTATATATATAGAATATATTATTTTCTATATATAGACTATATATAGACTATATTTTTCTATATAGTTTATATAGACTATATATAGACTATATTATTCTATATATATTTTATATAAAGTTTATATACTGTCTATATATTGTCTAGACTATATTATTCTATATATAGTTTATATATAGAATGATATTGTCTATATATTGTCCTAGCAAACTCATAGACTTTATTATTGTTTGATATATAGTCTAGTACAGATAGACAATATTATCATTCAATAAAAATATATAGATATATATAATAGATACATAGTCTAGACTATATAACAAATGATAATATAGTCTTTCTGTACTACTATATATAGTCTATATATTGTAAGGAGGAAGATAATGGCTCATTTTTTATCCAGGGTGAGACTCATAAACATGTATTACTGAGTACAGATATCTCAATAGAGACAAGAAAATTCAAATTACTGGCAAGGTACTGTACATAATTGTATCCAAAAAAATCGGGCTATTTTGCATCCTAGCCAAGTTACCCTGCCCAGTCACAAGATCACACAGGCCAAGTCACGTGATCACTAAAGCTGGCATGAGAGGCCCCGACTCATCCAGGGAGTAAGAGAGTGAAGTCAGCAGTGGGAATGTGGGAGCAGCTGGTCTGTGTAAAGATGTTCTGGGGAAAAACTGGGTCAGGCTTGGAAGACAAGGGAAGCGGTACCAGAGAAATAAGCTTGACTGGAACGAGGCAGCAACAGAGGCATTAATGCAGCTCAGTTCTAGAGTTATGGGAACTAAAAGGTACTCCGCTTGGCCAGCCACCAGATGAAATGGGTAAAAAGGGCTGCTTGAAATGTACAAACCACGTGACTGGGAAGATTTCATAAGCATCTATCTGCATGGGTTTGCCCGGACTGACATAACAAAGCGCCACGGACCGGGCCGCTTACCACAGACATTGATTCTCTTGCAGTCCTGGAGGCTGGAAATCTGAGACAAGGTGTGAGCGGGGCTGGTTCCTCCTGAGGCCTCTCTCCTGGGCTTGGAGATGCTGTCTTCTCCCTGTGTCCTCACATGGTGTTCCCTCTCTGTGTAGGTCTATGTCCTCATCTCCTCTTCTTATAAGGACACCAGACCTGTTGGATTAGGGCCCACTCTAGTGACCTTGTTTTACCTTAATCCAATCTTGTCCATTCTGCAGCCCTAGGGCCACATGCAGCCCAGGACAGCTTTGAATGTTGCCCAACACAAATTCGTACTTTTTTAAAACATGAGATTTAAACACGGACCTGTTTTTTCACTCATCAGCTATTGTTAGTGTATTTTATGTTTGGCCCACAACAATTCTTCTTCTTCCAATGTGGCCCAGGGAAGCCAAAAGATTGGACTCCGTTGCCTTAATCACTCCTTTAAAGGCCCTACCTGCAAATACAGTCACATTCTGAGGTCCTGGGGGCTAGGACTTCAATGTATGGATTGGGTGAGGGGGCCTCGACTCAGCTCATGACAAAATACTTCTAATGGTGGTTCTCAGTCTTTATTTTGAGGAAAGTGGTCGCTTAAATAACGACATATGGAAAAGATACAATTTAAGTAATAGAGACTTCCCAGGCAAACCCCATGTAGGGGGAGGAATCGAACATATCAAGGGCATTCCCCAAGTCCAAGGTGATAGAGGTGAGAAATGCTCACTTATTAGTGCCAATTTCAATCTCCTGATAGATTTTCATTTAGTATGCTGTAAAAGAAAATATCCCTGCAGACACTGGCACTTGAGGGATTACAGTGGTGGGGAGAAATTCCCTTATTTATTTGTGGAATTCTATGAAGCATTTCACAGGCCACCTTCTGGGGATAACCTGTTCATTGCCATGGAGTAAATCAATAGCCTTCATTTAGATTCTTAATTGGCAATTTAATCTCATTCACTTTACCCAACACTCATTGGCTGGAGGGATGATGGAGATTGGGAGCAGGCTCCTAAAAAGGGTCTTGAAAATGTTATTTCAACAAAGATTAATTTTGAGGCATTGAGAGTTTCAGAAAGGTTCACATTTTTTTTCTAAAGCTCTTCTAAGCCAATCTTAAATGAATCCTCAGAGGACTATTTCTGTGGGTGTGTGTCTGCTTGCGTGTGTGTGCATGTGTGTGTCTTGCCCCATTCCAATTCTCCATCCCCATGCTGAGGAGGCTGGAGGATTCAGAATGCAGAATCAGGTGTATTTTTTAAAAATCATTATGTCAGTCCTCACCAAAACACTGGCTATTTCTATCTTTCCTTCTCATTTTACTCTGCTATAGGAATCTAAGTAAATCATCTTTAGGAAATACCAAGACCTACCAGGGGCTTTAGATTCATGGCGGCCAACACAACCTAGTATTGATAACCCATGTAAATGTTTGCCATCCAGATGACAAGAATAATGACAAGAGAAAACTAACATGACCTGCCCCATGGTGTGCTAGATCCACATCTCTCGGGGAATGTTTTGAAGCAAGTTAATACAAGCTACTTGATAAAAGGCTTCCGCGATGGAATGAGATTGGGGAAGCTGAGTTAAACAAAACCAGTGTTCTGTGTTGGATGCTTCTCAAATCCTTAACCATGCTGAAAAGCTTAGAGTATTTCCAGGAGAATGGCATAGCACCCCACATCCCAGACCTGCACAGCCCCTGCTCAGGTCATCTTGTGGGATGAACAGTATGCAAAACACACATCCCAGAACATGCTTGGAGACAGGGGAGGCCACTCTCTAGCCTGGGAACAGTTCTGGCTCTGGCACACACTGACAAGGTGACACTGGGTGACTCATTTAGTCCCTCTGTAAACTGCCCTTCCTCATATGCAAGAGGCCATGGAATGTTGGCCTCTCAGACGTTACTGGCTCTAACATTATTTTGCCAAAAATAAAATAATTAGGGTGGATGTGTTATAGGAAAGGGGTCCAGATCCAGACCCCAAGAGAGGGTTCTTGGATCTTGCCAAGAAAGAATTCAGGTCGAGTCCATAAAGTGAAAGCAAGTTTATTAAGAAAGTAAAGGAATAAAAGAATGGCTACTCCATAGACAGAGCAGTCCCAAGGGCTGCTGCTTGCCCATTTTATGGTTATTTCTTGACGATATGCTAAACGAGGGGTTGATTATTCATGCCTCCCCTTTTTAGTCCATATAGGGTAACTTCCTGATGTTGCCATGGCATTTGTAAACTGTCATGGCGCTGGTGGGAAGGTAGTAGTGAGGATGACTAGAGGTCACTCTTGTTGTCATCTTGGTTTTGGTGGAGTTTCACTGGCTTCTGTGCAACCTGTTTTATCAGCAAGGTCTTTATGACCTGTATCTTGTGCCGACCTCCTGTCTCATCCTGTGACTTAGAATGCCTTAACTGTCTGGGAATGCAGCCCAGTAGGTCTCAGCCTCATTTTACTCAGCCTTTATTCAAGATGGAGTTGCTCTTGTTCAAATGTCTCTGACAGATGTAATAGGTAACGCTCAGACACTGGCATCAGAGGCAATGCAACCTGAACAGAATTGGCTGACATGTATCTCTGGGTATAAAGAAAGTCTCAGCTTTCCCCTGAGACGTAATGATGATTGTCCCTAAAGCTTGCTTCACCCTTCCACGCTAAACTCGCTCCACTGCTCCATCATCTGCTTTAAAGCCACAAGGACAGCCAGTTAGGTCTTTGTCATCATCACTTTTAACTTTTGTTTAACTTTTAACAAAGATTGGCCTTTTTAAAGGCTCAATTATATTTTAAAAAACAAACAAACAAACAAACAAACTGCCACTTACGCAGTCCATTGATTTTAAACAAAGCTGGCAATGCAAGTCAATGGGAAAATAATAGTCTTTTTCAACACATGGAATTGGAAAAACTGGATACCTATATGTATAAAAATGAACTTTGATCCCTTACCCCATACTCTGCACAAGCATTAAATTAAGATTAACTGAGATTTGACCTGAACGTAAAATCTAAAATTGCGAAGCTTTTACAATAAAACAAAGGTAGACAAAGACTCCTTCTACAAATACCTGGCACTAAACATTAAAAAATCATAAATTGTGCTTCATCAAAAATACATCTGCTCTTCAAGATAGATGAAAAGGCAATTCACTGACTTTGAGACCAAGTATTTGTGTTCAGAATATGTAAAGGAATTCTAAAACTCAACATAAAAAGACAAAAATAAAACAAAAACACATGCAAAAAATAAAAAAACAAAAAATGAGCAAATTATTTGGACAAAAAGTTCCCAAAAAAGGAAATGCAAATAGCTAGCAATCACATGAAAAGATGCTCAATATTATTAGTTATCAAGGAAATAAAAAGTAAAACCATAAGATACTCATACCCATTAGAATGGCTACAGTTAAAACGACTGACAATACTAAGTTTTGATGAGGATGTGGAGCAATTGGAATGCTCATGTATTGAGGTGAGAATATAAAATGGCGCAACCACTTTTAATAACTACCCTATGGCTCAACAATTCCACTTATAGATATACACCAAAGAGATATGAAAGCATATATTCATCCACACAAAGACCTGTACACAGATATTCATTGTAGCATTATTCATGATAACTTCAAATGGAGCAGAACCCAAATGCTTATCAAAGGATGAATGGATAAACATACTGTTACATATTCATATAATGACATACTACTAACAGATAAAAAAAGGAATAACTATTGTTACCTGCAACGGAAACACATATAAATCTCAGAAATAGTATGTTGTTAAATAGGCCAGATACAAAATAGAATATGTTGCATGATTCCATTTATATAAAGTTCTAGAAGAGGCAACATGAAAGCCATGGTAATAAGAACAGCAGTTGCCTGAAGTTTTGGGGGTTGGTGATATGAGGAAATTTTCTGGAGTGATGGAAATATTCTATATCTTTATTAGGATGATGTTTTCACAGGTGAATATATTTGTGTAAACTCATCAGAATATATAAAAAGATCCTACAACTCAAAATAAAATTTTAAAAAAACCACAAAAAGTTATTGTGATGGTTAATATTGAGTGTCAACTTGATTGGATTGAAAGGATGTAAGTATTGCTCCTGGGTGTGTCTATGAGGGTATTGTCAAAGGAGATTAATATTTGAGTCAGTGGACTGGGAGAGGCAGCCTCTTCCTCAATTTGGGTGTGCACCATCTAATCAGCTGCCAGCGTGGTAGGATAAAAGCAGGCAGAGGAACGTGAAAGGACTAGACTGGTTTAGTCTACTGGCCTACATCTTTCTCCCAGCTGGATGCTTCCTGCCCTCAAAAATCAGACTCCAAGTTCTTCAACTTTGGGAGTCAGACCTTGGAATACAGACTGAAGGCTGCACTGTTGGCTTCCCTACTTTTGAGGCTTTGGGATTGGACTGACTTCCTGGATCCTCAGCTTGCAGATGGCCTATTGTGGGACCTCACCTTGTGACCATGTGAGTCAATGCTCCTTAATAAACTCCCCTTTATATATACATCTATCCTACTACTTCTGTCCCTCTAGAGAACCTTGAGTAATGCAGTTATGCATTTTTATTAAATGTAAATTATGCCTTAATTAAAAATAAATATCTTCTCAACCTCCAAAAGGAGACTTTCTGTCTGAAACTTGAGAATAAGTCTAAAGTTTTCATTTAATAATGAATTTGTAAAAGACAGGAAAATTGATTTTGGCATTAATTTGTTCAACAAATATCTGTTGAGCATGTCCTATGTGGCAGTGGCTGAGTGTAGGGTGTGGAGTGGGTGAATGTAAGGAACATATAGTTCCTGGCTCCCTAGAGCTCATGGTCTAGGGGTTGGAGAGAATTGGTACATTGGGATTTTAAAGGGGGTGCCAAAGGTGGTGATGACAAAGCTCAGGGAAGAACAACTGGAGTGGAGGGAGGGCATCAACATGGATGCTGAACCAAGCCAATGTACTGCTAAGAGTGAGGTGGAAAGTATCATGCGAACCCCAGAGCTTCAATTGTCAATACATATTGGGGTGTGACCAGTAGATTGATAGAAGACAGCAAAGAGAGAGGCGTAAATGCCAATACAGCACAATAGCATGAGTTGTCAAGAGACAGGACTTTTCAAGGTGAAAGGAAGGGAGATGGTACTGAAGCAGCAGTCATGTCTATGACCCACCCAAGCCCTAAGCGATGACAGATAGGAACAGAGTCAGGGTCCTCAGAGGACAACCTAGTTTTAACTAAGGCAAGAAGTTGAAAAGAATATTTTAAGAAACATTTGAGGACATATTATAGTTTGCTGGCTATGGGGTAGGGTAGGGTGGAAGAGAGAGATTTGGAATAAAGGGTATGGATGGGACAAGACAAAGCAGGGCACCAGCCCTACCTTGGACCTTTCCTTAACTTGAGAAAGCTATGTCCATGTTGATTCAGCCAATCTGACTCAGGTATTATGTAACTTGAAGTTGAACCATCCCAACTGATATAAGTGGTGATACTGAGTAACACAAATGTGCTTTCTGGATTCACACATGCATTTTTTTTACATGAAAAGTTCAAACTTCTATGTGGACATTTTTTTCAACAGTATCCTCAAGAAGTATTCATCATGCAACTCTTTCTAGGAAAGGTATTTAAAAAAGAAGAAAAATGTCATTTCTGGCCTGGAATGTCAAGACATACATCTCTTAGAGATTTAGTTCTAATTATTATTGTAGAGTCTTGTGGGTATTTCTTATAATTTTAATTTTTACAAAAAACAAATCTGTTCATCCATGCATCTATGTATGTATGTATATATGTATGTATCTATCTTCATCATCATCATAATTATCCATCTATGATCTATCTATTGTGTATCTATCTAATAATCTATCTATGCAGAACTGCAAAATTTACAGGACTGGCCCATACCGCCCTCTGCTCCCCACTTTGTCTAATCTTCAAAATCAAGTTTCTGGACACAGGGCTATGAAATGCAAAATGAAACAGCTCATGTCCAATGGTCTGACAATCTGCTGCTCATGAAAACCTGAAACATCCAACTGAGTTTTTCATAAACATCAGCAGGTCTAGTTCTCTATCTTCAAAGAGAGTTATTTTTAATTTTATTAGGGGATACATTCTTTTTTTATAAAGAAATTATTAGGTATCAAAACACCACAATCTCTTTATGGATTCAACTAGATTATGTGTATGGGCAAAGTATTTTCAAGTTAAGAATAACATTCCTGTTCCTTGAACACTATTTTGAAAGTTTGGATTAAGGGATATTAACTTCCTTAAGACAAAACAGACTCACAGTTGAAAACCACCCACCTTCTGTATAGAAGTTGCTTAATTAATATCAATGATTTTTATTGTATTGGAACAAAATAGACTATAACTTTTTATACGATATATATGGGTTTATTACTAAATATTCTTAAAATGAATATAATGCTATAATATTCTTATTTTGAGGTAATATATACATAGTCTGCAAAAATTAGGTTTCCTGGTGTCATTAACCACTTATGCAATTATTTTTCTGAAATGAATACACATGCTGTACATGCAGTTTTGCCTGATATAAGTTTTAAAACAATGTATATTGGAATCTTGGAACTAAAAATGAGAAAATCAGTGTCCCCTTGATGTCAATTTCAGTTTCAACTGCACTTGCTATTTTATTTTTAATTGGTTACATTATCTCTACATTGTCACAGTTGATGGTATTTGTTTTCTTCTCTGGGACCATAATTTCCACAGATTTAACCATAATGCATCCTTAAAGATTACAAGAAATCTTTTAGACACAGCTCCTCTCAGTTGCTGAGGATCCAGCCTTTACTCATTTGTTTTCTTCATGAATATATATTTCCTGAGTTGTATGTTTGTACATAGCTATTTGTAGCCTTTGAAGTTTATGGAAGTTTGTTTGGTTGCATTCTTGGGGCACATTTTCTTTCCCTGAGGACTGTTAAGGTTTGGATATTTGATCCTTCCAAAGCTCATGTTGAAATTTAGTCCCCAATATTGGAGGCTGGGCCTAATAGAAGCTGTTTGGGTCATGGGGACAGATCCCTCCCATTGAATAGATTAATGTCCTCTCCTGATGGTGAATGAATTCTTCCTCTATTAGTTCCTGCAAGACCTGGTTGTTAAAAGAGCGGGCCACCTCCCCGGTTTCTCTCTTGCTTCCTCGCTCATGTAATCTCTGCACATGCTGGCTTCCCCTCCTCTTCTGCCATGAGTGGGAGCAGGCTGTGGCCATCACCAGACAAAGATGCCCAATTTTGAACTTTCCAGCCACCAGAATCATAAGCCAAATCATCCCTTTTCCTTTATAAATTATCCAGCCTCAGGTATTCTTTATAGCAACACAAAAGGGACAAGGACTTTTTATATCTTGCCCCACTGTCTTCTAGCATTTCATGTGTCACATAAAGAAATCTTAGCCTCCTAGGTTTTTGTTTTTTTTGAATATCCACAGAATTCTTTCCATAACTTCAAATACCAGGAATTTATTGGGATATTTGTTAATTATTCAATATAAACACAGCCTTGTAATTCTTGGGCTATTTCTGTCTGCAGATTCAAATTTCATTGTATTTCAGGAATTTCACCTTGAATTGTATCTTTGAAAATTTGTTTTCATGTTCCATTCATTTTTTAACCCATGCAAGGCATTTAGTGTTATAGATATTTGATCTCTTCCCTACCACCCCCTCCCATCCCCCTCTTTTTCTCTATCTCTGTCTTCCATCTTTTACTTTTTGTTCTTTTCCATCTCACATGCTCATTTTTTCTTCTCAAAACCATCCTTCAAATTCTTTCAGTGGTGTCTCATCTCCTTTTTGCTGCTTCTATCATGACCTTTGATTTTGGTCTCTTTTTGTGTCTCTCTCTCTGAGATTCTGAGGCTCTGCCTATTCCGTTTTTATTCTCATTTGTTTCTAATTTGTTTCCAAGACTCTGTCTGCTCCCTTTTCATTCTCATTTATTAGTAATTTATTTCTGAGGCTTTACCCACTCACTTTTCATTCCCGTCTAACCTAATGTATTATCAGTTCTTCCTTAAAGCCTTATATTGCTTCTTTAAATTCTCATTTCAGAGAAACAATATTGTCTTTAATTGATTCCTTAGAAATAACTTTGTTCACGGTTTTTGGCTGCGTTGTGGTATACAATCTTTCCGGTTCTCATCTTCATAAATCATGTTCTGTTCTTCTTTTTTCATTTCAGCATCATTTTAAAGGCCCCCGGCTGGCTCCACCCTTTTTAAGTAGCACTGTTCCTCATCTTTTTGGACTAGAATTTTGGGCAAAGTTCTGGGGAAAGGGGAAGAGGAATGTGCTAAACAAATGGGAAGATTGGTTTCAGTCTGTTATCTCTGGGATTTTTCTCAGCTGGACTTGGCCTGTGGGTTATCTGGTCCAGCATAGCAGGACATCTTCCAGGCTCACAAGGAGGCTGTGCATTTTACAGAACATTTTAATGTGATTATTTTACCTTGACTTATCTTCACCAGGCAGCTTTGGGCAAAGATGGCCAGGTAGCTTTTATCTTATTGACTCTTCCTTCTATCCTATGCCATGATTGAAACATGATGTAGGCTTCCAAAACCAGGACATGAACCTTGATCTTAACTTTCTAAGCATGGGATAAACACATTTCCTTTCAATGTGTGCCACCCAACCACTTTGGATAACTATGAACTGGGTCCACTCTGCCTGAGTCACACATAGACAGACACCTTCTCTTGGAGTTCCCAAATACCTCCATCCACTTTTCATACACTTGGCTATCTTCCTGCATCTACTGTGATCCAGGGTTATAGGGGATCTGTAGCTTCATCAAAGATAACATTTGTTTGTTTCTTATTCTCTTGTTTGCTTTGGATTGGTTTCATAAAGGAAATGAGACAAAAATATACTTATACTACCATTTGAAAAGAAAAGATAAATTCCTTCTTTCAAATTCATTCCTTTTTTTTTCTTTCCAATGAATCTCATGGGGTGAGGGGAGGACTGAAGAGAATGTCTAATCTACTCAAATCCAAAAAGTCACAGGTATAAGGCACAGAAAATTTTACCAGTATAATGATGGCAGTTTTAATGCTATATAAGGACAGACTATGCAAAAATGCTGTTAATGAGGATGAGGAGCTACAGAACAAACCTGATGAGGAACTGTAATTCTATGAGAATGATGTATATAGCCATCATTTTTTTTCTTTAATCCAAAACAATTAGATTGCTTATATAGACAGCCACATTCAATTCTAAGCTATTTGATTGAAATGCACCAGAGGATGCAGATATATATATATCCTTTTACCTTAATTTCCATTTTATTCTTTCCCTCCCATTTTATCTGTGCTATAGAGTACATTTTTCCCACTTGAGCTCAACATGCTGTTGTGCAGAAAGCCTTCTCTTGGGAGTTCCCAAAATGTTGGCCCAGATGAGTGGAGCAGACATTTGGCCCAGGTGAGCATAGCACATATTTACATGAAATATTAGGGAGCATCCATCTGGGCTATGTGACGTAGGCTGGCAATACACGAAAGAGGATTCTGATTTGTTGTATAAATCACCTTCAGAGCCCCCAACAGTGAACACATAGGGGGTTCTTTTCATTTTCATGATGCTTAATATAATCCTTAAAAATAATTAAAATTAGGTGAAGTGTGTAGATTTCTGAGAGATTACAGAAAGACACTAGTTTTGATACCTCTTGCTTGTAGCATTTGACTGATGTAAACAAACTAAAAGGTTTAAAAAGAACAGGGATTCTTCCCAGTAGTATAGTGCAATGGGTAGGGAAAAAAAGCTCAAAATTGATAAATAGACCAATATTATTCTCAAAACTCATACCATTGTGATTGGGAAGAAATTAATACATATTACTTAGTCACTTCATGTTACTATATACTTCTATTAAAACAGCAAAAAGGAAATTATAGGAAAAAAGTCATACATTTAAAGGATGGAAGAAAATCCTAGGTTTACTCAGAGCTCAAGATCCCATTGGGATGAATATCGTTCTTTCCTCGGATTGTTCCTTCATTTCATTCATTCACTTATGTATGCATTTATTTATTTAGAGATGGGGTCTATTTCTGTATTTATTTATTTATTGATTGATGGAGTATTGCTCTGTTGCCCAGGCTGGAGTATAGTGGCACAATCATAGCTCACTGCAGCCTTGAACTCCTGGGCTCAAGTGATGCTCCTGCATCAGCCTCCTGAGTAGCTGGGACTACAGGTGTTTGCCACCATGCCCCGCTAATTTTTAAGTTTTTTTGTATTGATTGGGTCTCCCTATGTTGCCCAGGCTGACCTTAAACTTTTCAGCTCAGCGATCTTCTGCCCTGGCCTCCCAAAGTGCTGGGATTACAGGTGTGTCCCTTCATTTCTAATGAAGGAAGGTTTTCCTTTGAATATCTCACAACAGATATTTTTAAAAGAAAGGCAGATTTGAAGCAACCATCAACAAGGTTTATTTGAAAATTAATCTGATATTTACAAGTGCATTATATAACAGAAATGTTACAGACTGAATTGTGCCACGCCTACCCCAAAACTCTTATGTTGAAATCCTAACACCCAGTACCCGGAATGTGATTGTATTTGGAGATGGGTCATTAAGGAGGAAATTAAAGTAAAATGAGGTCACATGGGTGGGCCCTAATCCAATAGGACTGGTTTCCTTACAAGAAGAGGAGATGAGGACACAGACACACACAGAGAGATGACCCTGTGAGGATGCAGGGAGAAGACACCACCTACAAGCCCAGGAGAGAGGCCTCAGGAGGCACCATCCCTGCTGACACCTTGATCTCAGACCTCTAGCTTCTAGAACTGTAAGAACAATTTCTTCTGTTTAAGCATTCCCATATGTGGGACTTTGTTATGGCTGCCCAAGAAGCCTAATGGGAGTGCAAAGACTTTCTTTAAATAATGTATAACAATGTTGGTTTGGAAATGACTATCCAGTGTTGAGTTCAAAACTTTATCTTTATAGGTGCTGCTATGAGTAAGTGTCTAATTTGGGGGCATAATATTGACATTCTTCGGGAGAAATGCAGACTCCAATCAGTGCAGAAAATGGCACAGAATGTTTAAAAATGCCCTCCAGGCCATAACATGGTTGGGTTAGGAGGAGGAATACTAACCATTCCAATCCTAAAACAGAATTTTGGGTTTCTTTCTGTGAGTTCACCACCTCTGACCTTCACAGGTAAGGGACCATCACACAGACATCTGCCATTTTCATATAACTCTCTATCCAAACAAAGGCTGAAAATTCAGCATGGAAGAACTCTCCCAGCACCCGTGGTCAGCCCCTTGGCCTGCATCCCCACCCTGGGCACTGGTGTGGGGGTGGGATTCTTTATGAACTTGGGCCCCAATTCTGCTTCCCCTGGAAAGCTGGACCCACACAACATCACCCTCATATGCAGACCCTCATGTCTGGGCACCTGTGCCTACCCGGAGCTGGGGGTCTGCTCTAGGAGCTGGTTCAGGACAGGTTACTCCCATCCAATCTGTGCCCACCACAGAAAAGAGCCAGCCAAGTGCCTGCTACTGCAGGGCTCTTCACACATGGAAAAGCTGCCCTGGGGAAGTGTCCCAGGAAAGGGCAGGGGGACAAAAAACAGTCACAGTGATTTGCCTCCAGACACTGGACACTCTTCCCTGGAGAGTACAGGGATGCTCCTCTCCAAACCTGATCTTGCTACATTTGTGCTGCCCACAGTAGGGGCGCCACTGAGTTTTCAAAGAAGACAGCAGGCCCTGAATTGTGCAAGGAAAATAAGTGCTTGAATTTTGTAGAATGCATGCAGCGTTCTACTTTTAAGAATGGTACTGGGCTCCTCTGATATTCAAGAAAGGCCCCCGACAGCTCAGATGGTAGTTTCCTAATCCTGTCTTCCCACATGCACATTTACCTCCTCCACCCAAGAACTGAGTAACAGACATGAGTGCTCGGGACATCATGCTGTCTACTGTCATCCCCTTCCTAAGACCCCCTCTCCCCATCTCTTGACACCCCTGTTCTTAGCTCCCTCTTTCTTTCTGGCCTGTTACACTCAACCTCTCCAGCGTCCTAACAAGTACCCACTCAAACCTACTTCCTCTCCTGCTGTGCTTCTTCTTCAAAAGTACTTTGCTTCTCATCCTCCCCTTCTTTCCTTGCCCTCTTCCCTGCTTCCCTCTTCAAAGCACTTCTCAGCTACAAATGAGAAGGAAGCGATCTGATTAAACAGGCGATGAGCAGAGTCATGTTCTGAGGGGATTTGCATTTTTAAAAGGAGATTAATGACGACGTCTCACAATGTCACCCTGGAATCTTATGCAGAGTGACAGGGGAGTGGGGATGAGCTCCGTTCAGGGCAGGAAGCGAGAGTTTGGATCTGAAGTACTTTTCAAATGCTGAAGTCATAGGAGCTTGCAGTTGCTTCCTGGGCGGGGCCATAAACAAACATCTCTTCTGCTGAGTGGGGTCTGAGAAGATAGAGGGAACGGTGACCCAGGAGCTCTGGAATTATCTGGCTGTGTTACATTTGCAGGACTGCACAAATTTAAGTGAAAAAAACATGCTTTTCGTCCACCTGGCTGGCCTCTTAGCCTGCTCTCCTCTTACTGTTCCCTCGAAGGCATCATTTTTTGAAAGAGAAATTTAAACTCTGTCCATCTCATCCCCTTTGGAAGAAAGTTAAGATTCCTTTCTGAGCTCTTTCATCATCTGGAGTTTAAAAGCTTCCCCTCCTCTGTCAACTCTCTTTGAATCCCTCATGTCACAGCAAACTTCAAAAGAGACAAATACTTTTGCATGACTCCCTGCAAGCTCCGTTTTGACCTGTAGTGACAGACCCATGTCTTGGCTTTCCTGATTGGAAAAACTTCTCAAGCTTTCTGCATTCATGATCTCTGCTTCTTCAGTGCAACCTTCTCCAGTTTGTCTCTGATCTCCAATGGTCCCTGCATTAATCCTGTCCAAGCCACAGGTGACCCTCATATCATCTCAGCTTCTACTTCCCAGTCTCTCTCTCTCTCTTTTTTTTTTTTTTGAGACAGGGGTCTCACTCTGTTGCCCAGGTTGGTCTCAAACTGTTGGGCTCAAAAGATCCTCCGGCCTCATCTTCCTGAGTAGCTGGTAGGGGTGTGAGCCCTTCTGCTTGGTCTCCAGTCCTTTGCTTTTCCTTTTTGACCTGTACAACATTTGGTGGTTGACGTCCATGTTCATGTAATTGTCTTCTCTGGTTTGTCGGGGCCACCATGCATTCCCTTCTCCCTCTTTTCATTTATTATCTTTTCATCTAGTAAGACCCATCTTCCCCTAAAGATGTATATCTTCCTCAAGGCAAAGATTGGCTTACCTTCACAAACTGAGTCTCCAATGACAACATAAACTGAAATGCAATATAAATCATGGACAGAAGTGAGCTCATCTTCTACTTCCTGTGTCCTCTGCTGGTTCTTCTCACCAACGTCACGTATTGCTAAGTAAGCGAGTGATGTTAAGTTAGAAAATGGACTGAGTCCATTAATTCATTTGGCATGCTCCAAAGTCCTCACCTGAGATCTATCTACTCTCCAAATTACACTTGTTAGAAATACAGGAAGATCCTTTTCACATGAGCTAATTAGGGTGAATACAAGTAAGTGTTGGTAAGAAGTACTAGAAACACTGGAATTTGTGAGATTTCATTGAAGAACCAACTTCCACCCAGCCCTTCACATTGTTCTCTTTTGGTAGTTTCTTGTCATTTCCTCCTTTTGTTATCAATAGAGCTGCTGTGAACATGCATGTACAAGTTTCTGGGTGGACATATGTTTTCATTTTTTGGGGGGGGTAGACATCAAAGAGTAGAATTGCTGGGTTGTATGATGAATCTGTGTTCTAATTTTTCAGAAACTGGACTTCTACTGCTTCCTGATTTCACCTTCCATGCCATTTCTGCAGTGAGGCCCACTCCTTGGCCTTACAAGACCTGAATTAAGTTAGGTGCCCAGAGCCGTTCTGTCATTGACTCTGTTCTTTCCCTTGCTAGCCTGTGTAATAATTGGCAATCAGACCTTTAAGTGAGCAGTGGTTTCATATGTCTCCCCAACTATATTACAAGTTCCACGGGGGCAGGGCTATGTCTATCTCCTTGACCTCTGTATTTGCGATGCCTGGCAGAGGGCTGTGAACACCGGCCACCCTCCATAAACAGTGGGAGACAAACAAGGGAGTCAGTAGAGTTAGTTTTTGCTTTTTTACCCCCAGAACTCTTAGAATATGATTTGAGCTATTCCTTCAAGAAGTCCTGGGGCAGGTGATCATTCACAGATGACATGAGGGAGTGCACAGCACGTGAGTTTACAGGAAAATGCAAAACCCACGTTGAAATTTGATCCCCAATGTTGGAGATGGGGATTTATAGGGGGGTGTTTGGGTCATGGAGGCAGATCCCTCATGAATGGCTTGGTGCTGCCCTCATGGTAATGAGTGGGTTCTCTATTCAATCCTACAAGAGCTGATTGTTAGAAAGAGCCTGGCACCTTCCTCTCCTCTTTCTCTTGCTTCTTCTCTCTCACCATGTCATCTGT
The DNA here is from genome assembly GCF_000001405.40 of Homo sapiens. Classification (NCBI taxonomy): domain Eukaryota; kingdom Metazoa; phylum Chordata; class Mammalia; order Primates; family Hominidae; genus Homo; species Homo sapiens. The sequence continues at coordinate 7,043,407 of NC_000023.11, forward strand.
GCACACAGCAGCTCCCCTTCCCGTTCCACCATGAGTGGAAGCTCCCTGAGGCCTCACCAGAAGCAGATGCTGGTGCAATGCTTCTTGTACAGCCTGCAGAACTGTGAGCCAAATAAACCTCTTTTTTTAATAAATTATCCAGCCTCACTCAGGTATTCCTTTATAGCAATGCAAAACTGATTAAGACAGGGTATCAGGAGACCTAGCTTTGCCTGAATCTGAGAACTTCATCAGGACTCTTGGAACAATTTAGCCCACAGGTCCAAGGCTGATTTTTGTCACAGTGAAGTTCAAGTAGTAAGAATTCTCACTGGTGGCTGTTGAGGGTGGTGGTGGTGGGGATGGGTTATATGGAGAATTAGCAGTGGGAGACAAGAAATTAAAGTGGAGAAAGGGAAGAATTAAAAGTCAAAAACAGTGTGAGGGAGGAAAGCAATGGATATAACACCTCGGATCTTTATCCTTGAGAGGCCTTAAAAAATCTACTTAATAATAATCAGATGCTATTCTATAAGAACTTTGAGACTAGACATGTGATGACTTTTAGGAACCTGCACTGTGGCTGAAAATGCATGCAAATCTAACTGACTCAGATCCAGTCTTAACTGGCTCATAACTTGCTTCATAAACATGACTGTATGTTAGCAAGGAAATGAGAGAGAATAACAGCACATCACATAGGCATGAAAAGTATTTGCAAAGCAGCAGTTCTCAAAAATGACATTTTGCAGTGTTTTCCAGAAGCAGATTCAGAAAACTGAAGACCAAAGTAATGAGGGAGCCGTTTCATGCCTAGATGAGCAGAAGCATACCAAAGGCTTAGTATTTCCCCAAGTAGTAGGCATCTCAAACTTATTTAAGGAAAATACTCTTGATGAAACAGATACTGCAGTTGAAGCAGGAATGTGTTTGGTGTGCTGCCTTAAATAGCATGGGTAGATGTTCAAACATGTTAGGACTCACTGGCCCTAGGAAAGACCCGCAAGTATCTGGTCTACACCAGGAAAGTGACAATGAAACACCAAACACCTTTTCTCCTCTAATTACCAAGAAAAGTATTTCTTTCCCAATGGTTGAAGACAATAATGTTGGGAATGATGAAGTTTTCTGGAGTGTGAAGTGGATATGTCTTATAAGTTTAATCCATAGCTTCACCACTTCATAAGTGGATAATCGAATTGTGCCCCAGTTTCCTCAGACTTGGGGATATTAAGAGTACCCTCAGTCACCACAAGGTGGGTACCAACATAAGAAAAGAGTGTAGCAAAAGCCCAGGGGCGCATGTTCTTAAAGTGCCTAGTGTGGGATTAGAATGACAAGTGGTAGGTGACCTACTTGTGCAGAAATTTAGAGTTATTTTGTCATTTTCAAATGATCATCAGCATATGAGAATACTTTATACTAACTGTTTCCTGTGAGTTTTCCCTATTTCAGCAACTATCTCGTCTGTGCCTTTCTTTGCTAGGTAAGCACTTTTCTATTGGTTGGTGGGCTTAGCAGCTCTTGGTTTTGCCTTCATGGGAGACAAATAGCATGCACCCGAGTAGTGGTAAAGGAATGGTACCCTTCAGGGTGTTCTGTCCTGGGCCTGACAGATCCCCTGTGGTTTCGCTCTGTGTCCCCCCCCAAATCTCATCTCAAACTGTAATCCCCACATGGGATTGGTGGGAGGTGACTGGATCATGGGGGTGGTTTCCCCCATGCTGTTCTCATGACAGTGAGGGAGTTCTCATGAGAGCCAATGGTTTTAAGTCTGGCACTTCGCTCTTTCAGTCTCTGTCCTGCTGACTGTGAAGAAGGTACTTGCTTCTCCTTCCAGCATGATTGTAAGTTTCCTGTGGCCTCCCCAGCCACACAAAGCTGTGAGTCAATTAAACCTCTTTCCTTTATAAGTTGCCCAGTCTCAGGCAGTATCTTTTTAGCAGTGTGAAAACAGACCAATACACGCTGGCTTTTGGTTCTCTGGGTTTCCTGGATTTCTGCCCTACTAACATACTTGATTCCTGGCAGTGAGGGGTTGGTCTCCACCTGGCTGGTATCTGCATGCCAGGCTTCTGGTCTAGCTTGCAGTCTAACTCTTTCCAGGTGCATATGCTCAGATTCAAGCTCCCCAGTCGTCCCCTTGTCCTCTTGGCTGGTGGCATAACCCATGCCTGGGCATGACTTCCTGCTTATATGGACTGCTTGGAGTTTGCTTTTTTTCTGTTTGGTTGTGTGGAAGTGACCCTAAGAGATGAGCCTGGGCATATTCGAAGAGATAATGACTGAGAGGTTTAGCCATACATAAAACAAAGCAGAGCCCCAGGGAAATCTAAAAAGTCCAAACAAGATCAACACAAAGTAAGCCACACCTCAACAGACCAAAGATCAAGAGCAAAACCTGAACGGTAGCTAGAAAAAAAGAGACTGCCTTAAAGGTGTGACTGCAGCACCAAGAGCTGGTTTTTCAATGGAAAACAGGAGTCAGGTAAAAAGAAAGCTACATATTTAAAAGATGAAAAAATATTGCTCTTAAACTGGAATTGAATATGCAGTGAAATGCAGTGAAAACATCCTTGAAAAGAAAGTCAAATACAGACACTGTGAGACAAACAACTGAGATGATTTGCCATCATCGGATCCATATATGTAAACACTAAATGATGTTATTCATTGACTGGAGTTTCTAGAAGAATGATAATTAAAATTGATAGTGAAAATTCTTTTTTGTTTGTATTATGAACTCAATTTGCTCCACCTCCCTCCAATTCCTACACTGAAGCTCATTAACCACCGTAATGTGTCTGTATTTGGAGCTAGGACCTGTAAGGAGGTAATTAAGGTTAAACAAGGTCATTATGGTGGACTCTGATCCAATAGGACTGAACTCCTTGTAAGAAGAGGAGATGAGGACACAGACACATACACAGAAGGACAACCATGTGAGGACACAGGGAGAAGACAGTGTCTACAAGCCAAGGAGAGAGGCCTGAGGAGGAACCAGCCCTGCCCACACCTTGATCTCAGACTTCCAGCTTCTGGAGTGTGAAAGAATAAATGTCTGTTGTTTAAATACTCTAGCCTGAGGTATTTTGTTATGGCAGCTGGAAAAGACTAAGACAGTTCATTTCTGACTTTTAAATGGAATGACTATTTTACCACTATGTACAGTATTAACTGTTGGTTTACAAACAGATAGGTATTCTTTATATTTATCTATTTATTCTCAGTTTATTTTGACTCTGAATATGGAATACTGCCAATTCTTTCCTAAAGTGAATTTTGAAAATACATCATTTTAAGTGACTTTGCCTATGTGAAGGATGAATTCACCATCCCTTTCACACGGTTTTGAAATAAGCAGTGAATGAATATGACTTCATGCTTCCCAAGCCTTCATCTTCGCTCAGAGATTAGGGAATATTAAAATTCTCAAGTAGTTTTTAAAATACATTTTGTCCCCTAGAGAAATAATTATTAACATTTTGGTAAATATTTGAAAATATTTTCATGAAAAAAATTCATTTCATATACCATGTTGTTGAAATTAACGTAGAACTTGAAAATTATGGGCATTTTGCAATGAAGAATATCCAATGCTTTAATACAAGGGTGATAGTTTTACAGTTTCAAAAGGACTCTGTGAGAAGCCCCTGCCATACTGTTGGGAACCAAGGAAAGGGAGGCAACGACTTAATCCTTCACAAACAACTTAGGTCAAAAGATGTACAGAAAAAAATGTAGTTAATTTGAGGAGCAATTAAATCGGAACAGGTAACACAATGATCTCACTGCGAATTCCAACATTTCTCTCTGTCCCTTGTGTTTTCCATGGTGCTGGAAAAAGATCTCGAAACCAACCCCAACATGTCATGACTAAAGTTTAACAGACAAAATACCCTAAGTTATGTTCTTATTCAGTTTTGTACATCTACAATGACTGTCATGTAAGTAAACAGTATTTCCTGAATTAATTCTATCTGGATAACAGTTTTTCTGATGAAAACAATTACAATCCATGGAAATATTGTGTGGCTAATGAAGGAGAAAAAAATAATATTGCTTATGTGTACAAAATATTATCTATTCAAGAGACTCATAAAGAACCAGAATATTTTGAGCCATCCTGAAGATCTGCTTTCAGAGATAACGTGTACTCCTCAGCCAACAAATATTCTCACCAACATCTTCGTAAAGCAAGTCTCTCCAACCAACAATAACCACCAGAGAATACTACAGACTTTGAAATGATACTAATATCCCTTGCTCTTTAACACTTCATTTTCTCTTTTTAGAAGATAATAGTTCTAGAGATTGCTTGTGAGACAAAGAGTCTCATGTGAGACCAAGGAGCTTTAGCCGACTGCTTGTGGAGCAGAAGAGTACAGTGCAGACTACAGAACAATGTTCTGCAGAGGCATTATTACAGATAGGTGAAAACTCATTATTTTTCATTATAAAACTTGTTCTAATGTGCACGTTTTTTAAAATTTTGAAACACCATATAAAATGTGCCAAATTTAGCATAACTGCCAAATGTAATCAAAGAAATATAAACTGCAGTGTCTAGACACTGACTACTGTTGCACAGCAGCATCACTCCTATTCCTTAGAATGCCGATTCTTTCAAGTATAAGACAGGTGTCTTCCAGATTATTTTTTTATATAAAACACCAAACTCCATCTGAGGATTTATGAGGTGGAAAAAAAGTCTAATAAGTAGTAATCAGTAAGTTCTTAAGTGTTGTGTATGTTTCATTTAAGTGAAATTAAGATGACGTTGATAGCGCCATCTCTTGGATGATATCAGCAGTATAACAGGTCCTTCCTAGGGGCACACAATATATAAGCAAACATTAGCTGCTAGTTACAGCACACCTGTATACATTCTACTAATCACTGTGTGTCCCTAATACGACATACTTTCAATGAGCTATGAAAGTATAATTACTCTTTAAACTTCCTTGGCATGTATCACTCTAGTGTAAATTTGTATTACCATATCTCTGTGAAATCCATGAGCTATTCAATGGAGTAACATCACTAAAATGTATTGAAGCAATTTGGCTAATGTGGAAGAATAAAAAAGAACGTATGTGCTTTGGCCAAGCATCAGTGTGTGTCCTTTGTCTAAAAATATAAGAATCTGGCAGCAGCTTTGGTTAAAAAACAGTAACGGACATGAGATCAAATTTACCCTGTAGGAAATTCACCCAGATGTAGATGCACATCACTTAGATATGCATTACACCCATTTGTCTTATTCATACAAAATGGCTTAATGATTAGAAAACACCAACATAAATACTTGGGAAGGAGAAGATACTAAATCAAAGAAGTAAGTCTTTCATTGAAAGCCTCTATTCACCACTGCAGGAGCAGGACGGCTCACTTAAAATATATAAATATCCGTTTACAGTTGGAGTACTAATTGGGATTTTTAAAAAATTTAATTAGTCACATATATATTTTACATTTCTTGGAAGACTGTTTTTTTCTTTTTAAGGTAAAATCATGACTCTCATACAAATATCAACATGTGTCAAAAGATTTTATTAAACTAATTCAATTTGTTAGGGAAATGGTAAGATGTTACAACTGGTTAAGAGGAGCATTAAAAGTGCAGACATATATTCAGGCCATCAAGAATGAGGAAATGAATTTGCTAAATTGATGCAACATCAATCAATAGCCAGGGCCTGTCATTCACAGACAATCACTCCACCACACGCACACATACATTCCTACGGTTTGTCCACAACTTCCAGAGCTGAAGAGTAGCTCAAGGACATCAAAGGGCAGAGGCCCCTAGGAAGGGCTGAGCCACAATGAAGCAGTGCTCCTTCACTCCCGATTTCCATGGCTACCACCGTTTTTCTCTGGCAAATCAGAGACGAATTTTAAAGACTGAGTAAATCTATAAAAGCGATTAATCACAGAAGTTCAATGTCTGATAAATTATTCCAAAAGTGTTCCTGGGCACTGAGACTCACCAAGCATACATTCTGAAATCAAATTCTATTTCTATCCAAAAAGTGCAGCCCATCAGTGTTCTTAAAGGAGGCAAATGGTTGTTGTGAGGTAGCAAACATTTTCCAATGCAGGTAAGGATGTAGATACCAGGTAAATGTTACAGTTGTGTTCATACTAACAATAAACTATGGATGACGTGGCACAGAGTCAGTCAATGAGGAAAGATCCAGAGACATTCTGAGGTCACAAAAAGAATTTAAATGTTAGCTAACAAGGAGTGCTCATCAAAAACAGGACTTTCCCACTCAGACTGCAAACCAGGCAGAACTACCATCTCGCTTTATCAGTTGTCATTGCATGTTGACATCAACACTGAGGAGAGTGATGCAGACGATAGATATAAACATATCTACATACATATGCATACATAAAGCATATACTTATATGCATACACAGTTTACATTTCCCAGCCAGTGTTCAGAAAAACTAGAAGAGAGAAGTGATGTTCCATTTTGTCTTGGAAAAGTATATATTTTACATATACATGCATGCATATGTCTACATACATATGCATGTAATGCCTACCTGCATATTACCAAACTGATACACACATGTATATATGGAGGTGTGTGTGTATATACATGTACATTCACTTTATCACATACTCCATCAGCTTGACTTCTGAGATGGTAATTCAAGTTTCATCTTTGTTCTGGGCTTCGTTTCTGTCTCTACTGTATTTTTTGTCTCAACCGTCAAGTCACATTTTATCAACACGTTAGACTGGGACAAACCAACATGGGATGGAAACTCCAATCTCAGGAGGCTAAAATCACAGCGCAGGTTGGGATTGAAGAGTTGCTGATTTCCTTTCCCTTTCCCCCAGCAGTGTGGACCATGAGAGTGGGCTGGGGGCGGAAGACTGAGGCCCTCCCTCTCACTCATAGGAGGGCAAACCAAACAGCTCGGGCTGGAAGTCCTGCAGGGAATTCAGCACCAGGGTGGCCTTTGTTGTCAGATCTCGGCTCAAGTTTCCGTCAGGAACCATGACCACCTGCATCCCAGCTGCCAGGGCCGCCTCCACCCCATTGGGAGCATCTTCAAAGACAAGGCACTGTAGGAAGAAAAAGAAAGTCGAGATGGCCTTTTATGGAACCAGACATGTGGATGAAGTGTTTATTATCGTCGTCACCATTGGCTCTGCAACTGTGCAGAAAGAGACAGAATTACAGTGGGGGCTCCCCAGAGTAGAGATTGTGGTGAGGACAGCATGCTGTTTCTTACTGGCTCCGGGGGTCTCCCCGCCGTGGCTCCTTTAAAGGGGAGAGGTTTCTGTTGCAGCCAAAGCATTGTTGAAATGGAGCGCAGCTGTGTGGTGAGGCAAGATTCTCAGCTTAAAACTTTATTATTTTATTGGGATCATAACAATCTGTTCAATCAATAATTGAACATTCAGAGTGTGAGAGGCAATTGCAAAACTAAAAATCATGCTCTTAAAATATAAAACCACTTCAGAGCTGCTCCTGTTTTATGTACTGTGGTTTGAAAATTAAATGGTTAGAATCTTTTAAGTTAAAAATTCAGTTCCTGTGTGTGCTAGTGTGACGTGACAAATGAGCACGAAAACGTAGTGTGCGTGCATGCTCTCTTTTGGATAATCGCGAAAATCCACTTTATTATTGGGATTACAGACACAACACCATCCAAAACCCGTGGTCTCTTCATTCAGATACCCACATTGAAAATGGGGTGTTTCCTACTGGCAACTGCAAAGATATGGAACCAACCTAAGTGCCCATCCACCAATGAGCGGATAAAGAAAATGAGGCATATATACACCATGGAATACTACTCAGACATAAAAAGGAATGAAATAATGTCTTCTGCAGCAACATGGATGGAGCTGGAGGCCATTATTCTAAGTAACTCAGGAATGGAAATCCAAATATCGTATGCTCTCACTTATAAGTGGAATCTAAGCTATGAGGATGGGAAGCCATAAGAATTCTATATAATGCATTTTGGGGACTAGCGGGGTGAGGAAGAAAAGACTACATACTGGGTACAGTGCACACTGTTCGGTTGACGTGTGTGCTAAAATCTCAGAAATCACTGCTAAAGAACTTATCCATGTAACCAAAAGCCACCTGTACCCTACAGACTATTAAAATAAAAATTAAAATTAAAAAGGAAAAAAATAAAGTACTAAAAGAAAAACCAATACATAAAATGGGGTGTTTGTACACTGCATTTATCAGTGAGCTCCTAAAGGTGCCACCACATTGACAATGTTACAGTAAGTTTCACATGAGGGCTCCCTCCAAAGGAGACACCCCAGAGCCTGCTCCATAGTATAAACAAGCATAATCCACATGTGCTATCTTCATATCACCGACCCTCTCAGGAAGACATACACTTAGGAAGGAAGCTTCTTCCCTGCATTCCTAGAATGGCACACACTTCATGTGAAAACAGATGTACTGATGCTTTTTAACTGAGACTCTGCAGAGGCCCAGACATCTGTAAGGGAAGAGAGGTCCTCGCCATGGCGACCTATGCTGAGGAGTCTCCCCTGCTCTTCTCCACATGTGGCCTAGAACTCCAGGAGTTGTTGAGGTGGGGCCTTTCAGCTCTCCACTCATCTCTTCTTTGTCTCCTTTGTCCCTCTGCATTTTCTTTTTTTTTTTTTGGTGAGACAGAGTCTTGCTCTCTCACCCAGGCTGAAGTGCAGTGGTGCGATCTTGGCTCACTGCAGCCTCTACCTCCCAGGCTCAAGCAATTCTCATGCCTCAGCCTCCCAAGCAGCTGGGACTACAGGCATGCATCACCAAGCCGGCTAATTTTTTTTTGTATTTTTCAGTAGAGACAGGGTTTCACCATGTTGGCCAGGCTGGTCTCCAACTCCTGGACTCAAGTGATCTGCCCGCCTCGGCCTCCCAAAGTGCTGGGATTACAGGTGTGTGCCACCACACCTGGCCCCCTTTGCCTTTCATTATGAAAATGTCCTCTTCGGCTCATCACCAGGTATATAGCAGCGACTCAATGCACTGGTGTCCTGGAAAGGGCTCACGGAAGCCTGATGCCAGGTCTGAAAGAGAAGCTCTGCATTCTTTGGCGTTTTCAGTAGAAAACACTGAAACACACACACAGTCTTAACTACTAGTGGTCTGTGCTGTAGCCAGCACAATGACTTTTTTCTTTTTCCCTCCCTCCCTTTTTCTTTCCATTACCCCATTCTTTCCTTCAATCTGGGGCTAAAATATCATATTAGCCAACTTATCCCAACAGGGCTGAACCCTGGATTAAGTGAGTTAATCCATGTGACAATGGAATGTGAATGCTACCTTACTTTCACAGAGGGAACTTGGTTGGCCCAGCTGTTTCGGTTTGCTTGGAACTGAAGGGTCAGCTGTGGGGCAGGATGTTCCGTGCTACACCCTGGACAGTCCCAGGCAAGCCACAGTAGTCCGTCCCAACACCTCCCTTCCAACAGCCTCTGATGCCCCCTGGTTTCTTTCTCCTGTGAGACACTGGTCACCGTAGGACGCGAGAAGAAATGACTCCACTTAGACTGTCCAAGTTGGTTTTCTCTGTTATCTCATTCAGTGACTACCTGTTCATGATATTTCTGCCCTTGCCTTTTTAAAAGTTATGACTTGATTGTATTCTAAATGCCCTCCACTGTTTTTATCTGGGACCAGAGATAGGCACTTAAATGTCAAATGACATTTCAAAATATCCGTCACCTTCTCCGGGGATTCTGAAGCTTTGTGCAGGGTCCACCTGTGAAATGTGGACTGGGGTAGAGGAAGAGATGGATTATCCCCTGGGGTAACACTGCTTGGCTAAGTTGTGAAAGCAGCTTTTATTCTCTATTTGCGTGAGGCTGCTTCCAAGGAGCAAGACAGGTGTGTGGGACGGGAAATCAGTAGCTGACTGTGGCTGTTCCCAAAGAGATAATGGAAGGCACCCAATACACCTGCACTCACCTAAAGGGGGTCATACAGTTTTGCTGTGTCCCTACTCAAATCTCATCTTGAAATGTAGCTCCCAGAATCCCCACGTGTTGTGGGAGGGACCTGGTGGGAGACAATTGAATCATGGGGGCAGTTTTCCCCATACTATTCTCATGGTAGTGAATAAGTCTCACAAGATCTGATGGTTTTATAAGGGGAAACCCCTTTCGCTTGGCTCTTATTCTCTCTCTTGCCTGCTGCCATGCAAGACATACCTTTCACCTTCTGCCATGATTGTGAGGCCTCCTCATTCATGTGGAACTGTGAGTCCATTAAACCTCTTTTTCTTTGTAATTTACCCAGTCTTGGGTATGTCTTTATCAGCAGTGTGAAAATGGACTAATACAGGGGGTCTGCAGTGGAGGGAAATGCAGGCCCCATGGTGTCCCTTCACACCTGAGAAATCTTTTCAAAGGCAGCCCCTGTTTAAAGGCAACTAAGTGAGGGCTGTGAGTGAGGAGGGAAACTTGCAAGTGTCTGCGGCACTGACAGCAGGAGCAGCTGACACCAGCTCTTGGAGACCTTTTTACTGTTTCTCATGGCTTTCACGTTTTGCTGGTTCCTCTGTGTTCAATTAATCTGTCCTCACCTATTTTTAAGAATAATCCAAAATGGCACTGACATCTGGAATACTACACACAACATGTAAGACAAATGTCGTACATAAAGTAAGGGGGACTCGAATAAGCATGAAGAGTGGCGAAAAGTCAAGGTTGGTAACTGGTTGCTATCACAATCAATCACAATAAGAAGGTGACGTAGGCTGGGCGCAGTGGCTCACACCTGTATTTTGGGAGGCCGAGGTACGCGGATCACTTGAGGTCAGGAGTTCCAGACCAGCCTGGCCAACATGGTAAAATCACATCGCTACCAAAAAATTAAAAAATTAGCCAAGCATGGTGGCGCATGCCTGTATTCCCAGCTACTCTGGAAGCTAAGGCAGGAGAATGGCTTGAACCCAGGAGGTAGAGGTTGCAGTGAGTCAAGATCGTGCCACTGCATTCCAGACTGGGCCACAGAGTGAGACTCCGTCTCAAAAAAAAAAAAGAAAAAAAGAGAGAAGGTGACATAATAAGCTTATGCAACAGAAGGGCCATTTGAAATATGTCCATGTGAGTAAGTAAAACCCTCAGTGTTCAAATGATTGAGGGGAAACCTAGGAAGACAGGCCAGTTGGCTTGGGTTTTCCAGCACAAGACCCTTGCAAAGTTAACTATTCTAAAAGGTCAAAAGTAAGTACAGCCTCTGATGTAAACAGCCATGGGTGATCTCAGCCCAAAACAAACAGCAATGGGATACATGACACCCCTGGCACCTGAAACCCTCTTCTTCCTCCTCTCATGTGGCCGCTTTGCTAACAGCTGTCAGGAGATACCTTTCCCCGACATTTGCCGGACTCTTACACTTCATGTCCGCTAACGAGAATTCCATTTGATCAAGATGGAATTTGAAAACGGAACCTGAAGTTTCAAAAGCTGATAGAATAGTCAGCTGGAGGTGGTCGATGATGGAAACGTGCCAGGAAAACTCAACAGAACAGGAGTGGAGCAGAAGTGAGTGGTTTACAGGAAAACAGCCTGTAATACCAGGCATTGTTTGCACACAAAATTTAAAGAAAGCCCCAGACACAGGACAAAGAGAAGACATCAAACATGAGTCCTGAGAAGAAACCCCCTGGTGCTAGGCCCAGATGGCAACTGCACCACACACACAGCCTGCACGTGGGAAATGATTCGGGGTCATGCCACAGCATCTGGAAGTTTGGGTTTTGTTGGTTTGGTTTTTTTCCCCTAGAAACAGTAGAATTATAAAGCAGAACAACTACTGTGTCCTGAAGCACCTATTAAAAATGTCCCAAAAGGTTTATTTATTTTCTTTTTTTTTTGTTGTTTTTTGAGACATAATCTGGCTCTGTCACCCAGGCTGGAGTGCAATGGCAAGATCTTAGCTCACTGCAACCTCCACCTCCCGGGTTCAAGCAATTCTCCTGCCTCAGCCTCTCGAGTAGCTGGGATTACAGGCATGCACCACCACACTCGGCTAATTTTTTTTTGTATTTTTAATAGAGATGGGGTTTCGCCATGTTGGCCAGGCTGGTCTTGAACTCTTGACCTCAACTGATCCACCCATCTCGGCCTCTCAGAGTGCTGGGATTACAGGCGTGACCCACCGTGCCCAGCCCCAAAAGATTTTTATGTCGTCTTTAGACTTCGTTACACCCAAAGATCTAATGCACTTGTAAATAGGACCACACCTACAAGAAAAGTACCTGGTATCTAAAAGCCTAACCATTTAAAGAATGTTCACAGCATGGCTGTCTGTCTACTGAAACTTAAGGATTTAAGAATAAATCCTTAAAAGCTATCTTGGAACAACTGTGTCTGGTAATCACAGGACTTAAGCATCAAAAAAAGAAAGAAGAATATAAGCTAAATACAGTTTATATTTTGCACAAATAAAATTAAGGAAGAAGTATGTTTCTTATCTTCGAAGGCAGAAATATCTCAACACAGTTTCCGTCTGCCACACCCAGCTACAGGGAAAGGAGGTTCACCCTGACTGAACTTGGCTCTCATGCTTCCTTTTAAGCACCTGGCTCTCATGCTTCCTTTTAAGCACCTGGCTCTCATGCTTCCTTTTAAGCACCTCATGTTTTCACTTAGGGGGCAGCCCTTCCTGTCCCACCATGACTGACCAATTACACTTGACCTAAAACTCATTCATACCACCACCCATACAGTGAATCATGGATTCGTATGTTTGCATCTGTAGAAAGAAACTTTTCTCTCTAAGCCAAGGGACTTCAGCCTCTGCAAGTGGGGAGTGGAGGCAGACTGACTTTTCTCTGCACGGACTTGGTGGGTTGCTCCTTTGAGGGTGGTGGCCAGGGACAGGGAAGGTGGAAGTGCCCACGGCTCCCTTCTCTTTTCTAGCAGGGCTCCTGCACCTTCAGTGAAGCCGGAGAACTGGGGTTTGGTCCAGGGGATGGCGCTGCCACCTGCACATGCTCCCGGCAGGCCTGCGGCCTACCCTGAAATCTCCCTCCTTCACCCCACATATCATCTCTGTGTCAGGACATGCACATGGATGTGTGTGTATGCATGCATATTCTATATGATTTTAATTAATTTTGTGATCATTTTGTAGTGTATTTAGTGGACCTTCTAAGGCTGACTTCCACATCTTCAAGGAAGTATCTGGTCAAGAATATTCTTGACGCAGCTTGTACAGCCTACATATCGGCTGTAACTAGGCAGGGCCCAGTTTTCACGCACCTTCCCAGGATGCCATGGCAAATCGTGAGCACTGATGAACGTCTGCTAAATTAGTGAAGATGGTGGAGGTGTCCTGGGTACAGGACTTAGAGCCACAAAGGGGCCATGGAAAGTCAGCGCTAGGGAATAGACAGAGCAAATGCAGCATCTCCTCTGCTTAGTGCAAGGGAAGTTCAGAGGCAAGCTGGAGGTCATGCAGTCAGGCGGAAGACAGAACTCTTGAATAGAATCCAGGTCTGCAGAATCCAATGTTCTTTTCACTCTACCCAGCTGAAGGCTAAAATATATCTGATTTCCATCTCCAGGCGAGGAGATGAGCTTAATTAAACTGTAGCTTGAGGGATTTAATTTAGGGAGCATGACATTTCCAACGACAAGGGAGGTGAAGCACCTTGGCGGCTTATCACTTGGAGGTGATGAACTGACTTCTCCAACGATGTTGAAGCGCAGCAGCGACCTGGGGATGGTCTCTGTCCAGGGGACTTAAAAAGTCCTTGTACTTTAATTTCTTAAAAGACAAATATCATATAGCTTAAAAGTTCCATTTTATAACTAGCAAGTTGCACATAAGAGTATCTTTGTCTGACAGCAGCAGGGTGTCTTAGTCCCTTCAGGTTACTGTAAGAAAATACCACAGACTGGGTGGCTTAAACCCCAGACAGGGATTTCCCATAGGTCTGGGGCCAGGCGGTGTGAGATCAGGGAGCCAGCGTGGTCTCTGGCTCCCTGGTCTCCCCCTAACGCATTACACTGGGGGTGAGGATTTCAGCATCTGAATTGGGGGAGGGAAACAGTCCAAACACAAGAGCAATGAATAAAAATGGATGGGATTAGAGGAAAAACTGAGAAGCAATAGGGAACTGGATGATACCTGGGATGTTAAGCCTGATGGAGAAGCTGATTCTCATGTTTCTGATGTGGTGGGTCTTGGGGCCGCCATTTTGGTGGCAGGAAGGAGAGGTAGCTTTTGTGACAAGTTGGGTTTGAGGCCATCGTGGGACACCCAAGTAGAAGGCTCGGGGTCTCCATGCACTGTGGCTGTGAGCTGGAGGTGCGGTCAGGTGTCATCAGAGCAGAGAAGCAGTTGATTACACAGAAGGAGGAGCGCTGAGAAGGGATCCCGGCAGCCCTGGCATTTCTGTGCGGTGAGCAGACGAGGTCTATGGATGGAGCTCTAGGTACAGTTTGGGCAGGAAGGGAACACAGTAGGAGGCAGTGTCAGGAGCTAGGTTAGGTTTTCAAGAGGGAAGGAGAAGGGCCCGCGGCTTGTGATGCTCTCGTGTTCCTCCCCAGGTCTCACTTCCCGGTGATGCTTCCACCTTTGGCTCCTCCCTGCTGCAAATCCTGTCCCCGTGGCACTTGCCCACCATTTCTTCTCAGCAGCTGGGATCAACAGCACGTCCCATCGGGAAGCAGACAGAACAGTCACAGCAGGGAAGGAGCCAGCCCCTTTCCAATCCTGCACACCGGGACCTCCTCCAGGCCACAGGCAGAGTGCTGCCCGTGCCTACTTGGGATCACATTTCGTAACCGATTTTACCTTTTAAACTATGATGTGTCTGTTTTAAATTATGTGCTTCATTGGAACTAGTGAGCTTTCCAAATATTACTATATCATCTCTAAGGAATAAAGCTTTCCCTTTTGCTTAGTGAAATACAACATTTGGAAGGAAGTCACTGAAGGGTACTTTCAGGGCTCCCAGAAGCGGTCCTGGAATTACATGGAAGCACAGAAAGTACAGCAGCTGCTCACAACTATTCATCAATTATAAAGCCATGTATGATCTGAATCTCATCACCAAAACCAGGCTTTTTCATAGGAGGTTTTTTCCTATGCATTAATTTTGTAATATGAAGTTCAATTTTCACATGGTGAGACATCAAAACTTCAAGGGGGCCTTAAACTTTGTTTTTAATTTTGATTGGCAGTGCTCATATCTAAGGTTTAAGTTCTGTTTGACTTCATGTTCCTTGTCAGACAGTGATCTGTAAATAAGTACCACAATGTTGTCATGTTGGATACATATACACTATTAGATGTTTGTTTAAACATGAAACTTTTAAGTACTGCTGTCAAAATGACTGCTGAGGTATGTGTGTATTTTGTTATTAATTAGTACTTTTGTTTATATTATTCATCAATCCATCCATCTGTCCATCCATCCCTATTTATCAATCTATCCATCCCTCCCTTCCTCCTGCTCTCCCTTCCTTCATCCAAACATCCACCTACCTACTAGTAAGCTACATATGGTGCTGCATTCCTCTAAGTAATAGTGCTGAGGTGGAGGTCAGTATCCCTTGTGCACCGCAGAGCTACTGTTTTACTGAATCGATAGTGCTCTGAAAATCAAACTATAAAACCATTATTGATATAAACATGTTTATAACAAAACCCTTTAGAGTTACAAGCTAGGTAAATGAATGAACTACACCCCTAAATTGATTCCTTCTCCTATAGAGAACAGCCTTTGAAAAAGTTATTTAACGACTTGGTTGGGGGGTGGGCAGGAAAGCTTCCTAACGAATTCTCTCTGTGTCATTTTACTCAATAAAAGTACATTACGGGCACTCTTAGCATGCATATTAAAGTGTATGTATGTAAATTAAGTGGTGAGCAAAAGACTTCAAGACAGCTCAAAAAACCTTCCTGATTTCCTCTTTTAATGGTACAGATGCCGCGTCCACCAATCTGTCAGAAACCAGTGAAAACCCAGCAAGGCCCTGAAAGGTGCTGACTGTCTTAAAGTCAAAAACAAACCGCAAGTTTCTAGATGGTCACTAGAATCATTTTCTTTTTCCACATCCTCTGAGTAAAACATGTGAAATCAATTCATCTTACGTAGCCTTCTGCATGAGACTCATGATCCGCAAGTGTGACGGGAGGCCCCTATCGGTTTTGTGTGTTTAGAGGGACATTATGACTTCAGACAGACTCGGGAAGATTAGCCATGTACGGGATTAAAATGCTCTAACCTGTAGAGCAGCAAGTTGTGTTTATTTTCAACAGCACTTTCGTTATGGAAAAACCACATTTAGGTGCCTTAGATGTGACTTGCTTGTGGTATGCTTGCTGTATAATATGACTCCACACATTGTCAGGACAGCAAAAGCACAGCGATGTTTGCCTGCTTTTGAGAGAAGCTACAGAGGGGGCTTCCCCAAACAGGATTATCACAGCATAAAGAGAGTGCCTTTGCTGGCCTGTGTGAGTGATTTTTCCATGTCATCTCCAAATGTGCCATGTAGAAGAAGCTGCCATTTATAATGGGAACTGATAAACACAGAGAAAAAAGCCTAAGGAATTCATTGGACCTGGAGGGGATTAAAAGACTTCGTGATTAAATGAGCTGGTGGATGAGCCAATGAGCTGTCTGTGTGGTGAGCACGTGGCAGCTGGCAATGCAGAGGCCTCTCTTCGGTCCTCTCCTTGGTCCTTTCCATACTGACACCCGTTGTGCATGGCCCAGCAACCTACTCAACAGGGGATGAGAGGCCTACAAAGCCAATGCCCTTCAGGATGGATTTATTTTCTGGTTTTCACAGGGATGCCCTCAGTTCTCCTTCCTGCAAATATAGTAACTGCTGACTCCTGAAATAAAAGCCGGTGTTTATAGCTGTGGTTGCAAAGTCAGTGTTTCCCAAACAAAGATGTGTTGCAGTACCAGGTGAGGCTTATGTTGTTTTCACTGGCCTCCCATGCCCATATTAACGTTCAATTCTAAATTGTCTAGTAGTAGAATGTTCATGAGGTAAGGGGTTTCTAGAATGTTCTGTGACACAGCAGTCCAGAGAAATTTTCCAGAAAAAGGAGATTCCTCCCATTAAATGAGGAACTGGGGACCTGCCATGTACAATTAGCACAGAAATGTTTCCAGAAGTGCTGCCATGGATAACTGTGTAGTTGAAACCTCACTGAGGCCTCTCAGGCATGGACACCTATCTTCAGAGCAAATCGATGAAGGTCCCGCAAAGCAGCACTCCGAGGAATCTATTTTGGGGACGTTTTCACAAAGAGTAGCTGAATGTGGCATGACTCACGTCAATGCAAATGCAATTCATTTGCCTTGTTTTCTTGAACTATTCTGAATCTTACCTGTAAATAACGACAGATGAGGCAGATTTCACCTTAAATGCCTATCCTCTTGCAGGAATGGTTGCTTACATGGCATTGAGGCTACTGCTTAATTCAGAACTGAAGGGACCAGCTCTGTGAGGGCACCCTCCCTAGGCCCCTCGGCAATGGGCTCTGCTGACCACTCATGACAAAATGGCGCCCAGGGCACCTGTGAGGGCAACACAGGGCCTGGTCCATCCCTCTCTCCTTTCCTTTAGATAGAGAGGGGCGTGAGCATATTCTCAATCCTGGAAAACAGAGGTGGAAGGCATCTTGCCTTCCTTTCTCTAACCTGAGATGCTGATGGAGCCTGGGCTAGAAGACTGACCTGGCTGTGGGGGCTAGAGAAGAGCGAGAATGTGCTGGATGTGGGGCCTGGCCTGAGGGTGGAAATTACTGGGGCTACTGACACAGTACTTGTCTGATACTGTGTATGACTAACTCAGTGTTTCTCAACCATTTCATTCATGATCACCCCCAAAAAAGCTTTTCCAGTTATTTTTCCCCAACAGTCTATCCCCATAACATGTTATAATAACACAGATACACTATATTTTTCTGTATGTGTATTGGTGCTTGATACATTAAAAAAAAGTAAGGTTTCATTTTCACCTCCCCAAAGCCAATTTTTATACCTTGGGACAAAATGCATGGACTATTCTATTCAATTTTACTCAGTTGAACAGTTTTTGGAGAACCTACTGAAACCACTCTCAAGGAAGGGTCCCACTGACCCAGGAGAAGAAGGCTTCACAGAGTAGGAAAGTAGCTGAAGATTTCAGAGAAAAACACTTTCACTACAGAGAAGAATCCCCCCACCCCCACCCCCGCTGCCTGGAAGATCACAAATGAACTGTAACCTTCCAAAGTCAACACACAACATTTCATAACTATGACGTACTTGGGGAGCTGTTCAATTGCATGGAATAATTCATATATTGAAGAATGTGGAGAACAAACAAATGAATCTCTGACAAATAACACTATTCCAGGTAGCAGTCTTTAAATATGCCCTCCCACCAACTTCAAATTTTATAAATGAATGAATCAATGATATCCAGTGCTTGGCAGATGGGACATGCTCCGTCGCTATCAGCTATTATTATGATAATGGTGATCCATTCTGTAGACGTTACAAAAAATTCACTATGAAGTTTAAAATTACTCAAGCTCGTGTTGGGACTGGGACTAGCACCTTATATTCTAGTGACTATGCCACTAAATATCTCAATTACTAGCCAGGATATTGATAAACTGCAAATTAATGGCATTTGTTTCTTCCTGTTTTTTTGTGAGATTCATCAGAAATGCATATTTATATTAGAAGCTGGGCTTTAATCAATAGCTATCAGCAATTCAAGCATGTTAGACATATTTTTAGGAAATTAACACCTACATAAAGTACTGTCTTGGGCAGGCAGAAGACAGAAAGCAGAGCAGACAGCTCTCCAGCCTCCCTGGAGTTCATGGTCTCCAAGGCAGGAAACATGCACTGGGGAATCCCTGCTAATACAGGCCCACTGTGGGGAGCCCTGTTTGAGGCACACAGTCCTCTGGAGCAGGGACAGCAGTCCATTCACCAGGATTTGGAAGGTGGATTTGAAGGAGTGGGTTTAGGGAAGATGACTCAGGGATTTCTGGTCAGAGGCAGGTCATGAAAGACAGGCATAATCGCACATGATGTATGTAGCCACTGGGAAATGGAAGGTGTGTGTGGGGTGAGAAATGCAGGCAGAGGGAAGAGCTTAGCAGAGACAGCTACTGGCTGCACTCCAGTGTGGAGAGGCTTGTCAGGATGAGATGGACATGCAGAAAAATAAACATTGTACTGGGGGCAGGCAGAAGACAAGGCCCCAAAAGGAAACCAGAAGTAATGAGTGAGGTAGGGAGCAAGGGGTCAGGCTGAGAGGTCTGTGCTTTACGAGGTGGGTGGGGAGGGAAGCTGGGGAGGGTGAGATGAGGTCAGAGCAGGGCAACTGGGCATATCAGTGTTTTAGAAACATCAAAGAAGCAAAACCACTGATTTACCAAGAAACTCTGACCATTGTTAAAGGCAGTGCCCCCCTACCCTAGCAGTATTGTTTATGTCTAGTAAGATTATTCGAGAGCATGACTGCTTAATTTTTTTTTTTTTTTTTTTTTTTGGAAATCCAAAATACAACTCATCCACTGAAATACCTGGCTTAGTGTCAAATGTTTTATTCTGCAATGGTGGCTTAATTCAGATGGGTTGGTTACATGCTACCTGCTATTAAGATGGCCTCATGCAAACTGTCATTCTTTGAAACTGCTGGTATGTGGAGATTGCACAACTTCATGTACAAATGCACATGGAACCAGAGAAACCACTTAGCAGTTACACTGGTACAACAACACCATACAAATGAATTACAAAGCAGCCCTCAAGAGATGTTACACACGTGATAACAAGTAGTCACTGCTGGCCTGTCATTTTAGCAATTTATAGTTTGCTTGATATATGTGTCTGTGTGTATGAATCTAAAGAATGAGAAAAAATTAATTGTGTAGTGATTCATTTATCAGGAGTCATACTTAATAAAATGGAACAAAAACATCACAAACAGGTAAAGCATGGAGATTCTGTTGGGTTAATGGTCTTTGTAATTGCAAAGGAAAATGATGTTACTATCACTTTTGGGTGTTCAATTCAGCTTATCTGAAGGGGCTGGAAAAAGATCAAGTAATTACTAACCATACTTGACTTTGAAATGCGTTCACACACCTATCCAGTTGATGTGGGGAGAAGAGAGTGTAGGAGGTACCGTGCTTCCTGTCTAGGGAGATAAAGTCTCCCCTTTCATTCTATTAGCTATGGGAATACCAGATAATTATGTTTTTTAAATACTACAAGTATAATATTGTTTGTTTGTTTTTGAGACAGGGTCTCACTCTGTCGCCCAGGCTCGGGTGCAGTGGTGCAATCACAGCTCACTGCAGCCTTGACACCCCCAGGCTCAGGTGACCTTCCCACCTTTGCCTCCCAAGTAGCTGGGACTACCGGGAAGCACCACCATGCCCGGCTAATTTCTTTTTGTAGTTTTTGTAGAGATGGGGTTTTGCCCTTTGCCCGGGCTAGTCTTGAACTCCTGGGCTCTAGCAATCAAGCTACCTTGGCCTCGCTAAGTGCTGGGATTTCAGGTGTGAGCCACTGCACCCAGCTAATATTGTTAGATTATGTATTCATAAGCCTATGAACTATTGCATAGTCCACTTGTAAATGACAACTACAAAAATCTATGAATGGCTGCGTAATTCATCCTATAATCATGACGACTGTTTACTACAGTCGTTATTTTGAGCATATATATAAGAGAAAAACAGTACGTATTCAACGTTTCTCTTTATGTTGGGATATGCACTGGAACTTCCTTCTCATAAAAAGAACAGAACGTGAACAGAAGGCTCTTACAAGATGGAAGAGCCCACTCTCTAGTCATGGGGTCACTTATGGGACAAGTACAAAGATTAAAACCAGCACACACTGCCAAAAACTATCAAAGATAGGCAAGCTGTTGATCCGCATTTATTGGATGTCTACTGAATAAATAATGAGGGCATTCTACATTCCGAGGTCGTGAACAGCCCATATTCCCACTTGGGAACACAACCAGAAACCGTAGTTCCTAGTCATTTCATTGTTCAGGTGTGGTTTCTCAGTATTAATACAGGGAGGTAGGGAAGAGGAAAGGAAGATGTGGGGGTGAAGGGAAAGATTGTCCCCCTCCTCGCTCCTATTTAGGAATAAATCAGGTGGGAGATGTGCTTCCGTAACCAGCTGGACAGTCTGTGTCCCTGAGAGGTGCCCAGAGGGTCCCAGTTTGCACCAACCTCTCCTGAGTCATGCTGGAACCTTCTTTCTAGAGAGCTGTGTTTGGAGAACGGCACACAGAGCCCCTTGACTCCTGGGCCTCCAGCATCTCCCAGGAAGACCTCCAACAGTATGTGATTAAACTATAGACATGCAGCTCAAATAATACTCTGGATGAGCCACAGAACATGTCTTCTTTTCTACAGAAAACGTATTTTCTTAACCCTTGAATAAGCTAGGGATACAAGATCCATTCAAAGTTTAAGGCTCGGTAATAGATTTGAAGATACACGAGGAGGAAAAGGTTACTGATAGGGCTTCAATTTCCACATAGCAACTAACTCTTAAGAAACTATCACTTGCTGAATTCTGGTGTAGTAAAACAGCTACACACAGAAATAGAGCTAAAGAAAGAAAAATAGTTAACATTATCTTAAAAGACTTAAAATATCCCTTCCTTTTCAAACTAGGTTCTATATAAGAGACGTGATCTCAGCTCACTGCAACCTCCTCCTCCTGGGTTCAAGTGATTCTCCCACCTCAGCCCCCCTGCCCCCAAACCAAAAAAAGAAAAAACAAAAAACAAAAAACAAACTCGGGCTTCTCATTCTCATTAGCCACTTCTTCTGGGGACAGCTCTAGGGGTAAAGGGTCCCACCGTTCCCTACCTGCTGGGTAATCAGATCCCTTCAAAAAGATGCTTTCGAGTTTTTGTCCAGTTTTTCTCACTGTTCTTAAGGGGAGAGTTAGCGCAGCTTGCTTAGGTCCTATCACCAGAAGGAGACTTGGTTCGAGTTTTACATGTTAATATTTGATTGGAGTAGGATTCACCTTAGTGTTGGAAGTAAGCCAGAGCCTTGGGGTTTATGTCCCCCTCTCCACTGGCAAGACATCTACCCCGGTATTATTTCCTGACTGATCCATCTGTTTCACAACAATCTGAAATGCCACCTTGATCCTCGCATAAATCCCCAAACATAACGAGGCTGAATTCACTGGTTATTCTCCCTATTCTAGTTTGGGTGAGGGCAAGTCCGAGAATGTGTACACAAGCATTGTGGAGGCCAGATCGGGTGAGGAAGGTACAAGGAAGGTACAACATGTCCAGGGGTGGGAGAGTTCACGGGCTTTATTGCAAATTAGCCCAGGCCAAACACTTTTAAAAAGCGGATTCCTCAACTACAGCAATGTTATGCAATGCAAGGTGGGGAGCCATACATACAAACAGCACTAGTGCTACTTATGGGTCACGTGTTCTCTGTATTCAATACACCATTCTCCTCCAATCGCAGTGAAGAGAAACAATGCCCAAATTTGCCAATAATCTGTGGTACTACATTAAATGAGATGCTAAACATTTAGCAAGGTTTTAGCCCAAAACATCCAATAATTATTAGTAATAATTACTAGTTAAAAGCTAAAAGATATTTTGAAAATTGACACAATTGTAAAAGATAACTGGTAATGCAGGACCAACGAACTTGATGCACTAGTGTATGGGGGAATAGTGACTAGATTGTATTTTTACTGGCTAGTTGTCTGAAACCTTGCTATCAAAAAGACTCAGTGAACACAGTATCATTACAAAAAATGCACAGCTGGTCACCAGCCAACCTAATGAAATGCCCCGAGTAGGGTAGTGGCATTTGTACTAATAGTGGCTACTAGTTCTTTTAAAAAGTGTTTCAAGGAACTACGAGGCATGGATTTTTTTGAGGCATTTGAGTGACAGTCCAGAAATAAAAAAATACATGTTTTAGAGCAGTGGTCCCCAGCATTTTGGCACCAGGAACCGGTTTCGTAGAGGACAATTTTTCCTAGATAGGTGGGGGGTGAAAGGGGCTGGTTTTGGGATGAAACTGTTCCACCTCAGATCATCAGGCATTAGATTCTCATACGGAGCACACAACTCAGATCCCCTGCATGTACAGTTCACACTAGGGTTCAGGCTCCTGTGAGAATCTAATGTGGCCTCTGATCAGACAGGAGGCGGAGCTCAGGTGGTAATGCTGGCTCACTCGCCGCTCACTTCCTGCTGTGCGCCCTGCTTCCTAACGGGCCATGGAGTACTGGTCCATGGCCAGGGGATTGGGGACTCCTGTTTTAGAGGATGCAATAAAACATATATGGAGACTGCAATTTTTTGGTTTACAACTTCGGGGAAGTTAAAGGGCCAAAACCAGCACTGCTATAAAGATTAAGCTATTAGATGTTTTTTGCTGGAAAGTATTTCCAGAGACATGAGCTTTTTCCATAACACATATCAATCACACACACATAAACACACACACGTGTGCGCACATGCATGCGCACACACACACAGTGCTGATTAAATGAAGTTTTGTTACATTTTCCATTGTCATACAAGTATCTGCCTTTAAAAGGGAAATAGTGGACCAGGGATTCATCCATCATATTTTCTCCACACAAAGCACAGGGCACAGTGCCATCCTGGAATTTCTCCAGCCAAGCATAAAGAAGATATCTGAAGGCAAGACATATGAAGAGTAATTATGAGAGGACAGAACTTCATTCTGTTCTGAGATTTGCTGTTTTTCTCTAGCATTTAGTGAAATTATTTCTTCACTTCTCTGCATTTGACAGAGTGCAGAAGGGCCTCATGCCTCTAATTTGTGTTTTCCCAGAGACCCTCATGCCCCAGGAATGGCTCAGCTCTGGCGTAATTCTGCAGAACAGTACAGGGGCCCGTGTGCATGCAACCTGTGTCGAGGTCTCTGCAGGGCTGTGAACTAGAAATCAACACTGCAGTGCCCCAAGTTCCCCAAGAATGACGAGCAGCTCTCCATCAAAGGAGGACAGATTCTGCCGCTGACTGTAAGCCCTGGAAACCAGTCTGGAGGAACGCAGGTGGCTGTGGGTCTGCCAAGAAGCCAGAACACTTACTGAGCTGTGACCTGGCCAAAGCACAGCTCCACCTCCTATCAAAGCTGATGATGTACCCAAGGGGAGAGGGAGAGCCTGAAGGTGAAAAAGACAGCCTCCCCATTGACATCACTGCAGCTGTAGTGGCAGGAGATGGAGACAAGGATCACGAGACTAAGTGTCAGTCAGGGTTTGTGAAATAACAGTACAGAAGAGGAATGCCTTCTCTATTTGTGGGGAACACCACGGGAAAAGAAAAAGAAGGTGATATGGTTTGGCTGTGTCCCTACCCAAATCTCATCTTGAATTGTAGCTCCCACAATTCCCACATGTTATGGGAGGGACTCGGTGGAAGGTAATTGAATCAGGGGGGTAGGTCTTTCTCATGCTGTTCTCGTGATAGTGAGTAAGTCTCATGAGATGTGATGGTTTTGTAAGGGAGAGATTCCCTGCATAAGCTCTCTTTTTGCCCACTGCCATCCATGTAAGACATGACTTGCTGCTCCTTGCCTTCCGCCATGATTGTGAGGCCTCCCCAGTCATGTGGAACTGTGAGTCCGTTAAACCTCTTTCCTGTATAAATTACCCAGTTTTGGGTATGTCTTTATTAGAAGCGTGAAAACAGACTAATATAGAAGGCCACACTATAGCTGGGAATGTAGGGTTTCTTTGCCAAAGTTTATAAGAACTGAAAATCAAAGAGCAAGAAATAACTACTAAATTCTAATAAGAAATGACATTGGCTATTATTAAAACTAAATGACAGTGTGTGCTCCTAAATCACTCGGTATTCCTGGCATCTTGCAATCTGATAAAATGGCACGTACACGAAAGGTTCAATAAAAGCTTACAGAGGGGAATTGAGTCCCTTGGTGTGAATCTGTTTCTTTACCTACAGAATCAGTGACTGGATTCTGTGTCTATTGGCTTCTGCTTCCGTATATCGTGCATTGATAGCCTCTGATTTGGGTGTGGGGACAGGGGAGGAGTCTGTGTTCTCAGGCTGGGAATGAGACCTTGAAGTCAACATAGCAGCTGCTACCTACAGCCTCAATTCAGGAAGGGAAGAAACGTACAAATGAGGACAAGGGAGGTTTTCAGAAGAGAGGGCCTAAGAAGTGGATGGATAAAGGAGGTTGCTGGCTGCAGACGGCATGTGAGGAGAGAGAATCCTCGTGCAATGAGAAGCTTCAAGGTTGGCTGAGGGACTCCAGGGTGCCTGGAGGGACAGGAGCAGGCTGAAGGAAAATGTGGGAAAATGGAGTGTTGGCCGTGTTTTCAGAGGTGCTCATGACTTCCAGGCAGTGCAGATTCATGAGCCTGGGGCTCAGACAAGCAGCAGGGTCCCCAAGAGTAGATTTAAGGTAGGAGAACCTCTATTGAGACTCCTAGTAAGTGTGGCCTGGCTGAACTTTTACATAAGATTTTCCCAAGGCCCCTTTCCAGACCACTGGGCCCAGGACTCTACCCATGTCCAGAAACCAAGATTTGAGTCAGGCACAGTGACAACAAGTAGCAGATAAGATCACCCAGGGGGATGGGACAGAGTGAGATGAACACCAAAACAACACCTGCACACACACAGATGCTGACATTTGGGGATTGCTGAACCGAGTTCCTGGGTGAGAGGAAGTGCAGAGAGAAACAGTGGGAGCAGTGGATGAGGGCGGATGGGCATGGTGCAGCCAGCAGAGGGAGACGTTGCAGAGGAGCGTGGGAAACGGATGTCTGTGGTTTCAGCAGTCAGGAGCGGCAGATGCCAGGATGAAATGCCCCCCGAGGCGAGGTGAGGAGGCGAGGATGCAGTCAGAAACAGGGATTGTGGCACCTGGCAGCTAATGTGGGAACAAGACTGAGGGACACCGAGGTCATCTGGGAGAGCAAGATGCCCCAAGGCTAGTGTTCTGGACACGGACGTAAGGCTACTCGGGCTGGATAAAGGCAGGACCTGAGAACCAGGGGCCGGGCACCTCAGGGTTGTTTAGAAACAAGGATGCCACGTGCGCTCGGCAGGCAGAGGGCCTCTTATTAGTGCTGGGTGCTGGGCATTCAGAGAAGGGGGCAGGGGAGTAATGATGGGGTGTTGGGGAGAAGCAGATGGGGCCTCCATGGACTGAGGAACATGCCACAGTGGCATGAGGGTTATTAGAGCTGAAGACAGTAAGCATCAAGTACAGGAACAGAAGGCTTCTGCACTCCCTTCCCTTTCTAAGGAAAGCCTTCCAGAAGAATTCAGCCCTCAGCCCTCATACATCCAATGCTCAGGAGTTTCACAACCAGGGAAGTGTGAGTCTTATCACCAAAGATAAGAAGTCAGCACCTGTCACACCTAGATGAGAAATCGCCCCAAAAGATGTTGTTATAAAACTATCTTATCCACCATCTAGTCTCCTAACGGCCCACTTAGTTTTCCTAAAAGTTTTCCTAAAAGTTTATTCTTCTGTGTGTCCTTCTGCCTCTCTCCCATCCATGTTAAGATGACATACAAATCCGAAATTCTAACTGCCTCCTTGAGTCACATTTTTCTGTGAACTCCTTCGTTGTATGTAAATACAAATCTATCTTTACTCTTGATAGTCTGTCTTTTGTTAGTCTGATTTACAGGCCCCCAATCACTGCACCTAAGAGGGTAGAGGAAACACATTTCCTCTGACAGTGAAATTTGGTTTAAGCAAGTGCCCTCGTGCCAGGAAATTCAGAAGGGACACCAAGCCCAAAGGCAAGTTCAATGAAAGAAAAGAAGTGTAAGGACAGTAACCGTGAAGGTCCTTGTTATTACGGTTTTTTAAATAACGAAAGAAGGGAGAAAGGGAAATGAAATAATACCAAGGACAAGTGAGCAGAGGCATGCCTATTTTGTTCAGCGATGATGGGTGACAGGAGGAGGTGGCCTTGAGGCTGGAGCAATGAGGACCCAGGCTGTGGGGTCCTGAGGCCCACAGAGGGTGGCAAACAATGGCAGGTGACGGTCCTCACCCTCTGGAGCAGCTCCAGTGTGGCTGTGCCCGTAACTCAGTGTTGCAGGGTAAGAAGCTGATTCAAGAACATCTAATCTCCCCAAAACCAGAGGTCCAGCAAAGCTCAGCTGGTCACCAAATATTAACTTTTTTTTTTTTTGGAGAAGGAGTCTTGCTCTGTCACCCAGGCTGGAGTGCAATGGCACAATCTCGGCTCACTGCACCTCTGCCTCCCGGGTTCAGGCGATTCTCCTGCCTCAGCCTCCCGAGTAGCTGGGATTACAGGTGTGCACCACCATACTTAGCTGATTTTTGTATTTTTAGTAGAGATGAGGTTTCACCATGTTGGCCAGGCAGGTCTCAAACTCCTGACCTCAAGTAATCCACCCACCTTGGCCTCCCAAAGTGCTGGGATTACAGGCGTGAGCCATCACGCCTGGCCCAAATATTAACTTTAAATTGGACATAAGTAGTATACAGCTATTTGTTCTCTATTATTCTCGGAGGAAAAGAAGTTCCAGTTACAGAGGTCAGCTCACACTGACAGCCTGCCTGCTCCTGTCTGCATTCTTTTGGGACATATGCAATGTACGATAAGGATAAGTTAAGATGAAACTTTGTGTAAATGTCACATGCAGTTACAGGTATTAGAAAAATACATGTATTTTTAACTAGCTACATCTTTTTTTCAGTTTTTTTAAATCTAGGAAAGAGTCACAGAGATGCAAAAAGTTCTTCAAATTTGGTACAAGTTGATATGAATATATGCCCAGCGACAGTTTTCTTAATTTCACTTTCTCCTAAGCCTCCTATAACTTTTGACATTACTTATTTTTTTCTAATTGAACTATAAGTTCCCTGAAGGAAATCACATTGGAATCACACCTGGCACTTCCTCCTCCCTTACTGCCTATTTCTAATCTGTCACCCAGTACTCCACTGAGCTCTAAAACACAGACATGGCCAATGTGTCCTTCTAAGAATTTCCAGTGAGCTCAAATGCCTATTGTACCATGTGTAAACTTTTCTGCTTGGTTTCCAAAGTCCTCACGATTGATTCTGTGTTGGCTGCACTCCTGTTGGACTTGTTCTGTTCAGCACTAATCCCACCCTCTGTTCTTCTCTGTAAAAACGCTGAGCATTTATCTCAGGCCCTGTGCCATCCCCAGTTCCCCTATGATGCTCTAATTTGTGCCTGAGTGAACTTTTGGTCTGACTGTCACACTAGGCAGAGCTGCCTCCCCCAACATTGCACTGTAGAGATGGTCCAGCGTACAGCAGAGTTGAAAGAATTTCACAGAACACCTGTATCCCTAAGTCACCACCCAGAATGTACTCTCTATTTTTTTTTTTTCCTTTGAGACAGAGTCTTGCTCTGTCACCCAGGCTGGAGGGCAGTGGCATGATCTCGGCTCACTGAAACTTCCACCTCCTAGGCTCAGGTGATTCTCCCACCTCAGCCTCCTAAGTAGCTGAGACTACAGGCAGGCGCCACCACACCTGGCAAATTTATCATCATCATCATTATTATATTTTGTAGAGACACGGTTTCACTATGTTTCCCAGGCTAGTCTTTAACTCCTGAGCTCAAGTGATCCTCCCACCTTGGACTCCCAAAGTGCTGGGATTACAGGCATGAACCACCACCTGTAAGACTGTATTCTTAACAAGGTGATAGCATAATAGTTTGGGCTATGAGTAGAAATGTCTAAAGGCTGGTTGAAATGAGCCCAGTCTACCTATTTATGTGGACTTAGCCCTTATTCATTAAGAAATATGCAGGTTTCCACGAAAAAGAGTAGAATCTACCACGTCCCTTGTTTATTAATTGTGAATATTATCTCACAACTTCAACCCTGGTATTATACAAAAAAAGACAGATACCGAATATACACAAAACTTAGGCTGGCAAAATGAGTCTACTCTATCTGTTTATGCAGTTTAACATGTATAACTTTCTTGAAAATAGAACAGAAAAACAAAAACAAAAATAATTTTTTTAAAACCTGAAATTCAGCTCCTAAAACAACACTAACAAGTACAAGAAAACTAAAACACGCAAAGTAGTGATGGCTAGGCTGTAAAAAATTGATTTCCAGCCGGAACAGTGGCTCACTCCTGTAATCCCAGCACTTTGGGAGGCCGAGGTGGGCAGATCACCTGAAGTCAGGAATTCAAGACCAGCCTGGCCAACATGGTGAAACCCCATCTCTACTAAAAATAAAAAAATTAGCCGGGCGTGGTGGCGTGTGCCTGTAATCCCAGCTACTTGGGAGGCTGAGACAGGAGAATCACTTGAACCCAGGAGACAGAGGTTGCAGTGAGCCGAGATCGTGCCACTGCACTCCAGCCTATGCAACAGAGCAAGACTGTGTCTCAAAAAAAAAAAAAAAAAACAAAACTGATTTCCGATTTCTGGTTTTACTTGTAATAAATATCAACCCTAGAAGTGATATGTAAGCAATGCCATCATTTTTGTTTCACAACAATGATGGCATTTTTGTGGCTGGGAACAGAGAGCCCTGGGGTGCCTCCCAGCTTGGTCGCTCAAGTCCCCACCAAGCAATGAGTGTGCTCACACTCGCAAGTCTCAGGACCTGGCGTTCGGCACATGGAGGCCCTCTACCCACTGGGTCTCTGGCCTTCAGGGGATGTGTTGGCAGATGTCGCACCCTGCCTGGCACACAGTGGGCGGGTGCTTTCACTCGATGGGTGCTCATTATCCTGAAGGTGGTTTCTGGGGGGCTTCTGAAGGTGGCCTTATGTTTGCTTGATATTTTTTAGAACAAAATAATGATACATGAATAACTTAGAAAATATTCTCAGTGAAAACTTGATTCTTTAATGTCAGCTCTGTTGGACACTTTCTCCTAGTAAGATGGGAATTAATATTTAACATAATTAATAACCCTTTGATCCTACTTGTTTTTGACTACTTTCCTATGACTACTACTACTACTATGCCTAATTAACCTGGTGACACCTATGGCATGATCAATTCCCTAAGGCAATTCCCTAAGAGATTCAGAAGTCTCTTCAGTGACTGATGATTTAATGGAATGCCCTTGAACTCTGGAGGCATGCTGCTCCTGTGAGCTCACACCCACACTGCGGGCAAGAAGCAGCAGCAGGGCCTGACTGAAGAGCTCCAAGATCGTCCACACGGCCCCTGGCCACTGCCTCCTGTATTCCTGACACAAATGCCAAGTACAAAACCAGGGCTGCTTCCCTGACAGGAGCTTGGGAAAAACTTCCTTTAGTATTACAATATGCACATCACAGGAGGAAGACCCACAATGTGTCACTGTCTCTAAGTAAGAAGCATGAGAGGAAACATTTCATTTCTGCAAGAGAAATATATCTGTAAGTAAATGTAGATTAATAATAAGGAAAATGTTTAGAACTTTCTAAAAGCTAAATGACTTTTAAAAAATGCAACTGCTCATTTTTCTTTGACAAGTCTAAAACAAACATTGTCAATGAGAACACCAAGATGTTAAAACACAATTCATTCCATGGGCCTCTTTGCAGGGTACCTTGTGAGAGAAATTCCTCCTCATGAGGGCCCTTGCTCTGTGGGTTTCACCATAACTGGTCCCATGCAATGGCAGCATGTGGTTTCCACATACACTTTGCTTCCATATACATTTTAAAACATGGCTAATTTTTTGTGGAGACAGGGTCTGGCTATGTTGACCTGGCTGGTCTCAAGCTACTGGGCTCAAGCATCCTCCTGCCTCAGCATCCCAAAGTGCTGGGATTACAGGTGTGAGCTGCCACACCCGGCTGCGCATGGTGGTGTGTGCCTATGGTCCCAGCTACTTGGGAGGCAGAGGCAGAAGGATTGCTGACGCCCAGGAAATGGAGGTTGCAGTGAACTACGATTGTGCTACCACCGCCTATGGCCTGGACAACAAAGGGGACCCTATCTGAAAAACAAAAGGAAAACAAAACCAAAACCAAAAAACCCCACATGAAACACCATGTTTCCATTAACAGAGTACCTTGCAAAACAAGGACTGCCTGTACTTGAAATTCCGTTTAATTGCCTTAGCTATAGGAACAGCTCATGTTAACAAGGCAAATATTTCACCTTGTCTTTATCAGTTTGTAAATACAGAACTGAATGCAAGTGCCAACATACTCTGATCGCTTCTGGGACATGGTTATGGAGTGCAGCACCTTCACTTTTCTAGTGAACAATAACTCAGGTTAAACAACAACAACAAAAATGGTGTTTCTGGGAAGAAGGCTTTATAGCCTGAAGCTATGGAATAATTCTTCCACAAGGGGGAAATTCTAAGGAAAAATGAACATGTTGCAGAGGAATTTGTAACAGGGTGCCAAGCATGCAGACATACACATGTCCAGACATAAGAAGCAGATACATGTTCCCACTGGGAGCTGTTCCAGCCGCACCTGGAGGCTCAGCCTTGACTCTCTGACTTACTAGCTGGGAGGTCTCAGGCACGTCCCACGTTAAGCAATTGCAGTCAAGTTGAATTCAATAATGAGACTTAAATCAAGAATGAGATTTCAATCAGCCCAGGTATGTGTGTTGCTAAGAATGCCCCACTGTCTTTCAATGACTGTTTATAGCTATGGCATCATAAAAACTACACACCTGGTTTTTGTCCCCAGTTCATGACATGGAGCTCCTAAAACACTTGGAATTTCTGAGTCATTAATAAGCCATTTTCAACCTAATAAGATGCCTCTAGTGGACCCAGGATAGCTTTAGGACAGGGTCTGGACATCAGAAAGACCAAATATGCGATTAGAAGATTAGGTCTGGGCACGGTGGCTCACGCCTGTAATCCCAGCACTTTGGGAGGCTGAGGCGGGTGGATCACGAGGTCAGGAGTTCAAGACCAGCCTGGCCAACATGATGAGACCCTGTCTCTACTAAAAATAGAAAAATTAGCCAGGCGTGATGGCACACGCCTGTAATCCCAGGTACTCAGGAGGGTGAGGCAGGAGAATCGCTTGAACCCGGGAGGTGGAGGTTGCAGTGAGCCGAGATCATGCCACTGCACTCCAACCTGGGCAACAGAACGAGACTCCATCTCAAAACAAACAAACAAACAAACAAACAAGACTGGAACTTTCAGCCCTCCCCCTCATCTCCAGGGAGGGCACCTTGGCCTGGATTGAGTTCAATGAGCAATCGTCAGTGATGTCATCACTCACACCTACGTAAGAAAGCTCCATAAAAACCTCTACATAAGGGGCCTGGGGAGCTTTGAGTTTGGTGAGCACATGGAGGTGCTGGGAGGGTCAGGTGCCCAGAGAGGGCAGGGGAGCATTGCAACCACCCGCCATACATTGGCCAATGCCTTGCTTCCATTTGGCTGTCCCTGAGTTTTATCCTTCATAACAAAGCAGCAAGTGTATGAAAGTGTTTTCCTGAGCTCTGTCAGTCATGTTAGGGGATTATTAGACCTGAAGAGAGGATTGCAGGAACCCCCAATTTGTAGCCAATCAGAAGTACAGGTGGCCCCTGGAACGTGCAATGGGCGTCTTGTGGGACTGGGGCCTTAACCTTCGGGGTCTGGGCTAACCGTAGGAGTCAGTGTCAGAACTGAACTGAATTGCTGGATGCCCACTTAGCTTCAGAGAATCAGAGGCCTGTGTACTGAGGCACAGGTTCCGGCTGCCTCTATAGGCTCAAGGTAGTAAGTTGCACCCTGGGCAAAAAACAAAACAAAACAAAACAACAACAACAAAAAACAGGTCTTTCAAGACTACTCCGGTAGCTCCGCTTTATTGGGAAGGTTTCTGAGTAATTTCCCTGAGCTCGTGATTGGTGTCACTGGTTAGTAATGAGAGGTGAGGCCTGAAAAAGACCTCTCACTGAAAGGCTCTTCCCCACAAACCACAAAAGTCCTCACATGCAGGAACCCAGGGGAAGCAGGCATTTGCAGAGACTCCCCGACGGATGCCCTCCCCAGCTGCTTACACTTACATCGCCAGCGGGAGCCCCCCTTTCAAGGGTGACTTCCTGTGATTCTGGAATCTGTACCTGCAGATCGTTCAGGCCAAGGACTCCATCTTGGCAGTCACAGAACGGTCAGAGGAATCTGGAGCCAGGCCCAGCCACCACAAGCGGTCGGCTCTCTAAACGCTCTGCCCAGGTCACCTGAGGAGGAGCCTTATTTAACAAGAAGAGGGAGCCAGGGGCCGTCTCCACTGCATACCCTGCATGGTCAAGCAGCCGTGGTGCGGGACAGGGGGTGCCACGGCATACAAGCCCACCAGCTGCCACTTTCCAATGGAGAAATGGATGGAAGTCCAAAAACTTGGCGATAAAAACCCAGCGTCACTACACAAGCAAAAACTGCAGCAACCAACGAGCACTCTATAAGCAGTTGGGGAGGGGAAGTGAGTTTTAGTGATTTACATCTGAACTGCAGTGAATACTCACCTTAAAGCCTGCACCTAGACAATAAGACTGTTTTAAGCCCCACATCATTAAAACCGCCGCTTCCCTGGAAAATGTCTGAATAGGCCTTGTTCTGGCACTGTAAGCTTCTCAGATTGTCCCTGAGACCCAGTGGATTCTGGCTGAGTCTCCCTGGCCTGGTGACTTAGGTGCGGCCACGATTCCTCACAAAATCTTCCAACCAGACCATCTCCCTGCCCACATACCCAAGTTCTAGGGAGCATTGCAAAGTGGCCTTCAACAGCACAAACCACAACTTTTCACATTTAGCAAACACTACATGGATATTATTTGGTGGAACATGGTTGTGGAACACGGCCCGTGTCACCGGCACCCACTTACCTTCTCCATAGCAGGAGGGGGAGAGAACCTCTTGGCACAAGCTAGGAAGATGTCCGGGTCTGGCTTGCCATGCTGCACTTCGGGGTCATCTCCCAGCACAATGTGGGAAAACAAGCTGAAGAACTCCTTGTGGCGGCTTGTCTTCATATCGAACGACGCGGACCCCGAGCTGGTGGCCAGTGCAAAGGGGATGCCATGTTTCCGCAGGTGGATGATGAGTTTCTCCGCCCCTGGGGAGGAGGAGGGAAGGACTGAGGTGAGGGGCGAGGCCTCCACCATAAGACCTTCTTGCAGGGACAGTCCCTCCAGCTGTGTGGCAGCACACTCTCAGGCTGCTCCTTTTGAGGAATTTCTGACCTAGGACAGATTGTCTAAAAGCGGTTGTCAGCTCCACAACATCCCTGCTCAAATAAAACAAACCAAAAAATCAAAAAAGCTATTGGCGGTTGAGCGATACGTTTCCCAAAGGAACAGAAGAAGAGCGCACTGGGAGGCACTGCTGCTTTGCCTGCTGGGCCTCCTTATGAAACGTGGAGAAGGGCAGAGAGCAGGCCCAGGAGGTGACTGGACCTGGGATCTGGCCAGGGCACCGGGGAAGGCCCTTCAGCAGGGCCTCGCTGAACCATACTTTTTTTTCCAGAGCAGTAAATACACAAGGACTATGCTTTTGGTGTTTTCTGCAAAAATGCTGTATTCTACAGAAAACACTTCAATCATTCTTCACCCTGCTAAGGAGAGGAAATTACACAAAGGCGTCCACCAGATGCTGAAGAAGGCTGTGGCTGAGGGACTGCTGCAGCGCTACTTAACAAGGGATCAGGGGACAAAAGAAAGCTGCTGAACACAGCTGATCAACAGCAACGTGCCATATGAAAAGAGCATCCTCACACTGTCATTAGCCACACGGATTAACTACAGGGACCACACAGGTCCATGGAGGTCATCATAGAGCCAATCATGAGAGGACTAGTTATCAGAAAGAATCAAAAATACCAGGAGTCCTTCCTACCTTTAACTTATGCGACTAGCACAACAGGAACATCTAAATCCACACAAGGTGTGACGGTTTGCCTAAAATTTCATTTTATTTTTCAGACAGGGTCTCACTCTGTTGCCCAGGCTGGAGTGCAATGGCTGATCTTGGCTCACTGCAACCTCGGCCTCCCAGGTTCAAGCGATTCTCCTGCCTCAGCCTCCAGAGTAGCTGGGACTACAGGCATGTGCCACCACGCCCAGCTAATTTTTGTATTTTTAGTAGAGATGGGGTTTCACCATGTTGGCCAGGCTGGTCTCAAACTCCTGACCTCAGGTGATTCGCCTGCCTCAGCCTCTCAAAGTACTGGGATTACAGGCATGAGCTACCACGCCTGGCCTAAAATTATTTTAAATAATTGTATAATCATGCCTATTTTAATAATGTCATGATTTAATGTCCCTACTTTGTCAATTGTTACACAAAACAATCAACAGACTCATTTTTTCCGAACACCTACAGTCATTCAGGATAAGGTAACAGATATCTGGAGCACCTGACCCTCTAAAGATTTTTAAAAGGAAGGCATGGACAGATCATAATGTAGTTCCAGGACAAAGTTAAATAAAGCAAATGAAATCAAGCAAAATCTAGCACTCCACTGGGTGTAGAATTCATAGTGTCTAACATTCAATCAAAAATTACCATGCTGCAAAGAAGCAAATACCACCCACAATCAGGAGAAATAGACACAGAAATGATAGAGACAGATGGAATTAGCAGATCATGACCTTATGTAACGGCTTTATAAGTATTATAAACACACCTAAGATAGACACTATCAGAATAAAAAAGAAAAACAAAAGACCCAACTACATGTTGTCTACAGAAACCTACTTTAAATATAACTACACAGATAGATTGAAGATAAAAGGATAGAAAACTACATACCACATAACTATTGCTCAAAAGAGAGCCAGGTTACTTACATTAATAACAAACAAGCCTTTAGAACAATGAATGACTATCATCAGGGATAAATAGGGACATTTCATAATGACAAATAGATCAGTTCATCAATAAGACATAATTCTAAATGTGTAAACATCAAATAGCAGAGCTTCAGAATGCATAAAGCAAAAACCAATAGAACTGAATGGAGAAACACAAACGTAGAAGGAAGTTTAAAACTCCTCTATCAGTAATTGATAAAACAAGTAGACAGAAAAGAAGTAAGGACACAGCAGACTTCAGAACCACTGTCAAGCAACCTGACCTAATTGACGTTTATGTAATACTTCTCCCAACAACAGCAGAAACCACATTATTTTTAAGTGCACGTGGAACATTCAACAAGAAATATCCTATTATAAGGATAAAACTATTCTCAAAAATTATAAAATACTTAAAATCATACAGAATACCTTATCTAACGATGGTAGAATTAAAATAGACATTAATAATAGGAATGTGGAAAATCACAAATATTTGGATGTTACACTTCTATGTAAGACATGGGTCAAAGATGAAATCACAAAGGGAAACTAGGTAATATTTTGTAGAGAACTAAAAACTACCAAAATTTCTGGGATGTGGCTAAAACATTGCTTCGATGAAAACTGATGGCATTGAGTGATATGTTAAATAATAAGGTCTCAAATAAGTGATCTAAGTTGCCACATTGAAAACCTGAAAGAAAGAAGTTCAATGATTTAAGCTTTTACCTTAAGAAAGTGAAGGAAAAGAGCAAATTAAACCCAAAACAAATAAAAGGAAGGAAATAATAAACATGAGAGAGAAAATCAATGAAATAAAAGTAGAATACAGAAAACCAACTAAATCAAAAGCGAGTTGTTTGAGAAGAGCAATTAAATTAGTAGACTCCTAGCTAAACTGATCAAAAAAATAAAGAAGATCCAAATGTACTAACATTAGCAGGGAAAGAGGGGACAGACATCACTACAGATTCTAACATCGATAAAATGATAAAAACTTAATTATTATAGGATTAATGGCAACACATTTGACCATTTAGATGAAATGAGATAATTCTTTGAAAGATATAAAACTCCCTCAAGAAGACACAAATAACCTGAATAGCCTTCTGCCTATGAAAGGAATTGAATTTGTAATTAAAAACCTCCTTCCCACATCTAGGATCAAATGGCCTTGCTGGTAAATTTACCAACTTCCCAAGAAAAAAAGGATGCCAATTCTAAACAGACTTTTCAGGAAATTGGAGGGAACACCTCTCAACTCATTTTACATTTTACATCAGCACTTCCCTGATCCCAAAACCAGACAAAAGCCAGACAAGAAAACGACAGATCTCATGAACATACATACACATACCTCCACGCATAAAAACAATATTCAATCAGTGTAGAAGTACTCCACCTAAAGAGCTTCTACAGAACTTGAATCCATTAGTTAAAAATACTAAAATGCCACACTATTTCATTAGTTTGCAACAACCACTGATTAGTATCACAGAGGACTATATTTATTAGCTAAATTTCAATTTAAACCTTAACCTAACTGATGGATGAGATAAAAGGCTCTAATTTTTTTAAAAAAGAGACAGTCACGTGTGGCAGTGCGTCCTGTAACCCGTTACTTGGGAGGCAGAGGCAGGAGAATCGCTTGAACCTAGGAAGTGGAGGTTGCAGTGAGCCGACATAGCGCCACTGCACTCCAGCCTGGGTGACAGAGCCAGACTCCATCTCAAAAAAAAAAAAAAAAAATTAGCCAATCATGAACTTCTGTCTGGATATAAACAGTGATTAAAGCTGAGTATCAAAACAATCTGAATTTAAAACAAGATTTTTAAATTGCTAGATCACACAATTTTAAACCAATATTTTAAAAAATGGAGCACACTTAAACACATGGCTCTGTAAAACACACTGTATAAAAATTTTCTTAAAGTACTTTGGTGCTATTAATTTTAAAAACTTAAACAGATTATTTTATTATTATTGTTTTGAGACAGGATCTTGCTCTGTGACCCAGGCTGGAGCAGAGTCAAACAATCATAGCAGCCTTGACCTCCTGGGCTCAAAACGATTCTCCAGCCTCAGCCTCCCGAATAGCTGGGACTACAGGTGCATGTCACCATGCCTGGTAAATTTTTTTATGTTTTGTAGAGACAGGGTCTCCCTATGTTAGCTAAGCTAGTCTTGAAGTTCTGCTTCAAGTAATCCTCTTGCCTCGGCCTCTCAAAGCCCTGGGCTTAGAGATGTGAGCCACTGTACCCGGCCGATTATTTTATTTTAGCTTATCCTTCTTGCATTTCTATTGCTGTGAATTATTTCTAAGGTGGAGTAGATAAACAAACACACACCAATGTGTCTAGACTGGAATGCAGCTCAACATTCTTATTGATGGAGAATGAATCAAAAACGGTTTTGGACGACTGCTTTACACCACCACAACATACTGAGATCTCCAAAATGCTTGGGACTCCTATGAAGATGAAAGCCAAGACAAGACTATGACCACAGTCAGAGATTACGGGACATCCGTCAATTATACGCCCTCTTTGGGCCTCAATTTTGTCATCTGTCAAAGAGCAATGATTAACGTTCCTCATGGAATTAATTCACAAGAAGAACAATGCCTGGAAAATGACATGGGTGAGGAAGCCCCAGATAAATGTTAGGTAGTGTCGTTATCATCAGATATAGCTCCAGTGTATCATCAGGAATGAACGATCCTAATCACCTGATTCAAAACTGCCTGATGCCTTCACAAAGTTTTTCATCTTTTAAAGAGTGCACACAAACTTTGTCTCACTCAGTGGCTTTCCCTGAGAAGTAAAAGACGAAAAAATGCAAATGGAGTTCTGTTCTAGGGAGAAGCTGGTTAATTATGTGTATAAATGAACTCCAGTTCCCAGCTCCTAGAATTTGGTGTGCTTCCGTGGGTTTACAGGAAGGGCAGAGAGACAGATATCTAGGTATCTGTTGCTCCAAACAATCAGCTCACAGGACACATCTCCAGGGGAAGAACTGGGGAATGTGGAGAATCAGCACTGTGAGTGGGAAGAAACGCTCCTGCTTTCCTCCATCCTAGAGACCCAAGGTGGGTGAGAACAGGGATGTGCAATTAAACAGGATTAAACAAAGGAAAGAGGCAGAAGACAGGCAGCTGCCGCGCGGTCTCAGGTGTTCGTGGCATTCTTTTGTTGGGTGATCTGGCCATCAGAACCCTACAAGCCTGAACATTCTCTGTACTACCTAAGACCTGCAGTGAGCAACAGAATCAAGTGGGGGGTACCGGGGGTTGACAACGCAAAGTGGGAGAGGGAACCGCTTAGAGGGCCGTGCATGTCATTAACGCTGTGTGCCGAGAACCATGTCCTGGGCCTCAGTCTAGAAGAGCTCTATGAAGTGAGACATGGAAGACAGCCCGTGCCACTGGGGCAGACGATGTGGTCAGCTGATGGATGCCACCTGGCTACCTGTGAGAAGACGCTGATGCTATCCCAGGACCAGACACACCTGTGGGATTCTGCTGAGCCTCCACTTCCTGCATGGGCATCCTAAGGGTGCCTGGCCCGTCACCCCACCCCACCATGGGGAAGGTGCTTTGGCATGCTGTCTTTCTTAGGGGCTACTTTTGCAACTGCCTGAACAGCAGGTGTTATGCTTCAAAAGCTTTGTGTGACTGAGAGCAGTGGGTTGAACGGTAGCCCCCAAACAGAAGTCCTCACCCATGGTACTTCTGTCTTGTTTAGAAAAAGGGTCTTTGGAGATGTAATTAAGTTAAAAATCTTGAGATGAGCTCACTTTGCCACGTGGAAACGGAGGCAGAGACTGAAGTGATGTGGCCACAAGCCCAGGGATGCCTAGAGCCCCCAGGAGCTGGGAAAGGCAGGAAGGATCCTCCCCTAGAGCCTACAGAGGGAGTGTGGCCCTGAGACACCTTGATTTCAGACTTCCAGTCTCCAGAACTGGGAGACAGTCAACTTCTGTTATTAGAAGTTGCTGAGTTTTCAGTATCTTGTGGCAGCAGCCCCAGGAAATGAACACACAGGTGCTCTGTTCTTGAATGTGAATGAGCAGAACAGACACTGCCAGGTGTTTGTGGAAGAAGACTCAAACAGGCAGAAGACAGGAATCTGCCAGAAAAAAATGACAATCCAGAGAAAAGTGGGCGAGGAAGCAACAGTCATGATAATAATTAGTATTCATGAAGACATATAAGTTACTGAGTCCTTAAAACAAAAACAGAATGCTAGAAAAGAACAATTCCCAGAAGAAGAAAGAACATATGAGGATTAAAATAAATCAGGAGAGGAGGGCCGACACAGGCAATGTCAGCTACGACACCAAGCTGTCTGGGATGCGGTTCAAGACAGTTGTGGGGGGCAGGTGGTGGACAGACGGCTGCTCTTTCTCGTTCCTTAGAAATATGTCCGGTTTGGCTGGGCATGGTGGCTCATGCCTACAATCTCAGCACTTTGGGAGGCCGAGGTGGGCGGATTACTTGAGGTCAGGAGTTGCAGACCAGCCTGACCAACATGGTGAAATCCCATCTCTACTAAAAACACAAAAATTAGCCAGGCGTGGAGGCACATGCTTGTAATCCCAGCTACTCGAGAGGCTGAGGCAGGAGAATCACTGGAACTCAAGAGACGGAGGTTGCAGTCAGCCGAGATCACACCACTGCACTCGACAGAGAAAGACTGTCTCAACAACAACAACAACAAAAAAAAAAAGAAGGAAAAAAAAAGAAATACGTCGTGATTTTTAAAACATTGACAATATTCAAATATACACAGAAAGAAACTGCCTGATTGATATTGCTTTATTTCCTGTGAGGCAGTTTCACTTCCTGAGGACTACAGAGAAACCCTGTCACCCTCCGGCCTCCATCCTCTTCCTAAGACTCAGAATCTGAGCTGTTACCTGCATCTTTGCGGGTGAAGACATAGCTCATGTGCTTTCACTTCCTGGAAACTTTACCAGGCTTCTCACACCCTTGTAACCCGCTGGGATTCACCACAACACCTCCAGCAGCTGGCTGCAGTTATTGCGGTTGTATGTATGTGGTTAGAAACTTCCACTCAAGAATGAGTCACAACCTCTGCACTCCCAAGACCCCATGCAGACATCCAGTGAATAAACTGCTTATTTCCTGCCGTCTGTTTTCCTCATCCTCGTACTCCATCCTCTCTGTTCTTAGGAATGGAAGGCAGTGGTGGGGGCAGGAATCATTCCTTTTCCTTGCAGTACATGTGTGCAGCATGGAATAGAAAGTGATTTCAGATACATAGTGGGAAGGTGAGCTAGTTTTCCTTTGACTCCATCCATGGCTTATGAAGCAAGCTGAATGCTGGCTGTGGGGGTGTGAGGATGGCCCCTGCACTACACAACAATGCTCAGAGTTTCTCAGGGTTTGTGTTTCCAATTAGGAGGCCACGCTTGGCTGGCACATGCTGGGCCCTCAATAAATATCTATGACCGATATTGAATGGACAATTAAGGCAAAGGTCATTAAAAATAACATTTGGCTATGTGAAAATCACTCAGATTCTAGATTTTAAGTGTTCTCCCCACAAAACATGATGAGAAAGTGAGATGATGCATGTGTTCATTACCTTGACGCAGCCACTCCACAATGTATACATACTTCAAAACACGTTGTGTGTGATAACTATATACGATTTCTATTTGTCAATTAAAAAATAAATAAGTTAAAAAAATAGCATCCGGTTATCCGAGTTCATGGTGGGGAGCCTTCTCATGAAGCGGTTAGCATTCTCCTTTACACAAGACAGACCTGTTACTCTCTAATAAGATGCTGCCTCCTGGAAAATGTGTACCCAGAGAGCACACACGGTCCAGCAGACGTCGCTGTTGTGGTATAGCACATGGAGGCAGGGGATAAGATTCGATGTGATTGACAGGCACATTTATCCAAGAGAAAACTTTCAAGATCTGATGGAGTAATGCAGGGTTTCCATTCTTATTTCTTGCCTACTTGAAGTTCCTTGAGCGAGCTGAAAGCACTTACTGTTGCGAGGCTTCCTAAGGAAACATCAGTTCCAGGTTCTTCACAAATGTCACACGTGATCTCACAAGGGTACCATGTTCTGAACAACACTGAGCTTTGGAATACTAGAATTGTTGGCACTTCACAATGCAAGGACTTGTCTCGCTCTCTGAACCCTGGGTTTTACGTGGGCAACTTGGCAAGTCCACGAGCCTTCGGTCATCAATGGACAGTCAGGGGCCACATGCAGGAAGCTGTTGCTGTGTGAAGAGCTGATGCCCTGAGAGAGTGACCAAGAAGGGAGAAAGATGTCTGCAGGTCAAACAGGCACCTGGGATTCCATAAAATGGATGCAAGTTAACTTTAAATCATAAGGGGTAAGCTGTGTAGGTCAGGTATTTACAAAGGGGTCCACGAAATGGATTTTAGCAAACTTCCTTTAAGTTTAACATCTGTTTAACTTTTAAAAACATATGCTGATGCATTTATTTCTTGTTCAAGATTTATCGAAGGAAACATAATTCCATGAGGACACGCTGCTACCATTGTGATAAATGGATTGGTCATGCTCAGTGAC
Organism: Homo sapiens; assembly: GCF_000001405.40. Lineage (NCBI taxonomy): Eukaryota > Metazoa > Chordata > Mammalia > Primates > Hominidae > Homo > Homo sapiens. Next base: position 7,085,769 of record NC_000023.11, read on the forward strand.
AAAAGTGTCTCCTGGACCAGACTCTACTCAGGCTGCTCTGAGTCTTTTTCTCCACAAGGCCCCCACACTGGCCTATAAAGACTTGAACAAGTTCAACAGCTCAAGGTCACACCGCTACATGACTCTAGCCCCCTTAAAGTACTTGCCTACGAAAACTCAAGGCTGCCAAAATAACTGATTGTTGGTTCCAGCCACTCCTGCAGACAAGCCTCTGTGGAAGGGCAGGAGCCTGACTTCTATCAGCACCAGTGAAACCCAGATGGCTTCACACTGACCAAACCCTCTTCCTGCTTTCTGCAATTTTCACTTCCCCAACTCTGCTGAGCCCCTGCTGACCCCTCCCTACTCCCTGAATTTCCCTTTAAAATGCCCAGTCACCTCTGGGATAATTGATGTTGAGCCCAGTTTCACATTGGTCTCTTTTCTCTATTGCAATAGTATATTATGGAAGAAAATCTGTGCTGATCGCTTTAACTACTGTCTGGCTGTGTTTATCCTTGACACTAGAAAATAACCAAAGTCAAATTCCCCAAAGCATATAGTATTCACATTCATATATATAGTTTTAAAAACTGTGACTTTAAGTATAAATTTAAAAGAAATATTAACTAATTTAGGAAATCTGGCTAATATAGATTCTTGATTTTTTATAAGTTCTGTATGTTTATCTATTAAAATGGAACCATCACTTACAAACACTACTGTGCGCTTTTTAGTTCCCTCACAGGAAACCTCTGGTAGCCACAGCCACTGTGAGTGGGCGTCTCTTAATGATTTACTGCAGAGCCATGCCTCAGGCTATCCCTCTTCTGATCTTCTCCAAGCTCTAGGGAGCATGCTTCTTTCTCAGACATCATTGATTTTGGCAGAGCACCTCCTTCCTTTTTCTAGGCCTTCCAAATGAATTCTGCTCTTTTGAAAAGGTGCTTGCTGCTAGGGAGAGGGCCCTTGGCTGTGTGCAGATCTTCAGTCCTAATTTACTAGGGACCCGGCACCAACTCAAAGCTAATATCAGGGATCGCCACTTATGGAATTTGCACCACAGGATCCGGCTTATGGAATTGAGTGACTAACCTATATCCTGGACGTAAGACAGTGTGGTAGTGTGGAAGGAAAGGAAACAGGAGAAAGGAATTGGGTTGAGGGGCTGGAAGAGGAGCAAGGCTCTGGCAAGACTGGCTGAACCTCATGGAACACTCCAGCCAAACACGACTGACTGAGTCCGCGCCCCAGCTCAGGGCCCTCCTGGGGCAACCTGAACAGTGGCAGTCTGAGCTGGGAGTAGGAAAGTATGGGTGGAGGTGTACTGGCTTGACAGTGCTCTCCCCACAAAATTCATGTTCACCTAAAACGTGGGAATAGGACCTTAGTTGGAAATAGGGTCTTTGCAGATGTAATCAAGTTATTATGAGGCCATACTAAATTAAGGTTGGACCCTAAATCCAAAGAAAGGAGAGGGAAATTTGGAGACAAAGACACACAGGACGAGGGAGGGCGTGTGAAAATGGAGACAGAGATTGGGGAGTTGAAGGTACAAGCCAAGGAAAGCTAAGGGTGGCCGGCAACTACCAGCAGCTGAAAAGAGGCAGGAAGGATCCTTCCCTAGAGCCTTGAGAGGGAGTGCAGCCCTGCTCACACCTTGACTTCGGACTTCTAGCCTTCTGAGGTGTCAGACAGTTAAGTTTCTGCTGCTTTAAGCCACGGAGTTTGTTAATTAACACAGCACTACCAGGAAGCTAATACAGTGGGTTGACCCTGGAGGAGAAAACTTGGATAGACTGAGGTTCTATCTGTGAGATGACCTTAAACCATCTTAATTATCTTTCTCAAATTCTGGTACTTGACACACAAATTTGTGATACTTGATGGGGAGACAGTGTGGGAAACCTGTGTTTCCTTTTTTGGCAAACATTAAATACTGACAGAAATAAAGCAGTTATGAAAATAAATATAAACTAACTCCTTTCAAATCTTCAAACAAACAGTTGCAAGAGTCCAGTTTACATTTATTTGGTCTGCTGGTCCCAGGGCAATACAGGCGATGAGCATCCGACTGCCTTTGCTGTTCTACCCACAGCTGGCTGCTTGCTTTGTGGCAATAGGTGCTGTCTAATGTTCTCCGGGGTCACTGAAATGTGATCGGCCTAAACTCCTCCAGCCAAAGAAGCACCTTTCTCTAGAATCTCGTTATCAGTATCACTGATGGCACAGCTTGTGTTCTGGTCCAATTTCATAGACTTATAGCAGAATTTTAGATTAAAATGGAAAGCCAGGGAGGGCAATTCAAACCACTGATCAATGCCTGGTAATTAAGGATGGATCAAATAATAAAAATTAAAACAAAACTATTTTTTTCAGCCATTGAAAATAAAAGAGACAAAGTAATATAGAGAGTAATGCAGAAATTTTATTTAAGGAAAATTAATTTTGCATTTCTACATTAGTTTTTATGAAGTAAACGTAGGACTACAGCGTGTAATTTTTTTTTTAAGTAGCAACAGGATTTTACCAGGCTGGTCTCAAACTCCTGTCCTCAAGCAATCTGCCTACCTTGGCCTCCCACAGTGCTGCAACTACAGGTGTACAATGTGATAGTGGGACTGAATGGTCTCTCTCATTCCTCTGCTAAGCACTAGGACTTTAGAAGAAAAGCCTCTCCACCTGATCCTACTGACCCTAAGTGCCCCTCCTCCAGGCAGGACTTGACACCTTAATGTTAAAAATGACTCAATATTTCCCTGTGCTGTAGATTTGTCTCTGTAACAACTTAACGTGAAAATTTCCCTCTCACTATAGCATGGTGTACTGATCCTTGATCCTTGTTTTCCCTTATAAAGAATGACTAGACTAGGACTTAAACAATAAAATGCCGTTTTATTAATAGCATGGGATACATGTGAGTGTCCTTGTGTTCCAGATTTGCCACTGTAACAATTTACATACAAATTGCCCTCTGACTCTAGCAAGTAGTACTAACCCCTGATCCCTTTTTTAAATCCCTTGCAGAGAATTATTAGACTAGTACTTCGCAGTATAATGCCCTTTTAATAAGCACATGGAATGCATGAGAGTTTCCTTGTGTTCTAGATGTGCCTCTGTGACAACCTGCATGCAAACTGCTCTCTGACTCTAACGTTGGCTACTGATCCATGATCCTTGCTTCTCTCTCCTTTTAGAAAACGGCTATACTAGGAATGAACAGCATAATATCAACAAAAATGACAACCAAAGTTTAAGTTCTAAGCCTCTTGAAAGGGAGGAACAAATATATAGATTACAGGAGTGTCTGGAAAGGATGCATGTTCCCCAGAGGACAACATTTCAGATGTGGGTTGCCACAACAGAAGAGTGGGGGCTGAGCCGCCAGGCAGATTCTCAGTAAGCTACACAGCACCACCTGGGGGCACAGGTGGGAGCCTTCTCCAAACTCGAAGTTACTACCTGTAGTCAGTTTTTCCATCAGTGGGCCTCGAAATGTTGGTGTTTAAGAGTTGTTGTCATGAGGTAACTTCCTTCCCCAGAGAAGAGTTCTCCAGGATCTTTTTTGGTTGTGCATAAAAGAGAGTGAGGTGAAGGGACCTGGTGGGCTCACAGCGCAGGGTGCAGGGATCTTTTATCTACGTCCTCCACTGTGCCTGATCACCGGAGATCTGAAGTCTCTCTGGCTCTGTGTATAAACCTGTTTTCTGCCCCAGGTGGCATTCTGAATGCACAGCTTGGGGTGGAGGGCCCAATGGCTCCACTACTTCACATCCGGGATTTCAACCTGCTCTGTGGTGTTTTAGCTCTTCGTTTTATCCTGCCTTTTGTTTTTTTTTGAAACACAAATTCAACTTACTACCTGTTTTTAAATGAAAAGAGTCAAAAAATATGATCTTATAACCTGTGAAAATGAGATGAAGTTCCACTTTCTGTGTCTGTAGAGACAGTTTGACTGGAGTGCAGCACCAGCACCCACTCACGCACTGTTTACAGCTACTTGCTTCTTAACACAGCAAAGCTAAAGGCTTCACACATATACCATGGGGTCTGTAAAGCTGAAAACACAGAGAAAGCTTATTGGCCCCTGATAGCAAACAAATCATGTGCAGGCCCAAGAGGTGAAAGAAAAGAGGGGGTAACATCAGGAAGACAGAAAAGTAAGAGGTAAATTTTGTAATGCAGGAAATCAGCCAGGCATTGACACCTAACCCCTTTGCCCCCTTGCCTGTGACACTAATAGGAAGAATTATTGTCAGTTCTTCAAGAAATTCATGCACAGACCAGATAGGAAATTTACCTCATGAGAGAACTGCCCTCCTAGAAACGGAATCCAAAAATCCCCAACGAGTTTCTTCCATTAACCACTTAACTAAATATTCTCTACAAGTGCTCAAATTATTAGAGCGTTATTAGAGCAAATTATCAAAACAATGTTGAGAATTTAAAGTATATATAGTATCTAAATATTATATATACTATATAATAACTCATTGAAAAACATATAGCATAAGGGTTTATTAATGTTTATTAAAGTCTGATGTTCAGTTCCTGTACTTATGCAGCTAAATCCAAATACAGATATATTTTAGCTTACCATGCATAGAATATTTTATGAGCCATAGACCCACCATTTCAATGCAACCAAAGGAGCAGAAATTTTTAAATTTAAAAAAATTTTTCTTAGCCCTGTGAAATTGAATTCATATAAATCCCTAATAGACAAAAAGGATGTATATAAAGATCAAATCAATTTGATATACCAACATGCTTAAAATCTCCTTATTAAATTGCGCTTACAATAGGCTGTGCATGGTACAAAGAAAACTCAGTAAAATAAGACTCATACAACCCAGACAGTATCTGCATTGGGAATTTCGTACTATTTTCTAAAATGTGGGACATTCAGGAAATGTCCACTTCCCCCTAGCTAGCTGGTAAGTGACCCTTTGATCATATGCCTCACATCTCATCTCAGTCTTACAGGGACAGGCAGTTTCAACACCAGAAGCTCCTGTGTTGTCACAATGAAGAGGCTGGAGGCTACCATGTAAGCGACCCACTAGCCCCGACTTCACCCCAACCAGGCCAGACACAATCAGACACAATCTTGTGCTCCCCGCCATGTGACAAAGGTTACTACCACTGGCAAATTCTGAGTTCAGTGTGCAAATGTGCTATCAGTTTCAGAATCTGCTCTTTGCCCTGAAAATCAAGTAAAATGCATTCTTTTGTATTATGTAACAGATGAGAAGGAGATGACTTTGCAGAGTTTTACGTTGATATGAGAAAGAAGTGGCACTGAACACTTCCAAAGGGTCAATGGTGACTCCATGAAAAAGACTTTATGATCGTCAGGAGCCTCCTGTCCTCACAGAAGCTATACCAGCATTCTTTCTGGAGATTATATGATCTCTGTAGCCAGCTGTCAATGGTAAATAAAAAAGAAAGGGAAAGATACCGAGGAACAGTATTTTGTTCTGATCAGGACACACTTAGTTCACCACTTGACTGTGGTAACTCAGGTCTCCTAGGTTTCACTAGAATGTGGAAAGCTCTGGAAACTCAAAGGGAAGGCACATTTAACTGGACTTTTTATTCGTTCTTTTTAAGACAGAGTCTCACTCTGTCACCAGGCTGGAGTGCAGAGGCATGATCTCAGCTCACTGCAATCTCTGCCTCCCTAGTTCAAGCAATTCTCCTGCCTCAGCCTCTCAAGTAGCTGGAACTACAGGCGCCCGCCACCATGCCCAGCTAATTTTTTTTGTATTTTTATACAGACAGGGTTTCACCATGTTGGCCAGGCTGGTCTCGAACTCCTGACCTCAAGTGATCCACCTGCCTTGGCCTCCCAAAATGCTGGGATTACAGGTGTGAGCCACCGCGCCCGGCCTTAAATGGACTTTTTCTTTCATTGGCTTTCTTAAGATCTGGAGAACCTGACCAACTATCTCAAAATACTGACCATCCTCAGAAAAATATTTGATTTTGTGTCTTCTTTGATTTGCCAGAAAGCTGCTTACAGTACTAATTTCATTTACTTTGAATCACTTTTCGGGTTGCTACTTCTAAGGATCTATCACTACAAAATAAATGTATAAAACAGCTATTTAAATAGCTTATGATTAATAGCCAAAGGAAAAGATACAAACTAGGAAATGTTAACATAATAGCTCATTCAATTTTCCTGATTTTCTACTATAGCTCTCTACGTGATTAAACAATGTAAATTCTCTTACCTAAACAAGCACAAGTATTATAAAACCCAATCTGAAGAAGGCATTTAACTCATCGTAGAGAATGCCATACCTGAGGTTCTCAATAAAAGCAGCCTGGTAATGGCCTACAAGGCCAGGGTCAAACTTCTCCTTCTCCGTTTCACTTCTCTGAACCTGTATCCTCACCTACATAATGCAAATAAGAACAACCCTGACTACGTCACAAAACAAACATAAAAGTGCAAATGATATAAAGATTGGGAAAGAGTTTCAGTTTTCAATTTCTTCACAAATAAGAGGTAACAGAAAAGTATTCTTCTTTTAAATAACTCACATCAAAAATGGATTCATTTTGCCTTATGCATTCAACAATAAGACAAAAATAACAGAATACTTTAAGTTATAGTAATCCCAAACTAATTTTAAAGTTCTTAACCTAATTTGTGGACTACTTACTATAAAATATCATAGTTTCCTATTGTCAATTTTTTTTTGCAAATATTTCATAGAAATTTCAGTTTTATGGCTAGAGCTTTGTTGTGAGGAGTTTCTGTTGATGGTGTCTCTGTCAATAGTCTCAAATATTAAAGTCTTGCTCTTACAGTCTACTCTCTAAGGAATCCTCTAGAAAGGAGAGAGTAAGACTTTCCCTGTATTCTTGTGTCTACCATGCTATGGAGATGAAAGGTCCCACCGTATAGAAGTGGTGCAGAAACCACCTCAAGAGAGTAGGCGTGGTGCGAGGTACTCCTGACCTCACTCAAACCTGCCCATGACACTGGGCCCAAGTCCCCATGACCCAGGTGCTTGGGGCGTATGAGAGACACCTGTCTTCCCTGATAAGAGTGTATGATTCTGTTGGGGATAAGGAGATGCACTTATCCACAACACTTATGTGAAAAACCACATTTGTGTCTACTCACTACAGGCTTTCTACCTCATCTGCACAGGAGCTTTGCCAAAACACAACTCCAAAATCCTTGAATGGCTTCTTGCCATTTGAAAAAGAATAACTATTGTTGTATGTGGTAAAACACCTACAATATAAAATGTACTGTTTTAATGATTTCTCAGTGTACAATTCTGTGGCATTCAGTACATTCACATTGTTGTACAGCCATCACCACCATCCATGTCCAGAACGTGTTCATCTCCCCAAGGTGAAACTCTGTCCCCATTAAATGCTAAAACCTCCATCCCCCTCCCCCAGCCCCTGGCAATCACAATTCTACTTTCTGCCTCTATGGATTTGACAACTCTAGGGACATCATACTGAAGCAGGAGAATAGGGTCTGGAGGCAGGGAACCGAAAGCTGATTCATGCTGACTTCCCAGAACTCAATCAAAAGGAAAACCCCAACTTTCCATGCCCAAGTAACAAAAGGACTGGATGCTATTCCCTTTGCAAGCCTCTCCTACCTTCTCTGTGTGGCAGATGGAAAACTGAAAGTATTTCTCATTGGTTGCTTTGTGCAACCATTTCTACTACTGGCGCCAGGAGGCTGTGAGCGGGTGCTGGGACTCGGGGCAAGCTGGCAGCGCTCTACACCTGGATGCTCACCTAAAAGTCACTGCCCTCCCCACTCCCTCGTCCTGACTGCAGTGTGCAGAGAGTGCTGGCACCTAACACCCCTCAAAGCCTGTCTGTGCAGCTCCACAGTGCTGTCCTATGCTGTGAGCACACCCCTCCCGGAGGGACAGTGACTTGATTCAACCCATTGTGGTCATTTATCTACTCATTTCCTCTCCTTTGAATCGAGAGGTCCTTGAGGTAAGGATTTCTCTTGTTCATTATCCTATACTCCTAAAGACTTAGAAATCCACAGGAGAACCACCACACATTTAGAAACAGAAACTGGGCCAGGTGTGGTGGCCCATTCCTGTAATCCTAGCACTTTGGGAGGCTGAGGCAGGAGGATCACTTGAGCCCAGGAGTTTGAGACCAGCCTGAACAATATAGTAGGGCCCTGTCTCTACAGAAAAGAAAGAAATAATTAGCTGGGCATGGTGGCACACATCTGAAGTGTCAGCTACTTGAGAGGCCAAGGTGGGAGGATCGCTTGGGTTTGGGGGGATCACTTGAGCCAGGGAGGTCAAGGCTGCAGTGAGCCATGACTGCACCACTACACTCCAGCCTTGGCAATAGAGTGAGATCCTGTGTCAAACAAACAAAGCAAAAAATATAAATTGTAATTCTTTGAGAAACATCTCCACATGCGCAGTGAGGTAATATCTAGGATGATCAGAAGCAAAGATTTGTATCTTATTCTCCTTAGTCTAGGATGTCTTCATTACAATTTACTAAATAACAAGGCAATTAGCTGCCTATGAAAGTCACTATATTCAGAAAAGAGGAATAATGTCCATATACATCATTGAATAAGCTGATTTTTTTTTTTTTTTTTTTTTGAGACGGAGTCTCGCTCCATTGCCCAGGCTGGAGTGCAGTGGCGTGATCTTGGCTCACTGCAAGCTCCGCCCCGCGGGTTCACGCCTTTCTCCTGCCTCAGCCTCCCAAGTAGCTGGGACTACAGGCGCCTGCCACCACACCCGGCTAATTTTTTGTATTTTTAGTAGAGACGGGGTTTCACCGTGTTAGCCAGGATGGTCTCGATCGATCTCCTGACCTCGTGATCCGCCCGTCTCGACCTCCCAAAGTGCTGGGATTACAGGCATGAGCCACCGCGCCTGGCCAATAAGCTGATACTTTAAAGGAAAAGGGGGGTAAGAATTTTCATTTACATTTACATTTGACTGGCAAATGGGCTTCTTCCTCCCTACGATCATAAATTTTCCTGAACATGGGGCTAATTCGATTTGTTAAACGGAAAAGGAACACAGCGTAAGTTGAATGTGTTACCATGACTGTCAGCGTACAATTTTCCTTTTCGCTTGTTGTGTGTGTCCTTTAATTGTGCTGTTATCCAAGGAGTACAATCTGCCTAAGTAAAAATCCCTGAGGTCCAGCTTTGCCAGCAGAGCCTCTCCAGCGACTGAGAATCAGCTGAGTGCCCCAAATCGAGACCACCACCAGAAACGGAGCTGGACGAGGCAGAGTCCCCGAGCACTGGGGACTTCTCCACATGGGTTATATATGGCCTTAAAGGGCTCAGCCCTGTGACCCGTGTCAGAACACATCTTCTCCCCTTTGTACTCTGATGTTGTCTACCTCAACAGAAGGTCACCGCCACATCATCTGGGGCAGTAGAGCGCCGTGGCTAAGAGCTATGGACTCTTCATTCCCCACCTGGGTTCGAGGCCAGCCTCCATAATCAGAGGCTGCAAGCTTTTGGACAAGTAACTTGACCCCTGCAGTCCTACCTGCCATTCCCTGTGCTAAGAGCGACTGCTTCTTAGCGGCGGCAGGAGGCTGACACATACCCCCACGAGTGAAAGCACTGAGAGCATGACATGCAGTGAGTCCTCAATGCTTGTGAGCCAACACGACCATAGTGGACACCAACAAGGAAAAGTGGCATGAATACCCTTCAGGTGCATGTTTCCTGAACATGGCACAGAGAATGTGTTCTGGGGTTCCTAGGCACTGTCCATCTTAATGAGACTCGAAGCCCCAACACCCTGGGTAGATCTAACTGGCATAGCCCCAGCACCGAGCTGTGAAATCTGGCTGAGGATAGGCCAGGAATGACAGGCAGGTGGAGACACAGTTTGTGCCATGTACACAAATGGGTCCCTCTTCTCTGTGAGGCTCCTGCCACCTAGGTGTTATACTGCCCCTCAACACTGAGGCCTGCTGCCCAGACTTAGAAAGTAATGGATTATCAGAGCGGCCTATAAACCAAGGGCTATAATTCTTCTGCTGGCTTCCTTCTTGGCCTGGAAGCTGACCTGGGTGCTTCCTGGTTCCTAAAGGTAACAGCTGGCCCTGAAGCCACTGGCACAGGAGACGGAACAAGAGATGTGACTGTGTCAGTGTGGACATATGAAAATCTACAGGACTGTAAGGGTGTGGACAGCACAATACCTCCATCACTAAGGAGGACAAACCAAAGCAGCACAGCTTGCCTGCTGAGGTCTTCTGGAAGCTGTCCTTGACACAAGAATCATGTTAGCACTGCATGGACTAATGCAACCTTGTAAGTGCTCCCAGGCAGGAAGTGCTCTGAGTGCCTTCCCATCCCAAGGGATGTCCAGCATTTCAGGGATCCACAGTGACAATTCATTTAAGAGCTAGGAAAAAGATGTCCTCACTTTTGTTAGACCTACTTCCAAAAAAAAAAAATTGACTAACAATTTAATTAAAGCATTTGGGATTTCTGTCCCATTAATCTATAGGTACTTGCTCTGGATCTTGGTGAATTATGTCAGCGGCCTCATTCCATAAAGGTGCATGTAGGTGAGTGTAGGTGAGCATATCTCTGTGTGCCTGTGGGTCTACACACAAACACATAGGCATCATAAGACAAGGGGTGAAATGAGGTACCTTAAATAGTTAAACACTGAGTAACGGTTATCTCCAGGGAGTAGGAGAGTGGGAGTTAGAAGGGCTTCCAATTTTAATGCTATACATTTTTGTACCGTGTGAAACAAGTGTAATTTGTGTAATTAAAGAAAAAAAAAAGGCCCAGTGTGGTGGCTCATGTCTGTAATCCCAGCACTTTGGGAGGCTGAGGAAGGAGGACTGCTTGAGGTAGAACTTTTGAGACCAGACTGGGCAACATATCAAGACTCTGTCTCTACAAAGAAAAAAAGAAAAAAACCTTAGTGGGTGTGGTGGCATATAATTGCAGTCCTAGCCACGCCAGAAGCTGAGGTGAAAGCATTGCTTCAGCCCAGCAGTTCGAGGCTGCAGTGAACTATGATAGCACCACTGCACTGCAGCCTGGGTGACAGAATGAGACTGTGTCTCCAATGGAAAAAAAAGCATATCATGATTGTGGTTTTTTTTTTATCCTGAAGGGATATTCTCCCTACTTAAGATCATCCTTTCATTCCTCTAGTGACAAATTTCATGATGCGAAAAATGATGTGTTTCATGAGACACACTGGAAAGGAAAATCTCCTTTACTGAATCCACCAATTCAAATGCTAATCTCCTCCAGAAAAACCCTCACACACACACTCCAAAGAATGTTCCGTCTGGACACCTCATGGCCCAGTCAAGGGGGGTGCATGTCTTTTACCATCACCCTGGCCTTCCTCTGGCCCATCTCTTCTAGGCTGCAGGCGTTGTGTGCCACAAACCCAGAGGATTCTCCCCAAGTGCAGGTTGCATTCTGACACGCCTCCTTTTAAAAATCCCAATGGTTCTCCCTATCCAGAAAGCAAACAGATGAGCTGGGGAATAAGAAGCTCAACTCATAGAGCCACAATTCCTCTCTGAAGCTTGTGAGCCATGAGAAGCTTGGCTTCATGCTGTATAGAAGCAAACTCACTGGCTGACTGGAATCCTCCACAGGTGCTGTTTTCCTTTTGAAATGGCTTCTCCCATCTGTATCTCTTCTGTTCTTGTGGACTCCCCCGAGGTCACCCCCTACCCCAGGAGCGGCCACTACTCCAAGAATATCTTGCTTTACTTAATTCTACATCCCTTTGGCATCTCTTTCCTGAATTTCTCATTTTGCTGTGCAACAATATCCTACCACGGGTTTTCACTTGGATGCTGCAGATATGCCTGTCCCCTCTCCCCAAATGGATGACATACTCCATTAGGAAAGAGACCTTTCTCCTGTGTCCCCCCGAGCACTCACTCAGCACTACATGCACGAGAGTTCAGAGGAAAGAGAGGCAAGTTGTTAGCTGACTTCCAGAGGATGAGTGCCTTCCTGCCAGATGCTCCTAATGGAAAGGGTGGGGGTGTATCTGTTAACAGCCAGGAAGACAACGGTGTAAGAAAATAAACCAAGAACAAAATTAAAAAGAAAAAAAGTAGAAGGATGGAAACAACCATAATTACCTAAGTCAGCCTGAGGAGGAAGGCTTACTTACAAGAGGAAGACACAGCTTGGACAGAAAGAGGACTAGAGCCCATGTCATGTGCATGGTGTCCATGTCATGGCTGGTGTGTGCTTTTCAACGAAGCCGAGCAGGGATGGAGAACGACCTTACTAACTCCTCAAGGTGGGATTCAGGGTGAGGACTGGATCCTCCTGGGTTAGGAGATGACACAAGTGCCTGCTAGGAGCCACTCACTGGGCCAGGTGTAACCACACATGCTCCAAGGTTGTCTTACAGCAATGCCCCAGGTGTTAGTCTGTTTGTGCTGCTATAACAAAATATCTGGGACTGGACACTTGTAAAGAACAGAAATGTATTTCTCACACCTCTGGAGGCTGGGAAGTCCAAGATCAAGGCATCAGCAGGTCTGTCTCTGCAGAGGACTGCTCCTTGCTTCAAGATGGTACCTTGTTGCTGTACCCTCCAGAGGGGAGGAATGCTGTATCCTCAGGTGACAGAGGAATGGAAGAGCAGGCCTTACCCTCTAGTCCTTTCATGACAGCCCTAATCCCATCCATGAGGCTCCACCTTCAGGACTTAATCACCTCCTGAAGGCCCCATATCCTAATCCTATCACACTGGCAATTAAGTTTCAACACTAGATTTGGGGGACACATTCAGATCATAGTACCCCACAGTGGGCATGTCAGTCAGTACTCCTACTGTCCTAAGGGGACTGGGGCTGGACAGCAGGAGGAGTGCTCCGCTGCAGAGCTGTGACTGGACCCATCCTTTCTACCACACAGGCCACACCTGCTCCCTCCCCTCAGCCACCTAAGGGGAGCTCTGGCACCCATCCACGACTCTCCAGGGGGCCAGGGTTCTAGTTTGCTTTTTCTGCTCCAGATGGTCTGAGAGGGGGAAAGTAGAGGGCAGGAAGTTAACACCAGAGAGCCTGGTGCAGGCGGTAAGGGCCAAGAGATGCAGGGGAGAGCCGGCCAAGAGATGCAGGGGAGAGCCGGCCAAGAGATGCAGGGGAGAGCCGGCCAAGAGATGCAGGGGAGAGCCGGCCAAGAGATGCAGGGGAGAGCCGGCCAGGCTGAGGAGCACATCTGCAAGGCAGGCTGTCCTTTCTACTGGCCCAGATACCATGCCCTGGGCTCTTCCTCTAGGAATCTCATGCTTAGTGAAAACACATGGGAAAGCAGAGAGCTGGGACAACAGAAAAAACTCCTGGGGGATTCTACACAATAAAAGGCACCAACTTTCTTCTTATTGGTCTTTGAATCCAAATTACCCTCGCTGAGTTATAATGAAATGTAGAATTTCATCTGTCCCAAGGAATTCATTACTGAAAGGATTTGTTCAAGATACAATGGAGGTAACCAGCATAGGCTATGTTTTAAACAAGATTTTCTGATATCCTAAGTGAAGATTTTTTTTAAGTAATGTGACATACATTTCCAGTTGTAATACGGTACCTATTTTTAAAATCCCTAGAAAACTCACAAGAGATGAACCACATGCATTTTTTCCTCTAAAATTTGTGCCACAATTTAAAAGTTTATTTTCCTAAAATAATTTAAGCCTTGGCTGACCGACAGTTTACATGGAACCATGAAGCCATATAAGAAATGCCTACAGAACTAACTGCTCAAAAGGATTTCCCACTGAGGACATCGTAGGCCCACCCACCTTTTCATAGAGAGGGCCTTCCAGAAATGTGATGATAGCAAATAGGCAGCTGATGTGCGAGTGCATCAGGGCCACTCTGCCTCGTCTTTCAAGTCCATTAGGTCCACCTTGTCTTCTTAGTGGCTAGACTGGCCCAGGCAAAGAGCCCTCCTATACCATGACCAGGCAGACTCACCTCTGCTTCATAATCAGGGCAAAGATACACTTCTATACCATGATCAAGCCAAAGATACACCTCTGCACCATAATCAGGGGGCTGATTCCTTGGTGACTGGCCCAGGCAGACATGCCCCCACATCATACTCAGGCTGATGCCCTGGTGATTGGCCAAGGCAGACACACCCTGCAGCATAATCAGGCTGATTCCCTGGTTATTGGTCTAGGTAGACACACTCCCGCAGCATAATCAGGCTGATTCCCTGGTGACTGGCCAAGGCAGACACCCATCCGTCCCCCACCTCACCCCATCCCGTCCCCCTCCCCGGCCCCCTACCACCCACCCACCAACAGCATAATCAGGCTGATCCCCTGGTGACTGACCAAGGCAGACACACCCCTGCAGCATAATTGGACTGATTCCTCGGTGATTGGCCAAGACAGACACACCCCCAAGAATAATCAAGCTGATTCCCTGGTTATTGGCCCAGGTAGTCATGTCCCTGCAGCATAATCAAGCTGATTCCCTGGTGACTGGCCCAAGCAGACACCCTCCTGCAGCCTAATCACAGCACACAGCCCCTGCAGCATGATCAGGGGCTGCTTCCCCTGGTAATCTACCATTCACTCCGGCAATTTAACTTGCTAAATACCTCCTTGGGTTCGGCTGTCGCTCTGAAAGCATGTGAAAAAGAATGACGTTGAATTAAAAAGCCCTCCCTACAGACAGCTTTCTTTTCTAAAGAGCTCAAGGTCATTTCCACAACCTAACATACCCTACCAGAAAATACTTCCAGAAGGAAAAGAAACAAAGTCAAGGGTTATATTATCATCTACACCTTAAGAACAGGAACAAAGTAGTAAGTGAGCAAAATGAACACCTAGAAGAAAGACTACAGCAGCAAGTTTCTCTGAATCTAGTCACCAGAGCAATGACGCTATAAGGTCACCTTCCGAGGGGAATTCAGGTTTGGCGCAGATAAAAGAGGAGATGGGAGGAGTGCAAAATGAATGGAAACTAGGTCTCCAAGAATGTTCTTTCAGGACAGAAGAGCTATTTTATCTTCATTTTTGTGACTGGTATAATATTGAGCAGAAACCCTAAGGAAGAACACATTTCTGGATTGGAATTAGGCACGGCCTGTCTTTCTGCTCTATACATTCAGTCCAACATTGTCCTCCTCTGGCTTGCTTTCCCTTCAGGTTAAGTATGATTTCTAATAATTTTGTCTTATCCTACACCTAACTCGTTTCAGAATACCAAAGCGGCACATCATCTGACCACTGTCCCTGCACATCATCTGAGCCAGCATCCCAGCATGATTTTAAGTTTCTTCTCTCCAGCATTACCTTGTGCATTTCTGTATACTCTTCAAGTCTTCTGCATGCTCTGCTCTGTCAAAGCACAGCTAATTGTGTATATGGCATGTAGATATGATCATTTTCAAAGAGAGACTTTCAGTATTGAAGTCCCTACTCGCAACTGAGCGGCTAGTAAAAGTTAAAATAAGTATATGCGTGTGCACACACACGCGCACACACAAATCATATGCCAAAAAACATGATTTGTCAAGTCAAAAAAAAAAAAGTTAAAGAGGTCAAAAAGTAGTAAAGAAAGAAAAGAGAGCCATCTAGATAAGTTCTATAGGACTGAACTATCTTTGAAGAACTAGCTCCTGGCTGGTTGTTCACCTTCTATGAGTTTCTATGATTGGCACCTTACTTAATCTGATACCTGCTCGCTTAGAAAGCCAAATGAAGACACTACGTTGATGGGATCACCAAGTAGATTCCATAAAACAGATTCACTAGCACTCCAGCCAAACTACCAGACTATCTAGATAAAACATTTTTTTCTTTTTAAGAATTGCAGTAGAACATATTTCAAGTATATCTTAGAATATAGAACAAAAAGTGTAGAAAGAAAACCATGTGAAAGGCTTGGGTAGATATGGAAGAAATAAGACACGTGCATGCCTCATACATCATGAGTGCTTTGTAAAGTCACAAAAGACACTCAGTCACAGAGTAACTTTATGGACAAACCTTAGCTACATTAACTAAAAAAACAAAAAACAAAAACACTCATATGACTAAAATCAGAAATGCAAGGGGCAACACTACAACCAATGCCACAAAAATAAAGGAGAATACTATTTGTTGGCATATCCTTTGACAACAAATTGGATAACCTAAAAGAAATAAAAGAATTCCTAGAAACACACAACCTACCCAAACTGAATCATGAAGACAGAGAATCCCTGATGATTTTGAGAAGGGGGAAAAAATGAAGACATAGAAAATCTGAACAGATCTGTAAGTAGTAAGGAGACTGAATCAGTAATAAAAGAAAACCTCCCCACAAAGAAAAGCCCAGGACCAGATGGCTTCACTGGAGAACCCTACCAAACATGGAAAACACTATATGAAAAACAAAATACAGATCAATATCCCTGATGAACACAGGTTAAAAAGTCTAAATAAGATATTAGCAAACAATTCCACAGCAAATTGAAAGGATCATATACATGAACAAGTGAAGTTTATTCCTGGAATGCAAAAATGGTTCAACATATGAAACCACATTTACAGAATAAGGAACCAAAAAAAAAAAAAAAAACAAAAACCGCAATTGATGCAGAAAGAAAACGCATTTGAAAAGCTCCAACACCCTTTCACGATTAAAAACAGTCAAATTAAGGATAGAAAAAAAAAACTACCTCAACATATTAAAGGCCATATATGAGAAGTTCACAGCTAATATCATTCTCAATGAAGACTAAAGCTTTTCTTCTAAGTTCAGGAACACAACAAGGATACACACTCTTGTCACTACTAGACAGTATAATAATGGAAGTCTCAGCCAGGCAATTAGGCAAGAAAACACAACAAAAGGCATCCAAACTGGAAAGGAAGAAACAAAATTATCTTTGTTCACAGATTACATGATCATATATATAGAAATCACTACAATTCAACATATTAAAAAAAAAAACCCAATTGTTAGAACCAATAAGCCAATTCAGCAAAGTTGTAGAATACACATCAAACAAAAATCAGTTGCATTTTAATATACTAACAATGAACAAGTTGAACAGAAAATTATAAACAATCCCATTTATAATAGCATCAAAAGAATAAAATACCTAGAAATAAGAGAAGTGAAGGACCTATAAACTGAAACTACAAAACAAAACACTACTGAAAGAAAGACACAAATAAATTGAAAGACATCTTATGCCCATGGATGGGAAGACTTAATATTAAGACATTCATAGCATGCAAAGCAATCCTACAGATTCAATGCAATCCCTATCAAAATCCCAATGGCATTTTGAGCAGAAACAGAGAAATACATCCTAAAATTCATAAAAAATCTCAAGGGATCCCAAATAGCCATAACAATCTTGAAAAAGAACAAAATCGGAGGTCTCACATGTCCTGATTTCCAAACATATTACAAAGCTACATTCATCAAAACAGTGCAGTACTGGCCTACATACTAATAGAATAGAATAGATAGCCCAGAAATACACTCTCACGTATTTGTCAAACGATCTTCAACGAGCCAGCCAAGACTACTCAATGGGGAAAAGATAAGTCTCTTCAACAAACAGTGTTGGGAAAACTGGACATCCACGTACAAAAGAATGAAGCTAGATTCTAATTAACACCATACACAAGAATTAACTCAATATGGATTAAAGTCCTGAATGTAAGACCTAAAACTAAAACTCCAGGAAGAAAACATAAATTAAAGTTTCATGAAATTGGAATTGGCAATCATTTCTTGGCTATGACACCAAAAGCACAGGTAACAAGAGCAAAATTAGACAAATGAGATGACATATGTCAAATTCATCTAATCAAAAACTTATGCACACCAACAACTAAGCGAAAAGGGAGCCAGAATGGGAGAAAATGGTCATAAGTCATATGTCTGATAACAGTTTAACATTCAAAATACATAAGGAACTCCTACAACATAAAAACAAAAACACAAAAATCAAAAATAAGCAAAGGATGTGCACAGACATTTCTTCAAAGATAATACAGAAATGGCCAACAAGCAAATGAAAAGATTCTTGCCATCCCCAATCATCAGATATGCAAATCAAAACCATAAAGAGATATCAACTCACACCCATTAGGATGACTACTATCAAAAAAATCCAGGAAATGGCAAGAGTTGATGAGAATGTGGAGTAATTGGAACCCTTATAGATTTTTGGTGGGAATATACAATGGTGTAACAACTATGGAAAACAATATGGTGGTCACTCAAAAATTAATAATAAAATTACCATGGGATCCAGCAATTCCACTTCTGGGTATATCCCAAGAGACTAGAAAGCAGGATCTCAAAGAGATATTTGTACACTCATGTTTATATAAGCATTATTCACAAGAACAGCCAAGGTGTGGATGCCACCCAAATGTCCCTCAACAAATGAACTATGAATAAACAAAATGTGGTCTAACATACCATAGAATATTGTTCAGCCTTAAAAAGGAGGAAAATCCTATCACATGCTCTAACATGGATGAACCTTGAGGGCATTATGCTAAGTGAAATAAACCAATCAAAAAAAGATAAATACTACATAATTCTCCTTATTTGAGGTATGGAGAGTAGTAAAAATCTTAGAAACAGAAAGTAGAATGGTGGCTGCCAGGGGTTGAGGGCAGGGCGAAATGGGGACTTGTTCAATGAGCACGAAGTTTCAGATTTGCAAGATGAAAAAGTTCTGGAGGTCAATTGTATAGCAACATGAATAGACTTA
Organism: Homo sapiens; assembly: GCF_000001405.40. Lineage (NCBI taxonomy): Eukaryota > Metazoa > Chordata > Mammalia > Primates > Hominidae > Homo > Homo sapiens. Next base: position 7,104,499 of record NC_000023.11, read on the forward strand.
TCACTACTGAACTGCCCACTTTAAAATAGGTAAAATGGTAAATTTTAGTGTGTGTGTCTGTGTCCTACCACAATTAAATTTGTATATAGTAACTGTATGGATGTGTTTCACCAAGACTTATCAAGGTAACTTCATGTGCAAATGGTGCAGAAAGACACTAGATGCAGAGAACTGAGTATCACGATGCTCGTACCCATGCCTGAGATTCACAAACACTACCATTTTCAGTGGATGCAGACAGAGTGATTACAAAGGGTGTGTGTTTGCATGTGTGTGTGTGCTGCCCAGGAATGGTCAATCCACATGTTTGGACATATGTATAAATATAAATAATAACATACATTTCAAAAGTAGGTATGCTTCATATTAATATCATTTTAAATCCAAGATTACTCACATAACTGCTGTTTTTTTTCTCCCCTAGCACCAGGAATTCTAAAGACAGAGTATTCATCCTGTATATCCCAGAAAAATCTTCAAATAGTCTATTTTCAAGGTCTGTAATCTAGAATATTCTTGAACAAGGAGCGTCAGGCAAGCCCGTTCTGATTGAATGTCAGTTAACAAGCACGGAGGGAACAAAGTTGTTTTTCCTTTCCGAAGAAAACTGGATACAAGTAAAGAAAGGGCTGAACGGCATATAAACACACAGGCTAAAAATGAATTCGACTTTTTACTTTTTTTTTTTTTTAATTAAGCGTCTTTGGGGAGATTTAGCTGCTTATCAATTTGTTAAAGTTTGAATAGTTGCTGAAATATTAATCCTATATCTGATTTTGAAAAGAAAAAGGCAAAACCATCTATTAAGGTAAACTTTGAAGACATTCTGTCATTAACATAATCTTTATATATAGTAATATAAACAATACTCAAATGTTTTTGGAACCCAGAAATCACTGAAACTAACGCATATTATTTTAAGAAGCTTTTAAAGAGAAAATTGAATCACAGCATCCCACAGCATCAGCCAAACTCTTTCAGGAGCACCAGGAGGGACTTAGTTTAGATACTGAAGAAAAGAGGACAAACTAAGCATGCCCTATGCTAGACTTTAAAGGTGATTTACAAAACCATTGCTAATAGTCACAAACATAACCCTGCAAACAGCGAGGCAACCGCACCTGGCATGAGCGCAGCCGTGGGGAACACTTCCTTTAACTTCGTTTGGCTTTCTTCCACCAGCTCCTCTTTGGACATCGGGAGCTGCAAGACGTCTATTATAATCTGTGCCGCCTCTAATGCCTTCTTACCCATAACCAGGGACTTTACATCCCAGCTGTATTTCTTGTCATAGCGATTACATATTTCTTGAAACACCACTGAATACAGCCGTTCAGTATCTGCAGGAAAAAAAAAAGAGATTTTTAGAGTGCATACTGTATGAACAGTAAGTTTGTATCAGGTCCGCATAAACATACACTGTGTAGGTCTCATTCCATGAACAAAGGCTTTTGTGGAGACCTAAGTGAACAGGAGAAAGGCTTGCAGGTCATTCTCACTAAATTATACTATGGGCAGCCTCCTCTCAAGGCTGCTGGAGTTATGTCTGGAGTTGTGATCTGGAAATTCAGAACTCAGGAGAGAAATGAAATCTGTATTATTGTGTTTTCTGTTTAAATGTACGTATTTGAATCTAAATATATCCTTGGAATGGTCAATTCCATTCGATAGCACAAGGCATCATTACTCGGTGTTCCCAACAACATGGAAGCCAGCACCAGCTGACAAAGTCCACTGCATGGCCCACTAGTATTAAGGACATTTCCACTGCCCAGTGGGATGAATCCCCACCATGCCTGGCCAGGATGCTGCTGTGAAGCTCCCAGGTAAGAACAGAACATTTAATGCACAGGCTGTCACGGGATGGTGAAAGCTGACCTGAGAATTAACTCCCGGCTCGGCACTTACTCAGGGCACAGCCTCAGAAACATAGTGAGCCTGCAGGTGCCTGCTTTCCTCACGCTTACACAAGATGAACAGGAATACTGCTAATAATAGTACCAGTACCACTAATATACGCTAGATTACACTACATACAATATAATAACTAGTACTGGCTCACACCCATTTCTATTCATGTGTTTTTTCTGTATGTATATTTAATATATACATAGTATCAATTGCACTCATATTACCAATAAGAATACTACTGAGGATGCTACTACAGTGAAATAATCCTACTTTACAGAATGAATATTTCAGGGCACATAAGTAACATTCTAGTGCCAGCCTCCTAGAGCATGCTTGTTACACACTAGCTGTCTTCCCCACTCTGTCTCCAGTGTGGGCCTAGAAAGATTACTTTACTGAAGAACCAACTAACTGACCTGCTAGGAGGCATTATGCCAAAAAAAAAGAAATACTTCAACACAGAGGAATGTCTACCAAGTGGAATTTCAAACCCAGGTAAGCTCCATGGAGCTGAGTGTTGCCTGATGACAATCCCCCCAAGGCCCCAGTGAAGGCAGAAGGCTATCCCAAGGCCTGGGCAGAGTCCTTGTCTTCCAGTCTGCGGTGGCACAGAGGCAGTCCCTGAACCCGAGAGGCTGGAAATAGCCCTGTTCACAACTGATTTAAGAAGAAGACACACGGATGCATCTGACAAAAATCTGGATTCAAATTCAGTTAGGAGACTGACCACCTGTTCTAGATTTAGCACTGAAACCTTCCCACAGGGTGTGGAGCAGCATTAGCAGGACGTAGTCTACCTTGAATCTGTACAGCTGGACCCAACAAGAAGTCCTGAAAAGAGCAGGCGATCTCAATGGCCTTTAACTGTCCCACAATGACATAAACAAATACAATAATCATCCCTAAATACTAGTTTTTTTCCCTGTAAGATAGTATCTGGGAGACCCAGGACACACTGAGGGAAGTAACGTGTACGCACAGAGAAGGCTATGTGTATCCAAGAGGCATGTAAGTCTTCATACTCCTATGTATGTTCACATGCTTACATGCACATAGGTATGCATGCTTGTCTGTAATTGCCTCGATGTGTTTTGAAAGTTGGCAAGGTATGAACTGCGACTAAAGGAGAGTTATGGGGCGGGCGCGGTGGCTCACGCCTATAATCCCAGCACTTTGGGAGGTCAAGGCAGGAGGACTGCCCGAGCTCAGTAGTTCAAGACCAGCCTGGGCAACATGGCAAAACCCCGTCTGTATTAAAAATACAAAAAACTAGCTGGGCATGGTGGCATGTGACTGTAATCCCAGCTACTCAGGAGGCTGGGGCAGGAGAATCACTTGAACCCAAGAGGCGGAGGTTGCAGTGAGCCAAGATCGTGCCACTGCACTCCAGCCTGGGCAACAAGAGCGAAATTATGTCTTCAAAAAAAAGAGAGTTAGGGCAGGTTTTAACTCCAAAATATCTGCTCCTCCCAGATAGGCATGCAGAGAGCTGCCTGCACCACACGGCAGGATTCGCTGTGTCACACATGGAGGAGGCCGGGAAGGTCTCTTGTGAGCCGCTGCAATGGTAGGGCCACCTGTGCTTTGTCTCCTGCATCTTTCTCACAGAAGGTGAATGGTCATCTGTGTAGACACAAGGCCTGGGCAGTCAATCATATCCACCACCTATATGCAAAATTCCTGAATGAACCAAGGGCAGAGTGCTGCTGTCTTGAGAAAAAGTTTTCCGTGTGGCCCTGTATCATGTTCCTTCAGCAGCATCCAAACTGCATCTCTTGACTGCACCTGCAGCATCGGCTAGGGCTCTTGCCGCCTTATACTCAGAGGACTGGGCTCACTGACTGCTTTGGCTGCCACGGTGTGGACTTTGCCTCTGTGCACGCTTCTCTCCTGGTCCCAGGGCTCACTGCACTTGCCTGGGGAACTCTCTGGCTCTTCCTCCTGGGATGGGGCTGAGGCTGGGCCCAGTCCACCCTGTGGACACTGGAGACCAGGAGAGGCTGGTTATTGTGGACTGGGCTCTTCCTTGGGCTTTTGGGTGGCCCCTGCCCTGCACTCCCCATCTTCCTTCCTCCCCCTGTGCACTGACCCCCTCTGTGGCCCTCTTCCCTGCAGAAGACCCCTGGCTTCTCCACCTCCTGATGGATACTCTGGTTTTGACTGCTAACAGCAACAAGAAGAGCCCTCCTCTGTTCTTTCTCTGCTTTTCTTGGCAAATCCACCCACAGCTGCATCTGCAGGTGCCATTTCATTTTCAGCACTATAATATTTTTCTCCTTGCTTTTCTACCACAAGCTGTATTTTTTTCATTTATTTTTTTGTTTGTAGACATGGGATGCCTTGCCCTGTGGCCCAGGCTGGTCTCAAACTGGTGGCCTCAAGTGATTCTCCAGCCTCGGTCTCCCAGTGTTGGGATTAAGGCATGAGCCTCTGCGCCTGGCCACAAGCTGTATTTTATTAAGTTTGCTGTAAAACACACCAAACAAACCTCAGAACCTCCACCGTTCTGGATACTGCAGACTGTGAAGGCCCAATCCCTGAATGGAGGGCTCAAAGCCCTTTAGGAGAGTACAAAAGACAGGACTCTTAGAAAAGTCTGGGCTGGTTTGTAGAAGTCGAAGTTCAAGTAACAACCTGAGTAACTCAAGGCTTCCTGGATTCCATCCTGCACTCGGTCTCCCTACAGAAGCTGCAGAACAGAAGGAAGGGCTGGCCCACCCTCCTCCTCAACAGCTGAGTGGTGAAAAGCCTCCTCTAAGGGAGGGTTACCCAGGCATGAGCGCTCCTTTTATTTTCTTCTTCTCTGTGAGGGGGAGAAAGAGCCAAGGCTCTCAGGGCAAGGAGATGGACGGATTGGCAGTGAGGCGGCACATTTTACTTCCTTGAGTGTTTGTTCTAGTAGTTGAGAGAGGAAGATTGACAAAAGGAAACTGCAGGCATCGAACAAGTGAGACACCACTGTCGGGTTTGAAAAGCCGAGTGAAGGAACAGAACAGAGGGCAGGCAGGACGATGGAGGTGCTCCGTGGAACTCTGACTAAGGCGAGTGTGCGAACAGGAAGAAAGGAGTGTGGACAAAGGCAGGAAAACAGCTGTATCCTCTAAAAATGCTTCCAACAGTGTTTATTTAAAGCTTAAAATGTCATGGAGCTTTTAATTTAAAAGACACAGAACTGTGGGATTATAAATCTGTAGGGGACTGTGCAGACAGACACTTTTCCTCACCATTTAGATAAAATAATCCTAAATCCGTGGAATAAGAAAGGATCTAAACAAGTAATTAAACTCCTCAGATCAAATGATAACTACAGCTGTTGATGATGGCACACTTAAAGGGACAGCGTTGTGAAAGGAAAAATGCTGAAATAAAATAAAGGAGCATAAAACACTTGCACTAGGGCCATCAGATGGATATTCTTCCCTGCTTACTAACAAGCTTGCAGCTTTAACATTGCTTCAGGGTCCTTTTTACCAGGAAAGGTCATATTGTTTTTAACATGCTAGGGCCACATACACTACTACCCTCCTTAGGAGAATTAGAAAATATCCCTTGTGACTGTGACCACTCCCCTCCTCCCAGCTGGAATCTGTGTGGCATGTTGAGAGCAGCTTCTGTAGTAGCTGCAAGGGCAGCATGGGGAGGGGGAGAGCCTGGCAGGGAGGTGGAAGCTCTGAAGAAGCTACAGGGTGCCCCAGGCTGGGGCCCAAAGACTGGCGGGTGTTTTCATCCTCAGAGGCAGCCTGAGTTCCCGGGGGCTTATGGGAGGCATTAAGGCTTAAATTAATTCAACTGTTATGGAAGCCCTGTGCCTGGAGGAAGTCTAGGCCGATGGCCTCTAAGTTTCTGTCTAAGGCGGAGACTGGGTAATTGCTGCAAATCAAGTAACATTTTATAACTGAAAATGTATCTTAAATGCTCACTAAGTCCGCCCCTGAGGCACAGTGGTTGATGTTTTACCCAACAAAGATATAAAAAGCGAGGGTTTCTCCCCAACTGCTCTCTCAGGGAGCTGTACCTGCTTACCATGCAAATGGGGACCTATCTTCAATTTTATAACTGTGAGTTGCGTTATTTACGGGGAAAACACCTTGAGCCAACTGTCATTAAGAAGCACATATGGTGATACGGTTTGGCTGTGTCCCCACCTAAATCTCATCTGTTACATGCAGCCCTGTGAAGAGACCACCAAACAGGCTTTGTGTGAGCAATAAAGCTTTTTAATCACCTGGGTACAGGCAGACTGAGTCCGAAAAAGGAGTCAGCAAAGGGAGATAGGGGTGCGGCAGTTTTATAGGATTTGGGTAGGTAGTGGAAAATTACAGTTAAAGGGGGTTGTTCTCTTGCGGGCAGGGGTGGGGGTCACAAGGTGCTCAGTGGGGGAGCTTCTGAGACTCATTGTCCAGGAGAAGGAGTGTCACAAGGTCAATCAGTTAGGGTGGGGCAGGAACAAATCACAATGGTGGAGTGTCATCCATTAAGGCAGGAAGTGGCTATTTTCACTTTGTGGTTTTTCAGTTGCTTCAGGCCATCTGGATGTATACGTGCAGGTCACAGGGGATATGATGGCTTAGCTTGGGCTCAGAGGCCTGACAATCTCGAACTGTAATCCCCAAGTGTGGAGGGAGGGAGGTGATTGGATCGTTGGGGTGGTTTCCCCCATGCTGTTCTCGTGATAGTGAGATCTGAAGGTTTTATAAGTGTTTGCAAGTGCCTCCTTTGCCCCTTTCTCCTGCTGCCTTGCCATCCCCTTCTGCCATGACTGTAAGTTTCCCGAGGCCTCCCCAGCCATGTGGAACTGTGGGTCAATTAAACCTCTTTCCTCTACAGAATACCCAGTCTCAGGGAAGTTCTTTATAGCAGTGTGAGAACAGAGTAACATTAATACACATGGGAAGGCCTGATTTTGCTCCTACCCTCATGTTCATACAAGACCTAGGGCTTTGGGGACCCAAGAGACCTGCAGAAAACTCCCAGCTCAGCTGCACGCCCTGGGACAAGTTTCTTAGCCTGTCTAACATACGATGTTTATTGGAGAAATGTATTTAATAGCCGCTGACCTGCAGAGCGGGGGTGGCCTTAAAGCTGGGGGTGGGGTGGGGCGGGGGGAGATGCTTTAGGTGTGGGAGGTGGCAGGCAGCCCAGGCAGTGAAGCCAGGTCCTCTAAAGCCTGGTGGTCTTTCGGGAAACCCCAACTCTGCAGCTTTCTAGCCGGAAACTCTGGAAGCTAGCAGCCTTGGGTAAAGCACCTATAAAATGAGGATCCTATTCATACTGCAGGTCTTATAAGCCTGCTGGACCTTGGCTTGCACACCTCTAAAATGGGATCCTAATGATGTAGTCATGCCACACACCTTCTAGGCGGTTGCGTCCATGGAGTGAAATAATCTGTGTTGTGCTCTGAGCGCTTGGCCCAGAATTACCTCTGAGCATCAACATATGGAATCATTAGGGAATGCTTTTGTTAACCGTGAGTTATAGGGAATTGACAAGATCTGCTGTCTCCCTTAACAGCAACGCTCCAGTAAGAGCAAACAGCTATTGAACTTGAGAAACTAAAGTGCCTCCTACCAAATATTTTGCTTAAAAAAAAAAAAAAGCAAACAAAACTATCAATTATTTGGAATTCACCAATACATCACACCTGCTAGGCACATTAAACCAGCTTCACAAACACTTCTTAATTGCCGGGGCTGCAGAGGAACAAACACAGCCTCTGTTCCCAATTCCATAACCCAAAAGCTTCTGAAAACACTGCAAAATCTGTACTGGGCTAGCATGAGGTGGTTTTAATGGTCCACATTTATCATACTTAGTGCGACTCTTCAAGCACTTCCCTATAGAAATACTAATGGATTTGATTACGGGTGCTGCCTGAGAACGTTCTGTGTCATGGAACATATGAATTCTAATACCTTTTAAAAATAACCTATATTTAAATACATCTGGCTCCATAGATTTTGGGTAACGGATTATGAACCCGAGTTTGTGACCGCTTACTTATGAAGTTACACTTTGTGCATCTTGCACAACTGAATCTACTTAATGCTTTTTTTCTCCAAAACTAATCTTGATGTATCTTGAGCATAATTTTTATTCCCAATTACAAAAAAGAGAAAAAACTTAAAGCCAGTGTTTTGTGTTAGATAGGCTAGTTCCTTAAAGACACAAAATAAACTACAAGAAAGGCTGATCTTGAGTTAGAATCAAATTGTCACAATCTGACAGTTATGAAGATGTTAGCTGACTGTGTGTGTGCACGTTTTAAGAGTTCAGCTTTTCTTTTTGAGACAAGGTCTCACCTGAGTATAGTAGGGTGATCACATCCCACTGCAGCCCTGACCCCCCGGGCTCAAGTGATCCTCCCGCCTCAGCCTCCCAAGTAGCTGGGGCTACAGGTGTGCGCCACCACACCAGGCTGATTTTTAATTTTTTTTGTAGAGACACGGTCTCCCTATGTTGCCCAGGCTAGTCTTGAACTCCTGGCCTGGAGTGATCCTCCCACTATGGACTCCCAAAGTGCTGGGATTACAGGTGTGAGCCACGGTGCCCAGCCAAGAGTTCAGCTTTTCACTGATCATGTTACAAAAGAGGTTTCTTCAAAAAGATTAAAGCCCGTGTCCTAAGTAGATCCCTCAGATGCTTCTTTCCTTGCTTGCACTTCCTTCTGCTCAGCTGGGGCAGCAGTGGAGGGGCAGGACTGCCTACAGGTACAGGTCCAGCAGCCCCCATGCTGCTGCAGAGGAGGTTCCCAATGTTGACTCTGGCTGGGGAAATGGTACAGGGGCAGAACTGCCTGTAGGTACAGGTCCACCAGCCCCCATGCTACCAAAAAGGCTCCCGATGTTGACACTGGCCAGGCCCTTGCAAACAGGTCAGGCCCAAAAGTTTCACCATTTACACTAGCTGCTTTAATGAGGGCGACGGTCTTATGTGATGGTCACCACACTGCACTGTAGAATGAGGGCCGAGTAGATGCAAGTGAGCTCAAACAAAGATGGAGGCCATGGTGTGGGCGAGTGCGGGGCTGGTGCCACCGGGCAGGGTGCTAGTCACCCAATGAGTGACAGCTTCACAAGGCCTTAGCTTCCTCGGAAGGGCTAAGCACCTTAATGGCAGCTGAGGAAAGAGGGTCAGCAGTGTTTTGAATGTGTGTAAAACCACATTTTAAAGTGAAGTTGCTTTAATTAAAAAACCCAACATCCAGTACATTTTGATAGAAGTGGTGGTGTCATTTTTCTGAACCATTTTGACAGTACATAGTAGCTAATCAGTAATTGTTCAATTTATTTAAAATGTACACCACTAGTATTGTTCATCTAAGATATTCTACTGCTTGTTTCCTAAACACCTTGATTCTCGAAATGAGGTCCCCGGACCAGCAGCATCAGTATGAAGTGAGATGCTGTCCAACTACATATTCTTGGACTCTGTCTTATTCCATTTTCTGCTGCTTATTAACAGAATGCCTAAAACGTGGTAATGTATGAAGACATTCATTTCTTACAGTTATGGGGACTGAGAAGTCCAACGTCGAGGGGACACATTTTGGGAGGGCCTTCTTGCTGGTGGGGACTCCATGGAGTCCCGAGGCAGCACAGAGCATCACATCTTGAGGGGGCTGAGTATGCTAGCTCAGGTCTCTCTCTCTCTCTCTCTTTTTCTTTTTTTCTTTTTTCTCTCTTTGAGACGGAGTCTCGCACTGTAGCCAGGGCTGGAGTGCAAAGGCGTGATCTCAGCTCACTGAAACCTCTGCATCCCAGGTTCATGCAATTCTCCTGCCTCAGCCTCCCGAGTAGCTGGGATTACAAGTGCACACCACCATGCCTGGCTAATTTTTTGTAGAGATGGGGTTTAGTAGAGATGGGGTTTCACTATGTTGGCCAGGCTGGTCCCAAACTCCTGACCTCATGATCCACCTGCCTCGGCCTCCCAAAGTCCTGGGATTACAGGTGTGAGCCACAGTGCCCAGCCTCCTCCTCTTCTTACAAAGCCAGCAGTCCCACTCCTTTGATAACGCATTCATCCAACAACTCACTAATCTATTAATCCATGAACGAAAGGGTCCATTCATGAGGGCAGAGCCTTCATGACCCAACACCTCTTAGAGACCCCACACCTCTCAATACTGCCACATTGGGGATTAAGTTTCAACATGAGTTTCAGAGAGAACAAACGTTCAAACCACACAGCAGGCCCTACCCCAGATCTACAGAATCAGAAGCTGGGGTGGGACCTAGCAATGTGTGTTTTACAGAGCCCTCTCAGTGATTTGAATGTGTGCTCAAGTGGAGGGCCACTGACCTGGCATTATGTTTTCATGTAAGACTTGTGCTCTATAAAGTTGTGATTTTAAAAATATATCAATCTTAACTAAGAAGTGCTTAATTGTACATATACAAATGTACAAATTAGTACAAATTAAAGAATAAACAATCTATGATGATATTCATCCCAGTACTTACTTTCCTTTATATTGTACCCCATTATGGTTTAGTTACATTTATTTTCCTATTTCCTTCTGTCACCCCCAAATCAGACTTATGTTAATGTGTTTGTAATGAAAGAGAGATTTAAAAATAAGGACCCTTAAACATGCCCCATTCTTTCTCAAGTTAACTGCAGCAAATGATTCCAATAAATTGGAGTTCTCAGTTAATAATAGTTAATTAGGCCTGCATCAAATGAGATGTAGAATTCAATGAAAGTTATGCACAGCATTCTCACGGACATGGCCAGGGTAAAGTGCTTATGAAGACATGCCCTAATAAGCTAGCTCTTTTAAAGAAACATGCATCTTGGAATAAAAACACTGACAACTTAATGGAACATACCATATGCAAGGATTAGTTAATTGGCTCAACTCTCTTAAATGGAAATCAAGAAAAAAACATTTTCTAGGCTGGAATCATTACATATGAAATCACAGTTGTCCTTGGTGACCTTCTTTTGAGAGTAACTACTGAAACTTTTACATCGCTATATATATATGTTCTAACATAAGATCCTCCTTTTCTTCTAGTGAAAGCATTTCCAGCTTTATGAAAGATATTGGAAAATAAGGGTCAATTTCCAAAAACCAACTTTCGGTCAGTAAGTAGCACAGCAATCCTAAAAACTGAGCTTTGAACTACATAAGCTAGGAAATCCAGCCCTTCACAGCAGAAAGGTTTCAGCCTTCTGAAATGGCTAGTTCAGACAGCTGGGGTTGCCTTGGGCTTTTTTTGACCTTCTTAACCAGCCAAGCTTACTTAGTAATCCCTAGAACCCTAACAGCAAAAACTGTTCTGAAAGGTCACTGTGGGCAACAGCTGTTTCACATTGCTCTCTATGCTCCTGGCACACAGCACAGAGCCCAGATCCTGTCGGCAGCGCTATTTCACTTCACTCCCAGAGTCACGTCCACGCACGTGGCTGCAAGGGGGAGCTGGCCTAAGCCTGCAGTGAGGAGTGAGGCCAAACCACACCACCTCTTTGCATGGACTGGAAGAGTCTATCTGCTCAAAGCATCCTAGTGTCATAGGAAGGCATTATTACATTTGCGGGAAGACAAGAGAAGCCCACGAAAAGACCAGATTCTGGTAAATGAGGAGGCACTGAGTTAAGTTATAAAGATAACTGTCCATGTGTGAAGGTAAATGAAAATCTCTTCAAATGAGAACGAGCAGAGGCTATTCATTCAGAGATTGCATAGCAAGAAAGTTGGACACCAGCACTTGCCTTTGGCAGAAGCTCAAATGCAGGTTGGGGAGCTGGGAAAGCTTTACAGTTGGAAAAGGGAGGCTTCAGGTGGGCCCTGACTGGAGGCTGTTGTGGGGGCTGGGGGTGGCTCACTAGAAGTGAGGCATCTCATGGGATTGGCTTGGGAAACATTTTGGCTCTCTGGCTGGCGGTGGAAACTCTGTAGGCATGCCTGAGACAATCAAGTCCCTTAAAGGAGATAAGTCATTGAGCTGGCCAAGGACCCTGGGCTGCCGACTAGACTCATGGGATGAGTGTGGCTGCCCTCCTACCCTGGCCTGCCTCCTGGTTTCTTCCCAGCCACCTTGGCCATCCGTTAGCAAACCCCTAGCATGTTCCCAGGTGGATGGTGGGCCAGGCACTTCTCTCTGGGCCCTGGGACCCCTGCCCTGCTCAGCCTCATTCACCATTCTATATTCCACAGGCACTCCTGCATCCCTTACCACATGCCCTTGCCCAGCCTTTGGTAATGACCAATCAGAATGAACTAATCTCCATGCCCCCTCTACGCCAAAAAGACCCTGCATCAGGTCAGTGTTTATGAGGAGAAACTGCATTGGTCAGTAATAGAGTTTATATATTTATTCCCTCCCAAATCTCATGCTGAATTGTAGCCCTCAATGTTGGAGGCAGGGCTTGGTGGGAGGTATACTGATCATGGGGGCAGATCCTTCGCTTGGGCCATCCTCCACTTGGTGATCAGTGAGCTCTTGCTCTGAGTTCACATGAGAGCTGGTGGTTTAAAAGTGCATGGTACCTCCCCCCAACTCTCTCTCTGGCTCATGCTTTTGCCATGTTACATGCCTGCTCCTGCTTACCCGTCCACCGTGATTGTAAGCCTCTTGAGGACTCCCCCGAAGCAGCTGCCACTATGCTTCCTGTATAACCTGCAGAAATGTGAGCCAATTAAACCGTTGTTCTTCTAAATTATCTAGACTCAGCCATTTCTTTAAGGCAATGCAAGCACGGCCTAATACAGAAAATTGGTACCAGAAGTGGCGTGTTGCTACAAGGATACCTGAAAATATGGAAGTGACTTTGGAATTGGGTAACAGGCAGAGGTTGGAAGAGTTTGGAGGGCTCAGAAGAACACAGGAAGATGAGAGAAAAGTTGCAGCTTCCTAGAGAACAGTTAAATGGTTGTGATCAAAATGCTGATAGTGATATGGATGGTGAAGTCCAGGCCAACAAGGTCTCACATGGAAATGAGAAACTGAGAACTGGAGGAAAGGTCACACATGTTATTTCTTAGCAAAGAACTTGGCTGCATTCTGTTCATGCCCTAGGGTTCTGTGGAAGTTAGAACTTCAGGGTAATCCTTTAGGTTATCTAGCAGAACAAATTTCTAAGCAGCAAAGCATGCTATGTGTAACCTGGCTTCTTCTAACAGACTACGCTCAGATGCAGAAGCAAAGAAATGACAAAGTTGGAAGTTATATTTAAAGGGAAGGTAGAGCAAAAAAGTTTAGGAAATATGCTGCCTGGCCATGTGGCAGAGAACGAAAAAGCTTTTTCAGGAGAGGAATTCAAGCAGGCTGTGGAGCAACCACTTGCCAGAGAAATTTGCATATCTAAAAAGGAGGGAAGTGCTGACACCAAAACAGTGGGGGAAAGGTCTCACAGGTATTTCAGAAGTCTCCAAGGCAGCCTCTCTCATCACAGGCCCAGGGGCCTAGAAGAGAAGGGTGGTTTCCTGAGCCACGCCCAGGGCCCAGCTGCCTCAGGACACTGCTCCCCTCATCCCCACTGCTCCTGCTTCAGCCAGGGCTCAAAGGGAGCTCATCCTGGTGCTCTGTAGGCACACAAGCCACACGCCTTAGTGGCTTGCTTTCTGTATAGCCTACAGAATTGTGAGCCATTTAAACCCATTTTCTTACAAATTACGTGGACTCAGGCATTTCTTTATAGCAATACAATATGTCCTAATACAATCAGGAAACTTTAACACAGTCTGGAGAACTGTCACACTTATGTGGGCTTGGATGCTGACATATTTGGGTTTTACCCTTTGCTCTATTCTCAAGGCCTGCCATTACCAGATCTAATTCATGTATATATTTTCTTATCCCAATGTATAGCAGAAAGACACTGTGATTTGCAGGAAACACTCCAAAACTATAGAACAGTGAGGCTGAGTGTGAGCAAAAATCAGAGGTAAGTATGTCACAGGAAAAGGAAATCAAAGTTAGTGCTGTTAAAGTCCAAAAACACAAAATATATTCCTCTCTTTTAGGTTTTCTGCAATCTCCATCCAACTTGCCTTCCATGAATAAATACCTGTCTATAAACTAGGAGAAAACCCAAACCTACCTGGTTCAAAATTTAACGGTATGGTTTGCTTGTTTTGGTTAAGTACTGTACTGCACCCGTATGACTGGCTCACTGCTCCTTGCTGCTATATGTGTTATTTCATTTACACTGTGGAAACTGAAGAACAAAACTGTAATGCTATGAACTAGAATCCAAACGAACCTAAAATTGACTTTCCCCTTAAATTAAAATTCAGTCCAGGTTTCCAGTGACTGAGCACAGAGCCCCTTCTGAGACAAATATTTCTAAGTTGGGACCATCCTGTGTCACACAAGTAAACATAACATGTAATATTGATTCAAATCATAGATGAAAAATCTCGAGAAGCCAGATATCCCGGGTATGCAGAAATGGCACATGCTCAGAATACAATCAGTTTAATTAAACAAATGTTGACTGGGTACCTACTTTGTGCTAGGCACCAAGAAAAATGTGACAACTGACATGGAGACAGTCCTTACAAGGTTAAATAAATCAGTAATCAGAAATGATAAGTTCATTAATATATTTTGAAACAAATACTGACAAAGAGAAACCTTGCAAAAACAGTGATTAAGAATACATCACTATGTAAATCAGAATGTTTTTCTCACCTGAAGACCTATCCATATGTCACCTTCAGCTAACTAATTTCAATGACCTATTATCTAAGAAATGTCCTCTCAGACCCGAAAACAGAAGTCAGGTAGAAGCAATGTTACAAGCCAAGCACAAATTCCTAGCAGTATGAGAAGGGAGAAGACACGGTGATGAGAACATCAAATGATGAGAAGTGCAATCATCTGTTCTTCAACAAATGTTGCAAGTTGTTAACACGCTGTGAGCACTACCGCGCTTTTCCCTACAACCACTAACGTATTTTGTGCTTTATATATACAGGATAGAAACTTCCACAGCACCGTGCTGTCACTGTTTCACCTTTACAAATGAGCCTGCATGTAAATGCTAGTGCTTTCTCGTGTTTAGGAATTTAAAGGACTGAAATGAATAATTAAGCATAAAATTAAGAGTCTCAGTAATATTGCCTCAAATGAGAAGCTTGCTCTAGTGGGCTTAGAAAAAAGTATTTAAGTATTTGATATATCGCTTCCTGTAGCTGTAAGCTATCATTTTTGAACTGTAGAGAAAAAATAATAAATATGATTGCTTAAAATAGAGATCTGTAAAGATAATTGAGTGATCATCTGCAAAGTAAAACTCTTGATTAGCATGTGGCATAATTCACAGGCATTAGCAATTCTATTTAATAGGTATGGGAATTGGTCTAAGAATTTTTTTCTCATCCATATTTAAATTTAAAAAATCACTTAAAAAATGAACTGGTTCAAAAGGTGTTGCTAGACCATACCTATCTGTATGAAAACATATCTGTATTGGGGAAAAATATTGATCCCTAGGATCATAAACCTCTGTAAAGAAAACAGGAGAAAAATTCTTGGAGGCTTGGATTATGTGAAGGTTTTATACATAGAACGCAAAGAGCAAGGGTCGTACGAGAACATATGGATAAAGGGGCTTTCTTCAAAATTAAAAGGCACATACACATAAGAAAGCAAAAGGCAAGCTACAGACTGAGGGAAAATATTTACAATACATACATACACACATGCACACACAGACACCCAAAGGACTCGTATCCAGAATACGTAAGGAACTGAACTTTACAACTCAGTGATGACGCAATCTGCAGTAGAGAGAATAATTGTCCCCCAAAGATGTCCAAGTCCTAATTCCCAGAACCTGTGAATGTTAAATTCCATGGCAACAGGGAATTTGCAAAAGTAATTAAGAATCTTGAGGTGGGGAGGTGACCCTGGATTATCCAGGTGGACTCAATATAATCACAAGGTCCTTATAAGAGGCGGCCAGGAGGGAGAGAGAGAAGGTATGAAGAGGAGCGGTAGTCAGAGCCCAGGAATGGCGGCCACTCTAGGAGCTGGAGAGGCAAGGAAACAGCCAATACCCCACAGCCTCCAGAAAGGAACACAGCCCTGCCAATACCTTGATTTTACCAACTGAGACCAATTCTGGTGTCCAGAACTGTAAGACAATACATTTGTGTTGTTTTAAGCCACTGTTTGTGACAACTGGTTACAGCAGTAATAAAAGGCTAACATAGCAACTCTTTGGGCAGTTTCTTTAAAAGTTAACTATAAATTTACCATACAATCCTCAGGAAGGAATCAGTCCAGTCCTACATGTTTACTCAAGAAAGAAAAGCCTATGTTTACACAAAGACTTAGGCACAGATATTTATGGCAGTTTCATTTGTAACAGCTAAAAACTGGAAAGAAGCCAAGACTGTCAATAGGTCAATGGATATTCAGCCTGTGGTGCAGCCACACAACTGAATAAAAGGCATAAAAACTACTGGTACACACAATGACATGAGTTCCCAAAATTATGCTCAATGAGAGAAGCCAGATTAAAAAAAGAACATATACTGTGTGGTTCTATATACAATTCTAGGAAATCTTTAATTTCAGAAGCAGACCAGTGGTTCCTTTGGCATGGGGTCAGAGAGAGGCAGGGGTTGCAGTGGGCACGTGAAACTTCTGGGAGTTGTGGGAAGATTTGTCATCTGGGTGTGGGAACTGTGTCACGGTAACTGCATGCCAAAACTGGTCACACAGTATACTTTATGTGCAGTTTATTGTACTCCAATTAAACCTCCATAAAGTTGTTTTAAAAAGAAAAACTTATTAGGTTGGGAAAAAATGAACAGTTACAATGTTAATAGAAGTAGCCCTGAATGACAAAAAATACCCACCGACCATCACAACACTCATAAATGACCCCTGGAATCCAATGTGAGGAAATCTTCCTGGGACTTCTCAACTCCCCTTCATAAAATGTGCTTTCTTTATTGATGGAATCCCTGAAGGGGACCCTCTGTTGAGCCTTCTTAGGGAGGAGGGGATGCCCATGTTTTGGGGCTCTTGTCCCCAGTGCCATCCTTTCTGGGGCACTGGTGAGCGCACAAAGTATGGCGCCATTCCTTCCCTGGAGCTTCAGGGTGCCTTCCCTCCACGCCCACACACTGCAGGCTAAAAGCAGGTCCCACTACTGTTTTAACTTTAATTATGGTGGAGGTGGGATTGAAGGGATAATTTAAGAGCAAGGTACCCTAGTTGACAGAAGGTGACAGCCTGTCCCAAACACAGAGAACAAGGAGGCTCCCAGAGAGAAAAGATCCACAGGTAGGTGGCCAAAGGGTACAGGCATATAGGGAGGAGCCTGGGGTCAGTGTGAGGGCTTTCTAACTAGCATGCAGTGTGCCAGGGAACCCCCTGCGACCATAAGGAGGGTGGGTCCCTAGCTTGGGAGAATAAATAACTGTTGATTTGGATTTATAAATTCAGGAGAGCTCTACCATATCTTTAAGTTGAGCTATCCAACAGAGAGAGTCTTAAATCCTGTAGATATTGGGGTTAAAGAATATGTTAGCTGGGGGCTGTGGCTCATGCCTGTAATCCCAGGCACCTGGGAAGCTGTGGCAAGGAGGATTGCTTGAGACCAAGAGTTCGAGACCAGCCTGGACAATACAGCGAGACCCTGTCTCTACAAAAAACATTTAAAAATTAGCTGGGTGTGGTAGCATGTGCCTCTGGTCCCAGCTACTCGGGGAGCTGAGGTAAGAGAATCGGTTGAGCCCAGGAGTTCGAGGCTACAGTCAGCTATGGTTGCACCACTGCACTGCACTCTATCTAGCCTGTGCAACAGAGTAAGACCCTGTCTCAAAAAAAAAAACCCATATATGTGTGTGTGTGTGTGTGTGTGTGTGTGTTTACATTCATTTGCACACAAATCTGATAACCATAATGAAGAGGAAAAAGCCCAGGATACTGAATAATACTGCTATGTACATGCATATTGTTCTCTCTCCCATTTAAAAGCACATATTTGGCAGTAGATGACCAGTGCAAAAAGAACTTTTAATTTTTCTGGTCACAGAGATGAATTGGCTCTCCCTTCCTGTGTACTTCCTTTCCTTCTCGCTTTTCCTACATGGATTTTTTCAAAGCAGAATCTCAGACCCTGTAGATGCTGATCAAAGAATGCTTTCCTGTTTCCTTTAAGAAGGCAGCAGGTATGTGATGAAATAACAGATTGATATGCTTTGTAACCACCCCCTGCCCCCGTTTTGAATCTGGGCTCCACCAGCAAGAGTCAAGCTTTTTTCCAGGGCAAACAGCTATCCCGCGCAATTGCTCTGAGTGTTAGGGATGACTTATAAAGACTGTGTGGATACAGCTGGCTCAAATTCAGATTCTCATCACCCGATTACATGCACCTTTCTCTGAACAGACCTTCTCCCCAGGTCAAACTCACTTGAGATTATTACTAGAGTTACGTTATGAGTTTGTATATATTTTCCTTCTCAACATACTTTCAGTATTTGAATAAAGATTAATGAATCAAAGTTCTAACTTGAAGTATTTATACCAAAAATTGTTATAAAGTTTTACTTTATTTTTTGTTCTGGAAACTATCAAGCCAGATTTGGAAACACTTAAAAATGGAACATTTTTTATCCAGGGTTTTTTGGGGTCTCATTATCCAATAACCAATTAAAAAAACGTCTCTGGTGTTCTTTCTAAATCGTGCTAAGTTACCTTAAAATGAGATAAAGGACAAGAATGCTGTAACACTTATTTTTTATACTTTAAGGCAATGGCTCACAACTGGGCTTTGCTTTTGCCCCTTGGGAGATATTAAAGACAGTATAAACGTTATGTTTTGTTTGTAAATCAAATTTTGTGTGAAGTAAATTATAAGTGTTGATGGGCAAACAAGGTATAAACATGTAATTTGTATGACAACAGCAACAGAAATAAGAGAGTCGGAAACGGAACTACATAGGAGC
This sequence comes from Homo sapiens, assembly GCF_000001405.40. Taxonomy (NCBI): domain Eukaryota; kingdom Metazoa; phylum Chordata; class Mammalia; order Primates; family Hominidae; genus Homo; species Homo sapiens. Next base: position 7,123,325 of record NC_000023.11, read on the forward strand.
AGAGGTTTGTGAACTACTTAAAATAAGTGGTTAAGATGTTTATCATAGTCCACAGAGCAATCACTAAGAAATACAGTAAAGGACAGAATAATTAAAATGGCACGCTAAAAAATATCTAAAGTTAAAAAAGGCAGTAATAAAGAAATAAGGTAACAAGAAGACTTAACACAGAAAACAGCAGCATGCCGCACGTAAATCCTGTCTTACCAATAATCGCATTGTATGTAAATAGATTAAAAACGCCAATTAAAAGGTAGAGATTGAAGAATGGATTTAAAAAAGACATGATCTAACTATATGATATCTACAATAGAGATACAATTTAGACCAAATGGTACAAAAGCATTGAAAGTAAAATGATGGAAATGAGATTCCTTGCAAACAACAGCCCAAAGAGAGCTGAAGTAGCTATAGTAATATCAGACAAAGTAGACTTAGGACAAACCATTTCACTAAAAAAAACCAAACAATTTTAATGGAAACATTTTATAGTGATAAAGGTCACCCCATCAAGAAGATGCAACAATTATAAACATATATGAACCTAACCACAGAGCCCCAAAATACAAGCAGCAAAAACTGTCAAAACTGAAAGGGGATATAGCTGATTCCAATAATAGTAGCTGGAGATTTCAATGCCACACTTGACAATGGACAGAACAACTAGACGGAAGACAAATACAAGACTTGATTTAATCCACTTACACACTGTAAACCATTAAAACTTGACAGACATCTATACAAAACTGACCCAATAATAACAGAATATACATTATTCTTAAGTGCACATGGAAAATTATCCAGAATAGGCCATATGCTGGGTCATAAGTCTCAATAAGTTTACAAAGAAGTGAAATCATATATTTTCCCAATCAACAATGAAATTAGAAATCAGTAACTGAAGAAAACTTGGGAAATTCACAAATAATGTGGAAATTAAACAACATACTCCTAAAAATTTGTGGGTCAAAGATGAAATTATGAGAGAAATTAAAAGATACTTTGAGAAGAATAAAAATGGAAACACAACATACCAAAACTTATGGGATGCAGCAAAAGCACTGCGTGGAGGGAAATTATGGCTACAAACGTCTGCACTAAAAAAGTATGTTCAAAGAGGTGAAACAGTGCTAGCTTTGAAGATGAGTCAAGACGTGTGGGTGGCCTCTAATAGCTGGAAAAGGCAAGAAAACATTCCCCATTAGAGCCTCCAGAAACAAACAGAGCCTTGCCAACACCCGATTTTACCAAGAGATTGGTAAAATCAGGCCTCAGTTTGTGGTAATTTGTTACAGCAGCAATAGAAATAGAAGGCATTTAAGAAACTTTGGCTATCTTGTTGCCAAGTGCGGTGGCTCACGCCTGTAATCCCAGCACTTTGGGAGGCCGAGGCGGGTGGATCACGAGGTCAGGAGATCGAGACCATCCTGGCTAACACGGTGAAACCCTGTCTCTACTAAAAAATACAAAAAAATTAGCCAGGCGTGGTGGCGGGCACCTGTAGTCCCAGCTACTCGGGAGGCTGAGGCAGGAGAATGGCGTGAACCCAGGAGGCGGAGCTTGCAGTGAGCGGAGATGGCGCCACTGCACTCCAGCCTGGGCGACAGAGTGAGACTCTGTCTCAAAAAAAAAGTAACTTTGGCTATCTTTTTGTTTTTCCCTCATCGGGCTACTGTACAATGACTTTCAAACATATTAAAAAAAAACATAAAAAAAACATAAAAATAAACTTTTAAACGTTTCATTCACAACCTAAAGTCAATGAAAGCTACAGGCAGAGTTTACAGAACTATGTGTGACAATTTATCTGAGGCAGTTCACCAGTTTACTAAAAAACAGCACAGTATAGTCCTCACAAAATGAAAACAAACCCCAGCATGCTAGGCCTTCGTTATTGCTACAGAATAACACATATGTATAAATACTATTAATCATTTTTTTTCCCATTTCCTATTGATGCACCATGATGCTTCCATTTAGCTAATGGCAATAATCTAAATTCTTTTTGAATTTTAAGAGCTAAATATACAAACATAGAGCTCTAGATGGATGTCACTTTGCCTAAACCCTTCTCAGAGCTAGTTTTCCAGTGTCTGAGGCATTATAGATTAATGCCAAACCCACATATCCCTAGGCCTTTTGAATTAATGAAAACCAGCAACTGTCCTCCACAACATGCACAAAGGCTTTATTTAAAGATCATCTTTCCTACCAAAACTCAATCACTTCTATTCTTTTTCAGTGAAGGTGACAGGCCCTCCGCTACCCTTCCATTTCTATCTGTATCAGTCATTTTCAGGCTGCTGATAAAGACATACCTGAGAATGGGTAATTTATAAAGAAAAAGAGGCTTAATGGACTCACAGTTCCACGTGGCTGGGGAGGCCTCACAATCATGGCAGAAGATGAAAGGCACATCTCACTTGGCGGCAGACGTGACAGCGAGCTTGTGCAGGAAAACTCCTTTTCATAAAACCACCAGATCTCATGAGACTTATTCACTATCACGAGAACAGCACGGGAAAGACCTGCCCCCATGATTCAATTACCTCCCACCAGGTCCCTCCCACAATACACAGGAATTGTGGGAGCTACAATTCAAGATGAGATTTGGGTGGGGACACAGCCAAACCATATCACTATCCTTACTCTTAGCATTCCCTATCAATGGCCTGTTAGGAATTACCACCAGGGATATATGCATATATATGAAGATAATGCCAAAATTACATTTTTAAAAAATTTAGGGCAATGTAAATCATCATGAAATGTAAGAAAAACATTAAGAATATAAACAGCAATACACAGTACAAAGTGCTTCTCTCCTAAAGACACATGAGTGACCATGTCACAGGAATATTTCTTTAGCTGTTATGCTTTTGGTTCACTTATTTTTGTGTGCTGGTGGGGGTGGAGGAATGTCAGAAAATTCAGCTGTAAAAAGATGATAGGAGCTGAGAATGGAGAAACTTCTCTGGTGATCCTCTAACTGAACAGACCTGGGCCATTTGCTGCCCACCTTCCTGGAAAGGTCTGCCCAGAAATTCAGGAAAACATTGGTCCAGATGGCTTGATCCTTCACACAATCAAAAATCTTAGATTCTTGGGACTGTAAGTTTGCTAGGGCCGCCATCACAAAATAACACAAAATGGGTGGCTTACATAGAAATTAATTTTCTTGCAATTCTGGAGGCTGGAAGTCTAAGATCAGAGTCAGTCAGCAGGGTTGGTCTCTTCTGAGACCTCTCTCCTTGGTTAGTAGATGCTGTCCTCTCCCTGTGTCCTCACGTGGTTGTCCGTAGTGTGTCTGTGTCCTAATCGCCTCTTATAAGGACACCAGTCCCATTGGATTAGGACATTGTTTAGCCCTTTAAAGACCTATCTCCAAATATAGTCACATTCTGAGGTCCTGGGGTTAGGCCTCCACCACGTAAGTTTGAGGGGGACATGACTCAGCCCGTAACACTGGGTTATTCATCTTCATCTACTTGGTTTTTTTAATTTTTATTTTTTTATATAAAAGGCAAGAGCAGTTTGTTAATGGAAGGTGCTATCTTAACATGGGGAAGGGATGAAGAAGATCACTAAGAAATAAGGATCAAGATCCTTTTTTAAAGAATACATATTTGCATATGTATAAATTGGTTCGAGTATCTCAGATTTTATGTATCTAATTCTACCTAGGATTTCTCAAAAGAACCAAAAAGCATAGGGTATGGTTCCTGCTATGCAGAGTGTACCTCTGGTACCCAAAGTAGCAAAGTGGGAATTATATTGACAAAAGGAGGCATAGCTTGGTAACTGCAGGCACAGCTCAATTTACCAAGCCTTCCACACATGGGGGCACTGAAGGATGAGGAGTCAGAAATGCTCACTCACATTCTCAAAGAGCAACTGACCTTTATTCCACAGCTCCAATTACCAGGGAAGGACAGCTGGTAAGAGACCGCCTTTTCTTTGAACAGCTAGGGGCTTGGCAGACACATAACTAAGGCTAGCACAATGTTCTAACTATGTCAGTAATGTGGCCCTATGAGGTGTTACTGTCAGTCAAACTACATGAAAGATATCCAGAATTCAATCAGATATCCTTTTAATAGCTGTACCTACGACTTGTACTGACCTGAGAAGCATAAAAGAATGGAGAATTCCTCCCAAGTTCAAAGATTACTGGAGTTAGGTGGAAAGATATTTACTTATTTTAAGAAATGAAAACTCTAATCACCTGCATGGGAATGTAAAGTACCTGGGAGGGAACTGTTTTCCTTAATGAACAGACATCTCTCAACTCCCAAATCATTTAGAGGGATGCTTAAAAGCAGCAAGACCACTGAATACATTTTCCATGTTACTTATTATTTTATTACTTGTACTTTTTAATTGAATTTGGCCTATGAGAACAATAATGCTAATAAATAACCATTTAAATGCATACCTGAATTATTTACATTTGCAATTTAAGGCATGATCAGAATGATGTTGAAATATTAAGAATTTTAGGTTCATCATTTTTATAAACTTATTATGTTTAAGATGATTATTGACTAAAAGAGTTTCATTCTTTAATTCAGACAACTGAAGTACTCAACAAAGAAATAAAATATATTAGAGTTTTGTAAGTGTGAGTTAACAGTATAAAGGTGAAGTTTATGAAAAAATTGTAAAGGTTGAGACTCAAACACTGTTATGGCCTCTGAACAGTGACTGTTAACATTTACTAGATTTTTTGTTTTTGGTAACAGAGTCTCACTCTGTTGCCCAGGCTGGAGTGCAGTGGTATGATCTTGGCTCACTGCAACCTCTGCCTTCCAGGTTCAAGCGATTCTCATGCCTCAGCCTCCCGAGTAGCTGGGATTATAGGCGTGCACCACCACACCCAGCTGATTTTTGTATTTTTTGTAGAGACAGGGTTTCGCCATGTTGCCCAGGCTAGTCTTGAACTCCTGGGCTCAAGTGATCCACATGCCTCGGCCTCCCAAAGTGCTGGGATTACAGATGTGTGCCACCACGCCCGGCCAACATTTACTAATTTATAAGCAGAATAAGCAGAAAGTAAAAGCTTAGGGAAAAGAAAGTTTTGAATCTAACTTCAATAGTTTATAAATGTTTAGAATTAAAGGGTAGTGGTGAACTCAGGACACAAGAAGTCCTACAGCAATACTAAGCACCCACAGTACACCATGCCTGTGTGTGTAAGCTCATCAGAAAGCAGAGCATGAAAAAGGGCTAGGGACCCAATGGCACGGGCGGCAGTCGCTGCCCTGGAGAATTACACTCCTGGCATTCCAAGCTGGTACCCAAACACTTTCCCATAAGAAATAAGAGATGGTCAGGGACATTCGGAACCTCCTCAGGTGCATAAAGGTTGTGTGAATATGGGAGTGAATAACCTCTAGTTTTAATGTTTCTATCTGGGGAAATGTGTTCTAACTATCCAAGTACTGCACAACAAATTTATCTTACATTCTGTGTTTACATTCTAGTGTAGATACTAATGAATGATTTTGCGGATAAAAATCAGGCAGCCATCAGATGAAACAGCGGGGGCCCAAGGTGCTCAACCCATAAATAAGCAAGAATTCGTATTTTTTATATGAGATTATAAATCTCCAGCCCAAACCCCCACGATGTCTCTTTTCTGTTATTAGTCACTATGAATAAAGTATAATTGCACTCAAATGCAGCTGGTTTGTGAGCTCCTGCAGGTGAAATTACAAGCTAAAACATAGTCCTCATGGGGGAGGAAAGGACCGAGTACCCTTAGCCTTCGGGCAACCATTGCTTTGAACATAATTAGAGAATGCAAGTATATGGGAAAGAGGTGCTAGGATATAATTAGTTATACCACAGCATTTCATTACCAACATTTAATAACATTTAAAGATCATAGAGCACATACAAAATGATATGCCTTCTTCCTTTCCATTTTATATTCTCATACTGGCTGCACTATATAGAAAATGAGGTGTGGAGAGAAGGGGATCTAATATATTGGCTCCATCTAGTCCCTGCTCTGTCATGTAACATGTGCCCATTCATTCAAGGACATAAAAATTACCTGAAGCTTCTCTGTCAATACACATGCCATGTTGGACCCGTGTTCTGAATGTTGAGACTCCAGCAGTCAACAGAACAGGCCTAGAGCCTGACCTCCATGGAGGACATGTTGTAGAGCCCAAGGTTGCTCAGCATTTTGCTGCCAGCCCCAACAGTGTGACGTACAGCTCTTCTCTGTCTTTGAGCCCTGAGCATTCTCATACCTGAGGGGATATTCCCTGAAGGCAAGAGGAATGGGATGCAACAACAGTGACCAGTGACCATCGCCTCTCAGGGAAGTGCCATTTACTAATTTATTATTTTATTGTATAACTCTCTGAACTTTTATCTTAGAATATGATTTCATTCCTTATTCAAAAACACTGACCTTTTAAAGATCTCACATCTGGGCAAGAGAACTTTAATGAAGGCAAAGGAAAGAGCCATCCTAACCTTCCTTACTACTAGAAATGTCATACTCAGACAGCACACAGCATGCAGGGCACCGTCCCGCTCTAACAAAAATCGAAAGGGTAAGGGCAATGGCTGGGTATAAAACTACATACTAGAATATGTGACACGGAGCACCGCCCAACAAATGGTTATTTTCCATGTTTATCCCCGGCATGGTGCGTGGAGTCCAAAGGTTATTCCAAAGCACTTTTCTTTTCACTCCCTTCTCTGGAAAATCAACTGTGTTTGGAAATCATGGTGCATCCCATGGTTAAATAATCTCCCTACCCCAGGAAGGAGGACTGGGCCCTCTACTTCTCCCTGACATTTACAACCCAGCTGGGATGAGAAAAGGAGAAGGGAGTAGAATAAAAGGACTTCAAAGTTGTGAGTTCGGCACCCTTACGTGTCAACAAAGATTAAGCCTGAAGTGGCAGGCTTTCACACAGGGTTGGGGGGATTCAGGTTTTGATGCAGGGTTAGGGGGAATTCGGAGGCTGATTGGAGAATGACTAGGGATCCAGAGCTGCTCCCTTTGTATCAGAGATGCACATACTACACACACACACACACACACACAAAAGGAGGAGGAGGACAAAACATGGTGGGCATATGGCTAAATTTCCAGACCCTTCCTAGGCTAATTATCCAACTGTGTGTGTGCATGTATTCTCTCTGAGGAAGGGGACTTAGAAATAAGTTTAAAATGGCTTCCAGGGGCCAGGCACAGTGGCTCATACCTGTAATCCCAGCACTTTAGGAGGCCGAGGCAGGTGGATCACTTGAGTCCAGGAGTTTGAGACCAGCTTGGGCAACATGGCAAAACCCCATCTCTACTAAAAATACAAAAATTAGCCGGGTGCACGGCTCGAGACCAGCCTGGGCAACATGGCAAAACCCCGTCTCTACTAAAAATACAGCAATTAGCCGGGTGCAGTGGTGCACACCAGTAGTCCCAGCTACTTGGGAGGCTGAGGCAGGAGGATCACTTGAGCCTGGGAGGCAGAGGTTGCAATGAGCTGAGATTGTGCCATTGCATTCTAGCCTGGACAACAGAATGAGACTCTGTCTCAAAAAATAATAATAATAAAAGTAAAAACTAAAATGGCTTCTAGGTACTGTAGCTGTTCAAAGACGAGTGTAGGTCGATGGCCACCTATGTCAGTTTTCTTCATGGGTTAACGGCACCAAGAGTTTTGTTTGTCTTAAATGGGAAATCATGGTTGTTTCCATCAATGCTGTCAACCTAAGAGGTGCCCAGTCTTTCAGTTTCCTGAAACTCAACATGTCCAAATGCCTAAAATGGAACTCATCCCTATTTTCAGGCCTCACAGCTTCCTCTAATTTCGACTTCAGGACAAGTCACTGCTATTCACCTGCCTTCTCCCTCCCATCCCTCTATGCCCAGCTGTCAGCTGAACGGCCTCTGAATCAGCCACTTTTCTTCCTTTCATTCCAACCCTGTGGGTCCTTGTAGTCAGTTGAAGGGTGGCTCCCAAAAATATATGTCCACGTCCTAATCCCTAGGGCCCGAGAATCGGACCTTATTTGGAAAAAAGACCTTTGCAGATGTGATTAAGTGAAGGATCTGGAGATGTGGCACTCTGTATTATCCCGGTGGGCCCTACATCCAATGGCAGGGGTCCTTATTTATAAGAGACAAAAGGAGAGAAGAGAAGGCCACGTGGAGAGAAGCTGAGACCGGAGCGATGCAGCTACAAGCCAAGGAAAAACGCAGCCCTGCTGATATCCTGACTTCCAACTTCTTGTCTCCAGAGCTGAGATAAAGTAATCTCCTGTTGTTTTAGGCCCCCCAGTTTGTGGAAAACTCATGCAGTCCTTCTATCGTTCATCTGGACAATGGCAACAGCCTTCTACCAGTCTCCAGTGTCTAAGCGCCAACAGTCCACATCATCAGAAGCACCACCCTTCTAGACATCGTGTGCTCGCCAGGCTGTATGATGGCTACGAGATAAAATGTGAATTCCTTAGCCTGGCACAGGGCTCGCCGCCATCTGCCCTTGGCAGGCCTTTTTACCTGTGCTCCGCCTCTCACCGAGTCCTCTTGGCCTGAAATACCCTCAGCCCTTCCTCCTCCACCTCAGTGACTCCCCAACCCTTCCGGTGGCTCATTTGGGATGCGTTTGCTCTGCTGTGAGGCACATCCGACTGGCCAACTTCCTTTTCCTGGCTCCCAAGAAAATCGAGTTGTCTCTAGCAGATGAATGATGATAATATAGAAGAACAGATCATGTCCACCCCCGCCCCCGTACAAATTACAGCACCCCTGCCTGCAGTCCCCTGAAGAACAGGGATGCTGTTGTATTCATTTGACTCAGTTGTCTCAGTATCTGGCAACTGGTGGTCCTGCTGTGAAAAGTCAGTCGGGTTCATGAATCGAAGGAACACCCTGAACATCTCAATCTCTCCTCCAGAGCCCTCATAGATCCAACTTAGGCTTTTCTTAAATTCCTTTTGAACTTAAAGCTCTCTCCTCAAATTCTCCACAACAGAAAGTGCCACCTGCCTTCCGCCATCTGAATGGAGCCACCTAAATGCTGGGAATGTTAAGCCATTTATTGTAACCACCTCTACTGCTTGGCTACCTGTATTGCTCAATGACTTGAAGTGGGCAACTTTACAGGCTTTTATCAGGTTGCTGTCAGAGAAGCAAGGTCAGCACAACTGGTTTAACAAGATGAGGGCTGAGATAAGGCTAGAGCTTCCAGAAAGGAACAAGTCATGGAGCCACACCCAGGAATAACTCACATATTTGCATTAAGAATGCAGAAGCAATGCCCAGGAGAGGGCAGCACTGACAACGCACACAAAGTCTAAGGTCATTGTGATCCACATGAACAAGGCTTCTCTTAGAAAGTACTTAAGGGCCAGTTTATGACCAAATTCCTTTGACAAAGGAATCTAGGAAAATACACTAGGAGAAAAACCTCCAAAAACATCCTGGTGAAGGCTATGCTCTCACCAAAGCCACCTCATGCAAATACACCTGGGCCCCAGAACTCTGCGATTTCACCCTCATGAGCATCAAAACCCCACAGCCACCACTGATCTCACTGCAGGTAACCAACAGAACTGCATGTGGTAAAGGTTCTCAGTAAATATTGCTATTAGATCAGAAAAAAGCCTGAAAGCCTGAAGCAGGAAATGGCAGCTGGAATGACACAGAAGTGGCTTTGAAATATTTATAAATCAGGAGGTGCCTGGAAGGTGTGGGTGGGGATGGCAAGGAATTGAAGACTGGAAGATAACTCCCAGCCATCTGCTGTGGGGCTTTCGGGGTTTGCTGCCTGGTGTGGAATGCAGGAAAAGAGCAGATCTGGCAGAGAACTAGAGGCCCCGTTTAAAATACAATGCTTCAGAGCTGCCTCTTGGCCACGCGGGTAGGAAGAGCCTGTGGTCACTGGGAAACGTAGACAGGAACTCAAAAGAGGTGAGGCCCAGCCAGGGAGGTCAAGGGGTCATCAGAGCAGAAGCATGTGCCGAAGCCATGAGCTCAGAAGAGGTTTCCACAAGAGGACAGGGCCCATAACAAAGCCATAGGGACGCCAAACAGGCACCAGGAGGAAAAGAAAGCTATGGGGAAGCCAGAAGAGGAACTATCCGTGAAGCCAAAGAGAAAGATTTCCAAGGAGGGTGCAGAAGCGGCAAAGGAAGCCGGAAGTTCTGGCAATTTAAGAAAAGGGTGCCCTCTGCACCTAGCAGCACGGACATCACTGCTACCTCTGTCAGAACAATTTCTGTGAGTGGTAGGGCCAAAAAGCCAGCTCATAGCGAGGGAAGGAAAATGGGGGAGTGAGTTCGGCAAACACAGCCCACTTTAGCAAGACACTTGGCTGAGAAGAGAGGCAGAAAGACAGACAAGCCAGTTTCAAAACACGTCCTTAAAATCGGGACACTCACTAGTCCCAGCCAGCAGAAGCAATAAACACAGCAACAGGTACATGGCATTTATTATTCTGTATTATAGATGTGATCATATAAAGATGTTAATTTCTTCAGGCTACTTCACAGAAGTCCCGTCCCCTCCCTATGAGAGGATATGATTTTACTTGATCTCAGCATAAACCCTAATGGTATAAGGGGATGCATAACATGTGCAGATGGTTACATCTCTGTTGCAAAATCATGTTAAACAGTGCAATGGGGCCGTAGGTCAGATATGAACTGAACATGTTCTTTAATCTGATTATATTTTGGTAGGCATGCAATATCCTGGAAGATGTCACACATTGCCTGTGATATGCTGCAAACCATACTCGGGGACACAGAGGATGGGTAATTTTACTAAATCAGTACAGTAAGTAAGTTGTCAATGAGATGGGCCAGGCTTCAGTTACCAACGCAGCTCATGTTTCACCTAAGCTAAAGTGGTTTTGGGCTATCAGTAGAGCCTCTCAATCATCAATGAGATAAAATTAAATCAGCTGGTAAATTAGATGTCAGCTGGTGAGAGTTTCAGTATCTACAATTGTACCTGTACCTGTGAGGGCTGGCAAAACTATGAACAAATGGTACCAAGACTGCTGGTAACTCTAAGTGATGAAGCGCCCAGGAGTAGAAGTTAGAAGTGCTGGATTTTCACTGGGATTTTCCTACTATTCATAGCTCCCCAGGTTGTCCTGCCTCAGTTTCACTGTAGACAGGACAAGTCGCCTCAATTCTAAATCTCAAATCTGATTATGATTTCACTTTAAAGAGCTTGTCACGTAAGCACACCGTATCAAAAGCTGATGAGCAGTCAGCAAAATGCCAGTACTAAACACAGGGTAGCAAATGGCAAAAAGTAAGCTAGACCTTTATGTCTACAGGTATTGTAATGGCAAAAACCGTCATTACTTTAGCACCAACCTAAATAGGAGTCATACAAAAAGAAAAAGCAGATATAAGGATCTACTTAACCAAAGGAAATGCTTTATGTTAAGATAAACGAGGCAAATAAGAGATGCAAAAAGAAAATAAGAATACACTAAAGCACTGTATTAAAATCAGCAAAATGTTTAGTATTTAATGAAATCCATGATTATTTGAGGCCAGAACAGAAATATGTGTAACACTTTGCTGCACAAAATGTTTCTACGATAACCAAATAATTTTCCTTTTAAAAAGCAAGAGTTAAAAGGTTGCCAAGCTACTGCAATTGAGGTAAATAAGGGAAAGAGAAGTCTGCGTATGAACAGGTAACCTCCAGGGAATGGCAGGGATACAACTGGGTCCAAGAGAACATACATGAGATGTGGGCAGCACTTCAGGAAGTCTTTTCCTCCCATCACTCAGTTCAAGCTCCAACCTCCAGTTTCCTAAGACCTTGGTAGCCTCAGAGTAAAAAGGGATGACACAGACCCAGTAGGCAGAAGTCAGCTGAGAGGTGCAGTGAGAGCCCAGTCACAGTAGCTCCTCAGGATCAGCTATAAGGCTACTTAGGAGCATTTTCTGTCATGTCTCATCAGCATATGATGTGACACACAGGTACCAGTGGCTACTCTTTGAAGAATTTTAGAAAGCTTTTATTCCTTTTATAAGCATCATGCCCTGACAAACTATCGGATTCCAATTAAGACATCAACAAAAGACAATTTTCCTGACATCTGTCTAAATCCTGTAGACATTTGTCTACAAATCTCCTGCACTATGAGAGAGACGAGGAACTGAAAAATGAGCACTAGGAAATGGGACTCTTCCTTCAGAATGTTTTCTGCTATAATACACATTGCAATGAATGCATTGCCACTGTAATGTTCGAGAGAGCTGAAGGTTCTGAAACTATTTCTTCCATATCTCCAACATCAATTTTCTAAAGATGCATGCTTTACATTCTTGTCTCTTAAACAGAATTAACTGACTACTACTTAATACTGCTTTTGGGGTTGTTTTTAGTGGTTCATGCTTAAGACTTAATCTTCCCTTTCCTATTTTAACTTTTCAAGTATACAGAAGAGTCAATAGTAGGATAGGAAACATCTACATACCCTATACCTGCACGCAACACACCTGAAAACATGCAGATGCCCTAACTCTTCATTCCTCTAGCTCTCTGCACGTTTCTCCTCAGAATAACACTCTCCTACACAGCCATAATACCACTGCCAAACCCAGGCAAATCAGCAATATTTCATAGTACCCCCTAAATAGCACACATCACACCTCTCCAATTGTCACAAAAATGTCTTTTATAGATTTTTTTCCCCAATCTAAGGTCCACTGAATTTGACTATGTCCCTTTAGCCTCTTTAAAAGTGGAAAAGCCAGCCCCTATTTTTTCCCCATGATAGTCAACATTTTCAAGGACCCAGTCCAGGTACCTGGTGGAACATCCTACATTCAGGATTTGTCTTGCTGTTTCCACATGACACCCCCTCCCGTGTTCCTCTACCCCTCTGAAACTGCTAGAGGTCCAGATGGATTCAGGTTAACCATTTCTGAGGTCACTTCAGAAAGCACACGTGACGTGACATGCTGCTTTCTGGATGGCAAAGCTACATCAGTTGGGCCACAGGGTCAATTGTGGCCCCCAGAGCTGCCCGCTCTGAAGGCCCGTTTGCCTCTGTTATCAGTCAGTGACTTCTGACATGGCACTGCGGGCACCTTCGTCTCCTGCATGATTACTCTATGATTTTGGCTTCCACTGACAATGCTTGTGGGAACCACTTACAGTCGGGATCCCAAAATGGTGACCTGGCTAATTCTCCCATTCTGTCCATATTTATTAACTGGCATTCTTCTGTAAAAGAGCTCACCCCCAGCCACCCTTTTACTCTTTTGAGAATCATAACACAGAGACTTAAAAAATATATAGACAGAGTATTATACTCTCTTCTGGTCATTATTCTTTTGATTACAAATGGTTCATATTGTGCCAGTGGGACCCCCCCCCCCAACCCCGCCCACTGCATCCTGGCATGAGAAAGTGCTCTGTGCTCATGTTGTATTTTACTGGTCCCGGTCCCTAGAATCAGCCACATCTCCTTAGGGCCTGTGTTCCTTTCACTGGGCATGATGTTTCCAAATGAAGGATTTAATCTTTTTTAAGCCCTCCTGAGTATCACTGTATCACTTTGGGTGAAGTAGATTTACAAACTGTGCAGAACATAGGACCCCAATGACAAATACACCTCAGTCTGAAACATTAAGTTTACTTTTCAAAAGCAGACAAAGCGTAGGCAACTGCATTTGATTTTAATAACTCTGTGCTGAGGTCAGGAGTTCGAGACCTGCCTGACCAACATGGTGAAACCCCATCTCTACTAAAAATACAAAAAATTAGCTGGGTGTGGTGGCAGGCACCTGTAATCCCAGCTACTAGGGAGGCTAGGGCAGGAGAATTGCTTGAACCCGGGAGGTGGAGATTGCAGTGAGCCAAGATCGCGCCATTGCACTCCAGCCTGGGTGACAAGAGCGAGACTCCATCTCAAAAAAAAAAAATAAAACTAAGGCCGGGTGTGGTGGTTCACCTGTAATCCCAGCACTTTGGGAGGCCGAGGCAGATGGATCATGAGGTCAGGAGATCGAGACCATCCTGGCTAACATGGTGAAACCCTGTCTCTACTAAAAAAAAAATACAAAAAATTAGCTGGGTGTGGTGGCGGGCACCTGCAGTCCCAGCTTCTCGGGAGGCTGAGGCAGGAGAAAGGCGTGAACCTGGGAGGCGGAGCTTGCA